>NC_000002.12:65417625-66042625 GCF_000001405.40 Homo sapiens
CAGTTGTCATGAATGTTTAACACAGTACCCAAAACAGGCCTGGAACCAGATGATATCTCACTGATCTAGCCCAAACTAACTAGCTTTGTGACCCTGAGTTAGTCACTCAGCCTCTCCAGATTGCAAATTATGTGTAAAAAAGAGGGAGCTGAGCTCGTATTTTCCTAAGATCCTCTCTAGTTCTAAAAGGTTATGGTCAGATGGAAACCATTTTACTTCAGCGAGAAAGGGCAAAGCATTCACCACTTCACTGACGAGTGCTGTGAGAAGTAACAATACTGAAACCAAACAAAAACAAAACTTCACTTGGGTTAATTCTAGGCTGTATGTCTGATTTACAAAATAAGTTGGCTAATTTTGTTCTGAATTTCACAGCCCCCTTGACCATCTTCCCCAACAACTATCTCTTCACAATATATGTTTCTATATCCAGGCTCACTGCATTTAACTAAAGTCAGAGAGAAAAATCCAGCTGAGATCTGTCAGACAGAATTATTAGTGGTCTCCCTGACTCCAGCCTAGCCTGCACTCTCTAACTAATCTGTTTGATTCTACCAACATATCACTTCATCGTCTCTTTGTTTCAAAGCCTCAACCAGCTCTGTTCTACTCAAAGAACAAAAGTCCAAATACGTGCTTTGTCAGCCTGGCTGGTACTCAATATCCTCCCAAATTTAGCCTCACCTGACTTGACTGGCTTTCTCTGAGCTCCCCCAGCATAAACTCAGACATGGAGTGTCCCTATCTGTGGAAGAAACCTTTGGACATGAGATGTCTCCTCTCCACCTTGCTGACCTGTCTCCTCCCCTAAATACTACCATCATCCTTTTCTGAGTCCTCAAAGACTCAAGACTCACCTTGTCGGAAGTGAACTCTCCCCTGGCTGGTGCAGTGATAAATATTTCTTTCTTTCTTTCCTTTTTCTTTCTTTCTTTTTTCTTTTTTTTTGACAGGGTCTCACTTTGTTGCCCGGGCTGGAGCATACTGGCACGACCTTGGCTCACTGCAACCTCCGTCTCCTGGGTTTAAGTCATTCTCATGTCTCAGCCTCCCAAGTAGCTGGGACTACACATGCACGCCACCACGCCCAGCTAAGTTTTTGTATTTTTAGTAGAGATGGGATTTCACCATATTGGCCAGGCTGGTCTCAAACTCCTGACCTGAAGTGATCTGCCCACCTCAGCCTCCCAAAGTGCTGGGATTACAGGTATGAGCCACCGCACCTGGCCTTTAATTTCTTATCATTTTTTTTTATTTAAAACAAGAATATTATGCTTATAAGTAAGAATAAAAGTCTTTTTTTAAAAAATATAAATTCTGCTTGCAATATTTAGAATGAAAAGAATCCTTAAATATTACTTTATTATTCAATCCCTTTATTCTAGAGATGAGAAAACTGAGTCTAGGGATGCTGACAATCTTGCTCAAGGCCACACAGCAGGTCAGTGGCAGACCTAAGTTTTCTGACTCCCATCCCAGAACTTACCACACTTGGCAAGCAGGTACCTATCTGCTTTAGACTTGGTATCCACATTCAAGAACTTTTAGTGTTGAGTGTATCCTCTTTTCCACTTGTGTACCACACAGACAAGGTGCTAACTCCAAGAGTAGAAAGGGGACAGAGCTGGCAGACAGAAGATTCACTCCCCTAACTCTTCCTCCTTTAATCAGACGACCCAAACTTTATACATAGTCTGTAGGTTAGACTCACTTGTAACTCCCCCCATCCAACTCCAACTAAACATGTCCTTTGCTTTCCTTCAGACCTTCCACTAAATCCACTCCAGAGTACCAAGGCACCCTCTGTGTATTCATCCCTCACCCCCAAAGAGTGCCCACACTTACGTTCTTATATCCAGAATGCGGTTCATAACAATAATTCCCAACTTTCCAAGCACAAGGACTCAAAGGGAAAAAATTCAGGGAGCACTTCCCTTCACAGGGATTATAGTTGTGTGTGTGTGTGTGTGTGTGTGTGTGTGTGTGTGTGTGTTTATTAACTGTGAGCCAAGAAAAATATATGCCAAACATCCACTGTGAATTCAGTAGTATTGTAATAAGGTTGTATTTTATTATTCTACAAATGTAGCTACATACTCTGAAAGACAGTAATACATATGCTTGGGAGACATTACGTATTTGGTTCACAAACAATGCATGGAGTGCATATGGTTTCCCAGACACTAGTTTGGGAACCACTGGCTAGTAGCATCAGTTCAAGACTTGCAGATGAGATATCTAAATGCTGGGGAGAGACCTTAAGTTTTATTCACCTTCTTCTGAAAGAAAAATGTGACAGCCAGGCCAGGCGCGGTGGCTCACACCTGTAATCCCAGCACTTTGGGAGGCTGAGGTGGGCAGATCACTTGAGGTCAGGAGTTCGAGACCAGCCAGGACAACATGGTGAAACCCCTCCTCTACTAAAAATACAAAAATTAGCTGGGCGTGGTGGCGCTTGCCTGTAGACCCAGCTACTTGGGAGGCAGAGGTGGGAGGATCGCTTGAACCCAGGAGGCGGCAGTTGCAGTGAGCCAAGACTGCACCACTGCATTCCAGCCTGGGCAACAGAGCAAGACTCTGTCTCAAAAAAAAAAAAAAAAAAAAAAAAGGAAAAATATGACAACCTAATGAAGATACAACTGGAGGGTCTATAGTTTATTTCAGATTTCCCATTGTACCCACCTCCGTGTTGGAGTTATTGACAGCACAGGCCTTCGTATTTTTAGTACCCCTTTTGGGGGGAAACAAAGGGGCCTCTCACTTGTTTCAGTCCTCTAGTTTATTCTTGACTTTCCCAGCAAAGCTGCCTCAAGTAGAAAGCCCTATTCCAATTCATATTCCAGTCTCTTCCCGATTTCTCACCAGAATTATCTGTAAAGAGTAAGCACTGACAAGTGATGGATAATTTGCATTTTAACCCTATTCAAATTTGGGTAAATGGTTTAATATGCATGCTAATATTCCATCATTATTCCAATTAAGGAAACTATTATGTTAAAGTGTTTAATCAGGAGAATTAGGGAGAACTCCAGACACCTAAAATTAACCTCTAATAGTCTTGACATTCATTTCATTTAAGTGCAATTTGCCAAGCTACAACCAACTCCCGCTTAAGACTTCTGCTTAGGCACGTGGGGATTCCTGATAAGACCTAAAAGCAATTCATTTCCTAACTACATTGCTGTCTAAAAGAATAAACTAAAAGGACCACAATACAATCAAATCCCCAAGCAGTCACATTCCAAGAGATTTAAACATCATCATCTTGATTCCCAGTAACAACAATGCTCTTTGCATCAGAAACAACACAACCACTTCCTCTTTCTCTGACCTTCTCTGTTTAATTACTTCCTGTGATTTCTTCTAGGGCTGAGCGCCCAAGCTTCCCAGGGCGGCAGCCTTTCCGTGCATACATGACTGATTTGTCTGACAGTCAGACATTACACATACAGTTTGGGACTTCACATTTCTTTTTAAGTGATGGATCTCATGGGCCTCCTAGCATTCACCGAGAACTTTCTTTCAGCCATAAAAAAAGAAAAAATTCTTCTAGTACATTTCCATTTAAAATCAAGCTGTACCTCAAAGCTGGAAGTCCTGCTAAGAATGGGGAGGGACAGGCACCTGATGATACCTCTCAGTGTATGATCACCACCTTCTTATCAAATGAGCCTCTTCAGCAAACATTCAAAATGCCAAAGATGTGAAGTCATCTTTTTATTAGGGTCTGGACAATGAAGATAAAACCATCACAGCCATGGATAAGCCCATGAACCCTCAGTGGCATAATTCCTGGGGAGTTTGTTAAGAATGCAGAATCTCAGGATCAGAATCCTCATTTTACCAGATTTCCCCAGGGAATCCCTATGTAAGCTCAGGTTTGAGAAGCACGGCTACAGGATCCTCCCCACAAAACAGCAAGGCTACAATACAGGTCCAGGTGAACACAATGCTGTGTTAGCCACATTGCTCTCACAAGCTTTCCATCAGGGGTAAGTTGGCTTACTCTTTCCAAAACAAGTATTTGTAGAGTTGCTGTTTATATCTCAGTACAGAAAAGGCCACCTGGATTGGCACTGGCTCCCTATTCCACAGAGCTGAACAGGAATGCAAGGAAGAAATGTCACTACATAGTTCTGAGGTGTTTACAGGATTCTAAATGAGTTCTAATTTCATTTGCTCAACAGTAATATAAACCAAGCTATTCAGATAACACAATTTTTTATACGAGAAAACTGAGGCCCTGTGAGGTTGTAACACAGACTGTTGTTCTACAGATGTTAAGATTTGAAGTCAAAGGACCTGGGTTAAAAATAACAAATCCTGCTGTGTGTGTGAGACCTCAGGCAAGACAGGGCCCTCTCAGAATCTTTTCCTCACCTGTGGTATGTGGACACTTGACGGTTGGACATATTCCATCCATGTGTGAATGTGTACGTGCTTGTATGTACAACACACACACACACACACACACACACACTCTCTCTCTCTCTCTCTCTCTCTCTCTCTCTTACCCTCACTCATTCTTTCTCTCATACCTAAAAACGACTTGAAAAGCTTGCTTGTTTGAAGATTCTGGCAAGGGCCTGTAGGTCCTTCAATGCTGTGCATGAAGAGTTCCCCTACCCCAAATATGAGAACCCCAACACATCACATTTCTAGTTTGCAGCTCTAGGAGGAACCCAGCAGGAAGGAGGGGAAGAAAAAGGAAAACAACTCTAGTTAGTAATCAGTTAGTCAGTCATCAAGAGGGCTGTCCTCACACCTTAAAGCAGATGAAACTGTCTAGCATCCTAGAATGTAAGTGCCCCGAGAGCAGGGACTTCCTGAGCCACAGCTCTGGTATTGTATGGCAGGCTAGGTGCTCTATATTTGCAGTAAGTGAATGGCACATGGTAGGCATTCAATGGCTAGTGGCTCCCTCTCCTCTGGCTGTACTTCCACTCATTTATTTTATCCAATACAATAATTTACACATAATTTTGCAACTGGGGCCTAAGTACATTCTAAATTCAAGTTATTCCGATTCACAGTATATCACACTCCAAATCAACACCTATAATCTAGTATCCCCAATTTTCCTTAGTACAAAAGACATCTTAGAATGGACGGTAAGGTCTTCAAAGGTTTTTTGTTGTTGTTTTTTATTTTAACAAACAGCAGAGTACTGTTCTGAAGTGTGCTCACACACAGATCAATGAGAAGGCAACCAATTATTAGGCCTTCAGGGCCAGAGGTGAGCTGTTGAGCCCAGGCACATCATTCTAGCAAGGCAGATTTGCTTTGCGAGTCTGAGCCTGAGAAAAAAATCAAACTTGACTTAACCTTTAAGCAAAAGGGAGAAATGTAATAACTATATTAAGACTATAGTCACACTTACGCTGCTTTAAAAGATCTATAAAAATGAGTAAAATTACTGGGATGTTGATAAATTAAACCTCTAGTCTAGCACTATGTCTGTATTCCCACTCCATCGTCCACTTTATTCCTTGGCTGGAAAAATAAAATGAAATGCCAAACATGGCATTCAAGTAGACAAAACATGTCATAAGCCAAGTGACTCCTAAGAGGATGGTCAGTCCCACCCATCCACACCAAGCCTACTGACTTTTGTTTTAGAGAGAATTTGAATGCTGCTGGTAATAAGGTATCTAGACCACATATCAGGAATGGCGTAGGGATGGCAGGGGAGCCAAGGATGCTATTACAGGTAGGTACTCTTACCCTAAGAGAACAGACAAGCTATAAAACTCAGAATCTCAAAAAGCACAGCCAACTGGGATCACTGAGTAAAGGGGCCAATGGTCAGCTGGGCATTATTGATTATCACAGTACAAAAACTACCAGGACACCATTAGAAAGCCAAAAGAAACAGTCAGTCTTAGAACATGACTTCTAAATCCTAATTATCCTCCCACAAGCTCCCTGAGGAGCCTTGAGCAAGTCATTTCAGCTCTCTAAGGTACAAAGTGAAAATCTTGTTTCCTGCCTTGTAAAGTTCATGGATCTCCTCTGCCTTGTAAATTCTGAAAAGAAAGAACACCTTATTACATGATGGGGGACAGACCTGGGGTAGATGGATGCTACTGAATCTCAATTTCTCAGGTGCTGTGCTAAAATGTTTTACCAAGGCTACCTCATTTATGCTTTTTTTTTTTTTTCTTTGAGATGGAGTTCTGCTCTTGTTGACCAGGCTGGAGTGCAATGGTGCAATCTCTGCTTAGCACGATCTCTGCTTGGCATAACCTCCGCCTCCCAGGTTCAAGCGATTCTCCTGCCCCAGCCTCCCGAGTAGCTGGGATTACAGGCATGTGCTAGCATGCTCAACTAATTTTGTATATTTAGTAGAGATGGGGTTTCTCCATCTTGGTTGGGCTGGTCTCGAACTCCTGACCTCAGGTGGTCGGCCCACCTCGGACTCCCAAAGTGATGGGATTACAGGCATGAACCACCATGCCTGGTCCATTTCTACTTTTTAACAGCCTATTAGGTATACAGCAGAATGAACCTCATTTACATTAATCCAGGGCTGGTGGCTTGGGATACTTAGCAGGGTCCCTTAGTGGCAGGGGAAGAGGTACGGTCTCACTCCAAAGTCCATGATTCTTCCACTACCATCATGGCAGCCTCTCCTTTAGTAGTTTTGAAAAAGCAACTCAAAGTCTTTTTTGGATATAGGTATCCAAAAAAGATAATTGTTAAATTGTGAAAAATTGTTAAATTTTTATACACGGTACAATTATTTTTTCAATTAATGAATAGTTACTTCAACCAATTGATAACTGTTTACAGAAAGCCTACTATGTGCTCAGTGTTCTGCCAGGCCATGGGTATGAGGGTTAATAAATTATTCTCAAAGGGCATGGTGGTGTACACCTGTGGTCGCAGCTACTTGGGAGGCTGAGATGGGAGCACTGCTTGAGCCCAGGAGTTCAAGGCTCCAGTAAGCCATGATTGCACCCCTGCACTCCAGCCTGGGCAACAGAGCAAGACCCCATCTCTAAAAAAAAAGTAATAAAAATAAAAGATAAAGCTATTCCCATGCCAGGTGCAGGTGGCTCATGCCTATAATCCCAGCACTCTGGAAGGTCGAGACAGGAGGACTGCTTAAGGCTAGGAGCTGAAGGCCATCCTGGGCAACGTTAAGAAGACCTCACCTCTACTAAAAATTTAAAAATTAGCCAGGTGTGGTGGCGCACACCTACAATCCCAGCTACTCAGGAGGCCAAGGCAGAAGGATCACTTGGAATACTCCAGCCTGGACAACAGATCAAGAGTCTGTTTCAAAAACAAACAAACAAACAAACAAACCTATTCCCACACCTAGAAAGACAGATGGGCCAAGCTTCTCTGTGCATTCTCAGTTAGTATGGATGCAAATACAAAATAAACAGTGCGTATCTGAAAAGTCAGTACTGGAGGCCAGAGCCAAAGCAAAGCAGTAAGAAAAAGAAACAAGAGGAATAAATAATGAAAATGAAAAGACAAAGATGTCATTACCAGATGAACAAATGAAAGTCAATTAAAAACTTAACTGATAATTAAGTTTTAAGCATTTATAAATGGACCACAGGAAATATATCAAAGAATAAAAACAACCAGATCTGAAAAATCGTTATTTCAGGACACAGAGGAGCCAAAACCATACATTTTAGAAGCTCCCAATATTTGTTCTAATCTCTTCAATCACAAGTGTTAAATGCTAAGGGTGAAGTCAAAATCTGTTTCTTTACCTTTACCCTCTAAGTGCAAGTAAACACAGAAAGTTTGTTTTTAAATAAATATTCAACTACCCTTTGAGAGTAGCAGGAAGAACATAAGCACAATTTGATAATACGTGTGCAATATGCCACATGTGAACATAATGTTGATAAAGGTTACATGAGAAAGGGAAATGGGTAGTTATGAAACAATTGTTACTTAATTTAGCAAACTCCCATGATCCTGGCCTGACTTTCTTTCCATGACATGGGACATATGTCAAGATGTAACAATCCTTCATGTCTATCCAGGGAAAGCATATAAAAAATATATTTTGTTCCACGGGGCACTGGAGCATCAATACAAAATATTTCTTCTACTTCAAAGTCACTAAGAGCCCTAGAAAATGCCTTAAAAGCACCATCACAATGTTCTAGATTTAAATAGTAATTTTTAAATATTTCTAAGAATAAGTTATCAAGTTTATTGAGATGACGGGGTCTTTTTAAAAAACTCGGCCTAATTTACCTTAGTAAAAACAAGCCCAAACAAATAATCACATACACCAAAACTTTCTGGTCTGCCTCTATTATCACTTGTTCAATTTCTGAAAATTTTGCTGTTAGACTGTATTTGTGTTCAGCCGGCAATACAAGAATGATGCCAATATTGGAGTTCATCAGCACAGCTGTATCCACCCTCAAGTGTTAAGACTCCAGCAGAACCCTGCAGCTATTGAAAATTGTTAATACTGTGATTTCTGCAGAGATTCTCCTACAGAGGCATAGAAACAGGCCCTGTCTTATTGTGGTCAAGATTTTTTACTTGTCAGTTCTCGCAACAATGAATGGAATAAAAATGGGTTTTGAGTTACCAATGACAGATCACTACCACCAGATAGTTCTGCATGGAATTTCCACAAAATACCAGAGGCTCAATGTGAACATGGTTGAGTTTCTCAGGAGGCTTATATATATATATACCCTAAGTTAACCAAATACAACAATTGTAATTATTGCATTAGTCAGTAGGGATGAAACAGCACTTTAAAATAATTAAATCCATTATTTTATTCAATAGACATTAAGCAACCACAATGTGCCCAATGGTGTTGGGCCAACAACTAGAAAACTAGGCATTTGAGAAGTAACCTTGAATCCAAAAAACTCAAATTCGGATGCAGAATCTAGCTGGGTATAAGCCCAACTTGAAATAATAATTGCCATGTAATGTAGGGAAAAAAATAATACACACAGACATTGATTTTGACTTGCATTTTGACTTTGACTTGATTTTGACTGGGAGGAGGGGGTTATGGTGGGAAAGTCAAAAAGGACCACCCAAACGCAATGGCTCAGAGATGGCTGGGGGCATGAGCAGAATGTCACCTACTGGAGAAGTGAAGGAAGAAAGAAGAGAATTTCAGAATAAAAGCAAGAGTAAGCAAATTGCTAAGGCAAAACAGTTTTGGGTATTGCTACTGATCCACTTTGTATATATTGTACTGGATAAAAGGACAGGAAAGCAGAGGGGACCAGCTTTAGTTAGAAAGGAGGTTGCATTTGCTAATATTCCCATGGAAACAAACCCAGACCACAACCAGCTGATGGAGCTTAGTCCACTCCAGGTCTACCACCTCACTAGCTGTTCAGCCTTGCACTAGGCACTTAAGTTTATACTATGACAGGTCCTAGCTTACAAGCTCCTTAAGGTCTTTTCAGGTTTTTTTTGTTTTTTCTTACTTTTAAGATTTTTTTTTCCTGGAGACAGGGTGTCACTCTGTCGCCCAGGCTAGAGTGCAGTGGTACGATCACAGCTCATTGCAGCCTCGACCTCCTGGCCTGAAGCCATCCTCTCCCCTCAGCCTCCTGAGTAGCTGGGACTACAGGTGTGCGCTACCACACGCGGCTAATTTTTATTTTTTATTTTTTTGGTAGAGACAGGGTCTCACTGTGTTGCCCAGGCTGGTTTTCCTGGCCTCAAGCTATCATCCTCCAGGCCTGGGTCTCCAGTAGTGTGGGGATTTTCTGAGGAATAAATCAAGATTCTAATTCTGCACAGTCAACTCCATATTTTTAACATTTAAGGGTTCTACTCATGTATAGTAGAACCATACCCCCTGGTAGAAACATACCTCCCTTTTTAAGGCAAACACAAAGAAAATGGATCAATACTCACTGTATCGGTTTAATTTCCACAACTGTTATTTCAGTTAACATAGATCTAACATTCCAATAATAACCAACTCTGAATTTGCACTACTCCCATTATCTTTGAGGTGTATCACAGAATTCTCAAGCCCAAATTTATTTAAATCCATTTTAATTCAGTATGCCCCTCATGCTTCACAGCATTTTCTGGGAAGATAAGTGAAGTGAGAAAAATGATGGCAATGACAGATTGTCACCAGTTCAGAAGAATAATGAACAAGCATGATTGGCAGAAAGGCTGCGAGCTCTGAGTCAGAACGACTGAGGCTGGACCACCCCAATGGTTCATAGTGGTTAGTTAAGAGCACAGAGACCTTCCTGAACCAGGCTACTGGAGTGCTCCATTCCCAGCTCCTTCAGTTACTCACAGGATGACCTTGAGGAAAGGACTTCACCTCTCTGTGCCTCACTTCTCCCTATTATAATAGGGATAATAATACCAACTACCTCGCAGGATTTTTAAGAAGACTAAATGAATAAAGTGCTTTAAAAAAATGTTTGCTGTCTCGGGCAACTAACTTGACCTTGGCTTTCTCATCAGTTAAATGGGGGTAATACCTTCTTCACAGGGTTATCTGAAAATGAAGCTCAGCCTGAAAGAAATCTATCTCAGTGCCCTGCAAAGAGCCACATAGGGCACCTGTTTTATGCCTAGCCCTGTACTATAAGCTTTACGTAGGCTGTCTCATTTAATTCTCACAGCAGCTCCACAAAATAGGTAGTGTCTATTCCCATTTTGTCCACTCCATATAAAACTGACATGACATATGAAAGTAAACTGCCTTAGATCATAAAGTGAGCAAATGGCTAAGCCTTAAGCCTTAAATACACGTTACAAACGCATTTAACTCGGGGTCTTCGATTGGTCTCTGGCTGAATAACCAGTTATAAAAGACATTTTTGCAGACAATTCAGGCAGAGTGTTAAAGACACCAGGGAATTATTAATTTTGTAAAATGTGATAATAGTATTGTGGTTTCACAGAACAGTATTTTTATCTCTTGAGAAGTAAGCTCAAATATTTAGGTACAACAGTCCCAATGTCTGCAATGTCTTTGAAATGGTTCAGCAAAAATACTTACACCTGTTTTATTAATGGGAAACATTTCAACGTTAGGGAAAATATGACTGAAAGGGAAGCTGCAAATCCATTCCCAGCAAGAAGTGGGTTACAGAGAAGAGTTCATGAAAGGAACAAAAGAAAAAGCTGAATGGCAGCTCGATGTCTCCAGGGTTAGAGCTTGGTTCAGTAAGGTTTATCTTGTCTGCAAATTTCCAAACCATTCATAGCCATGATCAAACGCTTTAAAGATAGTGACAAAATAGGTATGGATTTAAAAAAATTTTCCAACCCTATGCACAGAGGACGACTTACAATAGTTTGCTGATGCTCTTCGCTTCTTAAATTATATTTTTAAAAGTCTGTATAATTGTAAATTTTAACATGCATTTTTATGTGGAGGGGGGACGAAAGAGAATGGTCAGTGTATTTTCTATATGGAAGATATCTTTTGGGACCATTATCAACAAGAGCAAAGAAACTTTCCTGAATTACCATATATTAGAAGAATTTTAAATTGACATGGAAAACAACATTAGAAAACAAAACATTATTTTTTTAAATTAAGCACAATTTTACCATTTGCAAGATTCTGATTTACTGCATTCTGATGCTAAATGAAACAGATATTATCTGGACCATTCAACAAAACCTTTACTACATGTAGACTATCAAGTCTATTTTACCTAAAGTACAAATATATCTTTCCTAGGTCTCCAGTTTGATGCCACCAGTTCTCTTAAGTAGCAAACCCTGCCTGGTTCCAAAGGTATCTGAGAGACCTCAAACATAAAATCATTACAAGAAAAAAACAGATCAAATTCACCCAAAGTAGGAATCTAGCAAAAATCTAACCAAATATGGCTACCTTAATCAAACAATAATTTTAGCTCTAGACTTAAAGACAGTGGCAGCAAACAACAATAAAACAACAAAAAAGCAATCACAGCAAGCTCTGTAATTCAGAGAGAAAAACCTTACTGTCACTAACATTTAAAAGGAATTTTTCAGATGCGTCATTACACAGGTACGTTGAACAAAATAATAGACAGTGGCTACCATGGCAGTTTACAGCCCACGAAGTCGCTTTCTTCTCAGGCATTTTAAGTTTTGAGCCAAGGTCATCACATTAAAAATAACCCCTATAAGCCCATTTCTTCAGTGGCTAAGGTGCCAAGGCTTTCTCAGTCTCTAAGTGAAACTAGAACTCCTCAAATATCTATCCTCTCAACTGGACTCGTGACAGCAGTGGAGGCTACGGCTTCATGCTGAACTTGCTCTGAGAGCCTGAAATGGAGCTATTCTTTCCTCGCTGGTGATCCCACTCGAAATCCTTCTGCTTTGGATAGCAGATGGAGAAAGATGCAAGGCTGACAAGCTGCCACAAAAAGAGCCAGGTCAGGCCTGTATTCCCAAGGGGTGGAGCCAAGGTAGAGTGGTCAAACCTCTCCAAGAATCTGCAAGGCCAGAGCACAGCAACCAGCCTCACTGCTACTACTGCTACTCTGTGTGCAGGTACAATCGAGGGCCCATAAAAATATTGATTTATTGGTCACGTTCAAAAGGCAGCAAGGCCCAGCAGCATATTCCTTCTCTGTATTTCAGCCCTAAAAGCGCAACTTTTTTTCATTTTACCATTTTAAGATGCTATATACGAAGACAAAGCAAAACGTCTGAAATAGAAACACCAGCAGATGCGGTGGGACGTCTGCGACAGGCACAGCAGCAGGGATCCTCTCCTGTGACGGCTGTCTGGAAGATCAGGGGTTACTGCAGTCAAAGTTCCCTGGGGACTCACAGGAAGGAAACTGAAATTCCCTTTCCCAAACACCAGCCCCACTCCCGCCCGGACTGGCAACAGCAGACGCCAAAGGATAAAGGGGGTATATTTAATAAAGTGAGTAGATTTCCTAGAGTAGGGCACAGCACTGTCACCTGCTGCAAGAGACAAGCCTCCCAGTCGCCCAGCCCTGAGTCACTTCCCCTCCCAGCACTCTTGAGGCTCAATGCCTGCGGGGGGCAAAAGACCTGGGGCCTCCGGAGCACGCCTTCCGAAGCCCACACTCCCCTGCAAAGACGCGCGCGGGGCCTCCCTCCAGGGCGCGTCCCCGCGGCTGCCAACCAGCTCTTTGCGCCCAAGCCCGCGCCGCCGCTACCTTGGCTAATGGCAGCACTGAATGAAAGGAACGGATGCAGGCTCCGGATTTATGAATGTGCAGGGGAGGAGGGGAGGGATATCATGTGACAATAAAGGAGCGCGTCTTATTCACAAAAAAAAAAAAGTGGCTGGTGGCGGGCACAGCCACTGAGCAGCAGCGGCGGCCGCCGCGCGGTGACCGCTCAAACCCCAGGCATAAGACTTGAGGCGTCGGGCCCCGCGGCCCCGCCCCCGTCGCACCCGAGACTGAAAACGCCTCAGACCAGGGAGGGAAAATGCCAAACTGGACCCCTGGACCGCGAGGCAGGAGGCAGCTGCACCTCCGCCCCGGGCTGGCGACAGTCACGGGTCCCGCGCGGGGCGGCCCAGGATCCCTCCGGCGGAGCGCCCCGAGCATTGTTCCCCTCGGGCCCGCGGGCCAGGCACAAGCCCGTGCACGCGCACCCGCGAGGACACTCACATACACACACACACACGCGCGCCCCCAGCGCGATGCCCCGCACGCCCCCGCCGCACACGCCTCGGTCCGCCCCGAGCCGCCCGACCCCGCAGGACGCGTGTGCCGGCCACAAGCGCGTGCACAGGCACTCACGCGCCGCGGGGCCCCTCGGGCGGCTCCAGCACGCCGGCCCGCGCGGGGACCCTGGCGCACCAGACCCCCGCGCAGCCCGCGCCTGTCCTCCTCTCGCTCCGCCGTGTTTTTTATGAATGAAAATGTGGTATGCAAATGAGAGCGATTCAAGAAAACGAAATGGCGGAGCCTAGGCCCCAGTGGGCTCCGGAGCGGACTGCAGGGCTCGCGGGGCGGCGGGAGTCACAAAGTCACTGTGCAAAAACCCACCAGCCCCGGGAAGCCGGAGTGGGGGTGTCAGGTCTTCCGCTCTAGCCGCCGAGGATTTCGGGGGCGGGGGAGCTGTAAGTCCTCCGAGAGGGAGCGGAGACCGCCGGGAGGTCACCCGCACGCCCTTGGCCCCCGGAGCTGCCACCAGCCCGCCGACCCTAGGCGTGCGCCCGCCAGCCCGCAGCAGTTTTTGCCCTCTCCTCACTTCAACAAGCAGGGAAGCCTCGCGTCCCAACGCCGAAAGGTCAGCGAGTCGCTGCACCCCACGCCAAGTTCACCCAATAAGCGTCCCCGCCCGCATCCTCAGCCCCGGCCCCCACGCTGCCCCTGAGGGGCACCCTCGTCCCACCCCGCGACCAAACTTACTCGTCTGGGTGTGTTTCTTCGGTCATTTTCTTGTTCACCTAGACGCCTGTCCCGCGGCGGGCAGCTTTGCTCCCTTCATCTTCCTGTCCGCTCGCCCCCCTTCTTCACATCTCCGGAGATCGCCTGATTTGGGGAGGGGGGGCGGCTAGAGATGAAGAGGGCGCCGCAGCAGAAGGGGAAGCAGGGCGCGGGATAGGGTTTGGGGGAAGGGGTGCAAAGGCAGGCTGCGCGGGGAGTGAACGCCGCAGCGCCGTGGGGAGAGGCGGGCGGAGGCTCCGGGGGCTCGGGAGCGGGCAGAGGGGGCGAGATTTGGGAAGGGGACGGCGGTGGGGGAGAGCAGGAGAAAAACAAGCGCGCCTCGGAGCGGCAGGGACTGCTGCGAGGAGGAGGAGAGCGCCGGCCGCGGGTGGGGGGGCTCAGTCCGGGGTCGCCCCCGGGGGGCCGGGCCAATCACGGTTCCGGGGAGCGGTCGGCGGCCGGGGGAGGTGCGCCTGGGAGGCGGTGCAGGGCGCCCCGTCCGAGCCCCATCTCTCGACTCCACCGATTTACTCCATATTGGATTCTCACCGCCGCCAACAGGAGGAGGAAGTAGGGCGGAAGCGATGACGTCTTCCCAGCGGCCAGAGGTGGTGGAGTGCAAAAAGCTTCCTACTTGCGACCGAAAAAAAGGGAGAAGAAAAAAAAAAAAACTTTGTCCCGCCTACTGAGCACGCCCCGCTTCCTCTCCCCCTCCCTCCTGGCTTCCACTCCCGGGGGAGCCGCGGAGCCGAGTTGTTTGCTTGCGCCGCGACCGTCTGGCTCCGAATCCTCCTTGATTAGGGCTCCGGGTTTTAGGAAGCCCGAGAGGAGGGAGGAGGCGGGAGCGGAGGACTCGTACACATCTGGCTCCCGTTTTTGCCCCCTCCCTCCTTCCAAACACCAAGATTAAAAATCGGGGGGTTGGGCGGGGGCAGAGATGGGAAACTCAAGGGAGGGGAGGGAGTAAAACAGCTGAAGAGGTGCTCAGGCTCAGAGGCACAACTACCCCCACCGCGGGGTGGGAAGGTAGGGGCGGCGCAGGTGCCAGGGGCTGGCTTCTCCAGCCCAACCCAACCAGAGAGGGGAGGGGGTTCGACTTTGCCAAGGTTCTGAAAGGCAGAGGCTTTTCCGTTTCACGTGAATCTTGTGATTTTTTTTCTTTTTTGTCTCAATAGAGGAATGGATTTTTGTTTTGTTTTGTTTTGAGATGGAGTCTCGCTCTGTCCTCAGGCTGGAGTGCAGTGGCGCGATCTAGGCTCACTGCAACCTCCACCTCCTGGGTTCAAGTGATTCTCCTGCCTCAGCCTCCCGAGTAGCTGCGACTACAGGCGCGCGCCACCACGCCCAGCTAATTTTTGTATTTTTAGTAGGGAGGGGGTTTCATCATGTTGGCCAGGATGGTCTCGATTTCTTGACCTCGTGATCCGCCTGCCTCGGCATCCCAAAGTGCTGGGATTATAGGCATGGGCCACCGCACCCGGCCAAGGAACGGATGTTTTTAAGAATCATTACTCATGCAAAGAAAAAGGTCAACCCAGCACAGCCCAGAAACGTTTGCATTTCCGTAGAAATTATGGAATTTCTCGCGTTAAGAAGCAGCCCCGGCCGGGCGCGGTGGCACACGCCTGTAATCCCAGCACTTTGGAAGGCCGAGGCGGGCAGATCACCTGAGGTCGGGAGTTCGAGACCAGCCTGACCAACATGGTGAAACATCGTCTGTACTAAAAATACAGAATTAGCCGGGCGTGGTGGCGCGTGCCTGTAATCCCAGCTACTCGGGAGCTGAGGCAGGAGAATCGCTTGACCCCAGGAGGTGAAGGTGGCGGTGAGCCAAGATTGTGCCACTGCACCCCAGCCTGGGCAACAAGAGCAAAACTCCATCTCAAAAAAAAAAAAAAAGAAGAAGAAAGAAAGAAAGAAAAAGAAACAAGAGACATAGTCCCTATCCCTTGCTGCTCTCCAAACACAGTAGACTTTTCCATCCTCTTGAATGTCCATGGGACAATCCAGATACGATGTTAACTAAATAGCAACCACTGAACAGGTTAAGAGATTAAATATTTGCCTCAGGCTGGGCGCAGTGGCTCATGCCTGTAATCCCAGCACTTTGGGAGGCTGAGGTGGGCGGATCACCTGAGGTCAGGCGTTTGAGACCAGCCTGGCCAACATGGCAAAACCCTGTCTCTACTAAAAATATAAAAATTAGTTGGGTGTGGTGGTGGGCACCCATAATCCCAGCTACTCAGTAGGCCGAGGCAGGAGAATTGTTTGAACCCAGGAGGAGGAGGCTGCAGTGTACCGAGATTGCACCATTGCACTCCAGCCTGGGCAACAAGAGCAAAACTTTGTCTCTAAATAAATAAATAAATGCCTCAAATTTAGTATTCCTAAAATTTACATACATATAAGAGCCACAAATGCTCCAAAAAGTTTCACCTTGAGTCAGGGATAAACTGGTGGTTTACTCCAGGCTTTGTGCTTATCACAGCCATGATCTCTGTAGACATGGAGTAGGGTTCACGCTGGTGATGTGTGGTGGTGGGGAGGGCATGAACCAGGGGATGGAACAGCTTGGTTCTGGTTTTCTCCTAGCAGTCCTGAGACCCCGAGTGAGTTTCTTTATAAAACAGGAATAACAAGGCCAAGCTTGTCTTTATCAGTTTTTGAGGCCATTGAGAGTTCCTGAGAAAGTACTAAGCAAAGGCAAGATCTCATTGTCTTCCAAATCCTCAGATGGCTAAGGAATCTACCCAAGTCTCACCTTTGGCCATGGTTGCTCTTCTCCCTGGGAGTGCTGAAAGAGATCCCACCCTGTTATTCCTGAACTTCCCAGAACACAGGCACTTACCCATGTCAAAATTATCCACCCTGTGGGCATCTCTTGGGCTCCACCCTCCAGTTTCAAGGTACACAAATGGCAAGGTGGCAGGTGAGGTGATTAATTTCTGCAGGTAGGCCAGCTCTATGAGCAGGTTAAATTGGTGTCATCACCACTCACTCAGCCAGCTCTCTGCTTAATAGCAGCGAACGACTGGCCCAGCCTATGGACCAGGTTGCCAGGGGAACAATGATAAATATTCTGAGGTCCAGAAGTCCCCAAGTCCCCACTGGGATCACCTGGTACCATACTCCAGCTGGGCTATCTCAGGCAGGCCCTTAGGTCCACTGAGCCTTGGGTTCAGTGTCTGTTGGGTCGGAATAGTACCCACAACATAGGGTTGCTGGGAATCTTAAATGGGCTATACAGATTCCTGATAGCCCTTTCCTCTCTCTGGCCAGCTGGTTTACCAAATGCCCCCCTCCACTCTGTCCTTCATGTTCCTTTAAATGAAGCCTGCCAGTTCTCTTCTGTCTTGTTCAACACCCAAAAGGGGCCTTTTGATGGAAACATTACTAGCAGGTCACTTCTTGGTCCTCCCCATCAATTACTGTGGTTGAGGCAAGTCTGACTCCTGCAGCTCCATAGAATAAATGAGGACATTGGGCGAATAACTCAGATATGTCTGTTGATCTGAACATCAAGGTGTTATCAAAGTCCATTGGATTGTTGCTGGAATAGGGGATATCACAGATTTAGGGCTTTAATTGATGTCACTGCTGAAAGAGCTAAGGACCCACATCCCTGTCTCTCCCCACAACCGGCAGAACAGGGGGCTGCGGGAATCTCTGAACACGATCAAATCAATAGTGCTCAGTCAGAGTAGGATCGTAAAGCTTCAAAAGTAATATCGATCTGCTCACAACTTCACGCAAACCCAGCGGGGCCCCCAGCAGGTCCCCCACCTACAGGCTTCTCAGTTCCGAGTCCTGGGCGAGGGAGCACCCCCACCCCGGCCCTTCCCGCGGGCTGCCCGGAAAGTCCGGAGCGCGGAGCCGGAGCGACCCTCCGCGGCCGGGGACGGGCATGCTCAGTAGCCCCGCAGGTCCTGTTTCACTGGGAAGCCGTCCGCGGCCCCCACCCCTCCCGCCTGGCTCGGGCGCCAGGAGAAGCGGACATTTTAGCCTCCTCTGCAATCCGCTCTCTCGTTCGTGTCCTTCTCCCCCCTCTCGTCCGGTAGGGCCGGCAGTGTAGATTTCCCCAGGGGCGGGGGTGGGATCTGAGCAATCACTCGCCCTCCCCCCTCCCAGGGGCGGGGAGGGGGTGATTTAGGGAGGACTCCACGGGGCCCAAAGGTTCGCACCGCCCCGCCGCGGCCCAGCCTGCAGAAGCCCCCCGCTGCCGCGGCGCCCCCGCTCCCCGCCCCGCGAGGCGCGCGCAGCTGCGCCCGGGCCTGTCCTCGCTTCACCCCCACTCTGCCCCTTCGGTATTTCTCAATGACCGGCGCTCCGAGGACACTTCCGACGCGGAGGGAGGGGGTGTCATTAGCGCTCGGTTATCAGTTCCTTCCGGTCTCCCCGAGCTCAACCCTGCGCGCGGCCGGGCCGCGCCTCGGGCGATCTGGTGCCTTTATTATGATGTTTAAGTAAGCAGTCGTGTGTGCCAAGTGAGTTTGTAGCCCAGCTGTCTCCCCCAAGCCCCGCTGGCAGGAATGGAAACCCAAGCTCTCTCGTAATGCAGGGGATGATGCAAACTTAGAAACTGACCCGGCGCCCGGGAATGAGGCCCCCCCGCCCCGGGCGTGCGGCGGCCCAGTCGGGGCATGAATGGCTGGAGCCCGATTGCATAATCCGCGCGGTATAAATAGCCGGCGGGCGGGCCGCTGACGCGCTCGGTTGTGCCGTTATCGTGCAATGCTTCATCCCCGGTGCCGTTCAATCCCAGGTCGTTTTCCCTTTCAGCTGCAATGCCGGGATTTTAAATAGCAGAGATGAAAGGCCCCTGCCCCCGCCTCCCTCCTCCCCTGAGTTCATGTATTATGAATGAAACGGCAGCCTCGCTGCTTCCTGAGGTGCTCCACTTCAGGTAGGAGAGAGACTCAATGTCAAGGCAGCTGGCTACTAAAAGTTGGGTGTGTGCGCGCGTTGGGGAGGGACGGAGACCAGGAAATAATTGACAGGCTGGGAAACATTCTTTTCGAGAAAATGTAACCGCTCAGGGTTTGCCTCTGGAGTTTCAGTTTACAACTGTACAAGCCTCAGTCAATTTAAGAATGGATTATGCAAAGGGGCTTTCGACTGCGGCTTGCTCGCCCTCACACCCTAGGCCGCTGTCTCTGTGGAAAGTGCTGTTTCATTCAGAGGAGCTGGTTTCTGCCCTCCCAGGGAGGCAGCACACATCCCCTCTCCCCTCTCATCCCCCACTTTAAGATGAGCCCTGAGAACCCTTGAGGGTCTCGAGAAAAGCGAATGCTGGTCACTGTAGCCATTCTCTAGTTCCAGAACCTCTTGGAAGCCTCAGCGAGGTCCAAAGCTGAGTAAGTTTTAAAACGTATTTTTTTTCCAACAGTTTTTCAACAATAGGTAGTCATTTTAAAAATTAAAGGATGAAGCAAGTTTTCGTCTTCTCATGAATACCAGATTTCAACTTAATTTCTTAACATAAAAATGGCCAGTTCTTCACAAATGCATTTCTGACATGTGAAGGGCAATGGTCAAGGTCATGATTTTTTTCACTGGATACCCATTGCTCCAGTCTGCCTTGAAAGCACCAGGGCTCTATGAGGCAGTGGGGATACAGGAGTGAAGAAACCCAGGCTCCTTCCCTCCAGGGATTCGGTCAGCTGGGGCAACAGGCATGTAAAAAACACATGAGGCCGCGAGGTAACAGCTCTGAAAAATGGAGTAAGCAGAAGAGAAAGCAGGGGTCAGGGAAAGGATCCTTGAAAGATGCTGGGAGTGCCCTTAGATAACTGGAAGGGGAGAGATCTCGGGGATAAAGAGCCGGGTTACCACAAAGGCCCTAGGTGCGAAATAACTTTGGGAGGAGGGGGAAGGAGGTGCGGGAAAGGGTGGAGAAGGGTAGAAGCCAGGTCAGGGAGGTCACACAGGCCTTGCTGAAGAAGGTTACCCTTTATTTTGAAATCATGGAACCTTTTGTAGTCGATTCACAGCTGATCTTTGTCTAGTCCCAGATCACTGCAGTGGCTCCCAAAGTTATGCAAATGTGGGGCAAGTGGGCATCCATTGTTCTGGGATTAGGGCATCAAACCAAATTCACAAACTGACAGCTCCTAGGCCAGATAAGGCCCCAGACAAGTTTTGTTTTGCCTGTTTTTTTTTGTTGTTGTTGTTGTTTTTTAATCAAGCTAACAGCTTAAAACCAGAATATTTCACATAAAACTCAATATTTTTGGTTCCTCCTGAAAAAAATTAAAGACTTAGCAACTGTGAGTGCCAGATTTCTGCGGGGTAACAGTGGATGGTTGCTGAGTGGAGGCTGCCCTGTCTGTCAGGCTTCTGGCTCCTGGAGGCATTTGAGCTTTTGACCCCTGGCATAACAGGATGTTTTGTGACTGGGTGAAGGCCCCACTCTGAGACCCCAGGCTGGTAGAGCTTGTCACTGGGTAAAAGCAATTTGCATGAGGAGCGCTGGGCCTCTTGGGAGGCCAATCCCCAATCTCCTTACCAAAGACACTGTATTCTACCTAGGCAGGCAGCCCACAGGCAGGGAGCAGTGAGGCTCCTAAAATAACAATGAACATTGATCCCAGCTTGGGCTCTGTTTCTAGGGAACCCAACCTAAGAGAAGTAGGCTCTCTCCCACCAGGGGAGCTGGAGGGGCTCAAGTGATCAGCTGAGAAAATCACCAAATTTGTGGAACAAGTTTTACAAGTTACATAACCAAATAGTTTAAGCAGGGAATGCTAGGCTCAGGTTTTATACTTTAATAGGTTATTCTAGGCTTGAAGGATGGTTTGTTGGGAGCAGAGCAAAGACTGGTTTGGGAGAAATTTTCCTCTTCCATGACAGGAGTAACAATGCATGATAAAGCACAGTGACAAGGGCCATGGAAAGAAGTAACCAATTCCAAAGACACAAATGGGGTAGAAATGACTTGGCTTTATGATCTGTTAGATATGGGGGCTCATTGAGAGGTCTAGGATAAATTCCAAGTTTCTTTCCCTTTTCCTTGGGAAATTGGGTGTTTTCTGGTCTCTTAACATGATTAGGGTAATAAGTGGGGAGTAGGAAGAAGGCTGGGATCACTCAAGATGGAGAAGCACGATGAGCAGTTGCTGCCACACAAGTCTGGGACCCACACAATAGGTCAGAGACTGAGGGATATACATAGGACAAGACTGAGTGCAGCAGATCCTGGAGGTGGAGATGGGGAGACAGTTCCCTGAATACATCTTTTGAGCAACTGGATTCAATCTTGCCTGAAGCCTGAGGATGATCTGGACTTTTAAGATGTAAAAGCCAATATATTGTTTTTTGCTTGAGCTAGGTTGAGTTGGGCTTTTGTCACTTGGAGCCCCCAAAATTCTAGCTAACAAAGTAGAAAACCATACTTTGGATAGTGAAAAAGATTGAGAGGAACTAAGGAATGGAACATAAGGGGAATTTTAGAATGTGTGTTTGCAATTTAACACAGGGACATCTGGGGTCTTTGCCAGGGAGTTTCATAGAGACTCTGATTTACTAGAACAAACTTCTCCCAGGAAGTTAGTCAACACTTTATGGGTTGTGCTGTCCTCTGTTTTTAGTCTCAGCATCCTACCATCACCACCTTAATTCACATGTTCACCTCCCTTCTCACTCCTAAAAACATGCCTCATTTTTACTACCTTTATTTCCCGTCCCTTCTGTAAAGACCAAAGCTGGGAAAGGAAGCTTAATAATATAAGAGAATCAGAGCTTTTAGAATTGGAAGAAAATGAAGGATCGTATGTTGTGGCAACTCTGACTTCAGTAAACCAAACATCTTACCCAACCTTTTTGGAATGGAGAAAGGAAGAAAACAAAATACAATATGATATGGTCCCTGTATCAGTTAGCTTTTGGTGTATAACAAACCACCACAAAATCTAGTGGCTTAAAATGATGAACATTTTACTGTTTCTCATGAGTCTCTGGTCTGGGCTGGCTCAGCTAGGGCTGGATGGTCTAGGATGGCCTCGCTGATGTATGTCGTGTTTGGCAAGCTGATTGCTCTGGTAGGGCCTGAGGTGGGCCAGCTCGTCTCTGCTCCACATGATCTGTTATCCTCCAACAGGCCAGCCTGAACTGCATCACATGGTGGTGGTGGCAGGGTTCCCAGATCAGCAAGAGAGAACAACCCCCAATGTGCATGTACTTGTTAAGCCTCTGCTTGCATCACATTTGTTACTATCCCATTAGCAAAAGAAGTCACACAGTTGGACAGGCGCGGTGGCTCACACCTGTAATCCCAGCACTTTGGGAGGCCGAGACTGGTGGATCACCTGAGGTCAGGAGTTCAAGACCAGCCTGGCCAACAGAGTGAAACCCTGTCTCTACTAAAAATATAAAAAATTAGCTGGGCGTGGTGGCAGGCACCTGTAATCCCAGCTACTCGGGAGGCTGAGGCAGGAAAACCAATGGAAACCAGGAGGCGAAGGTTGCAGTGAGCTGAGATCATGCCATTGCACTCCAGCCTGGGCGACAAGAACGAAACTCCGTCTCAAAAAAAAAAACAACAAAGAAAATAAGAAGTCACACAGTCAACCCAGAGTCAGAGTCAAGGAGTAGTGACATAGACTCTCCTTGTTGATGAGAAGAATGGCAAAGTCATATCACAAGGGATGTGCATACAAGATGAGAGGAATCTGTAGCCATCTTAATAATCTACCTCAACCCCTAACCCAAATTTTACAACATAGAAAAAGATATTTGTTTTTTGTTTTTGTTTTGGTGGTTTTTTTCTTTTTCTTTTTCTTTCTTTCTTTCTTTTTTTTTTTTTTTTTTTTTGAGATGGAGTCTTGCTTTGTCACCCAGGCTGGAGTGCAGTGGTGTGATCTCAGCTCACTGCAACCTCCACCTCCTGGGTTCATGCAATTCTCCTGCGTCAGCCTCCTGAGTAGCTGGGATTACAGACATGCACCACCATGCCCAGCTAATTTTTTTTGTATTTTTAGTAGAGATGGGGTTTCACTATGTTGGCCAGGCTGGTCTCGAACTCCCAATCTCAAGTGACTCACCTGCCTTGGCCTCCCAAAGTGCTGGGATTACAGGTGTGAGTCACCATGCCTGGCCTGTTTTTGTGCTTTTTTTTTTGAGACAGTGTCTCGCTGTGTCACTCAGGCTGGAGTGCAGTGGTGCAATCTTGGCTCACTGCACCCTCAACCCAGGCTCAAGCGATCTTCCCACCTCAGCATCCCTAGTGACTGGGGCTACAGGTGGTCACCATCATGCCTAGTTAATTTTTTTAATTTTTAGTACAGATGAGGTCTTGCTATGTTGTCCAGGCTGGTCTTGAACTCCTGAGATCAAATGATACTCCTGCCTTGGCCTCCCAAAGTGTTGGGATACAGGTGTGAGCCACCGTGCCCAGCCAGGGTATTTGTAATAATAATATACATTTATCTCATATATGATATATTGTATACTTACATATACAAATATAAAATATAAACATGATACATATATAAGTACATGTATCATGTATTTACATAAGTATATTTTTATATAGATATACTATTTCTATATAGCAGTACTATTGATGAAATTCACTTTTCCCTTTACAGTCCCTGATTTATGGCCAACTAAAACTGCTTAATGTTTAGTAGATTTGTGCATGCTATAAAACTCTTCTCAATTAATTTAATGAATCAAGAAAGAGTCCTTAAAAACTTTTTATACTTGCCCTTCTCTGTCAGCTTGAAAATCCTATTTCTGTTATGCTTACATCTTAAAATAGGCATGCTACTGAAGAGATCTGGGCAATTAAAATGTTTGTAAACCAAAGCACATTTTAAAAACACTAGGGAAGCTTAACTATTTAGGGTTACTTTAGATTAGATAATTTGGAAAAGCAAATAATCATTCCTGAATTTGTTCATAGAACTCATATCTTAAATATAGTTTTGGGATTAGTTAAAGCAAGGCTCACCTGTGTGCTTTTTTGATGACGACAGAGGTGGTGCTCATGGTGATGATGGTGGTGGTGGTGATGATGATGGTGTTGAGAGATAGCAGTGGAGATGGTGATGGGAAGGATGAGGATGATAGTGGTGATGGTGGTAAAGGTGATGGTGGTGGAGATAGTGACGGTGATTTTGGAAATGATGGTGGTGGAAGGATCTGAGATAGACACTTTTAGTTTGCTGCAGTGGTTTCCCTGTGGTCCATCTACCAGATTGCAGGCTATACAGATAGCTGGGGCAAATGCATTAGAAAAAGGAATAGAAGGCCGGGCAAGGTGGCTCACGCCTGTAATCCTAGCACTTTGGGAGGCCGAGGTGGGCAGATCACGAGGTCAGGAGATCAAGATCATCCTGGCCAACATGGTTAAACCCCATCTGTACTAAAATACAAAAAAAAATTAGCCGGCCATGCTGGTGCATGCCTGTAGTCCCAGCTGCTTGGGAGGCTAAAGCAGGGGAATCACTTGAAGCTGGGAGGCAGAGGTTGCAGTGAGCCAAGATCACGCCATTACACTCCAGCCTGGAAACTGAGCGAGACTCTGTTAAAAAAAAAAAAAAAAAGGAATAGAAAAACAGCAAGTCAAAGAAAAGAAGAAAAGCAGGTAGAGTATATGATGACATGCCTGCTAGGCCAGACAGTTCCCCACAATGCCAGGAGAGGCAACCAAGTACTCTTCCTTCAGGCCTCATTTGGATAAAACTTCCTCCAGGAAGCCTTCTCTCATCTCACCTCAACTGGGCGAGGTGCAAGGCATGTATACCCTCTCCTCTGTCCCAGTCCTCTCCATACCTTTCGGTAATTGCTCTTCTACATTTCCTTCCCACTAGATTGTAAGCTTACTGAGGGCAGGGACCACATCTTATTCTCTCTTATTCAATCTTGAGCCACTATGGCACATAGTGCATGCCCTGTGATGCTTACTGAGTAAATGAACGACAAGTCAGCACAACTTGCTTTCTTCTTTCCCTCTAAAAGTGCATTTTACTCCACAGCATCAGAGAAAGTATCCTGAATGGCTTCTCAAGTGTCCTTGCCTAAGGCCCTGGGCTTGCTGGTGTCAGGTGGCTGGGAAGGTGCTCCAGCCGATTTTATAGCATAAAACCATGTAGTACTAGAGTTCTAAAGGACATTAAGGAACTACCTGTTTTAAGATGAGGAAACTGGGGCCCAGATAAGCAAAGTAACTCAATTATGTCACACAGATAGTCAGAGTCACACCAAACCATAACTCGGGGAACTCAGAGTCCAAATTTTATAATCGATGTGACTTTGTTGGAATAATGCTGGATACACCTTTTGCACCCACTGCTAATTATGCTGGTGGGAGGCAGTGTTGCTTATCATTGTTGTAATTCATTCACATAAGAGAAAATGAAGACTTGCTTTTAGGTTTCCAAAGACTGACTCAGGGATATTTATATGGCTTGCATTTGTGGCTCACATTAAATTCTATTGGACACTGCTGGTCTAGGGCAATAATGATGATCATGGTAATCCCCTTCTCTGGGCCAGTTCTTGATTTAGGGATGGCTGTGTTTCTTCTTTTAACTGAGCATAGTTTTTTTCCCTGTGCTTTTCCTTACACCGAACTGTCACAGTGTGGCCAATAAAATGTAGGAAAATGTCTGCTAGGAACAGACATTTTGGGAAAGATTTGAATCCCTGAGAAAAAGAAAGATGAGTGAGCAGAAATGCCACCACCCACCCCTTCCTGCCTTTAGAAGTTCTTGTGTGAAGCAGTGATGCCAGGAGCTACCAGGAGGGGAAAGCCATGGAAGTCAAAGGAAAGCTGACCTAGAATCCTGAAATCGTCAAGATAACTGACATAACCAGTCTTGGAAACTACCTATATCTGGACTTCACATTATGTGAAGTAGTAAGCGTCTATTATTTAAGCCACCTTTATTCTGTGTCTTGTTACTTTCAGCCAAACTAAGTGATTCACACAGCATGGCTTCATTGTGTGCATTCCCTGCTCTGCAGGGTTGTAAGTAAATCTCAGTCTTCCAGCAGCGGGTGCCTGGGCTTGGTTTGCCACCTTGCAGAAGAGGACTAAGCAGCAGTTTTTAGACATATCTCTTTGAGATGTCATCTGCTGATATTTGTAGGCTGAGAAATTTTTGGTGCTTTTTGTGTAACAACTTAACATTGGGCAATCTACAAAAATGTAAAAACCTCTAGCCTATGTATGCTTACAAGCATGCGTTATATGCTTGTAACTTATTGTTGCTGTATAAAACTCTATGTTTTTTTTCCATTGTTATTTGTGCTTATGAAATAACACAAGCCTTAATTTAAAAAAAAAAAAAACTTGGCCGGGCGCGGTGGCTCACGCCTGTAATCCCAGCACTTTGGGAGGCCGAGGCGGGCAGATCATGAGGTCAGGAGATCGAGACCATCCTGGCTAACACAGTGGAACCCCATCTCTACTAAAAATATAAAAAATTACCCGGATATGGTGGTGGGCGCCTGTAGTCCCAGCTATTCAGGAGGCTGAGGCAGGAGAATGGCGTGAACCCGGGAGGCGGAGCTTGCAGTGAGCCGAGATGGCACCACTGCACTCCAGCCTGGGCGACAGAGCGAGACTCCGTCTCAAAAAAAAAAAAAAAAAAAAATAGCCAAGTGCAGTGACACATATCTATAGTCCTAGCCACTCAGAAAACTGAGGCAGGAAGATTGGTTGAGCTCAGGAGTTCGAGACTAGCTGGGTAACATAACAAGACCCTGTCTCAATTTTAAAAAAAGAAAAGTAAAAAGAAATGTAAGCCTTGTTCACTGTATAAACAGTTAAAGTGCAAAAAAGTATTGAGAAAAGAATAATGTCCCAGTAATCTCACCACTCAGATATAACCCCTGCTATTAATGGTTGATTTTTCTTTTCTTTCTTTCTTTCTTTCTTTCTTTCTTTCTTTCTTTCTTTCTTTCTTTCTTTCTTTCTTTCTTTCTTTCTTTCTTTTCTTTCTTTCTTTTTTTTTTTAAAGAAGTTTTGCTCTGTCGCCAGGCTGGAGTGCAGTGGCGTGATCTTGGCTCATGGCAACCTCCACCTCCAGGGTTCAAACGATTCTCCTGCCTCAGCCTCCCGAGTACCTGGCACATGCCACCACGCCCAGCTAATTTTTGTATTTTAGTAGAGACAGGATTTCACCATGTTGGCCAGGATAGTCTCGATCTTTTGACCTCGTGATCTGCCCACCTCGGCCTCCCAAAGTGCTAGGATTATAGGCATGAGCCACCGCACCCCACCGGGTTTTTCTTTTTTGAGACAGGGTCTCGCTTTGTCTCCCAGGTTGGAGTGCCATGGCATGATCTTGGCTCACTGTAGCTTCCGCCTTCCGGGATCAAGCTAACCTCTTGCCTCAGCCTTTCAAGTAGCTGGAACTACAGTTGTGTGCCACCATGCCCAGCTAATTTTTGTATATTTTGAAGAGATGGGTTTTTGCCATGTTGCCCAGGCTGGTATTTAACTCCTGGGCTCAAGTGCTCTACCCGCCTTGAACTCCCAAAGTGCTGAGATTACAGATGTGAGCCACCGTGCCTGGCCATGTTTTTACATTAAAAAAAAAAAAAAAATTGGGGGTCTGGGCTCACACCTGTAATCTCGGCACTTTGGGAGGCCGAGACAGGTAGATAACCTGAGGTCAGGAGTTCAAGACCAGCCAGACCAACATGGTGAAACCCCACCTCTACTAAAAATACAAAATTAGCCAGGCATGGTGATGCATGCCTGTAATCCCAGCTAGTCGGGACGCTGAGGCACAAGAATCGCTTGAACCCGGAGGCGGAGGTTGCAGTGAGCTGAAATCACACCCTTGCTCTCCAGCCTGGGCAACAAGAGCGAAACTCCCTCTCAAAAAAAAGAAAAAAAAAATTCTAATTTTTAATTTTTGTGGGTACATAGTAGGTGCATATATTTATGGTGTACATGAGATATTTTGGTACAGACATGCAATGCATAATAATCACATGGAAAGTGGGGTATCCATCCCCTCAAGCATGTATCTTTTGTGTTATAAACAATCCAGTTATACTCTAAGTTCTTTATTTTTATTTTTATTTTTTTTGAGACGGAGTCTCGCTCTGTCCCCCGGGCTGGAGTGCAGTGGCGCGATCTCGGCTCACTGCAAGCTCCGCCTCCCGGGTTCACGCCATTCTCCTGCCTCAGCCTCCCGAGTAGCTGGGACTACAGGCGCCCGCCACCACCGACTAATTTTTTAAAAAATGTACAATTAAATTATTATTGACTATAGTCGCCCTGTTATGTTATCAAATAATAGGTCTTATTCATTCTTTCTATTTTTTTGTACCCATTAACTGTCTCCATCTCCCCACTGCCACCCCCGACTACCCTTCCCAGCCTCTGGTAACCATTCTTTTGCTCTCTATCTCCATGAGTTCAATTGTTTTGATGTTTGGGATCCCACACATAAGTGAAGACATGCTATGTTTGTCTTTTTGTGCCTGGCTTATTTCAGTTAATGATTTCCAGTTCCATCCATGTTGTTACAAATAACAGGAGCTCATTTTCTTCTATGGCTGAGTAGCACTCCATTGTGTATATGTACCATATTTTCTTTCTTTCTTTTTTCTTTTCTTTTCTTTTCTTTTTTTTTTTTTGGAGACAGAGTCTCAGTCTATTGCCCAGGCTGGAGTGCAGTGGCGCGATCTCAGCTCACTGCAACCTCCGCCTCCCAGGTTCAAGTGATTCTCATGCCTCAGCCTCCCGAGTAGTTGGGATTATAGGTATGCACCACCATGCCCGGCTAATTTTTGTATTTTTGGTAGAGAGGGGTTTCACCATGTTGGCCAGGCTGGTCTCGAACTCCTGACTTCGTGATCTGCCTGCCTTGGCCTCCCAAAGTGCCGAGATTACAGATGTGAGCCACTGCGCCCGGCCTTGTACCATATTTTCTTTATCTGTTCATCTGTTAATGGACATGTAGGTTGCTTCCAAATCTTGACTATTGTGAACAGTGCTGCAACAAATATAGGAGTGCAGATATCGCTTTAATATACTGATTTCCTTTCTTTTGGGTACACATCTAGCAGTGGGATTGCTGGGTCATTTGGTAGTCATATTTTTAGTTTCTTGAGGAACCTTCAAACTGTCCCTATAGTGGCTGTACTAATCTACATTCTCATCAACAGTGTACAGGGGTTCCCTTTTCTTCACATACTTGCCAACATTTGTTATTGCCTGTCTTTTGGTTACGAGCTGTTTTAGCTGGGGTTAAGATGATATCTCATTGTAGTTTTGATTTGCATTTCTCTGATGATCAGTGATGTTGAGCACCTTTTCTTTTCTTTTTTTTTTTTTTGTTTGAGACAGAGTTTCACTCTTGTTGCCTAGGCTGGAGTGCAGTGGCATGATCTTGACTCACTGCAACCTCCATCTCCCGGGTTCAAGCGATTCTCCTGCCTCAGCCTCCTGAGTAGCTGGGATTACAGGTACACACCACCACACCTGGCTAATTTTTGTATTTTTAGTAGAGGCGGGGTTTCACCACGTTGGCCAGGCTGATCTCGAACTCCTGACCTCAGGTGATCCACCCGCCTCAGCCTCCCAAAGTGCTGGAATTAGAGGCATGAGCCACGGTGCCCAGCTGAGCACCTTTTCATATGCCTGTTTGCCATTTGTATCTCTTCTTCTGAGAAATGTTTATTCAAATCTTTTGCCCATTTTTAAATTGTATTATTAGATTTTTCCCTATAGCATTGTTTGAGTTCCTTGTATATTCTGGTTATTAATCCCCTGTCTGATGGGTAGTTTGCAGATATTTTCTTCCATTCTGTGGGTTGTCTCTTCACTTTGTTGATTGCTTTCTTTGTCATGTGGAAGCTTTTTAACTTGATGGGATCCCATTTGTCCATTTTTGCTTTGGTTGCCTGTGCTTGAAGGGTATTACTCAAGAAATGTTTGCCCAGACCAATGTCCTGGAGACTTTCCCCTAATGTTTTCTTGTAGAAGTTTCATAGTTTGAGGTCTTAGATTTAAGTCTTTAATCCATTTTGATACGATTATTCTATGTAGTGAGAGATACGGGTCTAGTTTTATTCTTCTGCATATGGATATCCAGTTTTTCCAGCACCATTTATTGAAGAGACTGTCTTTTCCCCAGTGGATGTTCTTGGCACCTTTGTTAAAAATGAGTTCACAGTAGGTGTGTGGATTTGTTTCTGGGTTCTCTATTCTGTTCCATATGTCTATGTATCTGTTTTTATGCCAGTACCATGCTGTTTTGGTTAATATAGCTCTGTAGTGTAATTTGAAGTCAGTAATGTGATTCCTCCAGTTTTGTTCTTTTTGCTTGGGATAGCTTTGGCTATTCTGGGTCTTTTGTGGTTCCATATAAGTTTTAGGATTTTTTTTTCTATTTCTGTGAAGAATGCCATTGGTATTTTGATAGGAATTGCATTGAATCTGCAGATTGCTTTGTGCAGTATGGGCATTTTAACAATATTGATTCTTTCAATCCATGGACATGGAATATATTTCCTTTTTTGTGTGTCCTCTTCAATTTCTTTTATCAGTGTTTTGTTATTTTCATTATAGATATCTTTCACTTCTTTGGTTAATTCCTAGGTATTTAATTTTATGTGTGGCTATTGTAAATGGGATTACTTTGTAAAATTTCTTTTTCAGATTGCTCACTGTTGGCATATAGAAATGCTACTGATTTTTGTGTGTTGAGTTTTTTTTTTTTTTTTTTTTTTTTTTTTTTTTTTTTGAGACAGACCTGGCTCTGTTGCCCAGGCTAGAAAGCAGTGTGATCTTGACTCACTGGAACCTCTGCTTCCTGGGCTCAAGGCATCCTGCCATCTGCCAGCCTCCCTAGTAGCTGGGTGTGTGCCACAATGCCTGGCTAATTTTTTGCACTTTTTTTGAGATGGTGTTTCGTCATGTTGCTCAGACTGGTCTTGAATTCCTGAGCCCAAGTGATCTACCCACCTTGGCCTCCCAAAGTGCTGGGATTACAGGCATGAGCCACCACTTCTGGTTCTGTGTAGATTTTGTATCCTGCAACTTTACTAAATTTGTTGATCAGTTCTTGTTTTTTTTTTTTTTTTTTTTTTTTTTTTGAGATGGAGTCTTGCTCTGTCGCCAGGCTGGAGTGCAGTGGTGCGATCTTGGCTCATTGCAACGTCTGCCTCCTAGGTTCAAGCGATTCTCCTGCCTCAGCCTCCCGAGTAGCTGGGACTACAGGCACGCTCCACCACCCCCAGCTAATTTTTGTATTTTTAGTAGAGACAGGGTTTCACCATGTTGGCCAGGATGGTCTCCACCTCTTGACCTCGTGATCCACCCACCTGGGCCTCCCAAAGTGCTGGGATTACAGGCGTTAGCCACCATGCCCAGTGATCAGTTCTAATAGATATTTTTGTGTGTGTGCAATTGTTAGATTTTTCCAAATATAAGATCATATCATCTGCAAACAAGGATAATTTCACTTCTTCCTTTCAAATTTGGATGCATTTTATTTCATTCTCGTGTCTGATTGCCCTAGCTAGAACTTCCAGTACTAAGTTGAATAATAGTGGTAAAAATGGGCATTTTTGTTGTGTTCTAGATCATGGAGAAAAGGCTTTTAGTTATTCCCCATTCAGTATGATACTAGCTGTGGGTCACTGCTAATGTTTTAAGTGTGTATTTTTATAGTCTTTTTCTGTATAGAAAGTATAATTTTAATAAAAATAAGATCATGCTGAACATACTCCTTTGTAGCCCCTTAAAAGAAAAACAACTCAGTGGTAATATGCAGAGGTCCTAAATGTCTCATGCATGTTTTCTAGAAAGCAGCTATGACTTGATACCATTCTCTTTAGTCTTAATGCCACAGATGTATAGAGCTTTTCACAGATGTGAAAATAGTTTTAAATACATTATTTTATTATTTTGTGCCCCCACCATAACCCATCTACACTTCTACAAATAGTGAACTTATTTGCTTAACTGATTTTCTTTACCAACTAAATCAAGAATTTCTGGAGGCGGTGGGGAAAGCAACTATCAAATAAACTAAATTTTATACCCACATAATTATATCTGTCAGAATGCCTAGTGTATATAAAGTACTCAGTACAAATTTATAGAATGAACAAAAATATGCTTGTATAGTTTTTGTTTTGTCACGACTGTAATTGTTCTGTTGGTAAATTTACACTACTGTCTCCATTGAAATTCTCATTTCAAACTAGTTAAGATCACACAGTGATTAAGATCACAAAAGAAAGAAAGAAACATTATCATCATCAGCATCATCATATGCCTCACCATTATTAAACCCTTTAATGGTTCTGGACTTTAAGGTTCTGCCTGCTAGTTGTAGACGTGAATTTTAAGCATTGAAATTTTACCCAAACCCAAACAGCTCAAAGATAAGAGGAAACTTCATCAGATATTCCAATATTTCAATAAGCCTGATATTTTTTGGTGAGCCGATTTAAAAAATTCAGGTAGCAGGCCAAATGTGTTCATTTTTATCTTGATACTTGTCATCATATAATCTCCACTTTCCTATCTCTTCTTCTTCATTTCCATTTCCTCCTAAACCAGTCGCAGACCAGCGCCTGTCCTCACTACTTCACACAAGCTGCTCTTTGGTCAGGTCACTTCATCTGATTGCCAAATCTGCCAGTCTTTCTTCAGTCCTTGGCTTGTCACTTAACAGGGCTGACCACTTCTACTATCTTGAAACTCTTCCATCAGTGACTTCTGTAACCCCAACTTCTGGTTCCTCTTTACCTCTCCATTCATTGATTTATTCAGCAAAAAATTTAACTGAGTACTGGTGTTAGGTGCTACAGTAAAGGAATGCAATCATATTAATAAAGCTGGTATTAATTGAGTGTCTTACCAAGTGCTAGTCAATGATTCAAAAATTTAAACACTTTACATGTTTACATGTGTGAACTACTTTAATCTCACTAGAACAAGGGACAGCAAACCTTTTCTTTAAGGGCCAGATAGTAAATATTTTCAGCTGTACAAGCCATATGGTCTGTGTTGCAACCACTGAACCCAACCTTTGTAGCATGCACGTGGCCATAGATAATACATAATCTAAAGGGTGTGGCCATGTACCAATAAAACTTTATAAAACAAGTGACTAAGTTTGGTCAGGAGCTGTAGATTGCCAACCCCTGCACTAGAATCTATCTAAGTTCCACCAGGGCAGGAATTTTGGTTGGTTTCAATATAGAAAAACAAATGCTTAGTTAATATTTAATGAATGAAGGCTCTCCTTCTAAGATAGAAACTATTTGAATCCCCATTTTATAAATAAGACAACCAAAACACAGAGGTTAAGTAGCATGCCCAATGTGACCAACTGAATTGGCAAATCCAGGATCAAAACCCACATAGTTTGGCATTAGAACTTATATTCTTAATCACTGTACTGTACAGTGGTGACACAGAGAAGGTTGTTAACTGTTCTCTGGGAAGTGGGAGTGGGAGCCAGGAGAGGTAATTTTAACTGGATCTTGAAGAATGAAGAATTCACCAGGAAGAAAAGTAGAGGAGAGGGAGAGGCTTTGCGTTCTAGCATGTGGAAACTGCAGGTATAAGAAACAGATGTCTGATACAACATGGTATTATGAGCAAATTGGCAATAAAGGAAAACCATTGCTTAGGGAATGCACTCAATTTTCAGCAATTCACATGTCTGGACACAGGTTTTGAGGTGGAGAGTGGCAGAGATGGGCTAAAGAAATATGCCGGGGGCCTTGTGTGACATGTGGATGAATTTGGATTTTAACTTGGTGGCAGATGGGCTACTGAAGTGTTTTGAGCATGAGAAAGAATGACCATATTTGCATTTTAGGTCAATTTTTAAAATTACATTTTATTTTAAAATTAGATGATACATGCATATTGTACAGCCTTCAAAAGCTGAAAAGGTCTTCTTCCTGCTTGTTTCCACTATCCAGTTCTGTCTTCCAAAGGCGCCCACTGTTTCCAGTTAGAAAGATGACTTTCGGCCAGGCGCAGTGGCTCACACCTGTAATCCTAGCACTTTGGGAGGCCAAGGCGGGTGATCATCTGAGGTCGGGAGTTTGAGACCAGCCTGACCAACTTGGAGAAACCCTGTCTCTACTAAAAATACAGAAAATTAGCCAGGCATGGTGGCGCATGCCTGTAATCCCAGCTACTCGGGAGGCTGAGGCAGGAGAATCACTCGAACCCGGGAGGCAAAGGTTGCAGTGAGCCGAGATCAGGCCACTGCACTCCAGCCTGGGTGACAGAGCAAGACTCCATCTCTAAAAAAAAAAGAAAGAAAGAAAGAAAGAAAGAAAGATGACTTTCACTGTAGTGTGAAGAATGGATCAGTCCTGGGGCCATACCAATCTCTTGACAGAATGTCACAGCTCTCAGATGTCTCCGACTTCCAGTAATACCTCCCTCCCTCACCACTTCTGGCCTTGAGATGGTATCTCAGTCACTAGCCTGGAGGGCTGTGGTATCACTATGGTTTCCCTCTCCATGCATTCTTACATTCTAAATGGGGGTAATATTGCCTCTAAAGGGGTGAAAATTAGTCTGGGGGAGCAAAACAATCTTAGATATGAAATGGTTTGTTGGCCTCCAAAGCTCAACCCTACTCACCAAAATTTTGTCAAGGGAAATTTAAATTTTTCTCTTAGGATGAAATAAGGAGATAATGACAAAAGGTTGAGCAACACTGCTCTACACGTTTGTAAATATTTCCTTGACTAGATCCTTTTCAAATGACTCAGGCTGAATGTGCACCTGTTTCCGCCCAGGTACCTAACTGATCCAGGAGATAATGGAATTCAGAGGCTTGAATGGAGGATGGTGATCCATGTGGTCATAGAGAAAAGGCAGTGTAACATCTTGGGAGTAAGTGTGGACTGCTGGGATTAGATCCTGGCTCTGCCATTTACTATTGGCTGTGTGACTTTAACCCCTCGTTGCCTCTGCAAAGTAGGGGATAACAATTGTACCTGTCTCCTGGTTTTGCTCAGGATATTGCTCAGCATATGTTAGCTATTGCTCAAAGACTCAGATGGTAGAGCATCAAAGGAGGAGGGAGTTTTGCTGGAGGTTGGAAGAGCTAAAGGTTTAGAAGTAGGATTGAGGAATGTGGAGAGCGCCAGTACCACTTTCCATACCCATGGGTTGTGGGGCATGGGAAAATGAGTAGCATCCTTTCTAGAATTCAGCAATGGAATCATGTTCCTTAGGGATTACAGTTACTTTTCAGTTAAGGCAAGGAATGAGCCAGGAGGTTAAAAGTGGAAAGAAGTTTATATACAATTGAATGAAAGCAGGGCACAGAAGAAAGATCTGGGAAGGAAGAAGGTAGAAGGTGGAGAGGAAGCCCAGAGCAGGATAGCAGATTGGAGATTAGGGTAAGGGAGAAGAGACCTCCAGAGGCAGGAGCACCGCACAAGATGGCTCAGACTGAACAGAGCAGGAGGTGGTGAACTATGGCCGGATCTAGCCAGCTGCTTATTTTTGTATAGCTCGCAAACTAAGAATAATTTTTACATTTTAAATGGGTTTTTAAAAATGAATATGAGAGCATTTCATGATACATGAAAATGATATGAAGTTCAATGTCAGTGTCCATAAATAAAGTTTTTTTGGATCATAGCCATGCCCGCTCATTTAAACATTGTCTATGGCTGCATTCCCACTACAACAGCAGAAATGAGTAGTTGCAACAGAGATTGTGTGGCCCACACAGTGGAGACTATTGGCCCTATCTGGCCCTTTATAGAAGTTTATTGCCCAGGCACAGTGGCTCATGCCACTGTAATCCCAGCACTTTGGGAGGCTGAGATGGGCAGATTGCTTGAGCTGAGAAGTTCAGGACCAACCTGGGTAACATGGCAAAACCCCATCTCTTAAAAAAAAAAAAAAAAAGAAAAAAATTAGCCAGGCATGTCAGTGTGCACCTGTAGTCCTAGCTACTCAGGAGGCTGTGGTGAGAGGATCGCTTGAGCCCAGGAGGTAGAGGTTGTAGTGAGCCTTGTGTTCATACCATTGCATTCCACCCTGTCTCAAAAAAAAAAAAAGAAAGAAAGAAAGAAAATTTGCTGGCTCCTGTTCTAGCACATCATTCATAGTCTGCAATATGAATGGCACCTCCAGGAGTTGTGCAACACAGATGACCTGGCTCTAGGAGCACTCAGTTTGGATAAGTGATAAAGGATTACAGTGAGGAGAAGAATGGATGGAATTAAATGGCCTCAAGGCTCTTTTTGGAATGTAGTCACAAAGTTGTTATGTTAGAAAAAAGCAAGGCTGTCAGCCTGGATTCAAGCCACCACCTCTTGGCTGGTGAGGAGCTAGGTGTGGTAGACACTTCTGGTTGCCCACACAATTTTTGTTTCTCCTTTTGTTCCTTATTAACAGAAGGCTGATTTTATCAAGGTAGCAATGTACCCTGTTAAAAATAATAATCTCAATAAGAAAAGTCCCCAAAGAATGATGGGGACATGTCAATAGGACACAGAGCCAGCTTAAAGGGGTTCCTAATGGCCAATCTGGGACAATTCCATGTTAAAATAAACTCTGATAGTAATGGGTTGTAACTTATCAAGTAGAATAAAAATCTTTGAGTCCGTACGGAAATAAATGAATAAGTGGAGAAAGGAAAGCTTTCCATATGGTGCAAGGCAAACTCATACATGGAAAGACAGAATTAGAAAATTACCATCTTATTGTTTCAGGCAAGGATTATCAATGGATGCTAAAACTAGTGGGTGAAGTTTTGATGAGAAACATGATATTTATATCATCTCAAAGCCTCTCCTCACAGATTCTTATTAATTTCAAAGGGTAAAATAGGGACTTTATAGTAGAGAAATCTGACGGATACTACCTTACCACCTTAACCAAGTTATCAAAGCTAATATCATTAGTAACAGAACAAGTCAAAATAGGGTAGCTTCTGCCATGATGCATCGAGAAGGTTGCAGCATCACTTCTGTGGTATTCTAGCCAAAAATACCTAACCTGAATCCTGAGGAACTGTCAGACAAACCCAAATAAGGGATGTTCTGCAAAGTAACTGGACTTCAGTTTTCAAAAATACCAACAACATGAAAGGCAAAGACAGATTGAGGAACTATTTCATGTTAAAGTAGACTAAACCAACATGACAACGAAATGCAATGTTTGGTCCTGGATTGGTTCCTGGACCAGAAAAAAAGCTTCTTCTCTGTTATAAAGGACATTAGTGGGACAATTGACAAAAGCTGTAGATTAAATAATAGCCTTGTATCAGTGTTAATATTCTGATTTTGATCATTGTACTGTGGTTATGTAAGAGAAAGTCTTTATTTTTAGGAAGCACATACCAAACTAGAAGTAAATGAGCATCACGCATGCATGAGAGAGAGAGAAAGAAAATGATAAAGTAATTGTGGTAAATGTTAGTATTGGGAAATTTTGGGTGAAAAAATACAAGAATTCTTTGTACTACTTTTGCAAATTTTGTCCATTTGAAATTATTCCAAAGCAAAAAGTTTAAAAAAATACTCATTTTGCCCTGGTACTCATGCAGTGATATATTCATATACCCAATCTTGGCCAATGGGTTGTAGGTTTTAGTCCAGTGAATAGGGCTTATCAGAAAATGATTGTTTTTCCTCATAAAAAGGGAGAGACTTGGCAAATGCCTTTTGCCCTTTGTCCTTCCCCTTCCTGCTTGGAATAAGAGCTTAATACCTGGATGTGGAGCAATCATCTATGATTATGAGGACAGAAGGAGCTGGAAGTAGCACGGGTCTTGATGGCTTCTTTGGGCATCAGCCTTGGACTGCCTGCCTCTGAATAAGAAGTCTGTTAGTACACTGTAGTTGGGTTTCTGTTACATATAGTCAAATCCAACTCCAACTGAGCTAGACTGTCTAAGGCTCCCAATGATGTTTACAGTTTTGAGTTTGTGTGGCTTGACTCCTCAATCTCCTTCACAGGCAGCTGCTTTTGGTTGCCCCTCACATGTGGGTGTTCTGCAAGTTTGGTCCTCGGCCTTCTCCTCCCTCTGCGGTCTGTCTACATGGGCTGCCTCATCCACTCCCACTTACCATATAGACTCTGATGATTCGCAATTACCATCTTCACCTAGAATTTTCTCCTGATTTGCAGGCTACATATTCAGCTACCTAGGGATATCTATGTCTATGGTCCATATTCACTTCAACAGTTGCAAAGCTAAATTGCCTTTTCAGCTACACACACATAATCATGCACACATCCAGCCCACAATCTAACCACTTTCCCAAGCCAGAAATGCAGGAGTCATCATCCTCTCTTCTTCCTACTTTTTTACCCCCTACATGCAATTAGTCATCTAGATCTTGATGACTGTACCTCCTAAGTAGTTTCTGAATCCATCTCCTCTTCTCCATTCCCATCAGGTAGGTGCCTCATCATCTGTCACTGGTATTTTTTATTAATGTTTTAAATAGTCTCCCTGTCTCTGTCCTTTGTTCCCCTAACAAACTGCTATCCATTATTTTCTAAAATGCAAATATGATCACCATACTCTCCTATGTAAAAATTTCCTACCACTTCAACTGCTAATGGTAATTCCCCCCAACCCCGTCCCCTCCCCCCGACTCCAATTCCTACTGTGACATAACAATGCTCATAGGATAACCTCTTGGCTGCCCTTCTGTGCCATTTCTTGATGAAGGAAGGACTGTTGACTGCCCCTGGCTGATTTATTTTATTCTTAGGAGGCAGATTCTCCCAAGTCTCCATAAACCAGTGATCTTCCTTTGGCCCCAACTGTCTCTTACCCACAGCAATTTGTACCTCACTTTATTCCATGTCAAAAGACCTGCAGTGTTCTTTTACTTGTCACAAAAATAAATTTTATACATTGATCAAAATGAAGTGTTCGGGCCACTCTGTGTGATAAGTGAGGGTTGAACACTGCCTGAATCCAGCAAACACCATTCATACTACACTTGATCTTAACCAAAAGGCTGAGAAGCAATAACAAACACCATTCATATGATGACATTTTAATCAGTTCGTAGTAGCCCAGGTAGGCAAGCTCCAGGGATGTTTATAAGGCAACCTGGCCCCACATTATGAGTCTCCTGTCTTGGCTACTTTTGAGTTAAGCAATCCTGGGCTCCCGGGACTGATTCCTCCATTTCCTGAGGCAAGCTGCTGGGGTTTGGGTGGAATATGTGATTAAGAATCTTTAGTCACAGAGCAGGAAACAAGGGTACCCAGCTTTGGAGGCACCAGCCATTCACCTTTTCCCTTAATAACCTTCCCCATCCTGTTCTACCACACCTAGTATTATTATTATTTTTTTTTTTTTGAGATGGAGTCTCACTCTGTCGCCTAGGCTGGAGTGCAGTGGAGCGATCTCAGCTCACTGCAAGCTCCACCTCCTGAGTTCAAGCAATTCTCCTGCCTCAGCCTCCCGAGTAGCTGGGACTACAGGTGCTCACCACCATGCCTGGCTAATTTTTTGTATTTTTAGTAGAGACGGGGTTTCACGGTGTTAGCCAGGATGATCTCAATCTCCTGACCTCATGATCCGCCTGCCTTGGCCTCCCAAAGTGCTGGGATTGTAGGCATGAGCCACCGTGCCCGGCCTATTTTTTTTTTTAAACCCAGATCAAATGGAACCTATTAAAGGTAGAGTTGGACATTCCTCCTATGAGCAGAGTTAGACAGTCCTCCTAGAGCTTCTGTGGTATTTATTACACTCTAATACAATTATGTGTTTGTATGTCCGTTTCCCTGCATTTGGTTTCTTTTAATAGCATCCAAATGCAAATCTGACCTTTTTTTTGTTTGTCCTTCTATCAGCATACAATAGAGCCTGACATAGAGAATAATCAATAAGTATATATTGATTGATTAAATGAATGGATTTTTTTTTTTTGTTCCAGGTAGAGTGTAGTGGAAAAAGCCTAGACCCTGGTACTATTCCCAGTTCCTCTGCTAACTTGCTATGTGACCATAGTCTCTCAGCAGCTCCTTCACCTCATCAATGAAGTGGAGTCAGTACCACCCACTTTGGAATAATTGTTTTGAAGATTAAAAGAGTTAATGATCATTTATCCATTCAATTGTAGGGATATGCTGAATGCTTCTTATGAGCCAGGCACTGTGGTAGGTACTAAGGCTATAACATTGTCTTTTCCTCATAAAGCTTTTCAATCTAGCGGGAAAGACAAGTAATTAAACAAGCATCTACAATAACATATAGTGAAAATTGGAATAGGAGAAGAATAAGGTCCTATGGGAACATACAACAGGGGGCCCACCTTAATCGAGGGGTTAGGAAGAACCTCCCCAAATGGTATGAAAGAATTGTAAAGTACTATACTCATGTCAGGTAGGATGTTATTACTATAGATGAGACTGCCGTTGAGCTCATAGAAGGAAGCCATCACACTGTGGAGAGTGAGGCTTCCTGGAAAAGTGGAGTGTTGAGCTGGACTTAACTTCCTTTGATGTTGCTGGCTGATTTTCATTAGGAAGATGTGCCCTTCGAATGGTGTCTCCAGGATCAGAGATGGATCTGTCTTCATCTGTCCATACCCCAACTCACCTTGTTGCTATAAGAAACTGAGCCCTCCAGTTCAAGAATACAAACCACAGAGAGGGGAATACTGAAGGGAAATCTAAAAGGTCAGTGATGTTTCTAGGCAAGGCATCTGTGGAAAGCTGACTTCTGCCTTCAAATGCATCTGGAATCCAACCACCTCTCACCACCTCCTCTGTAACCCCCTGTCTAGACCACTCTCATTGGTCACTAGATTGCAGAGACCTTCAGACTGGTCCTCCTGTTTCCACCCATGCCCTCTTAGAATTTCTTCATGCACATTCCAGCTCCAAATGTCTGTGTTCCTGCTTTGGGCACATTGAGGTGAAGAAGACCAGTGATTTGCCAAGGAAAGAAGGGCTTGTCTGAAAGAGTCAGGAAGGAAATTTATGCTCCCTTAGAAGATGAGAAAACAGAGATAGGGGCTGCTCACCTACCCCTCAGTGTCAACTTGTAGTAGGTAAATAAACAACACCAAATAAGTCTTCCTCTGTTGTTTTTATACTAAAGGATTTTCAGATAAGCCACTGCTCGTTGACCCTTTCCCAGCCTCCCCTCCTCCTCATTTCCCAGACATTCCCTAAGTTGTCTCCTGGCTACAAACTTCCCATCTCTCTGCCCCCTCATCTGTTTCCCAGCCTTTTTCTGACTCACCCTTCACAGTCTCTTCCAGCAGTGCACAAACATCCTCTTGTCTATCAAAGTCAACTTCCAAACAGTCATCATGGTGCACCAGACTGGAGGAAGGAGCAGGGGAGCCAGCACCCTCTTTGGTCAGCTCCTGAGTATGCTGAATGGACACTCAGCGTGGGTTTGCAGGGAGGATTGTTAACTTGACCCAGGCTTCGGACAGGGCTGCCTCCTGCAAGGATGATCTATTTCAGGTTGTGGCAGTTTTCTCTTCTTTTTTTCTTTCTTTTTTTTTTTTTTTTTGTAGACAGAGTCTTGCTTTGTTGCCCAGGCTGGAGTGCAGTGGCGCGATATTGGCTCACTGCAACCTCCGCCTCTCAGGTTCAAGGGATTCTCCTGCCTCAGCCTCCCGAGTAGCTGGGACTACAGGCGTGTGCCACCACGCCCGGCTAATTTTTTGTATTTTTAGTAGATACTGGGCTTCACTGTGTTAGCCAGGATGGTCTCGATCTCCTGACCTTGTGATCCACTCACCTCGGCCTCCCAAAGTGCTGGGATTACAGGCATGAGCCACCGCGCCCAGCTGGTTGTGGCATTTTTCAAATGACAGCAAGGTAAGAGACAGAGACACCATCTTTTCCAAAACCTTCATTTTTTTCTTCCCCCCAATTTTTATTCTGAAAATATTTCAAACCTACAGTTAAGCTGAAAGAAAACCCCCACAAAATTAATATATTCTTCACCTAGATTCAGCAGTTGTTAACATTTGCTTTCTCTGTCTGCCTTTTTTTTCCTCTCTTTCTCTTTTGAGATAGCTGTCTGCCTGTCTATGTATGCATGTATCCATCCATTTCTGTAAGCACACACACAATGTGACAAACCCTTTGAAAGTAAATTGCAGAGAACTTGACATATCATCTTGAACACTCTATCATGCATTTCCTAAGAATAAGGCCATTATTTTTCCTACATACTATGATATGATTATCACACTTACAAGAATTAACATTAGTGCAATAATACTACTACCTAAAATATAGTCCAGACTTTTGTAGTTGTCCCAAAAATGTCTTTGAACACTCCCCCTGCCACCCTCAAATCCAATTAAGGATCAAGAATATCTTCTTTTAACCCAGAAATTTCCAGGGCAATACCAAGTTTGGAAGAGGCAATATGGTTCCCAGAAACAGGGCTTTGTAGCTATATACAATTGGGTTCAAATGTCAGGTTTTTCCCAGCTATGTGACCATGGACAGATTATTTCACTTTCTCACCTCAGTTTCTTCATATAATGGGAATGCTGTTACCCAGTCTAAAGATTTTGTAAGGATGAAGAATGATGTAGTTTTCGTGCTTGTCAAGTAGTAGGCACTCAGGGCAAGTTGCTCCTCTGGAAAGAGAAGCAGAGAAGGGAACTCAGTTGGGTTATATAAATGGCTGAGAACTTGTGTAGCTAAACAAATGTAAGTGAGCTTACTACATCAAGGTTAAGACATTTTAAAACTATTTCCCCTGCTCAACGTAAGCCTGTAGCAAATGCCTCTTGCATATGGGAATACAAACTTTGTGGGAGCAGGGATTTCCTCTGTTTCATTCAATGTTTTGTTCCCAGTATCTGAAACACAGCTCATTAGACAACTTTTGAATGAATGAACAAGTGAATAAATACATCTTACTAGGTAAGTTACCACTTTTATGTAACTCAAAAATGTGAGCCTCTACTCTTCACTCCCTTTTCTTTCTTTTTTTTTTTTGAGATGGAGTCTCACTCTGTCACCAGGCTGGAGTACAGCCGTCTGGAGTGCAGTGGTGCGATCTCGGCTCACTGCAACCTCCGCCCCCTGGGTTCAAGTGATTTTCCTGACTCAGCCTCCCGAGTAGATGGGACTACAGGCGTGTGCCACCACACCCAGCTAATTTTTGTATTTTCATTAGAGACAGGGTTTCACCATGTTGGCCAGGATGGTCTTGATCTCTTGACCTCGTGATCCACCTGTCTCAGCCTCCCAAAGTGCTGGGATTACAGGCGTGAGCCACTGCACCCAGCCTCTTCACTCCCTTTTCTAGAGTTGATTTCCTCTGACATAAGGTGGTGTCTCTGTCCGTTATTACCACAGTTATTCTAACAAATTATTCTGAAGCTCAGTTACTCAAAACAACAATCATTTGTTTTCATGCTCAAAGGTCTACAGGTTGGGCTACAACTTGGACTGAGCTAGGCTAGCTCTTGGCTTTGGGCTTCAAGCTCCAGGTTGGATCCAGTTGTGTTTCTTATGTCCCTCACCCTCCTTGGACCAGTGACATGCAATCTTTTCCCTGTATCTCATTCTGGGGCCCAAAGTGAAGGGTGCGGGTGTAGGGGTGTGGACATGGTCTCTCTAAGCTGAGTTGACTTTTAGGTTTCCCTCATCACATAGCTGCAGCATGAATAGTCATTCTCCTAACAATTTCAATAGGCGGTTTTTGAACTTGCTAGACAGATATATGCATGCACTTCACATTCCCTTCCCAAAGACAAACACGATTTCTTACAGGCATTATAAGCTACTAGGAATAAGAAGGGAGTGATCACCTCTTAGTGGATGTTCTCTTACTTCCTGAACTTTCTGGAAGGGACTTGACTAAATTCTTGGCCAAGAGCTCTTGTTCTCAGTTTTCATGGAGATAAGAGCAGGGAGTGGTTTATTCTCTAAGTTAAACCTGTGTAACAAATCATGGTAGGATGAAGAAAAAACAGTGTGACTACAACAAACCTTTACAGTTCTTCTTCAGCCCTCCATCCGCATCCAGGCTTCCTCATGCCACCCAACACTGCTATGTCTTATTGCAGATGACTTTGCTGCTGAGACTATTAGACAGGAGGCACTGCAGCCTATCTGTGCATGCCCCATCTGCCATCTTGTCCATGTCTCCATCTACCTTTGCTTTCTTCCATTTTCCTGTCCAAGGCTAATCCTGACATCTCTGTTAAAATATCATTCCAGATTTTCAATATACCAAATGACTCCCATTCTCTCTTCTCTCTTCAATCTCTTTCTCACCACGTGCTGATTTCTTTGTCCATTTAAGCCTCTTCCCTCTGAAACAAAACAAAACAAACCCAAAAAAACCTAGCTGGGCATGGTAGCTCATGCCTGTAATCTCAGCTACTTGGGAGGCTGAGGTGGGAGGATTGCTTGAGCCCAGGAGTTTGAGGCTGCAGTGAGCCATGATCACTCCAGCCTGGAGTGACAGAGTGAGACCCCCCTCTATAAAAAATAAATAAATAAAAATTAAGAATACCATGCTTGATCTTGTATCTCCCTCTGGATTTGGCCATACAGAGTTGTCCATGGGAATCTAACTGAAAAAGGAAGAGGACTCCTATGGGAAATGGCAGTTCTTGGGAAATAAAGCTAGTTGAGAAAGAAGTTGTCAGATGAGACAAATGTATTATTGTTTGATGGTGAAGGAAACAACCAACAAAGAATTAGATCTAATACATGAGTTCAGGAAGGTTGCTGGTCAACATATAAAAATTAATAGTATTTATCTAAGCAATAACCACCTAATAATGTAATTAAAAATATGAGAGGCTGGATGTGATGGCTTAGACCTATAATCCCAGCACTTTGGGAGGCCAATGTAGAAGGATTGCTTGAGCTTAGTAGTTCAAGGCTAGCCCGGGCAACATGATGAGACCCTGTCTCTATTAAAAAAAAGAGAGAGAAAGAGAAAAAAAGAAAGAGAGAGAGAGAGAAAGAAAGAAAAAGAAAGAAAGGAAAGAAAAGAGATGGAGAGGGAGAAAGAGAAAGAAAGGAAGGAATGAAAGAAAGAAAAGAAAGAAAGATTATTAAAAAATATGAGAACATTCAAAAATGGTCATCAAAACCCATAAAGTATGTAGGAATTAGCCTAACCAAGTGTTATGAGCTGAATTATGGTCCTGGTCCTCCAAATTTCATAGGTTGAACTCCTAACCCCCAATACCTCAGAATGTGACTATATTTGGAGGTAGAGTTTTTACAGAGGCAATTAAGTTAATGTGGGGTCATTAGGGTGAGCCCTACTCCGATATGACTGGTGTCCTTATAAGAAGAAGTGACTAGGTACACAAGCACACACACAGAAGACCATGTGAAGAATCAGGGAGGAGAAAGTCATTTACACCAAGGAGAGAGGTCTCAGAAGAAACCAACCCTGCCAACACCTTGACCTTGGACTTCCAGCCTCCAGAACTGTAAGAAAATAAATTTGTATTGTTTAAGCCACCCAGCCTGTGGTACTTTGTTATGGCAGTCCTAGCAAACTGATATACCAAAAATATACAAGACCTCTGTTGATGTAGGTTTGAAAACTCTCAGCAAGCTTCTTTTTCCTGTTTCTTGTCCTCCCTGCCTGTGCTATTTGGTCCTTAGCCATTAGATGGGGCAGAGCAAGGTGGCCTTCTGCTGGGCTTGGGGATGGGAGCTGGTGACAGAGTGAACCAAACAAGAAAAGGTAAAGGGTTGTAGAACAGCTGTGTTCTGTATAGAGTGGGGTGGAAACCCAAGGAATCTATGTTATGGATGAGCTTTGGGGAATGGCTTCCTAGTTTCCTTTTAAATTTTCCTTGACTAAAATATAAAGGCACTTATAGGTTGTATAATCCCCACTCCTTCCTTTCTTCTGGTGGCAATAATACAAGTGAAAGTGCATTTCTTCTGGCACCTACTTTCTCTTTGTTACAAGGCAGGGAGTCTTCTCATTCAATTTGGAGCTGTGTTCCTGTCACTCTAAACAAAGTAGATTGCTTTCCTTTCCTATAAGCAGGGGCCATCTGGTGAGGGGGCATTTGGCTTGAGCTTGGAGAATGAAGCAGCCACTCAGGCATCCTACCTTATGCTTGAAATGCCATTGTCAATGATAATGACTAATATTTATTGAGCACTTATTATGGTGTCAGCACTGTTTGAAGTATATCACATATATTACTTCATTGAGTCTGCCAACCATCCTATGAGATGTGGCACTATTAATATCAAACCTTTTTTAGAGATAAGGAAAACTAGATACAGAAAGGTTAAGTAGTTGGCCTAAGGTCTCTCACTGGCAGCTAGGGATGGAAGCAGGATTGGAACCTGGGAAGCCTGGCTCCCAGGTCTAGGCTGGTGTTTACTACACTGCACTGTCCCTGGTATTTAGACCCTACACTGGGAATTTACTTCTCTAAATGTCTTTTTTTTTGTTCAGCCGTCTACACCGAGAAGTTGATAGGGAAATCCATTTTCAGTCATTCACACTGCCGTGTAAATTAGATTCTCAGATGATTTCATATCCACTTGAGAGTAGATTACCAAGACACTAGAAGTTTTGATATTGAGGAGAATGTATTTCACACACGAAATTAACATTCACTGGGTGCCAACTGGGATTTGACAATTGTTGTTTTATAGAACCCTCCCAAATGGCCCTGCAGGGTAAGAATTAATTACCTTCCTTTTATGTTAGAAGGAAATGGGTGTCTTAGAGGTTGGAGCCCAAATCTGGTCCCTGGGCATTCTCGATGGCTGCTTGAGGCCCTCTGACACTTGTGGCTGGCTGGGAAGACACAGAGGCTTCTGGAGGGGAGTGGCAGGATGCTAAGGCCAAACGTCATAGTTTTGTGCAGTTCCAGGTCTAGGAAACAGCTGGTTTTATTTAGTGAAAATAATTGCTGCAGGCCAGTGTCTCCCTACCTCTCATGGACTTTTGTGGTAGGGTGGAAGATGGGTATGTAGCAATATGTTCTGTAACTGCAATTTAGTGCCACAGGCCTCCTGAATCCTCCACCTCCTAAGCAGGAGCATTTTAATAGTCGAGGACAGAGAAGAGAGAACTAGAGCTAATTTATAACTTTAAAATCTTGTATTACCTTTCCTACTTGCCTCCAGTCTTTCAAATACATATATCCCAAATGCATCAATTTCTATGCGTCTTGAATCTGGAATCTACAGCCCACCACCCCCTACACAGACCGTTCTTCGTTTTGTGAATTAACTTTATCTGCTGTGCATTTCAGCTTAGTCTGGAAACCTCTGCTTAGGATTGCCAGCTTCGGCTTTTTTCAGAGGTCTAAAGAAGAGGTGGTTCTGGCAGGTGTAAGCTCTCTGATGTTTCAGCCTACAAATATGTGAACCGAAGTCATGTCGATTTGCATTTCTGGATTAGCAACAGATGGTAGTTATGAACTAACTGACTATCTGACAGAGAGGCCCCATTGGAAGCAGTATGGGAGCAGATCCAGGCTCTGCTGTGCAGTTATCAGTTGGTCTAACTCTTCTTTCAGAAAATATTCTCTCCGGAGGAGAGGCCTCAAATTGCAGATCCCCATCTAGGCATTGAAAAGGCAGCGTACAACCCTCCTTTTGTAGGCACCTCCCAAAATAACTTTCAGCAGGATATGGCTTGTTATATTAGTTCTGTAATTTTATTTTCCAAATGATGCTTGTCTTTGAAGCTTGGCTAGGGGAACTGTAGCTAAGATTAAATGGGGTCCAATGTTTTGTGACAATACTTCCTTAGATTTACATGACTTTTAAAAAATAGATTTTTTTTTTAATCTCTTAAAATCTGTGACAGAGAATATTGGGATTTTCCATCCTGCCATTTGTTTCCCATATTTGTTATAAGTAATGAGCACTTCTTATTTGTCAGGCCCTGCATTGGCGCTGGGGAAGACACAACAGTGCGCAGAAACCAACCAGCCTCTAATTGCAAAAAACTTCACAGCCCAGTGAGGAGGCTGACATTAATCCAAGGATCACACAATGCAACTACAAAATGTGCTAAGGAGGCAAGCGTCTGGTGCTAGGAGAGTGTGTAATTTGATATAGTCTGAGAGGTCAGGGTATGGATGTGTAAGCCAATGAGGAGAACAGCCTGTGCAAAAGCCCTGGACTGTGTCTGGTACCAGGACTTAGCCAGTTAGGGCGAGCAGAGCAAGGGAGGGGTGGGCGGTGGAGCTGAGACTGGAGAGGCAAGACGTGCCAGACCATGAGGCTTTTGCAACATTTAGCCCCTAGGCCCCACCCACAAAGATTCCGATTCAACTGGGAGAGAGGGGGAGAGATATGGGTAGTTTTTTTGTTTTGTTGTGTTTTGAGACAGAGTCTCACTCTATCTCCCAGGCTAGAGTGCAGTGGTGTGATCTCGGCTCACTGCCACCTCTCTGCAACCTCCACCTCCCGGGTTCAAGCGATTCTCCTGCCTCAGCCTCCCAAGTAGCTGGGATTACAGGCATGTGCCACCACGCCCAGTTAATTTTATATTTTTAGTAGAGATGGGGTTTCTCCATGTTGGTCAGGCTGGTCTTGAACTCCTGACCTCAGGTGATCTGCCTGCCTCAGCCTCCCAAAGTGCTGGGATTACAGGTGTGAGTCACTGTGCCAGGCCAGATATGGGTAGTTTTTTAAAGTTCCTGAGGTAAAGCATCCAGGGTTAAGAATCATTAGCCTGGACTTATTTGGTCCGTATTCTAAGAGCTGTGGGAAACCACTGAATTGTTTGTGGCAGGACAAACAATTCAGATGTACATCTTGTATCCTCAGGATGCCTGCACATATAGACACCGAAAATTACTAGGGTGGGCCCAGAAATCTGTATTACTCTGCTGCACGATAATATCAGAAGCACTGTCAACCTCAGCATTGTTTGATCAAACAGGAAGTACATAGATAAACCCCAAAAGTAGACCACTAAGATGATCCCATTTCAATTTTCTTCCTTCCTTCCTTCCTTCCTTCCTTCCTTCCTTCCTTCCTTCCTTCCTTCCTTCTTTCCTTCCTTCCTTTGAGACAGTCTTGCTCTGTCATCCAGGCTGGAGTGCAGTGGCACGATCTCGGCTCACTGCAAGTTCTGCCTCCCGGGTTCATGCCATTCTCCTGCCTCAGCCTCCTGAGTAGCTGGGACTCCAGGTGCCCGCCACCACGCCCGGCTAATTTTTTGTATTTTTAGGAGAGACAGGGTTTCACCATGTTAGCCAGGATGGTCTCGATCTCCTGACCTCGTGATCTGCCCACCTCGGCCTCCCAAAGTGCTGAGATTACAGGCGTAAGCCACCGCGCCCGGCCTCAATTCTCTTTTTTTAAGACAAGTTCTTGCTCTGTGGCCCATGCTATAGTGCAGTGGCGCAGTGAACTGTGGTTGTGCCATTGCTCTACAGCCTCGACTTCCTAGGCTCAAGTGATCCTTCCACCTCGGCCTTCTGAGTAGTTGGGACTACAGGTGCATGCCACCATGCCTGGATAATTTTTTAATTTTATTTATTTATTTTTTTGTAGAGATGGATTCCCACTATATTTCTCAGGGTGGTATTGAACTCCTGGGCTCAAGTGATCCTTTCGCCTTGGCTTCCCAAAATGTCAGGATTATAGGTGTGAGCCACTGTGCCCAGCCTTCAATTTTTTTTTTTTTTTGCTTTATCTTTCTACTATTACTTCCAATCTTCCCATTCTTGCTCAGACCCTCTACTTGGAGTGGTAAAGAAGGCCTGGTTGTGTGCTCCTTACTACACCCTGTGGCTTCAAAACTTGGAAGACTTGTTTTATACTGAGGCAGTTTCCAAAAAGCACTACTTTCAGCAACAGCATCACTTCATATTTACTGTGCACAATGGGCAGAGTAAATGAAAGAAATTACTTTAATACATGAGTGAGCCAGAATATGTATGTATAGGCCCATGAACAAGAAGATAGCATTAATACTTGAGAAAGTGTCTTTTAGGAAGGATGTATTCAGGATTTTCTCTCCTTACACTGCCAGATTCCCAGAGACCAGACCTAACACCTACCTCCACATCACTCATTTATTCAAATTCCTGAAACATCAATGATTCCAAAGTAAATTAACCAGGCATTTTGGTGGTCTCTGCAATATTGGACACTTTAGTTAGGATTCTTTGCATCTTCAGAGCACTAGTTACACAGACACTGTAAACTCTCTAGGGTGATAAGGAGGAACAAAGGGCACCGAATGCTTTCTTCTTTGTGTGGATACGGAAACTGAGTGGTTAAGTGACTTCCTTAGATGACTTTTTAGAAGGGGCATCGGAGTGGAGAAGGGAAGTCAGGGACTCTGGGCTTCAACACACGGCTCCGGCCATTTGGCCTGATAAGCATTCATCTTTAAAGACCTGAAGATGGTGAACTTTTTTGAATGACTTGTCAGACAGATGGAGTGATGGCTTCCAGCCATGGAACTCACTTATCGTGGATGTCTGTCAGGGTTAAAAGTTCTATTTGCAGGCCTCTCCCATCAGGTTGTTTTTTTGTGTGTGTTCTATCCCCCACTAGTATGGATCCTAACTGGCTTGGTTGGCTTGGATAATGGCATTCATCTTCTGCTCCCTGGGGCATCAGATCACAGAGGGGTAAAGGTGTGGGCACTATGCCAGAGCATAAGCTCAGGAATAGTGCTAGCTAAGAGCAATTTCTGTTGACTTATCTAGAAATCACGCCCTAGCATCCATTAGGATGCCAGTGTATTTTTCTAGGGCAGCAAATTGACCAAATAACCATACAAACCTGCTTCCTCCCTGTTTCCATTTTCTTGCAATGTTGTTTTTCCATCCACTAGGGATGAATGAAATATCCTCTCAAGTAGATCTCTAAATAAATAAAAATAGAATAGGAAATCCATGTAGTGCTTACTCTGTGCCAAGATCTCTTCAAAGTGCCTTACATACATTCTTAACTCATTTAATCCTTACAATTGCCCCTCTGAGATGGGTACCATTACTATCCCTGTTTTACAGACGGAGGCACAGAGAAGTTAAATTATTTGTTCAGGATCACACAACTAGTAAGCAATATAGCTGAAATTTGGATCTAGGCAGTTTGATTCCAGACTTGGTGTTCCCAGTTACTTCCCTAATTATCCTCTTTATAAAGGGTAAATTAAACTGAAATTTCATTGGGCTGATCAATGCGGAACTGTAAAAAAATAAATGAATAAATACACTGAGATTCCAATCTTAACTTCGCTATACATATATCTACAACAGGTTATCATACTGACCACAGCAAAAAATTCATTTGGATGTTTCTAGTGCAACTAGAAAGTGCACTGCTTGAGGGCAGGGGCCTCTAAGTCCTCCTTGTAGACCTAATACCTTACATATAGTAAAAGCTCACTAAGTATCCCTTGAATGTTATGCAAAAGCATTTGGAAAACTGTGAAATACTGTGAAATATTACTACACATGTTTACATATACCTATATCTCTAAGCCAAGCAGGACTACCTATAATTAGTATCTCTACCATTTCCTCCCCCCCCCCCCTCCCCGCTCTCTCTCTCTCTCATGCATGTTTTTTTGTTTGGGTTTGCTTGTTTGGTTGGGTTTTTTTTGAGATGAAGTCTTGCTCTGTTGCCCAGGCTGGGGTGCAATGGCTCGATCTCGGCTCAGTGCAACCTCTGCTTCCCGGGTTCAAGTGATTCTCCTGCGTCAGCCTCCCAAGCAGCTGTGAATACAGGTATGCACCACCACATCTGGCTAATTTTTTGTATTTTTAGTAGAGATGGGGTTTCACCATGTTGGCCAGGCTGATCTCAAACTCATGACCTCAAGTGATCCGCCTGCCTCGGCCTCCCAAAGTGCTGGGATTACAGGCATGAGCCACCATGCCCTGCCTTATAATGCATGCTTTGTACAGACATTCCTCAACCCACCAAGCTTTGCAATTATTCCTTAGTTGCCCCTTATGGCAGCTGTATGTAGCAGAATATACCCAGCAATAGTGGCGGGCAAGTCTCAATTTGCTGATGTACTCCCCTCTGCCCTTCCTTCCTCCCCTTTCTCAACAGCTTGGAATAGTCCATGCTTTGAAAAAAAAAAATTTAACTTAAAAATTATTTTCAGTGATTACAAAACAGTTAAATCACTTTAAAACAACCCCACTGTCATTACTGCATTAATTGGCAATGATTTGAAATATAAGGAATACAGAACTTTCAAGCATTTAAGAAAGGGACTCTCTTATCAACATGATTTCTCTTCAAACTTATGTTTCAAATGGAATTCCAGTCTTTATTTATTTATTTATTTTTTGAGACCAAGTCTCACTCTGTCACCCTGGCCAGAGTGCAGTGATGCAATCTCGGCTCATTGCAACTTCCGCCTCCCATGTTCAAGCAATCCTTGTGCCTCAGACTATTGAGTAGCTAGGATTACAGGTGTGTGTCACCATGACTGGCTAATTTTTGTATTTTTAGTAGAGATGGGGTTTTGCTATGTTGGCCAGCTGGTCTTGAGCTCCTGGCCTCAAGTGATCCACCCGCCTCAGCCTCCCATAGTGCTGGGATTATAGGTGTGAGCCACCGTGCTTGGCTGGAATTCCAGTATTTATAAAATTAATTTTATAACCAAAGCCAGGACTGGGCACAATGGCTCATGCCTATAATCTGAGCACTTTGGGAGGCCAAGGCAGGAGGATTGCCTGAGGTCAGGACCTCGAGACCAGCCTGGGCTACATAGTGAGACCCTGTCTCTAAAAAATAAAAAATAATAATAACTAAAAAAGAAAAAAAATACCCGAATCCAGTTTTTGTTGTTTATGCAGCCATTTGTAAGTGGATCAACCCACTTGAGAAGGAACCAGATTTTTGCTAGTACGTGGTGTATGTATGACCATGAGCCTCATGTTTGTATTGTCCAGGATGATCATTATAACCAGCCATCTCTTACATCAGTTAACAGTGCCCCCACTGAAAACTTGGCTCTTAGGGCTCTGGCCCCAGACCTTAGAAGGAACTGACCTCAACCCTGTGAAGCTGTGAGAGCCAGGAAGTTACCTGAGCAGGATGGTGGGTGGTTCCATGGCCTGAATGTCTTTGTCCCCCAACCCCAACATTTATATGTTGAAATCCTAATCCCCATGTTAATGGTTAGGAGGTGAGGCCTCTGGGAGATGATCAGGTCATGAGAGTGGAATCCTCATGAATGGGATTAGTGCCCTTATAAAGAGACCCCAGAGGGCTAGGCTTACCCCTTCTACCATGTGAGGATGCAGAGAGAACAGGAAATGGACCCTCACCAGAATCTTCTGGTACCTTGATCCTGGACTTCCTGGCCTCCAGAACTGTGAGAAATAAATTTCAGGTGTTTATAAGCCACCTGGTCCATGTTATTTTCCTATGGCTGTCCAAACAAACTAATACAAGTGGGCTCCAGGATTAAACTTCATCTGCTCTATGCTGCCTGCTTCATGCCCCCAGAGATAACAGTGGCACCATCCCGAGGCTATTGGAGAGCTGTGAGAAATGGAACACAGCCAGCAACAGGGGAGACAAGCACAGACAGGTAGGCCTGACACCTTTCAGACTTGGAAGTGTCAGCCAGCAGAGACCAACATCTTCTCAGCTAAAAGGTCAAACTTGCTCCAGAAAGCTTGAAGACTTCCCAGGTATGATCTTAAGACTTCATCTGGCTGGGCACGGTGGCTCATGCCAGTAATCTTAACACTTTGGGAGGCCGAGGCAGGAGGACTGCTTGAGGCCAGAAGTTCAAGACCAGCCTGGGCAACATAGCAAGACCCCATCTCTACAAAAAATTAAATTAGCCAGATGTGTGCGTGCCTATAGTTTTAGCTACTGGGGATGCTGAGGCAGGAGGATCACTTCAGCCCAGCAGGTGAAGGTTCCAGTGAACTAGGGTTGTACCACTGCACTCCAGCCTGGGTGATAGAGTGACACCCTGTCTAAAAAAAAAAAGACTTCATTCCAGCTGTGTCTGTCTCATCCATACCCTGCCTCTGATTTCCCCTTGCTCATTAACTACAGACAACCACATTAGTCTGTGCCTCTCTGATTTTTGCCTGCTTGTTTGTGACAGTTTTGGGTCAGCCCTGAGGCTTCCACTCAGAGATCTTTAGTCCTCTGCCCATGCCTTTTGCTCCAATGTATATACCATCACGATTTTACATTTACATAGGCTAATTTATGACAGCCAGTACTTATGTAGCATTTACTTTGTGTCAGGCACTTTTGTAAGCACAAAATTATGTTTACTTAGAACAGAGGAAAGTCATGTTTCCTTAGACCAGTACACCAATCCTGGACAGCTTGTTAATTACAGAAATCCCAGAGTTTCTGATTTAATAGGTCTGGAGTGGTGCTTAAGAATTTGTGTTTATAACAGTGTTGATGCTTCTGGTCCAGGCACCATACTTTGAGAACCTGTGTTACAGAATGTCAGATAACCTGTAGGTGGGCTTGTTAGAAAATGCTCTTGTATGACATTGGAAAGGCATGCAGTAATCTTTTTGCTTTACTTTCAACTTGGATGGTTTTCCTTAACAAAGGAAAAGCTGAACTGAACTATTCATTACAGTTCTCTTTCAAGGGTTGGATATTGATAGATCATAGCACTCTGGAACTGGAATATCAGGTGTTTCTTAGGGACTTCAGCAGTTGGACTTTAGAGTGGAGGGAGAGGCTAGGGAAATGCACCACCATAGGTGAGTACCTGCTGTGTGTCAGGCACTGTATTGGGCACTTGGCTGCCATAATTATCTCATGGAGTCAATCACCCAGTGGTGTTGGTATTATTCTCCCATTTTGCAGATGAGGAAACCATGACCGTGGCTTAGAGGGCAGAGGGTCTCCAGCAGAGCTTCCCAACTGGTATGTTGGAATGCGTAATGAATGTATGCTGAGCTATTGATCTCAGTGCTAGTGGTGCTGGGATGGGGCCCAAGGTGCCTGGAGCACCCTGCCCCTGTCAGTTTACCCCCAGGGTACTCTGGCCACAGGACAGACCCTCAGTGAGCTCAGGTCCAGGGGTAGACACTGCTCCTCCATCCTCTGACACTCACAGCTCTGTGAGTGAGGGGCAGGACTCAAGGAGTCCTCGGGAGCCTGCTCATGGTCACAGGCAGTGTTCCTGGAGGTGGAAGACACTCAGGATTAAGGCTGAGGGGCTACACTGGCAAAAACCTCCTGGGTACCTTTGGGGAAAGAAGACTCCCTTTCAGTTATGGAAACAAAAGTTCTCTGATGATGCTTATGCACCACACCTTAGGCTACAGCTAAGACAAGGCAAAACAGGACCCTCAGTCATTCCAGCTCCATAAAGCTGCCTCTCAGTGAGGACGAAAGGTTATCAGACTTTGTCCTTGGTGAACTGTGACAGAAGTGAAGATTTATGACCCATACTTTAATAGTTTCTTGATTGGATGATTAGAGCTCCCTATATCTTTATCTGCTAGCTAAGTAGTTTGGTGTCTGCACAAGGCCCAAATGCTGTAGTCAGACTCCTGGAGAGTCAATGGCCATATATGTTGGGGGAAAGCTTAAGTAACTCAATTGACTTTCAGTTGTTGAAAGCATTGATTTTTTTTAATTGCACTTATGGCTTAAGACCCAAAATAGCTTTGGACGATAGAGCAGAGGTTGCACTATTAGTTCTGTAGTCAATTCTTGACATATTCTGCCCTCTAAAAGGGCCAGTTACTACATCGGTTACTATATTAGGAGCTTCCAGTTCAGGCCTAAGATTTTCATTGATATGACTTAAGGACAATTGATGCTTAGATTCTTCCATTGAGAAGGTAACTTCAGGAGATTCTCATGTCTCCACCAAGGTTTCAGGAGATACTCTGCACAAATAAGACATGACTGGGGAGGTTTGCAGCCTCTTCTGTTTTGAATGTGATCTGTGATCTGCTGGCCTTTTCTGTTTCCCTAGGGACTTTTGCTCTCAGAAACTTTCTACCAGCTTGTGCTGTGGGGAAAGGAAGGCATTTTCCAGGGAGACCAGTCATTCTTCATGTTTGTATAGTGCTTTCCAGTCTTTAGTGTTACAGAGAACATTAAAATATTTTAGGCTAATCCTGCTTTTAAAAATGAAGAATTGAGGTCTAAGGAGGCTAAGTGATTATCTGAAATGTCACAACAAGAGGCAGGGCCCATGATTATAAATCCAGGGTTCTTGCCAGGATGCAAGACTAATCTATTTATGGGTAGGGGATACAGGCTCCACTAGGTCCATTGAGAGACGCTCTTATTAAGTTTATACAGGTATGTTACTTCTCTGCTATCTTCATGTGTAGGATTGGGGTGGGGAGACAAGGTCACACTCAAATGAGAGTGTGGGAGAACAACCACAGCTCCCCTGCCTCTCCTGTGGCAGGTCCGAGAAGGCTATGGAGAGGTGCTCCTTTTCCCATCATCTCCCCAATTTGGAAAGGAGTTCAGGAAACCAAAGCTAATGGAATCAATGTTAAATAGATTCGCTCTTTCATTGGCTTAAGTGGTCCAGCTGAAGAAATGTTTGGGAACAAGATACCAGAGAGGCAAGGTACTTACACAATTAAAATATAAAGAATTTAAAGACTGTGACTGAGTGGTCTTTTTGAGGTGACTCTTAAATGAAGGGCAGCCATATGTACTGACAAGGTAAAACCAGAGCTAGACAGTAATTGAAGTGGTAAAAACAGGTTTCTGTTTATGACTATCTCACTAGGGGAAAAGAGATCACAGTGTAGACCTGGATTCACTTCTGAATACAGTGTGGGCAAGTGGGAATTTATAGCCAGGAGCAGGGTGGGGGTTGGCGGGTGGGATAAGGGAGACTCTAGCTTAACAGGATTTTTGCTGAAGACAGGGCAGGGTGATCACACATCACCTGGGGATGGTGGAGGATGAGGAACCCAATCAGATATGGAGAGGGATCAGATATGGAGGGTGGGGGATTCTGGCTAAACCAATTTAGCCGGGTTCTTGCTAAACTTGTCTTTACAAGGAAGTGTACAGATAAATGTAGGAGAAGATTCAGGAGCCTGACTAAAGTTTGGTCAAACAAAGCATCTTTGTCAGATCAAATCTGGGAAAGCAAGAATTTAAAGGCTGGCCGGCGTTCGTTTTGACCCAAACACATAGGCCATAGTACTAGCACTGATTACATAGATCAACCCTGGAGAAGAAAGGAGAGCATTTAATAGCTTCCCGTGAATGAGTTCTGTAAGGGTTTACAGAACATGTACTGTGTGTTCCAGGTGTGGATGTACAGACATGAATGAGGCCTCATGGCCCAGTCTCTATGAGTTCTCAGTGCAACAAAGAGATGAGAACATGTGAGCTGGAGGGGAGGTGGTAGCAGGGTGAGAGCTGGTACTGTGAGCTCAGTGGGGGTTGAGAGTGAGTAGGGCTGTCCCCTGGGGCAGGGCAACAGTGATCTCATTACATCTGCAGCCCACAGGGCTCAGTTCTGCTGTGGTCTCAGAGGGATCACCCTATAGCATCTCTTGGATTCACTCTTCCCTGTAAATGGATGTCAGGTTCATAAAGGCACTCAGTTGGGTTACATGAGTCAGTAGGCTTTACCCCATACCCCCTCCCATGCTCAGAATCTAAGACATTGTTTTAGATATCACATTTTCAGCCAAATGTCAATATGCCTGGTCTGACATCTGAAGATAATTTGAAATCAATGGCAATAATTTTCCCATCCTTGGAAGTATGGTTTTAGCCATTGTTACCTAAAAGGTCTTGCTTAAATCAACCTCCATCCAAAGTCTCTTTAATAAGAAAAGTAGCTGACATTTTTTGATCACTTACTCTGTGACAGGCATTATATATGCATTAGCTCATTTAATCTTCCCAACATCCCTATGGATAAGTCCTATTATTACCCCCGTTTTACAGGTAAGTAACTGAGGCTAAGAGGATATATGAGTAGCTGAAAATCACACAAGGGGGAGGTGCTGAGTGGGAATTTGTAACTCCTGAGCCCATGCTTTGAGTTCAAGCTGCTTATCACCACATTAAACTGGGTCTTTACCTGAAATAATGCAACACCCAAAGCAACTTCATGTTTCAGGGATTCTCAGAGGAGTAGAAGGGGCTTCTCAGCCTTGCAGAAGGGTGAAGCTTGGAGGGAATTATGCTTACCATAATGTTTATTATATACTTTATAGTTTGAAAATGATAATAATAAAGATTCTCATACAGTCTTCGTGAAGGGAAGGCACACATCCATAATGTCCGAGGTGGGAGAAGCCACAGGCCAATTGTAGTACATCCCTGGGTGTCATTAAAGGAAAGGCAGCAATGAAGTGGAGAATAGTTTCCCTATCTATGAGGTGGGAGGAATAACAGTATGGCATCTCGCTCTGTCACCAGGTTGGAGTGCAGTGGTGCTGTGTCTGGAGTTTGTTCCTGCCGTTGGGTTTGTGGTCTTGCTGACTTCAAGAATGAAGCCACGGACCTTCACGGTGAGTGTTATAGCTCTTTTTTTTTTTTTTTTTTTTTTTTTTTGAGACAGAGTCTGGCTCTGTCGCCCAGGCTGGAGTGCAGTGGCGCCATCTCGGCTCACTGCAAGCTCCGCCTCCTGGGTTCACGCCATTCTCCTGCCTCAGCCTCCCGAGTAGCTGGGACTATAGGCGCCCGCCACCAAGCCCAGCTAATTTTTTTATGTGTTTTTAGTAGAGACGGGGTTTCACCGTGTTAGCCAGGATGGTCTCAAGCTCCTGACCTCATGATCCGCCTGCCTCGGCCTCCCAAAGTGCTGGGATTACAGGCGTGAGCCACGGCGCCCGGCCATGTTATAGCTCTTAAAGGTGGCACGGACCCAAAGAGTGAGCAGCAGCAAGATTTATTGTGAAGAGCGAAAGAACAAAGCTTCCACAGCGTAGAAAAGGAACACAGCGGGTTGCCGATGCTGGCTGGAGTGGCCAGCTTTTATTCTCTTATTGGCCCTTCCGGTATTCCCTTTCTGTCCTACTAGAGTGTCCTTTTTTTCAATCCTCCCTGCAATTGGCTACTTTTAGGATCCTGCTGATGGGTGCATTTTACAGAGCGCTGATTGGTGCATTTTACTGAGCGCTGATTGGCGCATTTCACAATGCTCTTGCTAGCTACAGAGCGCTGATCGGTGTGTTTTTACAGAGCGCTGACTGGTGCATTTTACAATCCCCTTGCTAAGACAGAAAAGTTCTTCAAGTACCCACTTGACCCAGGAAGTCCATCTGGCTTCACCTCTCATTGAGATCTTGGCTCACTGCAACCTCCACCTCCCAGGTTCAAAAGATTCTCCTGCTTCAGCCTCCCGAGTAGCTGGGACTACAGGTGCCTGCCACAATGCCTGGCTAATTTTTGTATTTTTAGTAGAGATGGGGTTTCACCATGTTGGCCAGGATGGTCTCCATCTCTTGACCTCGTGATCTGCCCACCTCGGCCTCCCAAAGTGCTGGGATTACAGGCGTGAGCCACCGCACCCAGCCCTTTGTCTATATTTTAAAAGATATAGATCGAACTTCAAATAATTTTGATGCCCGTTATGGGGCCTTTTCAGGCTCTGCCTCAGACATCTCTCTTGCTTGCTTTTGGGGAGAGCCCTTTCTGAGTTTAATGGCTTCAGTAACTGGAAAGGGGGTCAGCTTATTTCCCTCGAGATGTAAATGAAGCCCTTGAGACCTGGACACCTACATTGGCCCATTTCGAGGTGGTTGTTTTTTAGGACTCCTTTGTCTAATGATAGTGGGAAGGTTTTAGACCACCCGGAGAAGGCAGGTGGGAGGGGATTGGTCTCCAGAAACCATCTAGAAAGAGGGCCCCACCCTCCTGTGATCCTTTCTAAGAAGACTGGCAAGGCTGAAGAATCCTGGTCGCTTCCTCTTGTATGTTGTTTGCTTATCTCCTTTCCATTTCCTTTAGAGATTAGCGGTAAAACACAAGCAAGCACTTTTGAGAAACAGGCTGACCTAATACCATTATTTATTTTCCTCGGATCTGACATCCAGAGAGATGGTGCTAGTCCTCACAGTCACATAGAAAATTAGGATGTAGGCTCATACCTGTAATCCCAGCACTTGGAAGGCTGAGGCAAGAGGATGAGTTGAGGCCAGGAACTTAAGGATGCAGTGAGCTATGATGGAGCCACTGCATTCCAGCCTGGGTGACAGAGCAAGAATCCATCTCTAAAAAAAAAAAAAAAGAAAAGAAAAGAAAGAAAATTAGAATCTGATCTAGAGATTCAAACACAAGTTTTCCAAGGTTTGTCCTTGTACACTTTCCACACTAGACCACTTGCATCTCAACAGAGCACTTCTGGACATCATGGTTACCAGCTCTGGATGTAGAGCTAGACAGATCTGAGTTTGAATCCCTTTTATGGGTTGCATGACAGTGGAACCTTTCATGACTCTGTTAAAACCTCAGCCCCCCACCCCCAACCCCAAACTCCTGTAAATGTGGGGACTGAAGGAGGTGATCTACTTAAAAGCTTAGCACAGGTAGAGCCTGGTAGAAAGCAAGTCTTGAGGAGATGTCAGCTGTTCATATTCTTTTTTGTAAGTAATTCAAAGAACAAAGAAGTGTATTTTGGGATTTAGGGGGGTGGAATCTGATGGTTTTTCAAGTCCACATCCAGGGAGTTTACTGCCTTCTCACCTCATTTGGAAGATGCTCAGAACCATCCTGACTCGGAACGATCCTATGGAAAACTTGAAGTGTTTCTGCAGCACATAAAATCCTGGCAAATATGTAGCAATAACACCTGGGTTAAGGAAGCTGGACTCCTTGATATACCTTTCCAACCAACGGAGGTGGCATAGTCACCAAGAAAAGGGAAGTGTCTATGTGGCAGCCTTGTGTCCCACTGCGTGAGACTTCTGTGTTGGAGGGTGGCTAGGCTGGAGCCAGTCATGGTGTGCAGTTCCACACACAAGTCATTGCACTTAAGAAGACCTAGTTTGCCGGGAAAAGGTTTTACTCAGCAGATGAAAAGGAGCAGAACCGCCCATGTTGCTTACTGCCTCAGGGAAAATTGCCCAGTCCAGGAGCCCATTAGGAGGCTGTAGCTCCGACATCCCCAGGTGCTGGCCAGTAAGTAGGTTTCCTGGACTGTCTCTAACCTGGTTTATAAAGGAAGTCAGCCCTCTGGAATTTCTGACAGGTTTACAAACACCCAGGTTCAGGCAGGGTAGAGAAGCATGCTGGGCAGCAAGGAGTCCTTGTCTTGCTGAGAGAATTTGCAGACCAGGAGTAAAGAGAAAACTCCATCCCTGGCACACACAGGAAGCTTGCATCTGACAACAGGAAGGCTGGAACGCCACTTGGATTTGCTCAAGGAGGGTACAAGCATCTCCTGCTCATTGTCTCCTTTGTTATGAATGTATGTAGGGGATCAGCCCAAACAACCTGAAAAGAGATAGGATTCTGTACCCATATAGGCCACATGTCCAGGCTCAGGTACATGTGGGGATACAGGCTCCAGGGAGGCTGACTTGCATTCGGTGCCTGTCTGGGCTTTTCTCTAAACTGTGAGACAAGAGACAACAGTGGGACAAGGCAACAGCGGGAACCCACCTGGCTCCTTCTAATTGCGTTTATTACAAACGAGATGAGTGATGAGTTCAAGTTATAAGAAGTAGACTTGGAAGACAGACAAGGATGAAGGTTCCCTTTTAACTCTTTTCTGACAAACACACGCTTAATAGTTAGGACTGATGCAAAGATCCCACCCTTTTCTCCCCCCCTCCCGTTTTCCGGGCCCTGAGTAGTTGGAGGAAGAGTCTACAAAGCCAGATTATTTTTAGCCTTTGAGGCGAGGCTGATTCACCCCTCCCCTCGCCCCTTCCTTTGAAACGCACAGTCCTTTTTATTCCCTGGCCCAGCCAGGGCACCCGAGTTCTCTCGGGAGCTGCCCTTGAGCAAAGCTTGCTCAAAGCTGCTCCATCAGCAGGTTGTCAGCCCGGGGTCCAGCGAGGAGTATGGAGGAGGAGCTGACCTGCTAGTATGAAGGGTTTAAAGGAACTTAAGGCCGCATGTGGTGGCTCACGCCTGTAATCCCAGCACTTTGGGAGGCCGAGGCAGGCTGATCACCGGAGGTCAGGAGTTTGAGACCAGTCTGGCCAACATGGCAAAACCTTGTCTCTACTAAAAATACAAAAATTAGCTGGGTGTGATGGTCCATGCCTGTAATCCCAGCTACTAGGGAGGCTGAGGCAGGAGAATTGCTTGAACCCGGAAGGCAGAGGTTGCAGTGAGCCGAGATTGTGCCACTGCACTGCAGCCTGGGCAACAGAGCAAGAATCCTTCTCAAAAATTAAAAAAATCAAAAAGTAAGAGAATAAAGGAACTTAAGTACCCGCCAGTTCACTCGTTCATCCAATCATCGGTATAGGCAGGATCCTGTGCAACATTCAGAGGGGAGAGGGAGAACGAATCAGTGGGGTGTTATATCCAAGGAATAATTGATTGCTCAGCTAGACACAGAAATACCCTTTCTGTGATGAAAAATGCCCTGTACCACAGTTTTCATGACTACTTAAGAAGGGATGGTGTCTCTTAAAAAAATGATTGAGAAATATTTCAAACGTGAAAAAGTGCAGAGTGCATTATAACTCATAGGTATGGACTCCGAACACCCCTATTTAACTTTTGGCTTTATTGAATTGACTTACAAATGTTTTAAGGAATAAAACCTTAAAAATATCAGTTGAAGCCCTCCTGTGCTCTCTCCCCATTCTCCTACCGCATTCGAGGGGCCGTGTATCTTTCTAGTCCTTCACAAGTAGTCTCAAAGCAGCAAAAGGAATGGAAACTTGTAAATTAGCTACTTCCATTAAAAACACTCCTTTAACTTCTTTTTTTTTTTCAATTAATAACAATTATAGAAACGGGCCTTGCTCTGTTGCCCAGGCTGGTCTTTAACTCCTGGGCTCAAGTGATTCTTCCACCTCGGCCTCCCAAAGTGCTGGGATTGTGGCATGAGCCATCATGCCTGCCCCACTTTAACTTCTTCCTCTTCTCCAGGTTGGAAGCATCCTCATCTTCACCACCACTGTCGCCACCATTATCAGTTCCCATAGAACTATCTTCTAGCCACCACTGATTACAATGCAATTTCCAAGTCATAGAGCCCTGGAATGGGTCCAGAATGGGCCTTTAAAATCACAGTGGAGAGGCCGGGTGCGGTGGCTCATGCCTGTAATCCCAGCACTTTGGGAAGCCGAGGTGGGTGGATCACTTGAGGTCAGTAGTTTGAGAATAGCCTGGCCAACATGGTGAAACCTTGTCTCTACTAAAAATATAAAAATTCCAAAAAAACAAAAGTAAGCCAGGCTCGGTGGCTCACACCTATAATTCAAGCACTTTGGGAGGCCGAGTTGAGACCATCCTGGCCAACTTGGCGAAACCCTGTCTCTACTAAAAGTACAAAAATGAGCCAGGCATGGTGGTGGGCGCCTGTAATCCCAGCTACTCGGGAGGCTGAAGCAGGAGAATTGCTTGAACCTGGGAGGCAGAGGTTGCGGTGAGCCAAGATCGCACCACTTCCTCCAGTCTGGCAACAGAGCAAGAGTCCATCTAAAAAAAAACCACAGTGGAGAAACAGAGACCCCAACAGGTGGGGTATCTGCATATTGACAGCATGTATACTCAGGTTCAGAAGCTGGGAAGGAGCTATGTGACTGCCTAGAGGTCCAGCACTCCTGGCACAGACAGGGTGCTCCATAAACTCTAACAGCATGATTGTCCCTGTCAAATCCTGCCCACAGTGCACATGTGGTTAGTGCCCCGAACTTCATCCTAACCAATGAAAATATATCAGGAAGTGTTCATCTTGTTACTTAATATAATGAATGGGACATTTCACATAACTTCCTAACTATGAAAAAGTCTGCTTGGGATCTTTAAAACAGTTAAGTTGGACAGAAAGTTTTCAAGAGAAAGTGTTAGCTAGGCAATATGACACACACACTTGCCCCCTAAAACTAAAGAAAAAAGAGTATTAGAACCTATAATCAAACAATGTTTCGTGTAGTCTAATAAAATGCCAAGAAGCTAGCTGCCCTGGGGTGGTACCTCCCAGGAATCCAGGCTGGGCAGAGGGCCACTTGGAAGGAGGTGGGGGATAGAGCACAGGGCAGACAGATTTTTAAGCCCACCTGAGAAGTGACTTCATACTGTGACTGTTGGCTGGCTAGTCATAGTGAGATCTAATGCAGAATGGGTGTTGGACACTGCATTACATATACACATTCACTATATCCTCCTAACCTGTGAACCAGGAACTATTGCATCACCATGTACAGATGAGGATACCAAGGCCCAGAAAGCTTAAGGAACTTGTCCAAGGTCACACAGCTAAGGAAATGGTGGGGCTGAGGTTCTGTAACAGGCTAGTGACCCCAAGGCCCATGTCTTTTTTTTTTTTTTTTTTTTTGATGTATATAACCTGGGAGCAGTGGCGTGCGCCAATAGTCCCAGCTACTCTAGAGGCTGAGGCATGATTGGGCAACATAAGGAGACCTCTGTCTTTAAAAATAAAGAAATAAATAATTTAAATTGAGGTATAATCTACATAAAGTAAAATTCACTTTGTTTTGGCAGTGTACAATTCTATGAGGATTGACAAGTGAAATACCACCATGATAAAGATACAGAACAGCTCCATCACCCTCAAAAATTCCCTTGCGTCCTTTTGTAATCAATCCCTTCCTTCTAATTTTTTTTTTTTTTTTTTTGGAAACGGAGTCTCCCTCTGTCACCCAGGCTGGAATGCAGTGGCGCAATCTTGGCTCACTGACTGCAACCTCCGTCTCCCCAGGTTCAAGCGATTCTCCTGCCTCAGCCTCCCAAGTAGGTGGAACTGCAGGCATGCACCACTACACCTGGCTAATTTTTGTATTTTTGGTAGAGACAGGGTTTCACCATGTTGGCCAGGCTGGTCTCAAACTCCTGACCTCACGTGATCCTCCTGCCTCGACTGCCCAAAGCGCTGGGATTACAGGTGTGAGCCACTGCACCCAGCCTCGATCCCTTCCTTCTATTTGCCCCTGCCCCCTGTATACGCAGCGATCAGTTTTCTGTTTACTTTTTCTAGAATGTTATACAAATGGAATCATACAGCCCTTTGAGACTATTTTCTTTCATTTAGCAAAATCTGCATACATCCATCTTTTGTTCCTTTTTGTTGCAGAGAAATATTACGTTGTATGGATGTACCACTGTTTGTTTATCCATTCTTCAGGTGAAGGACATGTGGGTTGTGCCCAGCGCGGGCTGAATAAAGGTGGGTAAACATTTGTGCAGGTTTTCATGTGAATGTAGCTTTTCATTTCTCTTGAGTAAGTACCTAGGAGTGGGATTGCACAGCTCATGCTTCTAGCTAGCCTTCAGGATGTTGTATAACTAAGTAGATACTCAGGACTTTGGTAGATGTCAACAGCTCCCTGCTGCCAGAGAAGGACATGGAGAAAAGGAGGTTTTTTTTTTTTTCCCCACACACTTTCGAAAAATTCAGAAATAACTTTTTGTTCCAGCGTTCACATTTTTAATATATCAAAATGATAAGTTTATAACTTATAAAACAGTTAGTTTTGAGCTTAAAATGTGAATTTTGATCTGTGATGAGTGCTGAAAACTGAAACACTACTTTTTTTGTTTTTTTTTTTTTAACTATTTGCAGTCTTAATTTTCCCACTCCAGATAAAACTCAACCTTTACCATGCATGACACATATCTTTCTGGATGTTTTCTGTCGCTTTGAAAACGACTACGGTCAGACCTTGGTACTCAAACAGAAGAAGATGTAGATGAGTTCTTTCCTTCTCTTTAGAATTCTGCTCTTTCCTCTCGGGTTTATTTTAACTCGAATCCCATCTTTCTCCCACTTTCCCAACCCCCTCCCTTATTCTCACCTATCATCTGCTTTGGAAGAGGGAGCTGGATTCTCAAATTGAAGACTCCTTGCTATATTTGGTTAAAATCTCGATGTTGGGTTGAGGGCACTTAGACATCAGCCAAACCACGTCACCCCACTTTGAGTCCTGATGTGTGTATGTAAGAAGCGTGTGAAACATCCCACTTCTAATGAAACTTATCTTCCCATTTTTGCATGGTGAGTCAGTGGTCCTCCCACAAGATGAGTTCTAGTGAATCAACAAAGTGAAACGGGATTTAGTGAAAAGAATTCACCTGTTATGCCTATCCACTGTAGATAGAGGGATCATCTCCTCCTCCTTCTATGGGTTGCATGAGGACTTCTCAGAGTCAATGTCTGACTGGTTACAAGAGAAAAGGTTCATGTGCAGCACCAACAGAGGACGGGATCTAAGGAGACCCACACCACTGTGCCCTACTGGGTCACTTTCAGAAGCCAAGTGATATCTTTTGAGATTCCTAAGTACCTTAGCTGAGGCACCTATAATAAAAGACAAGTTAACAAGAAAGAAGCATATTCAGGCCAGGTGCAGTGGCTCACGCCTGTAATCCCAGCACTTTGGGAGGCTGAAGCATGTGGGTCACCTGAGGTCAGGAGTTCAAGACCACCCTGGCCAACATAGTGAAACCCCATCTCTACTAAAAATACAAAAAAAATTAGCTGGGCATGGTGGTGAGCATCTGTAGCCCCAGCTACTTGGGAGGCTAAGGCAAGAGAATCACTTGAACCCTGGAGACAGAGGTTGCAGTGAGCCGAGATCACACCACTGCACTACAGCCTGGGCGACAGAGCGAGACTCCATCTCAAACAAATAAATAAACAAATAAAAATAAGCATATTAACTTATTTAATATATTTGATGTAGCATGCGGCCTTCAGAAATGAAGAACCGGCTGAGCGTGGTGGCTCATGCCTATAATCCTAGCACTTTGGGAGGCTGAGGCAGGCAGATCACCTGACGTCAGGAGTTTGAGACCAGCCTGGCCAACATGATGAAACCCCGACTCTACTAAAAATACAAAATTAGCTGGGCGTGGTGGCACTTGCCTGTTGTCCCAGCTACTCGGGAGGCTGAGGCAGGAGAATTGTTTGAACTTGGGAGGTGGAGGTTGCAGTGAACCGAGATCACACCACTTCACTCCAGCCTGGGCAACACAGCAAGACTCCATCTCAAAACAAACAAACAAACAAAAAAATGAAGAACCACGAAAGAGGGAAGCTTGTGTGGTTTTTTTTTTTTTTTTTTTTTTTTTTTGAGATGGAGTGTTGCTCTGTCACCCAGGTGGAGTGCAGTGGCGCGATCTCAGCTCACTGCAACCTCTACCTCCCAGGTTCAAGCGATTCTCCTGGCTCAACCTCCCGAGTAGCTGGGGCTACAGGCGAGCGCCACCACGCCTGGCTAATTTTTGTATTTTTAGTAGAGACAAGGTTTCACCATGTTGGCCAGGCTGGCCTTGAACTCCTGACCCCAGGAGATCTGCCCGCCTTGGCCTACAAAGTGCTGGGATTACAAGTGTGAGCCACTGCACCCAGTCAAGCTTGTGTTTTTTTATGTTTAGGTTTGATGAAGAGTGGACAGTCACTGAGAGGTATGATTGGACAAAGGGGATATGACCTAATAGTAATCAACTGGGGGGAATTTAGCAAGATTCGTTTGTTCAAATTCTTCTCTGTGTCTCTGTGTCTTCAGGGATAAGGACATTTCTTTCCTTCAGGCATAGGGAGGGCACCTCTGAAATTAGGGTATTTATTTACTTATTTTGTGACAGAGTCTCACTCTGTTGCCCAGGCTGGAGTACAGTGCTCACTGCAACTCTGCCTTCCTGGCTCAAGTGATCCTCCCACCTTGCCACCATGCTCAGCTAATTGTTTAACATTTTTATAGAGATGAGGTCTCACGATGTTACCCAGGTTGGTCTTGAACTCCTGGGCTCAAGTGATCCTCCCACCTCGACCTCCCATAGTGCAAGCTGCCTCGTCTGGCCTGAATGAGGGTTTTATGACCTATCAACTACTTTTTTTTTAAGACGAGATTTTGCTTTGGTGCCTAGGCTGGAGTGGAGTGGCACCATCAAAGCTGCAATGTGCAGCCTTGACCGTATGGGCTCAAACAATCCTCCAACCTTAGCCTCCGGAGTAGCTGGGACCATAGATGTGCACCACCATGCTTGGCTAATTTTTTGATTTTTTTGCAGAGTCAGGGTCTCACTATGTTGCCCAGGCTGGTCTTGAATTCACGGCCTCAAGCAGTCCTCCTGTCTTGGCCTCCCAAAATGCTGGGATTACAGGCGTGAGCCACTGCACCTGGTCCTTATGACCTACTTTAGGGGAATGTAAGCACATCCTTTTCCGGTCTGTTTCAGGGGAGAAGGTCAAGAAAAGGTCAGAGAGACCTTCCAGCTTCTGCTGTTTTCTCAAATGCCAAGGTGCCATATTTTGGGGTAGTGTGTTCTGAACCCCATCACAATAAAATGATGAGTTATTGCGTTGGCCACCCCTACGCAGAACCTTCTGAGAAGATTTATGAAATGCATCTCAGGAACATCCTAGGGTTGGGGGAGAGGAAATGGGGAAGCATTTATCCTTTGCTCCCAGGCCCCCATGGGCAAAGATTGCCCCATAGGCATCAATACACCTGTATTTGCCTTGTCTAGGGCAGGGTGTGGGGAAAGCCAGGGGCATGATCCTTACATAAGCTTGTTGGTTACATAATGTCACTTCAACAATGCCTGGTATCTTGCTGAAGAAATGGCAAACTATTTTTAACCTCTTGGGACTTGCATCCTGGGACTTGCCTTCCTATAGCCCTGGCTATAAAACTCTAGGTGGCCCAATGTAAGGCTGGTAAGAATGGTGGTTGTGGAATTTCTATTTGAAAGGAGCCTTGGGGCAGCCATCTGTTTGGGACTTGGCGTAGGCTGTGAAGAACAGACATTGTGTTTACTTAGATTGTATGTGTATTTAGCGCATGCTGAAGGAATATGAGGGGTTGTTAGCTGTGAACACAGCCACCAAGAGCAAGACCTGTGGGCACGGTGGCTCATGCCTCTAATCCCAGCACTTTGGGAGGCTGAGGTGGATGGACTACTTCAGCCTAGGAGTTCGAGATCAGCTTGGGCAACACAGACTCCATCTCTATTTTTTTTCACTTCTTTTTTTGAGATGGGGTCTCACTGTGTTGCCCAGGCTGGAATGTGGTCATGCGATCTTGGCTCACCACAGCTCCAACCTCCTGGGCTCAAGCAATCCTCCCACCTGAGCCTCCCAAGTAGCTGGGACTATAGGCATGTGCCACCACACCTATCTAATTTTTGTATTTTTTTTTTTTGTAGAGATAGCATCTCACTATGTTGCCCAGTCTGGTCTCGAACTCCTGGGCTCAAGCCATCCTCCCATCTTAGCCTCTCAAAGTGCCAGGATTATAGGCATGAGCCATCATGTCTGGCCCATCTCAATTTTTGAGAAAATAAATTAAAAACAAAAAGGGTAAGGTTCTTCTTGAGCACATTCTGCCTGAGGTAGCCCAGAATCTTCAAGGCTTTCCACGCCTGATTGCTCCTTACAAAATGGTGCCGAGTATTTGGCTGGGCTCTCTCTCTTTCTTATCCAGTGTGCCAATCTCTCCTGCCCACGCCCTCACTGGGGTGAAGGGTGAAGGTAAGCAAAGAAGAAATCCTGTCCCAGCACAGGAGCTGTAAATGAGGTCTCAATTGCCAAGGCTTCAGGGAAATGTCTTCAGCCCCCTAAGTATGTGAAACTCCCGAGTTCCAAGTGGTGTGATCCAAGCACAACAGTAAGACTGGCAGTTACACAGTGTCTTCTGGTGCCAAGTTTTCAGACTGGGGAGCCACAGCGGTCACATGCGTCATCTTACTCAATCAGCCCTCTTAGACCTGCAAGAAAGGTGACTTGTTCAGTATGTGGTTTGTATACTTTATCCATGTCTTGGCTTGAAAAGTAGTCGTGAATTACCATGTATCTACAATCCTCAGCTATTGTCTCTTGAACCATGGTTTCCCTCCTGGTAAACATCTTTTTCAATCACCCCCTTTGACTCCCCAGTTGTTCTGACCTGAGGAAAGGTGGGGGAGGCAGAGTGATGAAGAGAATCACCTGGTATGTCCTGGCTTTATGGCTTTGCTCATGTGCCTCTCCCCTTTCGTTTTCCCTCCCCAGCTCTGCTCCTAGCCAGCAAACTCCCCTCATTCTCTAAGCCTTACTTTTCCAGGGCAGCTGTCCACTCCAGTTCCCAGGGGCCACCTTCTCTGAAAACATGGCACTTCTCTGCTCAACGCACTTGGCCATGAATCAGTTGAGCCTGATGGAAGCTCTGGTCTTGTCATTTATCTTTCCAGGCACTTCTACCTTATCTTTGTCCCTCTCCCACACCCTCTAGTAGATTGTAAGCTCCTCGAATTTGCTTTAATTTGTGACCTCCACAGGTCCTAATTCAGTGTCTTAGACATAAGAGGAATCAATAAATGAACAGAAAAAAGGTACATGACAATCTGGGGAAGGACACTCTGATGGCCCCTGTCTCCACTGGGTCTTAAACATGTTTGAGAAATTGGCTGATCTCTAGCATCCAATAATGAACACTGTACCAGTGCTTGTCAAGTTTGCTTGCTACCATCTTCCTTCCTTTCACACCATGATTGAATACCCTATCTGACATGCAGTCATTAAGAGTGTGAACTTCAGAGAGAGACCACCTTGGTTCAAATCCCAGCTCTTCTGTGTGACCTTGGGCAAGTGACTTAAGCTCTCTGAGCTTCATTTTTCTCATTTGTAAAATGGGGATAATAATAATAGTGGTGGCCTCTTAGGGTTGTCATGCAGATAAGATGAGGTAATTCACAGAAAGCATTTGGCAGTGTGAGTTCTCAGAGAAATATGGTTTTTGGCTGTCTGTGGGGAGCTCACCATCCAACAGGAAAATACACATTAATGCAACTATGTGTTTTAAGTTGGATGCCCTCAGAAACTGATCTGATGATACAGATTTGAGTGCAAATCGTGTATTTGAGAGGCGACCCCAGGAGGCACAGGTAAGAAAGAGGGGAAGTGAGACAGTACAGGATACGTTAATGAGCAGGTTCCCACTGTGGGCCCTCAGGTTCATTCCTGCTGGGGACCTCTGGGAGACTGCAGAGAGAAACCTCAGAGTTGTCTCTCCTCTTGCCAAGGGCAAGAAAGTTGGGGTCTTTTTCATCACCTCCTGTTACTCATTGCTTGAGGGTTGCTCCCAAAGGGTTTCCTCCCCTGTGCTTTCAGGACAGTCTCCCCAGGCAGCCAAAGACAGTTCTTAGACCATGAGTCAAAGATACTTGCAGAAGAAAGCCTGGGGTCAGGGTCATGGTCCCACTGGACCCTGTGCTGGGGGGAATCTCTGGATGGGGCATCGACTGTGACAGCCCTTGTTCTGAGTTCTGCTGTTATCCATAAGAGTTGGTGGAGAAAAATTGTAACCTTTCTGAGGTTGTTCAAGGGGAAGGTTTAGGTATGGGAGCATATGCTTCTGAAGAAAACCCTGCTGCCTCTTTAACGACTTGATTGTCAAGTGGCATCTCTGAAATCTCAGCGCCCACCAAGCTCTTTCAGCACTGAGGGTCAGCTCTGGAAGTGCAGAGACTGTTGCCTGCACTCGCTCGAGGGGAGGGCCCCACCCTCATTATCTCACTGGGATTTTATGACCCTGCTGTGTGAGCAGCAGTGCACAGCTGGGGCAGGAAAGAGCAACCTCACAGATTCAAAAAGGATAATGCTGCTTCCCGCACCTTCCCCACTTTTCAAAACTGGAAATAGCAGAGGCAAGGGGAAAAAATGTGCAGAAAGCACAGCAAATTGGGGGAAAAGCTGTTGCAGTTTTGCCTTTGTATGTTCCTCATTAAGGTTTGCCTTTTTCCTGCCATGATTGTCTCCAGAACTTATGGTTGAAAGGAAATGGGCTTGTGAGTAAAGCTGGAGAGAAATCAAGAAGTTATACTGAAATAGTAGTGGCAAAAAAAAAAAAAAAAGATGAAGTCAAGAAGTATTCGTTATTCCACAGGGAGATTTAGGGGGCCCATGGGGGTCTCATAGCAAGTGTGACTTCTAGACATAGCCAGACCAGGAAGTACAAGACAAAGTGACTTAAAGGTGCTTGTAAGAAACCCCCAGGCTCACAATTCTTCACACCTCATACTCACACCTACATCTTTTCCCTCCTGGTTCATTTAAAGCTTATTTTAGCTTTTAGTTTTAGGTAATTTCATACCTGCAGTTTTGATTTTTATTTATTTTTATTTACGTTTTGTTTCTCAGAGACAGAGTCTCATTTTGTTGCCTAGGCTGCTCTTGAACTCCTGGCCTGAAGTGATTCTCCCACCTTGGCCTCCCAAAGTGTTGGTATTACAGGTGTGTACCACTGCGCCAGGCCTGATGTTTTACATTCATCTTTGCCTCTATCCGTGAGTGTACTGGGTTGAGTAGTGTCTCCCCAAAATTCATGTCCACACAGAACCCCAGAAAGTGGTCTTATTTGGAGATAAGGTCTTGCAAATTTGTTAGGTGGGTGCAAAAGTAATTGCAGTTTTTGCCATTGAAAGTAATTGCAAAAACCGCAATTACTTTTGCACCAACCTAATAATTAGTCAAGATGAAATCACGCTGGATTAGGGAGGCCCTAAATCCAGTATGGTTAGTGTCTGATAAGAAGAGGGAAGTTTGGACACAGAGACACAGAAACACAGGGAAAGAGGCCATGTGAAGGTGGAGGCAGAGATTGGAGTGGTGTAGCTGCAAGCCAAGCAGTGCCAAGGTTTGCCAGCCACCCTTAGAATCTAGGAAGAAGCAAGGAAAGATTCTTCCCTAGACCCTTCAGAGGGAGTGTGGGCTTGCCAACAGCTTGCTTTCTGACTTGTAGCCTCTAGAACTGTGAGAAAACACATTTCTGTTGTTTGAAGTCACCCAGTTTGACAGCTCTGGGAGAGTAATCCAGAGTAGAAGCCACCTGAGGGCAAGGATGATGGTTTATTCACCTTATGCCTCTCTGCAGTGTTTAGTTCCAAACATGGCTGACTCAAGATGTTAAACGGAGCTTCATAAAAAGATGTTACTGGAAGGTATGGCTCTTTCTAGCCTGACTGCTGTCACAGCTGTAGAAATGAGGTTGTCAATCTGAGAGCAGGGCTCAGGGGTTTGGAGACTAGGTAGTTTCCTCTTGGGAGGACATGACAGTATTGGGGAAGGGAAACACTCAAGATGGTGACCCAGGACCTCCTGAATCTGTCTCCCAATTGTGGCTAGAGCTGGCCTGGTTTCTGGGCCCCCACATCTAATTATGTGGATTCCATGGTGGCTCCCGCCTGTAATCTCAGAACTCTGGGAGGCTGAGGCGGGTGGGTCGCTTGAGCTCAGGAGTTTGAGACCAGCCTGGACAGCATGGTGAAACCCTGTCTCTACAAAAAATTACAAAAATTAGCTGGATGTGCTGATGCGTGCCTGTAGTCACAGCTCCTCAGGAGGCTGAGGTGGGAGGATTGCTTGAACCCAGGAGGTCGAGGCTGCAGTGAGCCCTGATAATGCCACTGCATTCCTGCCTGGGTGACAGAGCAAGAGCCTGTCTCAAAAAAATAATAATGATTATTATGTGGATTCAAAGAGACTCAGATGCTCCTTCTACGAGCGGGGGCAAATCCTTGGGCATCCGAGGTCCTGACCGTGGATTACCCCAGCTGGTCTCCAGAGGACTTCTGAGTATCACCATGGGTGGGGACAAGAGGGTAGTGGGTTGGGGTTGAAGTCGACTTTAGCAAATAGCTCATTGTTCTCTTTCACCCTTCTGTGAAAGAGGATCAGAAGTTCAGGGCATGGCTCTAAGGAAGTTCCTGGCAGCTCTGTTTAGAGTAGCAAGATTTTGGAAATGACCCAAGTGTCTGACAATAGATGATTGGTTAGATAAGGTATGGGTTAGCCAGACGTTGGAATTTTATTCAGCCACTAAAAATGATGTCGTAGATGATTGTTTATTGACATGATAGGAGGATATCCTGTATGGAAAACACATATAATATTTTACACTTATGATATGTGCAAGATATATGTATGCAGGCATAGGAAAAAATCTACAAGGGCATAAGAGCAAGGTCTTAACAAGAGTTTTCTCTGGTTAGATAATGGATGATTTTTTTCCTCTTACGGTTGGGGGATATATTTTTGTAATATAAAACCAAAGTTATTTTTGTTTTAAGAAATGCTCCTGGCCAGACGCGGTGGCTCATACCTGTAATTCCAGAACTTTGGGAGGCCAAGGCGGGCAGATAACCTAAGGTCAGGAGTTCAAGACCAGCCTAACCAACATGGAGAAACCCCATCTCTACTAAAAATACAAAATTAGCCAGGCATGATAGTGCAGGCCTGTAATCCCAGCTAGTCCGAAGGCTGAGGCAGGAGAATCACTTGAACCCAGGAGGCAGAGGTTATGGTGAGCCGAGATCACGCCACTGCACTCCAGCCTGAGCAACAAGAGTAAAACTCTGTCTCAAAAAAAAAAAAAAAGAAATGCTCCTGCAGGCCAGGTGCAGTGGCTCATGCCTGTAATCCCAGCACTTTGGGAGGCCGAGGCAGGTGTATCACCTGAGGTCAGGAGTTGGAGACCAGCCTGGCCATCAAGGTGAAACCCCCTCTCTACTAAAAATACAAAAATTACCCGGGCATGGTGGCAGGTGCCTGTAGTTCCAGCTACTTAGGAGGCTGAGACAGGAGTATTGCTTGAACCCGGAAGGCAGAGGTTGCAGTGAGCAGCTGAGATCGCACCACTGCACTCCAGCCTGGGCAACAGAGTGAGACCCCGTCTCAAAAAAAAAAAAAAAAAAAAAAAAAAGAAATGCTCCTGCAGTATTCTATAGGTTGTGCCATGAGCGTCCTCCTTCCTTTTCTCTTATGAGAACTCACTTTTCTGCATTTTTTGCATAGGATTGGGCTCTCTTTCTTAATGTGTCAGCAGAGAGTCATGGCAGCAACGCAGAGAAAACCTCGTTACCGGGGCAGATGTGAAGTTTACCAGAAGCTTTTCCAGCCCCTTGGGCACCACCTCTTTGGTGCTGAGAATGGCTGAGCTCACCTGAGATGGTTTCCTTCCTTCTCTGCCCTTTCCACTGTGCAGGGTGGCTGGGACTTCCCTGACCTCCACCAACCCTGACCTTCCAACCTTGAGTCTACCTTGGATTCTCTCTATTCAGTCTCATCTTGCTTGAAATACTAAACCATATCCCATGTCTCCAAATATTGATTTTTAAAAGCTATATTGTTCCACTGCACTTCAACTCAGCCAACATTTATTTTACTGCTTATTTTGTGCCAGGCACTGAGGCAAGCTCTTGGGTAATAATGATCACCAGGACAAGGGTCTATGGCCAAGAAGGGATTGGAGCTAATGGAGCATCTATTAGGTGCCAAGCCCTTTGCTGAGGACCTTGTATACATTCTCACTTTTAATTTAATCTGTACAGGAATCCTTTGAGTGAGCACTAATATTTTTATGGTACAGATGAAAAATGAGGGTTAGAGAAGACTCACTACTTGTTTAAATAGTGATGGGGGATTTTAAACCCAGTTCTGTCTGACTCTACCACTGCTATTCCTACTACCACTCTACTCTAACTGCCTTAGAGCCCAAAGTTGTTTCCTTTACACAGTGCTCAGTTAGCAATAAATAATAGTTTGCTTAACTATTCCTTGCTTGGAACAGCTAGGTATTTTTAAGTATTTCCATTATTATAAGAAGACCCTGCTCTACTCATGTATGTATACATAACAGCCACTGATCTTTAAGAAAGTCTTACATATAGGGTGGGTGCGGTGGCTTACGCCTATAATCCCAGCACTTTGGGAGGCTGAGGAGGCGGGCGGATCACCTGATATCAGGAGTTTGAGACCATCCTGGCCAACATGGTGAAACTTGTCTCTACCAAAAATACAAAAATTAGCCAGGCATCGTGGTGGGCTCCCAGCTACTCGGGAGGATGAGGCAGGAGAATTGCTGGAACCCAGGAGGCAGAGGTTGCAGCGAGCGGAGATCACACCATTGCACTCCAGCCTGGGCGGCAAGAGTGAAACTCCGTGTTAAAAAAATAATAATAAAAAAATAAAAATTCTTACATATACATAGACATCATGAGTGTGTGAGAAAGAAAAGATGGAAAGAAAATACGCTAAACATTAAACAACAGTTACACAAGGGAAATAGATTGGGCATGGGAGACATGAGAAAAAAAACTTTTAGTTGAAAAAATAGACAAATTTTTAAGAGAAGTTTTAGGCTCACAGCAAACTAGAGTAAGAAGGTACAGAGATTTTCCATATACCTCCTGTCCGCACATATGCCCAGTCTCCCCCACTATCAAAATCTGCACCAAAGTATACATTTGTTACAATTGGTCAAACTACATTGCACATTATTATCACCCAAAGTCCATAGTTTACCCTAGGGTTCACTCTTTGTGCTGTACATTCTGTGCATTGGAACAAATGTGTAATGACATGCATCCACCATTACAGAATCATACAGAGTAGCCTCACTGCCCTAAAAATCCTGTGTGCTCTGCCTATTCATCCAGGCAACCCCCCCGCCCCAGCTCCTGGCAACCATTGATCTTTACTGTCTCCGTAGTTCTGCCTTTTCTAGAATGTCATATAGTTGGAATCGTACAGTATGTAGACTTTTCAGATGGGCTTTGTTCATTCAGTAATATGCATTTAAGATTGCTCCATGTCTTTTCATGGCTTGATAGCCCATTTCTTTTTAGCATTGAATAATACTCCATTGTCTGGATGTACCACAGTTCATCTATTCACCAACTGAAAGTCATCTTGGTTGCTTCCGAGTTTTGGCAATTATGAATAAAGTTGTTATAAACATTCACGTGCAGGTTTTTGTGCGGACATGTTTTCAACTCATTTGGGTAAATACCGAGGAGCACGATTGCTGGATCATATGGTAAGAGTATGTTTAGTTTTGTAAGAAACTGCCAAACTGTCTTTCAAAGTGGCGGTACCATTTTGCATTTCCACATGCAATGAATGAAAGTTCCTCTTGCTGTTCATCCTTGCCAGCATTTGGTGGTGTTACTGTTTTGGTTTTTAACTATTCTGATAGGTGGGTAGTAGCATCTTATTGTGTTTTAATTTGAAATCCCCTGATGCACATGATGTTGAGCATCTTTTCATGTGTATGTTTTCCATCTGATATCTTCTTTGTTGAGGTGTCTGTTTAGGTCATTTGGTTATTTTAAAAAATTGGATTGTTCATTTTCTTATTGTTGAGTTCTTTGTATATTTTGGATAACAGTCCTTTATCAGATATATCTTTTTAAAATAATTTCTCCCACTTTGTGACTTCTTCTCATTCTCTTGAGAACTTTCTGTTTTTACTTTACACATTTCAGTATTGTTTGATTTTTTTCCCTGCAAAGAGCATACCGTGCTTTTTGTGATTGCCTTCCAATGCATTCAGAAGCATACAAATAAATAAGGTTTTTATCAGCAATATAACTGCTTTTAGAAGGATTCCTGGTGAAAAGAAAAGATTTCTCCCAAACAGAGCCCATGTTCTCTCTTGGCCCTGCCAAGAGGAGAGAACAGTAAGCATAGTGAATAACTCCCACTGGAGGTTAGGAACTTTTTAATAGCTTGTGTGTGGTTATGACTGTGTCATGTATTTCAGAGTTTAATGACTATATTATACATTTATAAGTCTGATAGGGGCTTGGATAAACAGGAGAGTCTCTGCCTCCCTCAAAAGAAATGCTAATGCATTGGATTCCCTTTGGCTAAAAGAAAAAACTGGAGCCAGCTGTCTCAGTTGGAGAGAGCAAAGAGAAAGGTTAGAAAAAAGAGAACATACTTGAGGCTGGAAAAAGACATTTGGCAGAGGATACACTTCTTCAGCTTGTGGACTTCTGTGGCCCTTATAGGAAGAGGCTCCACATTTATTCTGGTCAAATGTCTTGGATCGCAGACCAACCGCATCATAAACTGATTGTGTGACTTGAAGAAGATGCTTAGTTGTTTTGAGCCACAGTTTCCTCGTTTGGAAAATCCAGATTCTAATAATAATAGTAACTATCTCACATGGTTGTTATGAAAATAAATGATCTTCCCTTTCAAAGCGCTTTGTAAAGAACTAAGTGCTTGTTCTAACGTGCTGTGCAAATACTTTCTGTCTATACGGACAAATTGCATTTGCATGCCTGCTGTGTGTGGAGCGATGGCTACACAGAAAGTAATGGGTGTACAAAATGGATATATTACACAAATGATAACATTATTATTATACAAAATAATGCTTGGTGCTTACCCTCAAGAAACTTACAGACAGACCAGGTGCGGTGGCTCACGCCTGTAATCCCAGCACTTTGGGAGGCTGAGGTGGGCGGATCACAAGGTCAGGAGATCGAGACCATCCTGGCTAACATGGTGAAACCCCATCTCTACTAAAAATACAAAAAATTAGCTGAGTGTGGTGGCGTGCCTGTAGTCTCAGCTACTCGGAAGGCTGAGGCAGGAGAATCGCTTGAATCTGGGAGGCGGAGGTTGCAGTGAGCCAAGATTGCACCACTGCACTCCAGCCTGGGTGACAGAGCGAGACTCCGTCTCAAAAATAAAATAAAATAAAATAAAGAAACTTACAGACAATATAAAAAGAAATGCTGGGTGTGGTGTCTCATGCCTGTAATCCCAGCACTTTGGGAGACCGAGGCAGGAGGATCACCTGAGCCCAGGAGATCAAGACCAGCCTGGGCAACACAGTGAGTCCCCATCTCTACAAAAATTAAAAAACATTAGTCAGGCATGGTGGTGCACATCTGTAGTCCCAGCTACCTGGCAGGCTGAGGCAGGAGAATCACTTGAGCCCAGGAGGTTGAGGCTGCAGTGAGCTGTGATTATGCCACTGTACTCCAGCCTAGGTGACAGAGCAAGACCCTGCCGAAAAAAAAAAAAAGGAATGGACAGGTATGTGGAAAAGATAGTTCCAATACTGTTTCACTGTAGCTCAAATCAGATAATTTACCACTTAAAAATATAGGGTCATCTGTGCTGTTCATTATTATAAGAATGTTCATCTCATCTTCCAAAGTAGATTGCAGGCTTCTTGAGGGTAGGGCCCATGTTTTCTTTTTCCTCCCACACCAACTTATACGGAGTTCAGAAAAACCATATCTGTTACCATTTATAGAGGGCTGTCTGTGGACTAGGCACCTTGTTAAGATCTTTTTTTTTTTTTTTTTTTTTGAGATGGAGTCTCACTTTGTCGCCCAGGCTGGAGTGCAGTGGTGTGATCTTGGCTCACTACAACCTCCGCCTCCCAGGTTCAAGCGATTCTCCTGCCTCAGCCACCCAAGTAGCTGGGACTACAGGTGTGTGCCACCACGCCTGGCTAATTTTTTGTATTTCTAGTATAGATGGGGTTTCACTGTGTTAGCCAGGATGGTCTCGATCTCTGGACCTCATGATCTGCCCGCCTCGGCCTCCCAAAGTGCTGGGATTACAGGCATGAGCTACTGTGCCCGGCCAAGATCTTTTAGATATATTATATTATGGAATCTTTGAAACTATCCTATGAGGTAATTTTATTTAATTAATTTATTTTATTTTATTTGAGACAGAGTCTCGCTTTGTTGCCTAGGCTGGAGTGCAATGGTGCTATCTCAGCTCACCGCAACCTCTGCCTCCCGGACTCAAGCGATTCTCCTGCCTCAGCCTCCTGAGTAGCTGGGATTACAGGTGCCCACCACCATGCCCAGCTAATTTTTATATTTTGTATTTTTGATAGAGATAGGGTTTTACCATGTTGGCCAGGCTGGTCTTGAACTCCTGACCTCAGGTGATCCACCTGCCTCAGCCTCTGAAAGTGCTGGGATTACAGGCATGAACCACCATGCCTGGGCTTTATGAGGTAATTTTATAATTTCAATTTTACAAATGAGGAAACTGAGGCACAGAGTGGAATAGCTTTCATGAGGCCTCTCAGCTGCTGAGTGTTGGGATCAAAATTTGAACCTTGATTTTTTCAGCCCATATTCTTCTTTAAAAATAATTTTTATTGTGTATCTTTGAGGTTTACAACATGATGTTATAGGATACAGATATAGATAGTAAAATGGTTACTATAGTGAAGCTGATTAACATATCTATCATCTCACAGTTACTTTTTTTGTGACAAGAGCAGCTAAAATCTACTTATTTAACACAAATTTTAAAGCAATGCAATTTTATTAACTTAGCCCTAATGTTGTACATTAGATTTCTAAAGGTGTTCATCCTGCGTTATCTGCTATTTTATGTCCTTTGACCTACATGTCCCCATTTCCTCTCCCCCTCCCCCTTGGCCATGGTAACCTCTGTTTTATTCTCTGCCTCTGTGTATTTGAGCTTTTTTTTTTTTTTTTAAATCCATGTATAGGTGAGATCATGCAATATTTTTATTTCTGTGTCTGGCTTAATTCACTTAGCACATGTCTTCTAGGTTCATCCATGTTCTGGCGCAAATGACAGGATCTCCTTTTTTAAGGCTGAATAATATTCCTCTGTGTGTGTCTGTGTGTGTGTGTGTGTCTCTGTGTGTGTGTGTGTGTGTGTGTACGCATCATATTTTATCCATTTGTCCATAGATGGACATTTAGGTTGTTTCCATATCTTGGCTATTGTGAATAATGCTTCAATGAGCATGGGAGTACAGATGTGTTTATGAGGTGGTGATTTCATCTCCTTGGGGTATACACCCAGATGAGAAATTGCTGAAAATCCCATATTCTTAACGACTAGGCTGGGAATTTTGGAAACTTGTTGACTGGTTGCTAAACTAATCTCGCAGCCTGGAGTACTTAGTGCTGAGCTTAAGAGGAGGTATGAGGTAAGGTATTAGAGACCTCCGAGGGGTGACAGGGAGCTTTTGGGCTCTGAATCATGTTTCTGGGGGGTATTTTTGTAGTTGGGGATCACATGCATTTTCCTGTTTCTGCTCCATGAGAACTGAGAGTATTTTCTGGCTCTGATTTAGCAGTCAGTTGAAGATTCCTGTGGGTTCCACATGTGAGGAGAGTTCAGTCTAGATGGGAGCGTAGCGTGCGTATGGGGTAGTATATAGAGTAGAGGCCCAGGGACCAGATAGATCTGGAGTAGGGGCCATCTGGGATGCTGCTTATAAGGACCAAGTGACAGAGAGGACATAAAAGCAGAGCTGGGAAGGGGAGATGCTGGGAGAAACAGTGAGACAAACTGGGAGGTCAACTAAAGCCCCGCCAAATTGACATTGTGGTCTTCATCGTTCTTGCCCTTTTAAGTGAACAGAATTAGCTCCATCAGTCAGAATCCATCAGGAAGCAGCCAGTACACTGAAGAGGTAAAGTCAAAGAGAGGTTAATAAAGGGGGTATTTAGAGAAAGTAAGAGAAACCAATAGGGGCTGGTGAAGCACCTCGGGCTAGCAGTAGGTGGAGGTGCTGCTACTCCTGGGCTTGAAGGCCAAGGGGACAAGAGCAGATACAGGAACACCCTGAGAGCTTTAGCTCTAGGACAGGCCCCTAACAGGACCTGTGACCTTTGCAAGAGAAACACGGCCACTGCCAGCCTGCAGCGTGGTAGGAAGTGAGCCGGTGGATAAACACTCCAAGTTCTCTTTTTTTCACCCTTTGATTTCCTGCCACTCACATCGGTTTCATCCAACCAGATGCCAAAAGGCGAGGGAGTCAGCTCATGTTATCAGCAGCCTGGATGCAGAGCAGACAAGGATGGATCTGAGGGGCAAAGAGAGCATCCTCTGCCTTTATCCACAGGTGTACTTAGAAACTGCTGGGAACACAACCCACGATGCTATCCATAGGGAAATATCTAAATAAACTGTGATGTGTCCATACTAGGAAATCCTAGGCAGAAGTTGAAAAGACAGAATAAATCAGTAGTTATTGCTATGGAGAGATTGCTGAGATCTATTGTTGAGTGGTGAAGCAAATTGCAGAAAAATGCCTAGAGTAGGATGGCATGTTTACGATACTCACCCCCGCCCCCCACCACCACATACACTATCATAAGTCTATTAAGGTGCAGCACGGTGGCTCACGCCTGTAATCCCAACATTTTGGGAGGCCGAGGCAGGCAGATCACCTGAGGTCAGGAGTTCCGGACCAGCCTGGCCAACATGGTGAAACCCCATCTCTACTAAAAATACAAAAATTAGCCGGGCATGATGGCGTGTGCCTGTAATCTCAGCTACTCTGGGAGGCTGAGGCAGGAGGATCGCTTGAACCTGGGAGGTGGAGGTTGCAGTGACCCGAGATCACGCCATTGCATTCCAGCTGTGGCGGCAAGAACGAAACTTTGCCTCAAAAAAAAAAAAAAGTCTATTAAATGCCCCATGTCTTTTATGGTATTTTGTTATATGTATATGTCCATATGCAAAGTTTGGAATAACATACATCAAACTGGTAAGAGTGGTTTGCTCTGGAGAGGTGGGAGGCAGTTCAAGATTTGGGGGGTGGTCAAAGGGGACTTCAGTTGTGGTAGATAGTACTGGCTGCTTAATAACAGCCATTTCCCACTCACCCCCTTCTTTAATGCTAACAACTCAAATCTTATTCAGGTATCAAAGGGCAGCATTGTGCTCAGGGAAGGTAGGTCCAGGTGTCAAATCACGATTGAGCTAAGCCAAGTATGCTTATACCACTCCCCTTTGCCTGTGATTTGTCTAGGGGTAGGCATGTGACCTAGTCTGCTGTTGACTTTTTTTTTTTTGGCTTCCAATTCCATTTTAATTTTGTTTCTTTGTATGTCTTTCCTTAAATATATAGTCCATCGCCTTGGCTTAGTGCATGTCACCAAAAATTCTCCAGGAATTTCATAGTTTGGACCTTGGTGGCATGGCTGGCCCTGGATTATCCATGCAGGGAGGCCTGATCCTGTGACAGCTGGCTGCAGCAGGGGGCTGCCCATCTTCTGTGCTTTGTGGTACATATCTGTGTCACCAAAGTAGCGGCCTCGGTACAGCAAGCCTTTCATCTGCTGCTTCTCCGTCCAGCAGTTGTTCCAGAGGTTGGCGATATAATCATCTTTCACATTCGGTTTGACTGTTTGGAGGCTGGAGCCTGTGTACTCCTCGGAGAAAATGCCTGCCACATAGTAGATGACACTCAGGTGGTCAGTGACTCGCCTGTGATGTGGCCCACAAACAGTCTTGGGCTCAGACTGTAGGGTGGACTGGAGACCATGAGCTGGCTGAGAGCTGACATGAGGATGAGGATGGGTATCAGCTGCACGAACACCCGCAAGCTGCCGTCACTCCGCTTCTCCCTGCAGCCCTGCCTTTGCTGGTAGGTATAGCGCATGCAGCCATTGCTGTAGACGTAGACTTTACTAGAAGGGAAGCCATTGCCAAAGAACATGTTGAAGAGGTCTTCAGGGGAGATGTCAGCCTCAAAGCCGTGGTGGAAATCCCCATGACGATGCTGGACCTGACTGCCTGACTCCTGTTATCGCCCAAGTGGTCATACTGCTTCCTCTTTTCTTTCTTTCTTTCTTTCTTTCTTTTTTTTTTTTTTTTCCTGAGACAGAGTCTTGCTCTGTCGCCTAGGCTGAAGTGCAGTGGCTTGGTCTTAGTACACTGCAACCTCTGCTTCCCTGGTTCAAGCAATTCCCCTGCCTCGGCCTCCCGAGTAGCTGGGTTTACAGACATGCACCGCCACTGCCGGCTAATTTTTGTATTTTTAGTACAGACAGAGTTTTACCATGTTGGCTAGGCTGGTCTCAAACCAGCTGGTCTTGAACTCTTGACCTCATGATCCGCCCACCTTGGCCTCCTAAAGTGCTGGGATTATAGGCATAAGCCACCGTGCCGGGCCACACTGCTTCCTCTTCTCCGGGTTGCTGAGTACTGCATATGCTGTGCCAATGGCTTTGAAAGCTCCAGTGGTGCCAGGTGCATGGTTCTTGTCTGGGTGGAATTTGAGGGCCAGTTTGTGGTAGGCCTTCTTCAGGTCCTCATCTGAGGCCCCTCTCCTCACCTCCAGGATCTCATAATAATCCTTACATTGCTTGACCCTTTTCACAGCTGCAACTCCTTCTGCAGTGTAGCCTTTGGTGCTCTCTCCTCCTCCAGCTTCACCGTTGGCCTAGGGAGCATCGGTCCCACCTGCTTTCCTGTGGGTGGCATGGGTTGTGTCTGTGGGTTGGGGTTGGTCACCAGCAGTTTGTGGTTCCTAGTTGAGAGACTCCATCAGGCCACACACTCGCGGCATTGGGTACAGCCACTGTGCCTTCTCCAGGATGAGGAGCGCCTGGTTGGGCTGGTTGCACTGGATGGCTTGAGGGTGATGCTGATACAGAGCTCGGCTTCATCCTTATTGGATTACATGGCAGAACCAGAGCATGGAACCTGCTGTTGACTTTTAAGAAGTGTTTTTGTTGTTGTTGTTCTAATAACAGAGTATAGTAGATGAAGTAAGTAGATGAAGGTGAAAAGTTCTGCTTCTCCCTTTCCTTTTTGCCTTGGGATGGAGTTGTTGGAAATGTGATGCTTGGAGTTACGGCAACCATCTTGTGACCCAGGGGAAAAGGCCAGGAGAGGCCGGGCACGGTGGCTCACACCTGGAATCCCAGGACTTTGGGAGGCTGAGGCCGAGGTGGGCAGATCACGAGGTCAGGAGTTCAAGACTAGCCTGACAAATATGGTGAAACTCTGTCTCTACTAAAAATGAAAAAATTAGCTGGGTGTGGCAGCATGCACCTGTAGTCCCAGCTACTCGGGAGGCTGAGGCAGAAGAATCCCTTGAACCCGGGAGGCAGAGGTTGTGGTGAGCCGAGATCGCGCCACTACACTCCAGCCTGGGCGACAGAGCAAGACTCCATCTCAAAAAAAAAGGCGAGCAGAAATGGAGAAATGTAGAGACATTAGCCTAGCATCTTAATTTTTTATTGTTGTTGTTGTTTTTTTGAGATGGAGTTTTGCTCTTGTTGCCCAGGCTGGAGTGCAATGGCATGATCTCAGCTCACCACAACCTCTGCCTCCCCAGTTCAAGCAATTCTCCTGCCTCAGCCTCCCGAGTAGCTGGGATTACAGGGATGCGCCGCCATGCCTGGCTAATTTTGTATTTTTTTTTAGTAGAGGTGGGGTTTCTGCATGTTGGCCTGAAGTGATATATTTTCTCAGTATAATTTATTCATGCATTACTTGTGTAATTACACATTTTTCAAAGGAGGGCAAAACGCCTTAGGCATTTGTACTTCATCTTCAGAGTTGACCTGATCCTCCTTCTGCTGACTCTGACTCTCTCTACCCTTCAGGACTCTTGTTTGCCTCTGCTGCTGGTCTCTCGGCTGCCAGCTGAACTGCTTTGATTGACAACTTAGGTGTTCAAGACTTTTGGAATGCACACTTTAGCCTTCCTGGGGCTGCTCCATCCTTTTTACTCCCTCAGGCTGGGGAACCCACTGTTTGGGGCTGCCCTTTCCACAGCACTTTCTTCAGGGAGGGACTTGCCGTTTGGTAACTGACACCCCTCACCCCCACCACTTCTCTTCTGAGGAGATGGAAGAGCTGCAGCATAGAAGAAGCTGGGGAACAGGCCCAAAACCAAGGGCCCCAGAGTCTAGGTGGGATTCCTTTGGCTCTGGCCCTAGGCCTGGCATCTGAGTATTATAGAGAAACTCATTTTATGTTTATCCAGGGGTTCTTGCATTGCCTGTGATTTCTGAGGATGCTTTTAAATCACTAGTATTCACTGCCTCTACTAGAACTTCTGTACACTGGATTTTATTCCCCCCAGCTATAAGGGCTTGTGAAAATATCTTAAAGAGTAGAGTAAGTAGCTCGGGCAGGCTTGCATTTGCAAAAGCCCACCCTCACTGATGGAAGACTGGTGGGAGGCCCTTGTGATAGGTTGAGGGAAAGAAGCTGAGGTTTTAGTTGGGGCCCAGGATTGGGGTGGAGGGGAGGAGATGGGTGTGAGTTTTCCCCTTCCCTTCTCTGTGGGCGATGCTCCACATACGGTGGCAAGGAAAGTTTTCTGCATTCTTCAAAGCATGAGCAGAGATCTTTTGCATGCTGTTTCCACGGGTGTTTCAGGGAGCTCTCTGTAATAAGGGTTCCCTTTGTGGCAGTTGGCAGTCGGTTCCAAGCTCATCATTTTGTTGCAGCAGGACTTGGCAGGGGCATGGGAGAACAAGACTTCTGCTGTTCCTTTGCCACTCTGAGCTCTGCACCCGTACCTATGAGGGCTACCTCTTTCCTCCATCCTGTTCCACCTGTCCTCTTCCTGCCATTCTTTTGTCCAAACCTGTGGGAGGCTGCATTCAAGTTCACAGAAAAGGGGTACCTGTAGTCAAAAAGGGTAGGAGGATGGGAGGAGAGGATTAAGGAAAAGCCAACTTTTGCCTCAGATGCCCGGCTGCTTTATTATGCATGCTTTCCTCTTTCTCACTGTTTTTTGGAAAGGCTGAAAATAAACACTTTTGTAATACTGACTTGTAGTTCACACTTTCCTGACAAGTTACTCAAACTGCAGCCACAGCCGCTTAAAGAGAAGTTTGACGCAAGCCTTATTCAGCAGACGCTTTCTAATTCAGAATGTTCCGAGGCAGTTGATCTTGCTACTTCTAAACTAGTGAAGGGGCCGAGGAGGGGGCACATTGCTTAACCTGGGAGCCCTGGGCCAGTACCCACCACCAGCAAGTCCACCAGCATCTCCACCACAAAGTCAAGCTTTTGAGACTGCTGGGTCCTCAGGGCTGTTACCCAGCTCACTTATTCAAGAAATGTCACAGAGTCATTAAAAATCTCACCTGGAAGAAACTATGAACATCTCTTAATTCAAGATCCCTTTTTCTGTAGGCCAGAGAAGTGACTTCCCTGCTTAAAATGAACAGAACTATTAGGAGCTAGGGATACAGCCCCAAACTCTGGAAGCTTCCCATTGAGCCATGCTTTGTTAATTTCATGGATTTGATTTATTACGTTTCAGTTTTTATTACAAAAACTTTCAAACATACACAAAAAGTTGAGAGAAGAGTATAATGAACATCTGTGTACCCATCACTCAATGTCAATACTGGTCGCCGATTCGATGTTATCTTATCTAGTCCCCATTTTCCCTCACTGCAACCAGATAGACGTCGTAACACTTTATCCACAAGTACAGCAATATGTGTCTCTAACAGAAAGCTTTAAAAAATAGTGTAACCATAGTTACCATTATCACATCCACAAAATTAGCATTATTTCTTAGTGTCATAATACCTTCGAACACAGTTTTCTCCGGTTGTGTCAAAAATGTCTTTTTGCAGTTTGTTTAAATGAGGATCCAAACAAGGTCCACACATTGCATTTGTTGACATATTTTAAGGGGTTTATACTGTCATGGTCCCTCCCCTATACCTTCCCCATGCCATTTGTTTGTTGATATAGTTGGGTCATCTGTCCTTCAGAACTTCCCACGTTCTGAATGTGGCTGGTTGTATTCTGCTGGTGTCCTTCAACCTATTTTTCCATCCTGTTTCCTGTACATTGGTACTGAAGATGTAGACAACAGTGATTCTCAGCTGGGGGAGACTTTGCTTCCCTCACCTCCCAGGGGACGTTTGGCAATGTCTGGAGACTTTTGGTTGTCACACCTGGGGGTGGGGGTGCTTCAGGCATCTGGTGGGTAGAGGCCGGGGATGCCGCTAAACATCCTGCAGTGCACAGGACAGCTGCCCACAGGAAAGAACCACGTGTCCCCCAATGTCAGTAGAGCTGAGGTTGAGAAACCCTGACTGGGAGACTTGAAATTCAAGTTTTGCTTTTGGCAAGGATATTTCATAGGTGGAGCCGTGTACTTCCTGCTGCATCATATCAGAACACTGTGTCTGATGTTAAGGTGATGTTTCGGTTGGTCAGTGGATTCAGGAGGGGTCAACCTCACACATCATAAAATTAGCCAAATGGGCATGTTTTGAGAGTAAAAGGGAGTGCTATTAATAGATGAAAACTGGGAATGTTTCTGGCAAACAGAGACATGTGATTATCCATTGATTTTTCAAGAGCTTTATTCATCTCTAATGAATTTTCTTTCACTTTTTTACCAGTTTTAATCAAAGTTACATGGGCACATAATTTTTTTATTTTTAAATTCATATATTTTTAAGAGACAAGGTCTCACTCTGTTACCCAGGTTGGAGTGCAGTGCTTGATCATAGCTCACTGTATCATCAAACTCCTTACTTCAAGTGATCCTCCCACCTCAGCTTCCCAAATAGCTAGGACTATAGATGTGTGCCACATGTCTGGATAATTTTTTTTTCTTTTGTAGAAACAGCGTCTTGCTATGTTACCCAGGCTGGTCTGGAATTCCTGGCCTCAAGTGATCCTCCTACCTTGGCCTCCCAAAGTGCTAGGATTACAAGCATGAGCCACCGTGCTTGGCCCATGGGCACATAATTTAAAGAGGCACATAATTCTCCTAAACTTGTTGCTGCGGTAATTTCCTCATTCCTCCCTATTTTCCTTTCCTAAGAGGCAACCACTTTCAATTCTTTCAGTTGGTTCTTGTAATATTTATCCTCACACATCCTAATATGCTTAAATTGCTACTTCATGGTTTTTCTGTTTTTGGCATTTTAAAAGGACTTCTTTCTAAAGAATATAATTTATCTTTCTGACAATGCTCTCTAGCCCCCAGTACAAGCCTTTCTTGACCTTTCATTTTCTCAGAACAGTGAAATTCTAATTTTAGCTGTCTGCTTATATTTAAGAGTGGGGTATTAAAAAGCCAAATAGCAGCTCTGATCTTGTGAGTGGAGCCTGTTGACTGCTATCTTCCCCATTGGGTTATCTGGCTATGCTACCCTCCAATGTCAGGATGTTTGATCATTTCTTCTTGGGCCAGTAAGTCTTCCAGTCTTCTGCCCAAGGAGATAGACCGGGCTGCCAGGGTCCTGGGACCCAGGTGGGGCCAAAGAGCAGTGAGTCTCAGCATTCCTTCTGTGGACTTTCCTTTTTTTGTTGTAATTCCTTGCCATCAGTGGTGCCCGCTGTCCTTCAGTCAGTCCTTAGAAGCTCCATTAACTTCCTCCAGAGAATAAACCTTAAGTCTAGTGGCAGGATTGTGGGAGGTCAGTTGCCCAGTTGCACAGAATTGGGGAAGGAAGCTAAGGATCAAATTGTTATTTTTTTTAAAAAAACAGCTTTATTGAGATATAATTGACATAAAATAAATATCACTTATTTAAAATGTACAATTTGATAAGTTTTGACATGTGTATACACCCATGAAATTATCAACAGTCAAGATAATGAGCACCTGGGCATGGTGGCTCACGCCTGTAATCCCAGCATTTTGGGAGTCCAAGGCAGGAGGATGACTTGAACCTAGGAGTTTGAGACCAGCCTGGGCAACAAAGTGAGACTCCCATCTCTACAAAAAATTTGAAAATTAGCCGGGCGTGGTGGTGCATGCCTGTAGTCTCAGCTACTCAGATGACTGAGTGGGAGGATCGCTTGAGCCCGGGAGGTCGAGGCTGCGGTCAGTGAGCTATGATCACACCACAGCCCTCCAGCCTGAGTGACAGAGTGAGACCCTGTCCCCCTCCCCCCCAAAAAAGTAAAAATAAGATAATGAGCATATTAGTTGCCCCTTAAGTTTCCGTTGCCCACTCAGGCAACTGCTGATCTGCTTTCTGCCACTAGATTGGTTTGTATTTTCTAAGATTTTATGTAAAAGTAATCATATAGTACTTGCTCTTTTTAGGGGGGAAGGATTCTGCTTTTTTTTCACTCAGCATCATTACTCTGAGATTCATTCAGGTCGTTGAGTATATCAATAGATTATTCCTTTTTATTGTTAAGTAGTATCTCATTGGATTAATACACCAAAATTTGTTTATTCATTTACTTGTTGATGGACATATGGATTGTTTCCAGTTTTTAGTTATTACAAATAATACTGCTATGAACATTCATGTGCAGGTCTTTGTGTGGACATGGTTTTTCATTTTTCTTGGGTTAACACCTAGGAATGGAATGGCTGAGCCATATGGCAGGTGCATGTTTCACTTTTTTTTTTTTAGTTGAACTTTGAACAACATGTTTAACCTTTAGTGAAACTGCCACACTGTTTTCCAAAGTGGTTGTACCATTTCATATTTCCACCAGCAGTGAACCAGAAAGTTCTAGGTGGCTCAACATCCTTGCCAACAAGTGATTTGGTCAACCATTTAAATTTTAGATATTCTAGTGAGTATGTAGTGGTATCTCACGGTTTTAATTTGCATTTCCTAATGACTAATGATGTTGAGCATCTTTGCGTGTGCTTATTTGCCATCTGTATATCCTCTTTGGTAAATTGTTCAAATCTCTTGCCCATTTATAAAATTTGGTTGTTTTGTTTTCTTATTGAGTTTTGAGATTTCTTTACATATTTTGGATACAAATCTGTTATCAAATGTGTAACTTGCATATATTTGCTCCTAGTCTGCAGCTTGCCTTTTCATTCTCCTAACAATATCTTTCAAAGAGCAAATGTTCTCAGTTTTATTTCTTTTTTCTCCATAAGAGATTTTAGAATCTTCCATAAGTGTTCTTAATTTTGATGAAGTCCAATGTATTGATTTTCTTTTATTGATTTTGCTTTTGGTGCTGTTTCTAAGAAATATTTGCTTAACCCAAGGTCACAAAGAGTTTCTCTTGTTTTTTTTTTTTTTTTTTCCCTAGATGTTAATAGTTTTAGGTTTAGGTCTGTGATCCATTTTGAGTAAATTATTTTTAATTAATTTTTTTTTAAGAGACAGAGTCTTGGCCAGGCATGGTGGCTGACGCCTGTAATCCTGCCAGTTTGGGAGGCCAAGGTGGGTGGATTGCCTGAGCTCAGGAGTTTGTGACCAGCCTGGGCAACATGGTGAAACCCAGTCTCTACTAAAATATAAAAAAATTAGCCGAGCGTGGCAGCATGTGCCTGTAGTCCCAGCTACTCAGGAGGCTGAGGCAGGAGAATTGCTTGAACCTGGGAGGCGGAGGTTGCAGTGAGCTGAGATCACACCACGGCACTCCAGCCTGGGCGATAGAGCGAGACTCACCCCGCCAAAAAACAACAACAACAACAACAACAACAACAAAACACAACGAGACAGAATCTCACTCTGATGTCCAGGCTGGAATTCAGTGGTATGATCACAGCTCACTGCAGCCTTGAAGCCAGGGCTGAAGTGATCCTTCCATCTCAGCCTTTGGAGTAGCTGGGACTACAGGGGAGTGCCATGTTCCTGAACCATTTTCAGTTAATTTTTTCTGTATAGCGTGAGATGGGTCAAAGTTCTGGGTTTTTTTTTCCTTTTTGTATATGGATATCCAATTATTTCAACACTATTTGTCAAAAAAGACCATTTTCCCCATCAAATTGCCTTTGCACTTACGCAAGTTACTATTTCTTAGTCTCCTATTTTTCTATTTGTCTATTTTGAATTCAATACCACACCATCTTGATTATTGTAGCTTATATTAAGTCTTAAAGTTACATAGGGTAAATTCTCCATATTTATTCTTCTTTTTCAAAGTTGAATTGGTTATTCCAAGTCTTTTGCATTTCTAAATGAATTATGTTTTTATTTTTTATTTTTGAGACAGAGTCTCGTTCTGTCATGCCGGCTGGAGTGCAATGGCACGGTCTCAGCTCACTGCATCCTCTACCTCCCGGGTTCAAGCCATTCTCCTGCCTCAGCCTCCCAAGTAGCTGGGACTACAGGCATGCGCCACCACGCCCAGCTAATTTTTGTATTTTTGGTGGAGATGGGGTTTCGCCATCTTGGCCAGGCTGGTCTTGAACTCCTGATCTCAAGTGATCTGCCCACCTCGGCCTCCCAAAGTGCTGGGATTATAGGCGTGAGCCATCGTGCCTTTCCCTAAATGACTTATATGATCAGCTTGTCAATTTTAAAAACCACATTGTTAATGTAAAAATGAATAATATAATGTAAAATGTAAATGTTAATGTATACATATATGTATGATTTAATGTGTAATATAAAAAGCCTGCTGGGATTTTGACTTGGATTTATTATAGCTATAGATCAAATTGGGGAAAATTTACATCTTACCAAGTTCAGTGTTGGATATAAGTGGTAACAGCAGACATTCTTTCCTTGTTCTGATGTTGGGGAAAGCAATCAGTCTTTCACCGTTAAGTATGATGCTAGCTGTAGGGTTTTCAGTTATCCATTATCAGGTTGTAGAAGTTCCCATCTGTTCCTAGTTTGTTGAAAATTTTCATCAGGAATGGAGGTTAGATTTTGTTAAATGCTCTATTTTGTATGTATTGAGCTGGTCACATGTTTTTTCTTTTTAAATTTTTGTTCGTTTGTTTTTCCATTTGTTCGAGATGGAGTCTCGCTGTGTCACCCAGGCTGGAGTGCAGTGGCGTGATCTTGGTTCACTGTAACCTCCACTTCCGGGGTTCAAGAGATTCTCCTGCCCCAGCCTCCCGAGTAGCTGGGTTTACAGGCACCTGCCACCACACTCGGCTAATTTTTTTGTATTTTTAGTAGAGATGGAGTTTCACCATGTTGGCCAGCCTGGTCTCGAACTCCTGACCTCAAGTGATCCTTCCACACTGCTGGGATTACAGGTGTAAGCCACCACACCTGACCTTTAATTTGTTAATATAATGAATTAAATTGATTGATTTTCAAATGCTTTTTTTTTCTGGGAGACAGGGTCTCACTTTGTCACTCTGGCTGGAGCAGTGATGCAGCGAACACGGCTCACTGCAGCCTCAACCTCCTGGGCTCAAGTGATCTTCCTGTTTCAGCAACCTCCCTCCACCCCTAACCCCACCCCAAGTAGCTGGGACTATGGGCATGTGCCACCATACCTGGCTAATTTTTTTTATTTTTTTATTTTTATTTTTATTTTTATAGAGATGGGGCTTCACCATGGTGCCTAGGTTGGTCTTGAACTCCTGAGCTCCAGCAATCCTTCCACCTCGGCCTCCCAAAGTGCTGGGATTACAGGCATGAGCCACCATGTGCAGCCGAGATTTTTCTTTCTTTTCTTTTCTTTTTCTTTCTTTCTTTCTTTCTTTCTTTTTTTTTTTTTTTTGAGACGGAGCGTGTCTCTGTCCCCCAGGCTGGAGGGCAGTGGCGCAATCTCGGCTCACTGCAACCTTACCTCCTAGGTTCAAGTGATTCTCTTGCCTCAGCCTCCCGAGTAGCTGGAACTACAGGCATGCCACCACGCCCAGCTAATTTTTTTGTATTTTTAGCAGAGACGGGGTTTCACCTTGTAGGTCAGGCGGGTGGTGATCTGCCTGCCTTGGCCTCCCAAAGTGCTGGGATTACAGGCGTGAGCCACTGTGCCCCACCCTGAAAGTTTTCAAGTGTTAAACTAATCTGGCAATTCTGGGATAAAGCCTTCTTGGTTAAAATATATTATTCTTTTTGTATATAATTGAAATCAATTTGCTAAAATTTTGTTTTAAGAAATTTGCATCTATGTTCATAAGTTTTCTTTTCTTGCAATGTCTTTGGTTTGATTTATAGAATGCTGATCTCATAGGATTCCATCCCTCTTCTTTAGCTTTCTGGAAGAGTTCATGTAGAATTAGTATGACTTCTTTAAAATTTTGGTATTATTATTTTTTTCTTCTGCTTACTCCGAGTTTCACTTTCTCTTCTTTATGTAGTTTCTTAAGAAAGAAGGAAGCTGAGGTTGTTGACTTGAGCACTTTTTTCCTCCTACTTTAGTTGAGTGCTATGGATTTCCCTCTAAGTTCTGCATTCCCTGCATCCCACCCATTTTGATGTGTTGTGTTTTCTTTTGCATCAGTTCACAATGCTAATTTATCTTTGATTTCTTCTTCGACCTATGGATTAAGAAGTGAGTTATTTAGTTTTCAAACATTTGGTTTTTTTGAAATTTTTTTTTTTTTTTTGTCCAGGAGGCATTTTATTTGTAAATCTGTATTACACATCTAGAAAAAGAATGCCAGGATTTTCCCTCCTGTGTGTTTTTGTCTTGCCTCTTCATGGTCTATGATGCTAGCTGAGGTTGTCAGTACAATAAAACCAAACTGGTGGGATGGAAGAAGATTACTCTGCCATTTTTCTAGATCTTTGAGTTGCACATCAAATCTGGGGCTGATCACGCCACACTTGTTTAGCCTGCCTGTGGGGCAGCTCTTTGATCATCAATGATTTCAGTTTTGCCAGTGTAACCATGCTTCATCATCATAGTGAAAAACTGGACGATGACTTCAGAGCACAGCCTAATAAGAACCTGAGTTCATGGCCTCTCTTTTCAGCATTGTCGATGCTCTTGAGAGCATCAGCCAGGACATTCATGTGCACCATTGTGGCGGTGCAGAAAGATAAAGGCAAGAGGACAGGAGGGGAGAGCGCACAGAATTATTGAGATATATTTTTCTTATTGATTTCATTTTGGTCACAGAGCATACTTTGTATAACTCGAACCCTTTTAAATTATTGAAATTCGTTTTATGGCCCAGAATTGGACGATTTTGGTAAATGTTTTTTTGTGTACCAAAAAAAAAATGTATATTCTGCCAATCTTGGGTGGACCTGGAAACTTTCTCAAGCCAGTAGGCCGGGGCACTCAAAGAGCTCATTTTGTTTATTTCCTGTCTCTCAGGAATTGGTATACTTCATTGCCTTATACCCAATGTCTTCAGAACAACTGTTTCATATATTTGTCTATTTTATAAGTTGCATTTGGTGGAAGAAGAGTAAATCTGGTCTCTGCTATTCCATCTTAGCCAAAGTGAAAGTCTCTTTGAACTGCTTTTTAATTGAGTTTTCAGTCAATATTCCTTTGCTAGCCCTACCTTAACCTTCCACTTCCAGAAGTAGCTGGTACTGACTATTCCCGGACCTTTTCGGTGTTTTTAGATGTCAGTTGTTTTGTTTCTTGGCTTTTCTCACTGCTGGTTGTGGAATCTAATAAATATTCTAGCAAAGTTATTAAAGCAGAGCTGACACTACACAGGGGACCCTGAAATTAGACAATCATGGCTCACTTGTCATTTTCTCATGAGGCCACATTTGTCTGGAACAGGGCCTCAAACTAATATACCAACAAGGGCTCTCTAGGGAGAGAAAATGAATGAAAACATGGGTGCAAGATAACTGGAAGGGGTGGGGACAAACATAACTCACCTTGTTTAGACAACTCTGCTCTCATCTCCTGTGACCATGCAAGAAAGAAGGCCTGGTGTTGCCGGATCTTCCAGGAAAGTTTCAGAGAAGCTGGAAACGCATAACTTTATGTAAAATTGCCTCTTTTTTTCTTTCTTTCTTTTTTTATTTGTTTATTTTTTTTGAGATGGAGTCTTGCTCTGTCGCCAGGCTAGAGTGCAGTGGCGCCATCTCGGCTCACCACAACTTCTGACTCCCTGGTTCAAGCTATTCTCTTGCCTCAGCCTCCTGAGTAGCTGGCATACAGGTACGCGCCACCACGCCCAGCTAATTTTTTTATTTTTAGTAGAGACAGGGTTTCACCATGTTGGCCAGGATGGTCTTGGTCTTCTGACCTCATGATCCACCCGCCTCAGCCTTCCAAAGTGCTGGGATTACAGGCCTGAGCCACCACGCCCAGCCCAAAATTACCTCTTTTAAAAATCTTGAGAACTCATCTAAATTTAAAAGAATGTCGAAGGCCAAATGAAAATCCACGTAAGGATGGGATGACAGCTCAGGATTTGCATCTCTGTTTCTCTTTCGCGCTTTCCTGCTCCATTATGCAGGGATGTGGATATTCACTGGCCTTTGGGGACTGAGGGTGGGTAAGTCTCTATGGGTAGCAAGGAAATGACAGACTTTCTATGAAAACCAACTGAATCATGGAATGAGAGAGCTGGAAGTGACCTTAGAAAAATGTGGTCAAACCCCAGGATATTACATAAGAAGCACCTAAGGCTTAGAAAAGTCAGGTGACTTCTCTAAGTACAAAGACTGTATTAGTTAATAGTTGGGCTGAGTCTGCATCTAGTTGCCTAGCCAAATTTTCTTTCTTCTGTGTTCCATGAGAGCAAGAGATATGTCAGTATCCTTAATGCAATTCTTGGTGCATAGTAGGTATTCAATGAATATTTGTTGAATTAAAAACACATACTGAGTTGCTTTCTATAATATTAGCATGTGCTATCTTTATCAGTTAGGATATGGTGTGGCTACATATAACAGAAAATTCCCAAAACATTAGCTCATATACAATAAAGATTTATTTATCTGTGAAAGAAATGTGGACATTTAGGGTGTCAACAATGTTCTCATCTCTTCTGGTTCTGTTTTACCATTCTTCGTGTATGGCTTCTATCCTTAAATTTATCTTATGATACTGAAGCTATAGCCATACAGCTCAACTAAATTCCAAGATGGAAGAATGCAGAATGCCTCCATGGCAAAAGGTTTTCCTGGAAGTTCCACCCAACTTCCACTTAAATCTCATAGTTTGAAACTTAGATAAGTGGCCACATGTAGTTCCAAGGGAGGTTAGGAAAAGGAAGTTGGATACATTGTCTCCTTGAATAAATCTGGGTTTTGTTAAAGAAAGGATGGAATGGGTATTTAGTAGGCAACTAGCAGTATCTGCTGGAATTTAAGAGTTAATTATTGATTGAAATATTGTTTCCTGCAGTTTTGATATGCACAATAATCAAAGCAGAAATATGTAAGCCTTTAAAGATATTTATCAGAAGATATTCAAACAAAAAAATACTGGTTTAGTTCAGATAATATTCTAATGTTCTGGTTAAATCATTTTAGAAAACATTGGTTCAGCTTCAGTTCATGTTAGTTCAGTAGGATTTTACTGGTTTTCATGGAAATCCTTTTGGATGAGTCCACAATTTAGAAAAACATAATGTTGTATTTCAGTTCAGCACTCGGTTTCAGAAATGAGTGTGATCTCTTTGAATTTTTGGTTCATAATTTGAGTCAACTCCAGTTCCTGTTTCTAATGTATCCACCCTAGACATTTTGTAGTTATGGCTTAGAAAGACAGACATGGGCCAAAGAACTGGTTTCCACTGAGGCTCGAGTTTATTAATCCTGCTCTTCTTATGTAGGAGCCAATAATCCTAATGGCTTTGAATGACTCTAAATTTATCTCTGTGATTTGGCATGACTAAAGGTCTCACTCATGACAGACATGCCAAAATTAACACATTAGCCTGTTTCATACTTGTTCTATGATATAAATGCACCTAATTGAAAATGTCTCTGTTCTTACTCATAAGTTTTGCATTCCCGTGGTTTGAGATTTCTTTTACCATGTTAGTTCTAGAACACTATTCTGGATTTTGTATGGTGTCTCAGAAAATACACTTAAAAATTAGAGGTTCAAGTTTTTTTTTTTTTTTTTTTTTTTTTTTTTACGGGGACTGAGGAGGTACTGTACATTTCAGAAGGAGAATGTATGTGGGGAGTGAGAGGCTCCTTCTCCAGGGAATCCCGCTGATCAGGGACTGGGAAAAGGTGGCTCAGCATTGCCAGATACCTGGAGTACACTACAACATTTTAACTACAAATTAGAAATCTGAGTTCCTATGAAAAACCCTGATTTGTACATATCAGCCAATAACTTAAAAAATTAAAATCAACAAGTGGGCCACTACTGTGCTGGCCAAACAGTACATGTCTATAGGTTCAGTTATTGGGCTGCTGGTTTTCAGAGTCTGATTTTGACACTGCCTATTTTTTCTATGTCCTCCCTGTCCTCTTCCATGCCTTACTTGATGATTCTGCCCTTATTCTTTTGGATAAAAATGTTGATAAAATATTCAAAAGTAGGAACCCAATTCTCTGGGTATGACTGTATGCTTCTCTCATGGTCATTGGCCACCCCTATGACATTTATCTAGTCAAGTTTGCACATATAGCCATTGGTCATAAAGTAGAATGAGCAAGAGGCTGTAAACGATGCACTACAATCCATCTCACACAATTAACCTGGTAGAAGTCTTCATGTTTATGTGCTACTTATTTGTTTTCCAAAATGCATTCAAGGAGTGCCAGCTGCGTATGGCAAGTGGAATGCACAGTGGGTACATACCCTCCACTGGACTTTACTTATTTTCAAAATTTGAATTAAACAGAAGAAGCCCGTTGCCCTCTGGTCATAAGCTGTGAGGATGTGAGCCTAGAAGCCACCAGCAGACATAGTTCCTTTATCAGGAGAAAGATGGTGTGAGAGAATAAAGCCAACATGCTGAGATATGCATTATCTTTCTCCTGGATACTGCAAGGGCTTCCTGACTTGTCTTCCCGTTTCTACCCTTGCTCCACAGTCTACTTCCAACACAAAAACTGGAGTGATCTTTAGAAACAAAAGTCAGATGTCACCTCCTTGCTTAAAATCCTGCTTCGGGCCGGGTGCGGTGGCTCATGCCTGTAATCCCAGCACTTTGGGAGGCTGAGGCTGGTAGATCACCTGAGGTCAGGAGTTCGAGACCGGCCTGGTCAACCTGGTGAAACCATCTCTACTGATAATACAGAAATTAGCTGGGCATGGTGGTGGGCGCCTGTAATCCCAGCTACTGCGGAGGCTGAGGCAGGAGAAGCGCTTGAACCTGGGAGGTCGGTGGAGGTTGCAGTGAGCCGAGATGGCGCCATTGCACTCCAGCCTGGATGACAGAGCAAGACTCAATCTCAAAAAAAAAAAATATATATATATATAGCTAACACCAATACACATTTTCTACATTTTCTATGTGCCAGGCATTATTGTAAGTGCTTTATGCATATTCACTCATTTAATTCTCACAACAGCTTTATGAAGTTGGCACTATTATTATCCATTTATTAGATGAGGAAGCTGAGTCATTGAGATATTAAGTAATCTACTCAAAGTGCCACTGTTAATAAGCATGGGGCCACAATTTAAACTCAGGCGTCATGATTTCAGAGTCCACTGAAATCATAATGAAAGGTTTTCAGATGATAAAAAACCCACCTCAAATTGGCTTACATAAAAAGTGGAACTTACTCCCTTCTATCATGGACCAGTCCCTGGCGCTATCCCAGTGTGCCGTCAGTATTTGGTACTCTTCTCTCTCATCTCAGCCTCGTTCTCAGGCAGCCTCTCTGTGTGTGGTGACCGCAGCAACACTGGGTCCACATCATTTTCAGCTTCGAGTTTAGAAGACAGAGAGGAGCTTGTGCCGATAAGTCTCAGGACTGAGTCTCAGTGATCCCAGTGGGGTGTCTGACTCATAACTGAACATTTCACCCTGGGGCCAGGATAGAAGATACCAATTGGCCAGATCGTGGTCATGTGACAACCTGTCTAACTATGGGTTAGGGGATGGTGTTGATTTTGTATCACCAGAGCCATGTAGGCCAAGAGTGGGTGAGGAGCTGTTGCACCAAATATAAACAGGGTGCTATTATAAGTAAAAGGATGGCCGGGCACGGTGGCACACACCTGTAATCCCAGCACTTTGGGAGACCAAGGCGGGTAGATCACCTGAGGTCAGGAGTTCGAGACCAGCCTGACCAATATGATGAAATCCTGTCTCTACTAAAAATACAAAAAAATTAGCCAGGCGTGGTGGCAGGCATCTGTAGTCCTAGCTACTCAGGAGGCTGAGGCAGGAGAATTGCTTGAACCCGAGGGGTGGAGGTTGCAGTGAGCTGAGATCATGCCACTGCACTCCAGCCTGGATGACAGAGTGAGACTCCGTTTAAAAAAAAAAACAACCTCAAAAAACCCAAAAAACCAAAAAAAAAAAAAAAAAAAAAAAAAAAAAAAAAAAAAGGGTGGGGGGATGGATACTGGGTAAGGAAAAATATTGGATGGCCACTACAGGCAGACACTGTGTTTTGTTTGTTTGCTTGTTTTTTGTTTTTTTTTTCACAGATGAGGGGCCTAGGGTTCATAAATGCTAAGTGATATTCCCAGGACTATAGATCTAGAGCATGGCAGGGCTGGGATTTGAATCCCAAAACTTTTGTCTTGTCATAAAAAGACAAACTTGGCCAGGTGCGGTGGCTCACACCTATACTCCCAGCACTTTGGGAGGCTGAGGCGGGACAATCACCTGAGGTTGGGAGTTTGAGATCAGCCTGGCCAACATGGTGAAACCCCATCTCTACTAAAACTACAAAAATTAGCCAGGCATGGTGGCAGGTGCCTGTAATCCCAGCTACTCGGGAGGCTGAGGCATGAGAATCGCATGAACCCAGGAGGCGGAGGTTGCAGTGAGCTGAGATCTCACCACTGCACTGCAGCCTGGGCAACAGAGAGAGACTCCATCTCAAAAAAAAAAAAAAAAAAAAAAAAAAAAGACAAACTGGAAATGACGGGAATGGTAGTTGTCAGGGTGGTCTTCAGGGTCCAGGGACTGCCTGGTGCTCTGTCTATTCGCACCATCACTTCTTTTTTCCTGCCTTTTAGCTCAGCCCTGAGGGGCTCCAACTCCAGGACCCCAGAACTGGTTTTCTTTAAGAAAGGATCTGGAAGGTGACAGGGAGGTGAAGGAGTGGAGCTTCCTTGAAATGGCAGACCCAGAGACCTAGAGGAGCCTTGCTTCTGTGGTCTAATTGGACTAATTTTAGGCTGTTAATTAGCCTCTGGCAATTATTTTTCACTCCAGAAATTCCCCAGTTTTATTTACACAGAGTGATTTAGCCTTTTCACAGACAGAGTTATTTCCTTATATTTGGTTCTGTTTAAAAAAACCTCCAGTCCCCAAAGCCTTCCAAAAAGCTGGGCCGGAAGCAGAGCCCAGGATCAAGTATCTGCAACTTCAGAGGCAAGGAAGGTCTGGGGGCTAAAATTCACACAGTCAACAATTTTAAGCAGTTTAGGCCAATGCTCACTTGTTCTTTCTTTCCCTTCTTTCCTTCTTCCCTCCATCCTTTCCTTACCTCCTTTCTTTCTGCTTAAAACCCCTCTGTTCTTAATGTGCTTGGCTTATACTCCTTAATAGATACTAAGCATCTATTAGAAGTCAAACATTTTGGGAAGAGCTTAAGAGAGGCTATGTTCTCAGTAAGATATCTATAATTTACCTTCACAAAGTTCAGCATAGACAGAAAATATTGAGTTTGTGCTATTTGGTAGAAGCTCTGACTCCAAGGGCAGCACCTCTTGCCAAGAACACAATCAGGGCATAGTCAGCTCCATTCCAATTAGGAAGTTAAGGCAGCTGCTGTGAGCACCAATGATATCCATATCTTGATCAGTACCTTATGTTTGGCTTAGCATAGTGAATGTCAGAAAGGGTTTTTATTAATTCAAGTAGTAGCTAGTAGTCTGCACAGTGAATGTGGGCTCTTAACTGGGTGAAACTGAAGATATTTGAGATGCGTGGATGGGGCTAAAATAGTTCAGAACCACTCACATAAATAGGTTAGAGAAATCTAGGAAGGCCTGCTGCCTGCACCCTCAGGGAAGGCATCAGAAACTTGATCCCAACTGGTCCTACATCTAGCCACTTGTTAGGAGGATGTCTGGTTGCCCAATGCCACGTATGAGGGTAACATATGTGTTACCCTCATATGTTGTCATAAGAGAATGTTGTCATATGAGACTGTTGTCATATCTGTCTCAGATAAACTTTTCATATAAGACAGTGGCCAAAGCACTTCAAAGGGTAGAGAGCTTGGGTTTCACGGCCCTTAAAGATCAGACTTTATAAACTGTCTTTCATTTACTAGCTAATAAGTTCTTTTTTAGTGAATGTTCATATATGTGGCAGAATTTGATGTGAGATTTCCCATCAATGTCATGGGACAGGGAGGGTGTGGGAAGCAGATAAACCTCACCCACCTGGAACCTCACCCACCTCCAACATCTTCTTCAGTGACTACTGTTTCCACCAAAGAGAACCAACATTGCATATACTGAAACTGGCTTAAGTTTGTTTGCAATAACTCCTTCCCTTCAGAGAATTTGCATCTTAGCTAGAAAGATGAATCTATTAGGCCATTTTCACACTGAAGATGGGCTACCCAAGATTGGGTAATTTATAACTGGAAGATACTACCCAAGATTGGGTAATTGATAAACAAAGGAGGTTTAATTGACTCACAATCCTGCACGCCTGGAAAGGCCTTGGGAAACTTATAATCATGGCTGAAAGGAGGCAGGCACCTTCTTCACAAGGCGGCGGGAGAGACAGCGAGCAAGAGCAGGGAAAACTGCCTTATAAAACCATCAGATCTCATGAGAACTCACTCATTATCATGAGGACAGCATGGGCGAAACTGCCCTCATGATCCAATCACCTCTCACCAAGTTCCTCTCTCGACATGTGGAGGTTATGGGTGTTACAGTTTGAGATGAGATTTGGGTGGGGACACAGAGCCAAACCATATCAATGAACAATTAGGGGAAAACCACACTTCAAACAAGGATACCCATACAGCATACAATGTACAAGCAAGAACAGGAGGGCTTCAGAAAGGGCAGAAAACAGTTAGGCAGGTTTTTCTTCCTTTACTTTTGTGAGCTTTATTGAGGTACCGTTTATATAACATAAAACTCACCAGTATCAAGTGCACGATTTGAAGAGCTTTGACAAATGTAGACATTTGTGAACCACCATCACAATCAAGGTGTAGAACATGTCTATCACTCCCAAATATTTCTTCTTTCCTAATTTTAGTCAATCTCGTACTCCCACCTCTTGGACCCTGACAACCACGGATGTAGTTCCATCACCCTAGTTTTACCTTTTAGAAAAAATTTCACAGAAATGAATCATACAGTTTGTAGCCTTTTGAGTCTGGCTTCTTTCACTTGGCATAATGCATTTGAGATTTGTCCATGTTTCAGTGTATATCAGTAGTTCATTCCTTTTTATTGCTGAGTAGTATTCTGTTGTATGGATGTACCACAATTTGTTTATCACTTCACCAGCTGAGGTCAGAAGTTTAAGACCAGCCTGGCCAACATGGTGAAACCCCGTCTCTACTAAAAATACAAAAAATTAACCAGGCGTGGTGGTGGGTGCCTGTAATCCCAGCTACTTGGGAGGTTGAGGCAGGAGTATTGCTTGAACCTGGGAGGCAGAGGTTGCAGTGAGCCGAGATTGCACCATTGCACTCCAGCCTGGGTAACAAGAGTGAAACTCTGTCTCAAAAAAAAAAAAAAAAAAGAGCCATATTGTTTGTTTGTTTGTTTGTTTGTTTGTTTATTTATTTATTTATTGAGACAGGATCTTCTTCTGTTGCCCAGGCTGGATGGAACCGGCACCATCATAGCTCACTACAGCCTTGACCTTTTGTGCTCAAGCAATCCTCCCATCTCAGCCTCCCAAGTAACTGGGACTACAGGTATGCACGACCATGCCCAGCTAATTAAAACAAATTTTTTTTTAGAGACAGGGTCTTACTATGTTGCCCAGGCTGGTCTCAAACTCCTGGGCTCACGGGATCCTTCCACCTCAAACTCCCAAAATGCTGGGATTACAGGCATGAGCCACCTTGCCCAGCCATATTATTTTTTAAAGCGTTTGTACTCCCACCAGCAAAGTATGAGAATTCCACTTACTCCACATCCTCATCAATGTTTGACATTGTCAGTCTTTTAAATTCTAACCATTCCAATGTGTGTATACACAGTGGTGTTTCACTGTGGCTTTAATTTGCATTTCTCTATTGAATAATCATGTTGAGCATCTTTGCATGTGCTTATTTTTCATTTGTATATCTTTTATAAAGTATGTATTCATTTTTTTGCCCTTTTTTTCTTATAGAGTTATAAGAGTTTTTTTGTTTTTGTTTTGTTTTGCTTTGTTTTTTGAGAACGAGTTTTGTTCTTGTTGCCCAGGCTGGAGTGCAATGGTGCAATCTTGGCTCACTGCAACCTCTGCCTCCCGCGTTCAAGTGATTCTCCTGCCTCAGCCTCTCGAGTAGCTGGGGTTACAGGCATGCATCACCACGCCCAGCTAATTTTGTATTTTTAGTAGAGACAGAGTTTCTCCATGTTGGTCAGGCTGGTCTCGAACTCCTGACCTCAGGTGATCTGCCCGCCTCGGCCTCCCAAAGTGCTGGGGTTACAGGCATGAGCCACCGAGCCCAGCAAGAGTTTTTGAAGTATTGTGCACACAGATCTTTTACCAGATATTTGTTTTGCAAATATTTTCTCCTGGTCTCTGGCTTTCCTTATTGATTCCTTAACTGTCTTTTCTTATTAGTTTTGTTTCTGAACTGTATCTTTTCAAGAGTAAAATTTTAAGTTTTGATGAAGTTCAATTCATCGATTTTTTTGTGTCCCTATTTTTAAGAAATCTTTGCCCAATGCAAGGCTACTAAGATTTTCTCCTATGTTTTCTACTGTTTGTTTTATAGTTTTATCTCTTATGTGTAGGTTTATGATCCAATTTATTTTAATTTTTTGTATATACTATGAGTTAGAGATTGAGATTTTCTTTTGCCCATGCCTATTTAATTCTCCCAGCTCCATTTGTTGAATGTCTAGTTTTTACTTCATTGAAGTGCCTTGGCATCTTTGTAAAAATCAATTTGCCATATACATATAAGTTTATTTCTTGACTTTCTGTTTTGTTCTGATACCATCACTGCCTTTTCTACTATCGCTTTATAAAAAGTCTTGAAATCAGATAGTATAATCTACCTTTGTTCTTCCTTTTCTTTAAAGCTGAGATTTAAAGTATAGGAATTTAATTTGGTCCTGTATCTGGAATGAAATGAAACTGGTCCAGATTCCACCTCGAATACTTGCTAGCTGGGAGATCTTAGCCAAGTCACATGTTTTACCCGAGTCTCACAATACTTCATGGCCTTGTGAAGATTAAATGAATGATTGAAAGTTTAAAAAATGGGCTGGGCATGGTGGCTCACACCTGTAATCCCAGCCCTTTGGGAGCCCGAGGTGGGTGGATCACTTGAGGTCAGGAGTTTGAGACCAGTCTGGCCAACATGGCAAAATCCCATCTCTACTAAAAATACAAAAATTCGCCAGGCGTGGTGGTGCATACTTGTTATCCCAGCTACTTGGGAGGCTGAGGCAGAAGAATTGCTTGAACCCAGGAGGCAGTGGTTGCTGTGAGCTGAGATTGCGCTACCACACTCCAGCCTGGGTGACAGAACAAGACTCCATCTCAATTAAAAAAAAAAAGAAAGTTTAAAAAATGTACTTTTAAAACGGTAAAGAGAGATGCACATATCACCTGATATGTTGTTATGGTCCTAGGAGTGGTTATTCTATAGGCAACCCAAATAATAGTGCCTGCTTTCTTGCAGTGTTAAAAAAATATTAGCCGCCCATACTTACTGTACGCTCCCTACTGGGCCCTCCTGCAGAATAATGAGAAATCCTTACCCCTTGACACTCTTGGCCATGTGACTTGCTTGGGCCAATCAGCTGTGAGCAGAAGTGACATGTCCTCTTCTAAGCAGAAGCTATAAAAGCCATCATGTGTCCTCCACTTTTTCTTTTCTTCCTCTCCATTAGATTGCCCCAAACCCCCATTTTTCTGGATGCTGTTCCTTGTTCACTTCCCTCTCCCTTATATGCGTGGGTCACTCAAGAACAGCCATGTACTTCCATGGCCCTGCCACCCTGGTCTCAGATGGGCACCTGAGGGTTTGGGGGCAATGATCTGTCCCCTGCAATTTTTAGACTAGAGTACAGCTAGTCAGGTCAATCTTTCTTCAGTGGTTGAAGCTATAAGCTGTACAGTTTGTGGCCACTGCTTTCCGCCTTGTGAGTTATAATGGAAATCTACCATGTGTGGCTGCCCAAATCTTGTAAATATTTCCACATTTCAGTAGTGCCATGTTTCGTGAATCTTGTCACCTCAAGGTAGGTTCCAAAAACCGTAAACCAACCAGCCAACCTACAATTCCCAGCTTCCATTGCAGCAAGAGAGTAGAATCATGGTCTAGGTTCTCCTAACCAGATAATCCTATGTGGAATTTTGATTTGCAAATATGTGAGAAAGCAGTTTGGGTGAGTGGCTAGTGGATTGGTATCAGGTCCCTTATTGGGTCAGTTCTTTAGCAGGGTTCTGGGAGTTGTTCTAGGAAGACCAGCCTAAAACCTGTTTCTCCACACTTTCAGTGATTCTGTGAGCTAATCCAAGGTAGTTTTCAAAATACTTCACAAGTGGCACAGCCTGGGCCCTGCTGCACCTGACAGGGTGCTGTGACCAGGCAGAAGGGAAGTGGCTGTAAACAGCCAGTAAGACTGTGCAGGTGTATACAAGCTGATTGTCAGTCCGAGGACAAATAATGTCCTTTCAAAAATCCTTTTCTCCTTAAGCCATATAGATTTTGTTGCCTACAGCCCAGAACCAGTTCTTAATGAAAGAGAAATGTAAGTTCAGTTCTTGGAGAGTGGTAGGGAAAAGGTGCAGAGTCCATCCCAACGTGGCCAAGGCCCTGATTTCTGTCATTCCCAAGGTCCAGCTGCATCTCTGTTTGTCCATAGCTTGACTTTATTTTCTTTTTTAAAGACAGGATCTGACTTTGTCACCCAGGCTGGAGTGCAATGGCACTATCTTGGCTTAATGCAACCTCCCAGGCTTAAGTTATCCTCCCAGTCTCAGCCTCCTGAGTAGCTGGGATTACAGGCGTGTGCCCCCACTCCCAGTTAATTTTTGTATTTTTTTGTAGAGATGCGGTTTTGCCATGTTGCCCAGGCTGGTCTTGAACTCTTGGGCTCAAAAAGATTCGTCCGTCTCCACCTCCCAAAATGCTGAGATTACAGACATGAGCCACCATGCCCATTCCCACCTTTCTTTCTTTAAAAAGATGAACATTAATAAATTAGATGAGAAAAATGAAAGAGTAGGGGCTGAGAAACTTCGGTTAAACAATGATTTATTTAATGAAGAAGCAGCATGCATCAGAGAAGCTCTTTGATTCTGCTTAGAGGCAGATCCTGAAGGAAAGATTTGACTGCAAGTAAATTATTTAGGAAATGATTCTAGGAAACAACTGTGGGAGAGGGAGGAAGTGAGATGGAAAGGGAAGGCAGCCAACGAAATGTGCTTTATCAAGCAGGTTACCAAAATGTGGAACTGGAGCTTAATCTCATTTGGGAACTTTGGAGGGTTGTAGAAAACACACCCACATGTGCTACCCAAGAGGTGAGGGAGCTGGGATATTTATACACCAGCCTGGTCAGTCACTGGTTGAGGGCAGCTAGATGGTGGTGTGGTGGGTAATTATCCGGCAGAGTGGGTCCAATAGGCAGAGAAAGCCCTTAGGCGAAGAGAGACAGGTTGGCAGTTGGAAGTTGGGCAGCTGTCCTGAGATGGTAAGAGAGAGGGGAAATGGGTGTGGCATGGACAGCTTCTGCCAGATCTTGTTTAGACTTTTCCCTGAATGCACACCTATGTGAGGCACCACTTCCATAATAAAAATGTCACATGGTAGTGACATGCTTGTGCTAAGGTAGATTCAAATTTATTTCGGGTTTAAGATCAATGGGAACATTTAAAAAATGAATTGCTCATATAATTATTGCTTGAAAGTCCATCTCTTCTGTTTGACTGTAAGCTTTCTGAGGGCAGAGCCTATGTCTTTATTTGCTCACTGTTTTATCCCTGGGCTTTAGCATGGTGCCTAACACATAGCAGAAATTCAATAATTTTTTTATTGAATGAATTTGGCATAATTAGACAATGTGGGGTATTGCTAGATGTTAAAATTTGAAAAAAAATCTGAATGTGTGCAACATAAAAAACAAAACCCCAATGATTTATCTTTATAGCTCCAAAATGTCATTATTAGCTTAAGAATATATTTTTGTGTGACAAGCAAGTTGATTTGCTTATTAAATTATTAATTGATATGTTTAGAGGGCTACAGACCTTGTAAAACATTGGAGGAGGTTTTGTTTTTTTTTTTTTTAACCCCCTTCTTAACTCAAAAAAGTCTAAGGAGGGAGAAAGAAAAAGCTGATTTTTCAGCTGTTTGTTTTCTTTTTCCTCCCAACACTCTGAGGTTTCTACGTGCTGTTAAAACAGGGCCAAGAATCCCTGGCTTGGATTCTGTCTTTCCTTGGGGGCAGAAGTTTCCCTCTCAGGCCTCCGGGGTCTTTCCAGTCTGCAGTCTTCAAATATGGGCTGACCAACCCAGAAATGATATTTTTTGTTGACTAACTCCAGGCACATATGTTCTTTCGTGGAGGGATATTTTTGAAAGAAAGGCTGCACAGTTTCCATTTGCAAGAGAAGAGTATATTTTCAGAAGCTTCTATGGGAGGGAGACTGACCTTTGCTCTAACACAGAGAGTCTTCTTCAATCTGGGATTTTATGGGGAACCTCATCTATTTTCTTTCTTCTTCTTTCCTGCTGGAGCTAGTTTCCTCTGTTCTCTGGTTAAACATTTTTATTGGATGGATTTTACAATGGGGAGGAACACATACTTTTTTGTTGAAAGACCATCTCCAGCTAATGGAATCTAATCGGGCCAAGGGAATAAAATTTGGGAATTCAATTTCCTCAAACTGAGTCGACACTTCACTGCTCCTGTTTCATGCACTTTGAAATATGGCGTGTTCATGTTTGAAGGCACAGAGAGAGTTGAGCTCATTCTTAAGTGAGACATTCTAGGCAAGAAATAGCTAGAACTAATATTAAAATCGTCAACTGTAAACGCCCCTTCTACCCCAACAAAAGACAACAGTATGTGAACTAAACCCCTCCCTTCTATACGGATGCTGCAGAGAAACCCCCTGTTGTCCTTTGGGAACAATGGTTGGAATAAGTATGTAATGAGTGGGGGTGAGGAGAAGAGTTTGAAATTAAAAAAAAAAAATGTTTCATGTGGTAGATCAGAAGCTGACCAATAAAATATTGCAACATTTATACCAACCAACCCTATGGTTATGGTTGCAACTGTACGTAATTATATCTCATTTTCATTTCATTTATTTTTAAAGAGCTTAGAGATTTCTCTTTCAGCTAAAAACAGTATAGGGCGTTTCATTGATGATTGGGAGAGGGAGGGTGGAAGTGTGGTAACAGAGTCACCTTGTTACTGTGCACTTGGGATATATGCTTTGGTCCATGACAGCTGAGCATAGAACGACCTCATTCAGGAACAAATATCGTCTAAAGATTTTGTCTAAGAAACCCAGTGCTATGTACCCCCTAGTTATTTACAGAGAAACACAATAATTTCTATAAAACTGAATGTGTAAACAAAAATTAAAATCCAGCCTCAAGAAAGGAAGAGCATCTTCTCTAGTCTGTCTGTGTAGGCCCCTCCCCAGTGGAACTTCAAATTCCTTTCCCAATCCTATTTGCCACTCTCCCCACTCAGAAAACCTTTTCTCAAGGAAACTTGCCCACACCTCCACTCACATATTCATGGAGAAATACTCCTAGTCTTGAGCGTTAGAATGCTATTGTGTGAATGTTGCATTTTGATTTATTAATAGGACATTTGAATCCATCTTTACTCTCAATCATTCAGCATATTTCTAATCTAATTTTATACACCAGTTTATAATTGTTCTCATTAAAGAGCTGTGGAACAGCCTGACTTTAAAAGGAAAGTAATGGAAATAGAGAAAGGAGAAATCAGGGTAACTGGGCAGAGACAATATCCGTTCTTTCATTTTTATATAGAAATAGAATTTTCAGCTGAGCATAGGGCTGCCCAGCTAAGATGACAAGAAGACCAATCTGCCTTGTAGCTAGGACCAAGTTTTGGCCAATGGGATGGGCAGAAGTGATGTGTGCAGCTTCTAGGTCATGCCTTTAAGGGGAGGACACTTCTGCTGAACTTCCCCTATCTCCTACTGCCAGTGACAGAGGTGTGGATGTCAGCATGAGACATCCTAGACCATGCAGATAAGGACTATGCCCATGGATGGCAGATCAACAACATAGCAAGCACCTGAGTCTCAATCCTGGGCACTACTGTGTCAGCCCTAGATATACCCAGACTATTACATAAAAGGGAAATTACATTCTCTCTTGTCTAAACTACAGTTGTTTTAGATCTCTTTTGGAGCAGCCAAGCCTGTGTCTGACACTGAAGAATTTTATTACATTCTTCAGCCCTGGAGAATTTCATTAAAGAGACCTCCTTGCAAAGTTGGTAATCTCCACACATTTTGCTTTGCTTATCTAGGCAGGTCAAGTCCAAAGTGCATTTTTCCAAACGCTTCTGCTCCTCTTTCTGCCTAGGAGTACTCTTATCAGTGCTTGGGGTGGGGGTGCTGAACTGAACCATGAACTTAGGAAGTTAAGCTATCTCTGTGGGAGTCACGGGTGCTGGATGAGAGCAGGATAAGCAAGCTACTAGAAAGAGAGACACAAGAGGGCTCCCAAGCCAAAAGGACTTGAGGCCTTGAGCCTTCAGGGAAATGGATGCATCTGAAGACAGAGTGGCCCTCGAAGCAGGACTGGTTGGCCGCAAAACAAGAGAAATGGTGGTGGTGTCATCCTTGCTTTGCAGGAAGAATACTCTCACTGAGCTCTCTTAGAGTACTTCTGGCCTCAGTAGCCTGCAGGAATGGAAAGGAAAGGGTTTGTCAAGACAGCTCTGTGTGAGCAATGTGCAGCAGGCTCTTCTCAGGCTGAGGCCATTAATCTTTCATTCATTGAATCACCTTTGCTCTGATGTCTCATTCACCAAGCCCTCTTCTGCTGCAATTTGGTTTCACACCTGGATCTCCTACAATGAAAGTGCTGATCATAGAGACTTTGAGCCTTTCTGGTCTTTGTGATGTGGATGGCTCATGGCAAATAAATAAAGTCGCTGCAGGTCAGGATTTGGCTTCCCAAGTTGCTTGCATAAAGAGTGAATAATGCAGATCTTGCTGCAGGTGATTTGGGCCCAGGTGGAGTTATGTTTCTCTTTGTACCATAATGCATTTGCATTCTGGTGTCTGCCTAAGGCTTGGGTCCTTTTCTGTAGAATGAGACCATTTTTTAGCCCTGATAACCCCTCAGGGAGTCTCTGAGACCACTTAATACATTAAAAATCCACCATGGGTTCCTGCCCTTGTCTACCAGTTTTCCCTTGGACTAATGGCTGGAAGTTTTTTATGTTTGATGAGTGTGACATTAGATGGACAAGTTCACCCCATGCCTATTCCCTGAGTTATATTCAGCTCTAGGACACTTGCCCTTACCCTGTGCCTTTTTCTTCTTCCACTGAAAAGAGCATATGAGAATGTAAGGAGGCTTTCCATCCAGGAGAGAAAGCCTGGGATCCTCTCTAGGTGGTAATGAGAAAGGTTAACTTTTGCAAAGCAACATATTCCTTCTGCCATGCTTAACCTTGATGGGGTCACATTCCAGTGTGGGGAGGCTGCTGTTGTAAAGTGGGGGACCCCCTTCTACCCTGGTCTGCTCTCTCTCTGCTGAGAGCCAGGGATATTGCTAGATTTGGCAAAGCATAATGTTCTGGCTCTTTATGAGCGTATGCTAAAGTATTCAGTCTTTTTTCTAGGTGAGTTCATTTTGCTTTGAGACAAAAATCTTAGCATTTGCCCTTGATTTTTTACCCTAATTTGCAATTTTAATATTATTTGTGATTAATTTTTTAAAAAGCTTTTCATTTTCTAGTCTAAATTAATTATAGTCTTTTATTTTGGAGAATAGAAAGCTATGTATTTTCAGCTTGAAATATGTTAGAATGATGAGTGGGGAAATAGTTTTGTTTAATGGAAAGAGCACGTGTTTTAGTGTCAGATTTTTAGCGGTGTTTGCGATATAGCACTTTATCGTTCTGAGCCTTGATTTCTTCATCTTTTAGTTAAAAGGGGATTTTTGCAGGACTGTTGAGATAATTAGATACTGTTTGTAAAGCACCAGCCAGGGCCTGGGATGGAGGACATTAACAGATGATGCCCTCCTTTATCTTTCTGTACAGCGGGTGTGCCCCAGAGCAATGCAAGGATCAACCATAGATGCCCAGGTTGTCCTAAACTTTCAGGAATCCCCATTTGAAGGTGACTCCATAGGTTTTCTAGGCTGAGTTTTGGGAGTTTCTGGTAGTGGTGGCAGAAATGGAGTTGGAGGAACAATGTGTGTGTGTGTGTTTGTGTGTGTTTGTGTGACAGAGACAGAGAGACTGCCCAGTTTTAGGGATTTCAAGGGAAGGAGCTGTTTTAGCTTGATCTTATACAACATCCCTGTGATATCAAAAACTTGGGGCTGGGCGTGGTGGCTCATGCCTGTAATCTCAGCACTTTGGGATGCTGAGGCAGGCAGATCACCTGAGGTCAGGAGTTCGAGACCAGCCTGACCAACATGGAGAAACCCTGTCTCTACTAAAAATGCAAAATTAGCTGGGCGTGGTGGTGCATGCCTGTAATCCCAGCTACTCGAGAGGCTGAGGCAGGAGAATCTCTTGAACCCGGGAGGAGGAGGACACGGTGAGCCGAAATGACACCATTGCACTCCAGCCTGGGCAACAAGAGTGAAACTTGGTCCAAAAAGAAACAAACAAACAAACAAACAAACAAACAAAAAAAAACTTCGGTTCTGTGTCCATTTTCTGTAGCTGAAGAAACAAAAAAAGAAACTTGGGTTCTGTGAAGATAAATCAGCTCAGCACTGGGTGCTGTTAACAGGAAGGGAGTGGGATCAATTGGCCAGTCACAGATGGATGGGGAGAGGCAGGAGAATGACCACCTGTGCCAACAGTGGAGAGGCTCTGGAAGGTCCCCATGCCCCTCAATGTTCCTAAATGTTTCTTCTCCTGCATACTAATCTGAAATAACTGAAACGCCACAAGTTATTTTTTTTTCCTCTCTCTGGAATCCTTGTGTCTTTCTTTCTTTCTTTTTGTGCTCCCTGTAACTACACACCCAGGTAGCTCCTTCTGAAATGGTGCTGTGTCTGGGACTAGTTTGGAGAAATCTGGAAAACTTGCTCATGACTGTATTTAAGTCACTTTGTCTCTCTGGGCCTCTTAAAATTAGTCACTTATTGAATCTCTGCCAGAGCCAACCAGATCCACAATTCTAAATGTAAAAGATTGTTATCCACAGAGTTGGCTTCTGGAGTGGGCATCTTCAGCCATCCTAGGGAACTGTGGGTGGGTAAAGGTTGCACGGGATGCTGAAGACAAACTTGAGTCACTTCTCAGGCAGGCCCCAGCCTCACTGTGGGTGCCTTTAAGGCAGCAGTACCCAATCTTTTTGGCATCAGGGACTGGTTTTGTGGAAACCAATTTTTTCTATGGATGGGAAAATGGGACTGGTTTCAGGATGAAACTGTTCCACCTCAGATCATCAGGTATTAGATTCTAATAAGGAGCATGCAGCCTAGATCCCTTGCATGCACAGTTCACAATAGGGTTCTTTCTCCTAAGAGAATCTAATGCCACCGCTGATGTGACAGGAGGCAGAGCTCAGGCGGTAATGCTCTCTTGCCCGCTGCTCACCTCCTGCTGTGTGGCCCAGTTTCTGACAGGCCATGGACTAGTACAGTGGGTTGGGGATCCCTGCTTTACGGGAAAGGTACAAAGGGAGTTTCCCACAGTTTGAGAAACTGTCCTGTCATTTTTAGACTCAAGTTGTTGAAAGCAAAGCCATCATCCTTGGGATTGTCCTATGAGTCTTGCCAAACTGTAGGACACAAGGAGATGACAGAAGTGATAAAGACAATTTTTGTCTCTCCACTAATTTTAGGCATTGTGGGAATTGGAGCCAGGAGTTCTGGTTTTGAGGCCCAGGCTTACCACTGATTAGCTCAGTGGACCTGACATCTCTGGGTGTTGCTTTCTTCCTCTGTTAAGTGGGGAAAATCGTACTTGACTTGTAGTTGAGGGGAGATCATGTGCTATGGACTGACTTATGTCCTGCCACACCCCAAATTCCTATGTTAAAGCCCTAACCCCTAGTGTGCTGGTGTTTGGAGATGGGATAGAGTTAGGGATATATCTTTTGGGATATAATTAGGTTTAGATGAAGTCATGAAGTTGGGGCTCTCATGATGGGATTAGTGCCCTCACCGGAAGAGACATCATAGAGCATGCTCTTGCTTTCTTTCTGTCTATCTCTTTGTCTGTGTGTGTGTGTGTGTGTGTGTGTGTGTGTGTGTGTGTGTGTGTTCATGTGCATGTGTTTTTTGTGAGGCTGGAATGGGAAAGCTGCCATCTGCAAGCCAGGAAAAGACCCCTCCCCAGGAATAGAATCTGCCAGCCCCTTAATCTTGGACTTTCCCCTAGACTCCAGAACTATGAGAAATCAATGTCTGTTGTTGAAGCCACCCAGTCTATGGCATTTGTTATGGCACCCTTAGCAGATCAAGACATTGTGGTCCCTCCCTCACTCACTCACTCATTGGTCTCTTATCTTTTGAGCACTGTTTATTGTGTTCTGAGCATTGTTCTCAGAAGTGAGGATACAATGAACAAAATAGACCAGGCTCTCACGTCCCTACAGTTCAGTGGGGGAAGAAAGACAGAAAACGAAAGAAATGAGATAATTTTGGATTGTGATAATAGCCTTGAAGATACTGTAGGCATAATAGTAGGTGAAAATAGTTCACAATCAGTGAATATTTGTAGCACTCCCACCCATAGCTGCTTCTGATCACTGTCCGTGCTATGTTGCCAGCTTTGGAAATGTCTTCTTCACCTTTGTCCTGAATCACAGGAACAGTATAGGGCATTGACACAGAGATGGCACTTCTTGTTTTCTGGGACAACTCTATCCTTTTGTAGCCCCATCGCTGAAATCCCTCCCCTACATCTTGCCCCCTATCAGGCAGCACATCGCTCCAACACTCTTGGAGTTGGGATGCAGAACCTGTATTTTGGGTTCTTCTTAGAGGTGATGGGCTGTTGTCATAGCAACTGCTTCCTAGACTTAACCGTCAGCCTCAGTGGAGGTTTCTCCTCAGCTTTTCAGGCTGTAGGCAATGCTTTCTCCTCAAATGCCAGAGCTGATCTAACTCCCCTGCCTCTAGCCTGCAAGCTGGAGAGACTCTTTACTTTCAAGGAAGTCTGGCTTTTACAGGTTCAAGCCTTTATAAGAACACCAAAGCAAGAGCAAGTCCAAAAGGGGCCTCCCTGCCTGGATGACAGAGGTGCTGGCTGGGGCTTAGGTAAGAAGCTCTCCTTTACCTCTTGCCCCTCACTGATCTTTCCAGACCCCTGGGGAGGCTTATGCAGGGGGCTCTGGCGGCAATTTCCCTATCCATTTTGGGTTGTGTTAGTTTTCAGGTTTCTCTGCTGTTTGGATCCTGATGTTAGATTCAAAGGCCAGATTTATAAGGTCAGGAGAATCAAAGACGGCCAGTGACTCACACACTTTCATGTTTCTCAGCCCTGGCCTGTTGGCAAGTTTCTGGACCCACTTGTAACCACTTTCCTGGAGCCAGTGCAGGTAAAGGAAAGGAGTTTAGCAAACAGGGAAGGGGTGGGCAGCCTGCCTGAACCTGAACCTGAGCCTGGGCCTGTGATGTGGTCAGGCTAGTGTGCCCCACCAGCCCTGGGCAGACGCCGGGCCAGGGCACACACCACTTGGTGCCCACTGGCGCCTGGGAGAGCTCCTGGGTCCCCTGCAGGGTGGGACTGGCTGGGTCATCTGCCCTCAGTGCTGCTATGGGGGGTGCTCTGTGAGGTGGGAGCAGCCAGGGAGAGAAACGGCAGGGCGTGTTGGTGAGGCTCCTATAAACGTGCACTTGGCTGTGTGCCTTCAATGCTGGCAGGCATGGGCTTCTGTTCTGGCTTCTCAGAGATCTTTAGGAGAAGAGAGTTATGTTCACTTCTGTAATCCTCCTTCTCGAATCTTCAGACTATGGGTCATGACCCATAGTGGGGCAAAAACCAATGTAGTGGATTACACACAACATGGAAAAACAAGGAGAAAGAAAAGATATTAATGTTAATTTTTTAGGCACAGTAATGGCAATGCAGCTGTGTAAGAGAATGTCATTATTCTTGGGAGATACACGATGAACTATTTTGGTGTTGAATATCATGAAGTTTGTCATCTACTTTCAAACAGTTCAACCAAAAAATGTCTCTTTGTGTGTGCATGTGTGTGTGTGTGCATGTGTGTGTGTGTGTGTGCCTGTATTGAGAGGAAGGTAGAGTAATATGGTACACTGTTTACTATTGGTAGGCCTAGGTCAATGGTTCTCAATGGACTGTGGGTGATTTTACCCCTCAGAAAACAATGGCATTTTTGGTTGTAATATCTGGGTGTGCGTATGAGGTACTAATGGCATCTAGTGGGTAAAGGCCAGGCATAGCCCTAAATATCCTGCAATGCACAGATGGCCCCCCCACAGCAGAGTTATCCAGCCCAGAATGTCAATAGTGCTGATGTTGAGAAACTCTGCTCTAGGGTAAAAAGTGTTTTTGTATCATTCTTTCAACATTTCTGTAAGGTTGAAAAATTTCAAAAGTAAATAAATAAATGAAACACATAGACTAGTAAAGAAGTCCCAGGCCAGGCGCCGTGGCTCACACCTGTAATCCCAGCACTTTGGGAGGCCGAGGCGGGTGGATCACTTGAAGTCAGGAGTTCGAGACCAGCCTGGCCAACATAGTGAAACCCTGTCTCTACTAAAAATACAAAAATTAGCCAGGTGTTATGGTGGGTGCCTGTAATCCCAGGTACTCGGGAGGCTGAGGCAGGAGAATCGCTTGAACCCTGGAGGCAGAGGTTGCAGCGAGCCAAGATCACGCCACTGCACCCCAGCCTGGGCGACAGAGCGAGACTCCGTCTCGAAAAAAAAAGAAGTCTCGGGGTACGTCACGTGTTGCCACAGTAAAGATAATTATTTGGTAGCACTTATTTTGTTTCAGTCATTTATCTATGGGTGTGTGAACTGGGCTGCAATATGTAAGTATTTCTTATGGGTATTGTGCTCAATATGTTTGAAAAGCACTGCATAATCCATATCCTTCCGGCTGTGCTTGCTGTTGGAGAGATAGAGAAGCTTGTCAAACTCTACTCACTTTCAAGTCATCCATAGTGATAATATAATTTTGTGTTTACGATGTTCCATGCACTGTGCTAAGCAGTTTACATGCATTATTTGCATTATCTTATTTAACCTTCACAGGAACACTTGTGAAGTGGGTATTACTCCTATCCTCATTTTATAGACACACTGAGGCTTAGGTTAAATGGATGGCCCAAGGGCACACAGCTAATAATGGAAGAACAGAGGCTTAGATCTCTTAGACTACAAAATCCAAGCTTTTAAATATTATGCCATCTGCCTCTAACCCTCTCAAAGCTTCCAAACTGAATATTGCTTGCTTTGGAAGTGAGAGGAGCTTCAGTCTCCTGAAGGTTGAAATGTGTGGTTGATCAAGTAGCCATGCCCTCTCCCTCTTCCATTCCTTCCTCTGGAGTCAGTGTATGTGAGCGTGAGTGCTGTTTTGATCTTCGAAGGACAACGGTGTTCATCCTGAAGTGGTGAAAATTTGACCACAAAATAATCTTTAGGGTTGAATGGCAAAAAAGCAACAAGTGATCATGAAAATATTTGACTCAAATTTCAACTTGACCGAGTCGTACCTACATACAGATTTCCCCAAAGCTCAGAGTGCTGCGTTTCAGGGTCAGAAATGAGGGGCTCATACCCCTCCTTCCACCTGGGCAATTTTTAGAGTGTAAACAAAGCTTCAACAAGTTGACCAGGATCCTTGACAGTGGCCCCAATTCCATGTGGTCATTATACAGATGCCAGGAGGCCCCCCAAAGTAAGTGTGGGATCTCAAGAGATGACCAAGTCCAGTCTCAGAAGGGAGAGCACTGACTTCTGGTTAGGATGCTCTTTTGGCTAAAGGCCACACCTGGTTCTAACCCGCATTAGAAACTTTCACTTACCCTTAACTGTTAAGCTCTCACTTCCCACATGGAATTGGTCACTCATCCTGGCAATTCTAATGGGCTGTGCTTTCTTTCTGCATTGACTTTGGAAAGGTCTTCACGTTGACTTCCATCTCCATCACATGTCACCTAGAGTCCAGGTCCTAGACCGTTCTCTATTAATTGTCCACACAGAAGCCCTGAGTCAGGCATCAACAAACATGAGAAATGAAAATCATGAACGGCCACCTAGTAACATGTGAAATGCAAAACTCAATACAAACATTTCATTGCCACAGATGAACTAGGGAGACCTTAAACTTGATCATCCACTTTGCTGATAGGGACTTTCTGGAGCGGTTTCCCCGGTAGGATTTTCTTTGGAGAGATGCTGGAAGTTCAGCTCATGGTTGCTGCTTGTGAGGCTAACTGTTCATGGCTTGTAAGCGGAGGCTACCTGCTCAGTTTGTGGACCTGGTCAGACAGGAGGAGCTGGCAACATTCCTTCCTATTGTTTAGCACGTTTTATAAATGAAGTTAAATAAAGCCCCCCGGAGAAGATTTATTGCCCACAGATCACTTCAAATAGAGAGCTCTGATCTTAGTTAACTTATTTGTTAAAAAAGTTTTTATCTTCAGATGTTTGGGCAGGCAAGTGATTTGGTCTCTGTGGTGAGTGTAGGGCCTTCCCACCTTAGCTCTTAGTTTGGTAGGTAGCTCACAGTAAGGGGTTGTACAGGCTGGACAGAGGGAACTGTGCTATTTTAATGCTGGAGTGAGATGTCACATCTCCACTTGGCTGTAAGAACAGTCCATTGGTTGGCTGTGTGAACCCTCAGGAGAGGGAATGATGACTCTTCATCTTCTGGAAGGAAAACCTGGGAACAGCCTGGTGATAACCTGTTCTTTGTCACTCTTCTTTTTGCTGCCCAGTCCTCCAGGCTTTTAGGCTCTGGTGTGCAACCCCTGCTGTGGTCATTTGAGAGGAGATAAAAGGAATCTTCTGAGAGCCAGAAGTTCTGTCTTCAGCACCAGCTGGGAGACCCTCTGTCAAGATGAGGGTTCTATTGATCCATGCAACTGCCGCCAACCAGAATTTTAGGGTTTTGCCCCAATAGGTATGTAGTTGTGATTCACTCCAGCCTCTGCTGTAGCTATCTTGGGAGGTTAGTAATGATTTGCTTCTATTTTATTAGTTTTACAACTTCCCACTTTCACTCTTAAATCACCTGTAGCTGCAATACACAAGGGATCTTCATACATAGACGGTTTCCACAGAACTATTGAAACAAAGGTTGAGTCATCACACGATTTTGTTAGTGGATGGGAGAAAGCCTTGTAGTGGTACTCTTTCCCCACTTCTTTTATTGTGGTAAAATATAGGTAACATAAAATATACCATTTTAACTTTTTTTTTTTTTTTTTTTTTGAGACGGAGTCTCATTCTGTCACCCAGGCTGGAGTGTAGTGGCGCGACCTCAGCTCACTGCAAGCTCCGCCTCCCGGGTTCACGCCATTCTCCAGCCTCAGCCTGCTAAGTAGCTGGGACTACAGATGCCCGCCACCACGCCTGGCTAATTTTTTGTATTTTTAGTAGAGATGGGGTTTCACCGTGTTAGCCAGGATGGTCTTGATCTCCTGACCTGGTGATCCACCCACCTTGGCCTCCCAAAGTGCTGGGATTACAGGCGTGAGCCACCACGCCTGGCCCATTTTAACCATTTTTAAAGCATATACTTCAGGCCAGGTGCAGTGGCTCACGTGTGTAATCCCAGGATTTTGAGAGGCCGAAGCCTGCTGATGGCTTGAGCCCAGGAGTTTGAGACCAGCCTGGGCAACATGGTGAAACCCCATCTCTACCAAAAACAAAACAAAACAAAACAAAACAAACAAAAATTAGTCTGGCACGGTGTGTGCATCTGTAGTCCCAGCTATTTGGGAGCTGAGGTCAGAGGATTGATTGAGCCCGGGAGGTCAAGGCTGCAGTGAGCCATGATTGTGTCACTGCACTCCAGCCTGGGTGACAGAGTAAGACCCTGTCTCAATAAATAAATAAATAAATAAATAAATAAATAAAATCTATAGTTCAATGATATTAAATACATTCACACTGTTGTGCAACCATTACCACCATTCATATCTACAACTTTTCTAATCTTGTCAAACGTTTTTCCCACTTAAAAAAAATTGAGTTATTATTTCACATATCATAAAACACACCTTTTTTCCAGTGTACAATTTGATGGTTTTTAGGTTTATTCACAAGATTGTGCAGCCATCACCACTATCTACTTGCAGAACATTTTCATCTTTTATCACTTTTGAACTCTGATTTTCCACACAGTATCATCCTCTTTGCCATCAGATGCACTGGTGATGCAACCTTTCTTAGAAGAGTGCTCCACTATTGTCTCTGGAATTTTCTCCCAAGCTCCTGACAGCCATCTGCAAGGTTGGATACTGACGCTTTCCTGACTGTGGCTAATGGTGTTAGGCGATGGCAACCAGGGCGTATTTACCCCCCTACCCGGGCTGACAGTGATTCTATGATACATATACTAATTTAGTGATGTTAAAATGTGAAAACTGTGTGCCTTAGAACCGGTGAACTCAGTACTTATCTTTCCAGCTCCAGCCCTGAAGTTGCTACATCTCTCGTGACTCACTCCCTTACTCAGTTCTCTGGGGGGCATCAATTTTACCATTCTGAGCTCCAAGGTACTTTGGCCAGAACCCTGTTCATTAACCCACCCATTGTATCAGCCTCATCTATACTTGTTTACATATTGTCTCTCTCCCTAGACCAGGAACCCCTGCTCAGGAGACATGCAAGGACATGTTATTCCTACTTGTCTCCACTGTGCCTAGTATCATGTAAGGAATAAAGTAAGTACTTGATAGCCAGGCGTGGTGGCTCACGCCTGTAATCCCAGCACTTTGGGAGGCTGAGGAGGGCAGATCATGAAGTCAGGAGATCAAGACCATCCTGGCTAACATGCTGAAACCCCTTCTCTACTAAAAATACAAAAAATTAGCCGGGCGTGGTTGCGGGCGCCTGTAGTCCCAGCTACTCGGGAGGCTGAGGCAGGAGAATGGCGTGAAACTGGGAGGCAGAGCTTGCAGTGAGCGGAGATTGTGCCACTGCACTCCAGCCTGGGCAATAGAGCGAGACTCCGTCTCAAAAAAAAAAAAAAAAAAGTAAGTACTTGATAAATGTTTATTGACTAAGCCATGATGATAAGAGCCTACAAATTATAGCAGAATGGGGTTGACATGAGAATACCTACCTGGGTGTTCATCTCCTTTTGGTGCAGCTTACTGGCAAAATTAAAGACAACTTCTAGCTAGGTAATGAGTCATTCAACTTAAAATGTAACCGAAGAAAAATAATCTGAGAAGTTGGGAAAGCACAATGTGGTATGAAAACATGGAAAATAAAGAATTGGGTTGTTTTTGTTTTGTTTTGTTTGAGATGGAGTCTTGTTCTGTCATTCAGGCTGGAGTGCGGTGGTGCAATCTCAGCTCACTGCACCCTCCACTTCCCAGGTTCAAGCGATTCTTCTGCCTCAGCCTCCTGAGTAGCTGAGATTACAGATGTGCACCACCGCATCTGGCTAATTTTTATATTTTTAGTAAAGACGGGGTTTCACCATGTTGGCCAGGCTGGTCCCAAATTCCTGACCTCAAGTGATCCACCTGCCTCGGCCTCCCAAAGTGCTGGGATTACAGGCATGAGCCACCGCGCCCGGCCAGAATTGGGTTGTTAATGGCAGTGAAAATAGAGGATGTAGTTGTGCTTAGGCCTAGGAAAGAGACAGAAGATTAGGATTTCCTAGATCACCAGCCAAAGCCTAGGGGCTCATTGCCTGGCTGAGGTGCGAGTTCTGGGGGCTTGGCAGATCTAGGGGTGAACTTGACTAGGACCATCCAGATCCCTAGGACTTGGTGCATGTAGTAAGTAACCTATGGATTATATTTCAGGTTCCTCCACCAGGAGGAGGGTATGTGGAAGACTTGCCTGTTGTAACTGGCCATGCAGTTCTTATGATAAACTGGCTTTCTTATTTTATGTAGTAATCTTGATATAGGGCTAACAAGGATTCAGCTTGGTATTACCTGATGGCTTCTGTATGAGTCCCTGCCAGTCATTGCTCCACCCAGCTGTCAGCAATAATTACCTGCTGCAGGCTGGACGGGGGCCAGGCTGGAATCCAGGATCCCCTGGGAGGGCAGTGTGTTAGCTCTTTTCCCACTAATGTGTGGATCTGGAAATTGTCTCCGTGCCTGTGCTGAGTGTCCTAAGGGTGTGGGAGCCTGTCCCTGTCAGGGACAGCCTCCCATGTGCAGCCAGTCCGCTGGCCAGCCTTGTGCCTGGGTCTCTGCTTTCCTTTTCTTTTGGAACCTGTACCTGGCATCTCTCTCAACTCCAAGGGCCTCCCTGAGCTCTGAGTCATGCATCCTTCTGATCAAAGAAGCCTTTTTGATTTGGACACTGCGTCCCTTTTCTTCTCCAGACTAGAACCCTAGGGTATGGATGCTATGCTGCATTTTACAGAGTTTTCTCTGCCCTTTGCGATGTGGTCATTTGAAATGGGGACTCTTTCTTGAGTGGCGACAAGTCTTATCCGTCCTGGTTAATTTCCCCAGCTCTTGCCCCTGTTTTAGTCTATTTCTTCTTTCCCAGTGCTTTGTGATCAGGACATTCTAGTTAGGCCAGAAGACTGATAAAAGTGAGTTTCTAGATCTGTAAAACTGAGAACCTAAACCTGGACCAAGAAGGACTGTACTAGTGGAGTTCTCTGAGAGGCCCATCTTGAAATAGGCTTCTTCTCTTAGCCAGCATAACAAAGCTTCACAGGGAACAGTGGCCATGTTATCTAGGCTTTTGTGGGGGCAAGTGTCTTCTCCAAGTCCTCACTGCTCAGCTGTTACCTCTGCCTCATACTGCTACAAGTTGCTACTTAAACCAGTAGCACTGGCATCCCTGGGAGTTTGTCAAAGATGCAGAGTCCTGGGCCCAACTTCAGACCTCCTGAATTAAGATCTGCATTTTAATATGAAGTCCAAATGATTCACATCCACCTAGAACTCTGAGGAATACTTACCTAAAATACTGGTGACTGCAGCACTAGCATTTGCTGCTGTGGAGTTTATTATGTACCGGCGTTAAAGAGTCTCATGTTGATTGAGTACACACCATGTGCCGGTGCCTTTTTCACTACCAAGCCACAGTGTCTGAGAATAAGATCCTTAGTTTGCATATAGCTCGTTCATCCACTCATTTAACTCTAATTTCATGATCAATGTGTGCTGGCACTAGAAATGCAAAAGCGAAAAAGACATGGGCCTTGATCACAATGAGCTCATAATTTCTGTGAGGCTGTGATGGCAGCACAGTGCCTTGCACAGCAGGTACTGAGTGAGTGTTTCCAAGGTGGGGCAGATCCCAGCAGGTTGGTGTGGGACCCTTATCCAGCTAGCCTGGATGTGGAGCAGTGGGTGGGGGTGGCACTTGCTATGTGGAACCCAAGTTGAAGGTGGGGAACTCAATGTATAAAAGGGCATCATTATTACTGATGTTAAACATGAAGAAGTACCACGTGGCCACTCAGAAGCATGGACATTTTGTTTGTTTGGGGTTTTTTTGGAGATGGAGTCTTGCTCTGTTGTCCAGGCTGGAGTGCAGTGGCACGATCTTGGCTCACTGCAACCTCTGCCTCCCGGGTTCAAGTGATTCTCCTGCCTCAGCCTCCCTAGTAGCTGGGACTACAGGTGCACACCGCCACACCCAGCCTTTTTTTTTGTGTGTATTTTAGTAGAGATGGTGTTTCACCGTGTTGCCCAGGCTGGTCTTGAACTCCTGAGCTCAGGCAGTCTGCCTGCCTTGGCCTCCCAAAGTGTTAGGATTACAGGCATGAGCCACCATGCCCGGCCAGCATGGACATTTTGAACTGAAACTGATGTTAACATGAAACAGAAAACAAACAAGCTGCATTCTTCAGCCAGCATGCTCAGTAAGTTGGCATTTTTATTTTTTCTTAAGTTGGCATTTTTTTGTTTTATTTGTTCACTTAAGTCCAGGGGTCTGAAAACTGGCCCATGAGCCAAGTCCAGACCATTGCTTTATTTTATTTTATTTATTTAATTAATTAATTTAGAGATAGGGTCTATTGCCCAGGCTGGCGTGCAGTGGCGCCATCACAGCTCACTGTAGCCTTGAACGCCCGAGCTCAAGCTACCCTCTTGCCTCACCCTCCAGAATAGTTAGGATCACAGGCATGCACCTGGCTAATTTTTAAAATTTTTGTAGAGAAAGGGTTTCACTATATTGCCCAGGCTGGTCTTGAACTGCTGGGCTCAAGCAATCCTCCCACCCTGGCCTCCCAAACTGCTGGGATTATAGGTGTGAGCCACTGCGCCCAGCTGTATTGCTTGTTTTTGTAAATAAAGTTTTATTGGAAGATAGCCATGCTCATTTGTTACATATCATCTATGGCTGCTTTCGTGATGCAATGGCAGAGTGGCGTAGTTGCAAAAGAGCTGGAAATATTAATTATCTGGACCTTTATAGAAAAAGTTTGTGGCCAGGCTCGGTGGCTCACACCTGTAATCCTAGCACTTTGGGAGGCCGAGACGGGTGGATCACTTGAGGTCAGGAGTTCAAAACCAGCTTGGCCATCATGGTGAAACCTTTTCTCTACTAAAAATACAAAAAATTAGCTGGGCATGGTGGTGTGCGCCTGTAATTCCAGCTACACAGGAGGCTGAGGCAGGAGAATCGCTTGAACCCAGGAGGTGGAGGTTGCAGTGAGCCGAGATTGTGCCAATGTACTCCACCCTGGGCTACAGAGTGAGACTCCATCTCAAAAAAAAAAAAAAGAAAAAAAGAAAGAAAGAAAAAAAAAAGAAAAAGCTTGCTGATTCCTGATCTTAGTCTTCTACTATCTAAAATTAAAAAAAATCTTTTAAATTACTTTTAATGTATACATATATTTAGATAGAAAAAAATCCACAATAATGTAACAAAGGCCTCTGTGATTTTTTTTATGGGGAATCTGATTTGGAGGAATTAGGGGAATGGAACACTTTTAATTTTTTCTTAATATGCTTTAATACTTTTTGGATTTTAAATGATCAGATTCTATTACTTTTATATTTAAAAAGACTATCTTATTATATTAAGCTATTTAATTATATGAAACTATTTTTATTATATTAAAAATAACAGACTATTTTTAATTACCAAAGCTATAGAGTGTTTCTTATAAATATTTTGGAAAATACGGAGAAGCAAAAAGTAAATTAAAACCACCCATTATTGTGCCATCCAGAAATTTAGATACTGTTACTATTTTGGTGCATATTCTTCCTCTTTCATTTGAATGTGTTACTATTTTGGTGTCCATTCTTCTAGTCTTTTGTCTGAGTGTGTATGAGTGCATGTGTGTATATATATATACATATTTAATGTACTCATTATCTTTTGTGAACTATTTTTTAAAATTTAATAATATAATGTGACCGTTTTTTCTGGGTTGCTAAATAGTTGCCTGTTTAACATTTTATTTTATTTTATTTTGAGACAGGGTCTCACTTTGTCACCCAGGCTGGAGTGCAGTGATGCATTCACTGCTCATTAACATCCTGGGCACAAGTGATCCTCCTACCTCAGCCTCCTGAGTAGCTGGGACTATAAGTGTGCACTACCACGCCTGACTAATTTTTTTTTTTTGAGACCCAGTCTCACTCTGTCGCCCAGGCTGGAGTGCAGTGGCGTGATCTTGGCTCACTGTAACCTCCACCTCCTAGGTTCAAGTGATTCTCCTGCTTCAGTCTCCCAAGTAGCTGAGATTACAATGCCTGACTAATTTTTAAAAATTCTTTTGCAGAGATGAGGTTTCACTATGTTGTCCAGGCTGGTCTCAAGCCCTTGAGCTCAAGTGATCCTCCCGCCTTGGCCTCCCAAAATGGTGGGATTATAGGCATGAGCCACCATGCTCAGCCTACTTAACATTTTAAATGGTTGCCGAGTATTGTATCCTATGGAGATGTATAACAATGTGTTTAACTAATTTCCTGTTGTTGGAAATTTACATTGTTTCCAGTTTTAAACTCTTATAAACAAAGTTATGATAAATATGCTTGTAGATAAATCTTTGCAGATATCCTTGTGACTTTTATAGAATAAGTTTGTGTACGTTGAATCGCTGGGCTACAGTGTCTGCAATCTTTTAGGTTTTTCTTCCCCTTTTTTTTGAGTTACTTGTTGATAAGTTGTGCTACTGTAAATCCTCACCGGTGGTGTCTGAAAATGCTTGCTTCCTGGAACCTTCAACTTGGTATTACCAAAATTATCAACAGCAGTATATTTGCCACTTGCACTGTTGGTTTTATGTTTTCTCTTCTTTTTATTTTTATTTTTTGGTTTGGGTGAAGTCTCACTCTGTTACTCAGGCTGGAGTGCAGTGGGACAATCATAGCTCACTACAGCCTCGATCTCCTGGGCTCAAATGATCCTCCTGCCTCAGCCTCCTGAGTAGCTGGGACTACAGGTGCATGCCAGCATGCCCAGCTAATTTAAAAAATTATTTTTTTTTTTTGCAGAAACTGGGGTCTCACTATGTTGCCCAGGCTGGTCTTGAACTTCTGGGCTCAAACAGTCTCCTGCCTTGATCTCCCAAAGTGCTGGGATTACAGGCATGAGCCACTGCACCTGGCCTGGTTTTGTGTTTTCTTAGTAAATAGGTCTCCTCTTCCGATGGGCCACTGAAGTCTCAGCCTCTCACTGGAATGTTGAGCAGTAGTCTTTACCCTACATTTTCTAGGACAATTTAAGTCCTGAACTATGAATACTTGGCGGTACTAGCAATGAGGATCATTAGCCAGTTCTGGACGTTAGCCACAGTATAGGCATGTCCCTCTTCACCTGCCTCACTCAAACACAGGCGTGACGTGATGAGGCTGGTGAGGTTACATGGTCTGGCATGTAATAGGTCACACACTCCCTCCATGACAAAGGAAGGCTTTGTCACGAGGGTGGATGATCTCTTTTCTTCCATCCTTGGTTAAAATTCTTCAAAGAGTAGTATCAACTTTCGGCTTCCATTCCCAAATCCCGTAAGGTTCTGCTGAAATTGAAAACGCAGTAAGGAACTTCTAACAGCCTGATTGAGGGCCTTCCTTTTGGGTCTTATTCTCCCTTACCTCTCTGTGGCTTTTGGTATTTGACTTCTTGGAAGGTGTCTTGACCACAGCCCAGGTTCAACTGTTCATACTCAGTATCTTTTGCTAGCTCTTCTCTCCTTCAATTCCTTTTTAAAATTAATATTCCTAAGCTTCTATCCTTAGTTCTTGTCTCTTTTTCTTCATGCTTTATGCTTATAATCTTCTAAAGCTGTCATCTGCAGACGATTTACCTACTCTCCTTTGGCCACCTCAAAATCAACCTGTCCAAAACACAGCTCATCATCTTGTTGTCTCCTTACCTCGGGACTGGCTCTTCTTCCTGGGCTTCCTTTCTCTGACCGGCATCATCGTTGACTGACGGCTCCACTTAGAAACCTCGGAGGCATTTCTTTTTCTGCTTTGTGCCTTCCCTGTCACCATCTGACCCTGCTGGTTTGCTGTGGGAATGTTTGTTTTTGAATATCTGGAATCCAGCCTTCCTCGTCCTTGGCTTAAAGTAATTGCAGAGACTTTCTCTTCCATTTTTTTGCTTACGGTTTCTCCCAGGTAAATTCTACCTTTCATGCGTCTGCCACAGCTATCTTTCTACCATATAAATGTCACTGAGTCCTTTCTCCATTAAAAAAAAAAAAACCTCTTGGTGACTCCTCATAGTTGACCAAGGCCTTTTTTTTTTTTTTTTGAGATGGGATTTCACCATGTTGCCCAGGCTGGAGTGCAGTGGCTATTCACAGGCATGATCCCACTACTGATCAGCATGGGAGTTTTGACCTGCTTAGTTTCTGACCTGGCCTGGTACACTCTGCCTAGGCAACCTGGTGGTCCCCTGCTCCAGGGAGGTCACCATATTGATGACAAACCTACTGTAGATACCTGATCGGCGTGGTGCACCGTAGCCTAGAACTCCCGGGCTTGAGCAATCCTCTTGCCTCGGCCTCCTAAAGTGTTGGAATTACAGGTGTGAGCCACTGCCCAGCCACCAAGGCCTTCAGCATGTGGCTACCGCCTTCCTATTCTGGCTCCCATCCTGTATCTCCTCCTGCCACACATGGAGCCTGCACCTCAGCCAGCTCTCGTCTCTAATGAGTTTCCCTCTGGTTCCCATTGACGCTGTGTCCTCCATCCACAGTGCCCTTCTGGACTTGGAGAGATCTTCTTCTTCCTTCCCTGACCTCCTGAGACCTTCCCTGAGCCTCTGAGGCCTTTCCTCTCCTTTCCCCAGCATTACTCACTTCCTGCTCTCTGGCCTTTGGCACCTCAGTCAAATCACTGGTAAAGCAGTTAACACATTGTTATTCCAGTTAATCACATGTCTTCCCCACCTCCCCTGCTAATGATGAGTTTGCTGTGGAGAGGACCTTGCCTTACCACCTCTGCATTGCCAGGGCATAGAACAGTGCCAGGCATAGGGCTAAGTCACTCTCTAAATGTCTGTCTAATGATCTTACTTACCAAGCTTGTTCAGTCACTGTTATTTTAAAATGCAGTTGTTAGACTCCTAGTTTTTTTTAAATGTGACTAAAGCTGAGTTGATGTCATTATTGATGATCAACTTCCACACTGAGCTAAGTTTTTGTTTTCATTCATCACACACACATCTTATCTATAAGAGGAGATGGAGGCTTCCTTGAAATTAGTGTTCTTTTTGTAGTTCTATTACAAATTCAGAAAGAGTAGGCCTCCGGAAAATTCTGTGCTTGTTTTCATCTCTAAACAGGAAGTCCAAAGGCAAATAAAAATGAAGACAATCCCAGTTTGCAAACAGTCAAAATTTTTAGCAACTCTCTCACCAAGTACTCTGGGATTTTAGCCCAGTCCTACTAATTTAGAGGAAGGCATTTGCTCGGGCTGACCATGCCTGGTGCAATTGATGGGCCCTTAGTGCGTTGGCAGGCATACTTGCAGCTTGCAGGACTTCTTGAGAAGGGCACTTCACCTCTCTGAGCCTTAATGCCCTCATCTGTAAAATGGAAACATTGATCCTGCAATTATAGGGTAATTTTAAGGGTTAAAGGACAAAAATGCATGGGAGCCCTGCTTTGGGCCTGGCATGTAGTAACCGCTCAACAAATCATAGCTGCAGGCCGGGTGCGGTGGCTCACGCCTGTAATCCCAGCACTTTGGGAGGCCAAGGCTGGCGGATCACGAGGTCAGGAAATCGAGACCATCCTGGCTAACACGGGAAACCCCGTCTCTACTAAAAATACAAAAAATTAGCCGGGCGTAGTGGCGGGCGCCTGTAGTCCCAGCTACTCGCTCCTGAGGCAGAAGAATGGCGTGAACCCGGGAGGCGGAGCTTGCAGTGAGCTGAGATGGCACCACTGCACTCCAGCCTGGGCGACAGAGGGAGACTCCGTCTCAAAAAAAAAAAAAAAAAAATCATAGCTGCTGAGAGATGTTGCCCATTGCCAGCACATAGAAGTGAGCCAGGAAGTTTCTGCTACTTGCAGGCTTAACTCTTGACCAGTCCAGGAAATACTGGTGCTTTACCCTAACACAAGAGACGTTTTAACTGAGATTACCTGAAGTTGGGCAGGTGCAAAGTGGTTAGGAAGTGCCCTCTTGCTTTACAATCCAGTGACCAGGGAAGAGGCTTTTAGTCATTTATGGATGGTTTTCAGGGCTTCTTTTAAGCCCTAAAACTGTGCCATCAATTTTATGTGAAAGTACATTTGACCAGGCAAAGAGTCTTTGGTTTTTATCAATTTCTCAGTGGAGTCTGTGACCCTAAAAATGCTAAGAACCACTAGCCTGGAGTTTTACAGACTGAGACATTTGAATGTAGATTTTGTATCTCATAATGAATGATGGAAACAGTGTCTTACGTTCAGAGTAGAAGTCCATTCTAGCCTGGATCCACTGCCAGCCTGCAGTGTGGCTTTGGACATCCAGATGGAAAAATGAGAGCTCCTTAGTCAAGACTAGAGTGTGAAACAATTTGGCTTTGTTATAGCTCATGTCCTTGGGACAGGCCCTGTTCTGCTGGGAACTCTTAGACCTCACCTTGAACAGGAGCTGGGCTGCCTGTAGGAGGCTGTGGCAGGCTCTGGCTCTGGGAATGATGCTTTTAGGTTGTGTGTGTGTGTGTGTGTGTGTGTGTGTGTGTATGCATGTGTGTGAGACTGGATCTGCATGGATCCTGGGTGGCAGATGTTTGCACCAGCTACCAGGGGTGGGAGGTGCAGTGTGTAATCCAGGAACTTTATAAAAGGGGGATATCCAGTGATCCTCATGTAAATGGAAGACAAACCTTGGCCATATTAAGCTGGGGCTCTAACCACCTCCTGTTAGAGCGGTCCAGCAGGTCCAGGAGGCTCACAGCTCCCACAACAGGCCTGGAGAGGACAAAGATGACCCATCCTGAAGGACCATCTTCCTGGCATGATGTCAGGCTTGGTGGCTCGGGTGCCTTTCCTTCCATCTGGGATGAGATGCTGCAGGGGGCCTTCTCCAGCTGGCCTTGTAGGGTTGGCCAAAATACAGAAACATCTAGCTCTTGACTTCCTCTCTGAGGCTGAAGGAAGCATTGACCAGAAATCGGGTGTGTTCAGACTACCTGACTCTGCCTCATTTCAACACCCCGGCTTTAGTGTGATAGGGTGTCGTCTAGGGGCATTCCTTGTCTGCACAGTGTTTCCAATGGAAATTTCTGTGTTCAGAACCAGGTAGATGCTTCCTTTGACAGGATCTCACTGCTTCTTGTACTTAGAGACCATTCTGCTTCTACTCTGAATTATTCAGCCTGCCCTGCAAGCGAATGGAAGTCCTTTATGTTCCTCGTTGAAGGAGAAAAAGATTATGTCATGAGATTTCAGCTCGAGTTTGTCTTCATGCATATTACATTCAGGTTTTTACAATGAGTGTTTGATTTGCAGTGGAGGAATATTTATTTCCAAATCCTCCAAATGCTTCTGAAGGCAGCCTCCACGCAGATTTTAATTGCTAAACCTACTTATTCTGACTCAGTGTCTGTTTGGTAAAATGTCTGGAGATACAAGAAAGTGGGGAGACAAGTGAGCTGGGCCCAGATGCTCCTCTATGACTAACAGAATGTCCACCCAGAGTGGGGAGATGAGCAGCCCACTGCCATGTCATAGGTGGGTGGGTTTCTCATAGCTCTTATTTAAAGCTGTGCCCTATTGTACTAAAATTACAATTTGTGAATAAGCATTGAATTGGGATTGTTGGGCTGAGCTGACTCACCTCTGGTAACTGGGACTGGGTCTGAGGAATGTCTTCGTGTCACAGTCAACTCAGGCAAGAGGAGAAAGCAGAATATGCCCCAGTGGGGGAACCGGCTCACGGCTTTCCTGATTGTCATTTCTGCAGGTGACCCGAGTCCCTGGGCTTTCTCTCCACTCGCTTGCTCTGTCCCTTAAGAAGGGCCAGCAGGTGGATCTCAATGAGAAATGCTTACTGGGGTTTTGGGCGTTTAGGTCATGTACCCTGCATCCCATCTTGAGGCAGCCCTTGCAGCAGGAGGTGGGGACACACAGACACTTGGAAAGTGGTTTCAGATCCAGATTTGGATGTAACCTAAAACTGTCACCATTCTAAGCAATGGCTTTTAGATCTTGGACAGAGTAGGCAATCTTTCAAAGGTGACTAGGCCACTCTGCCATGCTCTGTGATCCTGGTAGGTGGGAGTAAGCTGCCTTTTGTAAGCCGAAGCTCCTGTGCTCAGTGGCTGGTTGGGGCGGCTCTTGTGAAGTGTTGGTGTGGGGGCCTCCCTTGTGCCATCTGGGTGTTTATGTTGTAGGATGTTAATATGTCATGGGGCTGCTTCCAAGTGGCCCTATTCAGATGTTCCAGTGACAAATGGATTCTGGAGATGAATGTGGGTGAGGGAACTACTAGTATCTTTTTCCGTTAACCAGTTTCATTTGAATTCACTATTGCATGACTTGATCAACATTTTGAAAAACAGAGAATAAAGTTCTGAGGTCACAGATTTTAGGAAGCATAATTTTCTTAGAAATGGAATAGAAAAACCTCAGAACACAGGACCCTGGCAGGAGGATTGGACAGTGGGATGACACAAAAGCTATAACCTAGTGATTCTCAGTGGGGGTGACGTTATCTCTGGGAATATCTGGCAATGGCTGCAGACACTTTCAATTATCATGGCTGAGCGCTCCTGGTATCCAGTGCAGAGAGGCCAGGGATACTGCTAAAGATCCTACAAGAGCCAGGACGGCCCCCACAATAAAGAATTACCTGTCCCCAGATGTTGACAGTGCCACTCTTGAGAAACCCTGTTATAAATGGGCCCCAATGCACCGCAATTACATGTACACATTCTCTTCCTCCTATGAACTGTCTTTTGTATTTTGCATGTAATGCTTACCAAACATTATGGGAGCATCATCTGCATGCCAGGTGCAGTACTGTGGGTAAGCGGGAGGTTAAAAAATGACTGAGACCAGTGAGGAAGACGCGCATCTACACAGCTCTCTCATCTAGTGCATTTAGATTCATGTCTCCCCTTTCCTAGGCGGAAAGCCTCCTGGTAGAAAGTGTATCCTTTAGACTCTCACAGCATCAGCCGCGATGCCTAATGGTAGCCTTTGTTCTCAGCAAATGCCTGTCATACATTCAGGAGTGGGGTCGGAAACAAGGCAAACTTCCCTGTAGGACCTGTACTATGGTTCAGTACGGGAGAGTTCACGTGGTCCTTGTGCTGTTTCTATTCCTCTTCTCATCCGGGTAGCCTCCCACTCCATAGGACAGACATTTCAGTAGCTGAGATGGACTCAAAGGTGACTAAGAGAGGCCGGAGCTCATCCTCTTGCACAGTAGTGATTATTCATGGCTGACCAGGAGATTTCTGAAGAAAAGCCTCCACATCTGGCCTCAGGAAGCCCTGCTCAGGAGGGCAATTCTTGCTTGAGGGTGTCCTGGCAAGGGAGCTTTGGAGCAGGAAAATCATCTGGTCATCAGAGTTCAATCATTCTTACCACCCTTGATGGCACTTTGAACCACACCAGCTCAGTGGACTGTGAAGGTTTGTTTCATAGAAGAATTTGGGGCCAGGCGCAGTGGCTCACGCCTGTAATCCCAGCACTTTGGGAGGCCGAGGCGGGCCGATCATGAGGTCAGGAGATTGAGACCATCCTGGCTAACACGGTGAAACCCCCTAAAAAATACAAAAAAAAAAAAAAATTAGCCTGGCGTGGCGGTGGGCGCCTGTACTCCCAGCTACTCGGGAGGCTGAGGCAGGAGAATGGCATGAACCCGGGAGGCAGAGCTTGCAGTGAGCCGAGATCGTGCTCCAGCCTGGGCAACAGAGCAAGACTCTGTCTCAAAAAAAAAAAAAAAAAAAAAAAGGAAATTTGGGCTGGAGGGTGATGGAAAAGCCAGAAGGTACGAACTCTACTCAAGGCATAAAATTTGAAGGCTGCCTGGGCCTGCCCTAACTCCACCCCAGCCCATTTATGGATATGTCCCCATTTCTGCTTCATTGGAACAAGAATGCCAGGACAGTTTCTTTGCTGATGGGCTTCTAGCATAATATATCTCTTTACTATCACAGATTTATATTCCTCATAGTCTACACCAAAGAGCCCAGGGTGGAGTGGAAGATGCTGCAGAGTTATTGCAAGGGGGTCTGTGACCCGTGCAACAAGCCCTGCCTGTAGAGCAAATATATCTTGCCTTACGCATGTACGTTCTACTATTTTTCAAATGCATATTTCACACTTCTATGTTCTACTGTTTTTCAAATATATATAAATACTACTGTGATTACAATAAAGGGATTGATTACAAAGTGTGGAATTCAGAGTGAATTGTCATTCCTCTGCTACTCTTGCCTCAAACCACAACCAATGTCAAATCAGTCGCCTAGCTTGCTTCCGATTTCTTCCTACTTCCACCTCTTCAGTCAAGAACCAGGCCTTGTCAGTTACTCCTTCACAGTCTCACATATGTGTCCTTTCTTCAGCCTTTGTCACCCAACGCTAGCCCTTATCACTCCTCCACTCACGGGGACCAGGGCTGCCCACGTGGTCCCGAGGCCTGAATCCAGAGCGTCCCTCCCACTGCCACCAAGTACATCTTCCTACTGGCCCACACAAGTCCTTGGTGTCAAAATATTTAGGGCTTCCAGTCTCCTTAACCTGATATCCCACCTGCTTTACAGTGTGGCATGAAGAACTATCTCTTGAACACAAAACAAGTCACCTTATCATTTACATTGTCTAATATTTAAAAAACAACTTTTAAAAACCAGTTTTGTGGCCAGGCATGGTGGCTCACGCCTGTAATCCCAGCACTTTGGGAGGCCGAGGCGCGTCATGAGGTCAGGAGTTTGAGACCAGCCTGGCCAACACATCGAAACCGCGTTTCTTCTAAAAATACAAAAATTAGCTGGGCATGGTGGCGGATGCCTGTAATCCCAGCTGCTAGGGAGGCTGAGGCAGGAGAATTGCTTGAACCCAGGAGGCAGATGTTGCAGTTAGCCAAGATTGCACCACTGAACTCCAGCTCCGGCAGCAGAGTGAGACTCTGTCTCAAAAAAAAAAAAAATCAGTTTTGTGTTCCATTAAAATACATTAAGTCGGGTGTGGTAGCATGTGTCTGTAATCCCAGCACTTTAGGAGGCTGAGGCAGGAGGATCCCTTGAGGCCAGGAGTTGGAGACCAGCCTGGACAACATAGCGAGACCCTGTCTCAAAAAAAAAAAAAAAATAGGACAGCAACTGAGACTTAATAAAAATGTCTTCCATGTATTTTTTCTAAAACCAGTTAATTTATATTTGTGGAATAATTTTGTGCTCACTAAACATGTACATACAACGCTATTATGGACTTCAATGAACAGAAAGCTTTTTCCATTGTTTCCAGATCACTCTTTCTCTCTCTTTTTTTTTTTTTTTTTTTTGAGACGGAGTCTGGCTCTGTAACCCAGGCTGGAGTGCAGTGGCGCCATCTCGGCTCACTGCAAGCTCCGCCTCCCGGGTTCACGCCATTCTCCTGCCTCAGCCTCCAGAGTAGCTGGGACTACAGGCTCCTGCCACCACGCCTGGCTAATTATTTTTGTATTTTTAGTAGAGACGGGGTTTCACTGTGTTAGCCAGGATGGTCTTAATCTCCTGACCTCATGATCTGCCCACCTCGGCCTCCCAAAGTGCTGGGATTACAGGTATGAGCCACCGCGCCCAGCCTCTCTCTTTTTTTTAAAGAACAGGTGTTCGCCAGGCACGGTGGCTCACGCCTGTAATCCCAGGACTTTGGGAGGCCAAGGCGGGCGGATCACGAGGTCAGGAGTTCGAAACCAGCCTGGCCAACATGGTGAAACCCCGTCTCTACTAAAAAAATGAAAATTAGCCGGGCGTGGTGGCATGTGTCTGTAATCCCAGCTACTCAGGAGGCTGAGGCAGGAGAATCACTTGAACCCGGGAGGCAGAGGTTGCAGTGAGCCAAGATCGCGCCACTGCACTCCAGCCTGGGCGACAGAGCGAGACTCTGTCTCAAAACAACAACAAAAAACAAACAAACAACAACAACAACAACAACAAAAACAGGTGTTCACCTCTTATTCCCTTGAAATAAGTTGTTGAAAAATCCTGTTGTTCTACACAGCCCTGCTCACCAAACAGTGTGAGAGCTGTGGGCTTGGTTTACCGCCCGCAGGTTCTGATCCCACGTCTTCTTTGCCCTGGTTGGAGAAGGGATGTGAGGAGCGGAGAAGCCGTGGCCCAAACAGGACCTGCTGGCTCCCTCTTGTGGAGAATAGGGAGAAAACATGCGGGAAGAAAAGGGGCTCTGTATATCGGCGAATACTATTTTACTGAAACAACCCCGGGAAATGTGATCTGAAAAATATGGTCTGAGACAGAGTTGTATTTTGCTGTGTATTGCAAAAGGGATTGGAAGTCACTGGGTGGGGGAGTATAAATTGAATAACTAGAATACGCAGAAGATTAAAAAAATTTTAGCCCATCATTTTGTTGTTGGCCCAGAGTAAACCTCTCTCCCAGGGCAATTCATAAGGAACAAACTGGCTTGGGGATCTCTTTTCCCCCCTCTTTCCCTTCTCGTGGTGGGAGGAGGAACAGAATTACCCAAAGGGGTGCCGCGGCTGAGGTGTATGTTCCTGGCAGGGATAAGGCACGGGCGCCTTGGCTCACCCAACAGTCCGGGCAGGCCTCCAGGGTCCTGCGTGTGGACACCAAATACCAAAAACCAACTGAATTGTATGCTTTAAAGTGATGGATTTTATGGTATGCAAATTACATCTCAATTTTAGAAAGGAAATATTTTATTGAGCCAGTTGTTAACTTGATTTAAAAATTGTATTCAGACACATGGTACAACACGTGGGCCTCATTTGTACTCTTGCCCCTGGGGTCCTGCAAATGTCACCAAGGAGTCTGCACATCGAGGTGTGAAATGGCAGTGGGTGCTTTGTCAACTCAGATTTTCAAGGAACCTGGAGCTTAGCAGTTGAGGTGGAGAGTGGTAGGAAATAAGGCTGGATCATAGACAAGGCCAGGTCCTGGAGGGCTTATGAACTGTGAGATGAACTCAGCCTTTATTGGAGGTGAGTGGGATGGACAGGTCTTAGTTGTAGGTTGGCAGTGAGGAATCTTTTTTTTTTTTGAGATGCAGTCTCACTCTGTCACCCAGGCTGGAGTGCAGTGGTGTGATTTTGGCTCACTGCAACTTCTGCCTCCCGGGTTCAAGTGATTCTTCTGCCTCACCCTCCTGAGTAGCTGGGACTACAGGTGCATGCCACCACAGCTGGCTAATTTTTGTAATTTTAGTAGAGTCGGGGTTTCACCATATTAAGCCAGGCTGGTCTTGAACTCCTGACCTCGTGATCTGCCCGCCTCGGCCTCCCAAAGTGCTGGGATTACAGATGTAAGCCACCACGCCTGGCTGATTTTGCATTTTCAAATAAACAGCCATACCTTTTTACTTTCCACTCTAGCAGCTGGTGGGGAGGACAGATCTGAGAGGGACCGTTCTGGAGTCATCGAGGGCAGTCGGCTGTTGCATTCATCTAGGAGAGAGGTGTGCCAGGCCTGAACCCTAAGGCAGTGACAGTAGAAATAAGGCAGAGGAGAGGGCAGGTCATGGAAATGCTTAGCCATAAACTCAGAGGCATGGGGATAGTGGTGGAGTGTGTGGAAGAGAAGGTGGGGGAAGAGTCAAAGGTGACTCATCATTGTGGGTAGTGGTGGCAAAAGTGGGCAGGCTTGGGGCATGTGGAGGGAGAGGACCTGCTGACTGAGAAAATGACCAGTGGGTGTTAGATAAGAAGAGGTCAAGCCCGGAGGCTGGGGTGTGGAGTCTTCATCATATCCTACTCAACCACAAGTTGGGTGAAGATGAACTCTCGTGGTGCTTGAGGGGAAGGATGAGGTTGGTCCCTTGGGAAACACCAGTGTCATCTAGAGCAAGAAGTGGGAGACCCAGCCTGCCGCAGAGTGTTCTAAGAAGGGCGTGGTCAGTGGACCAGATGCCATAAGACCATCAAGGAGAATCAGGAGGTACAAGCCCTGGATTTAGTGACAGTGATGATGATGAGTGCCTTTTGCCAGCTGGTACATTTCAGCGGGATGTTGCATGAAACAGCCGGGTCTCAGTGGGCAAGGAACAAGTGTGAGGCCAGGAAGTGGAGGCAGAGAGTGCAGTCGACTGCAAAGGGCATGACTCCGAGCAGCAGAAGGATGGGTTGAGGGAGGGCTTTTTTTTTTTTTTTTTTTTTTAAAGATCAGAAAGCACCTGCAGGATTCAAACCCCAGCACAGGGAGTTAGAGAGACAGAAAGTCTGGCATGAGGAAGTAACCACTTGAGCCAAAGCTGACCCAAGGGAGGGCTTCATCTAAGGGAGAAGAGGAGGTGGTTACATCATTGCGTTTTATTTATTTATTTGCTTTTTTTTTTTTTGAGACGGAGTCTTGCTCTGTTGCCCAGGCTGGAGTGTAGTGGCGTGATCTCAGCTCACTGCAACCTCTGCCTCCCTCCTCAGCCTCCCAAGTAGCTGGGATTAAAAGCATGCACCACCACGCCCAGCTAATTTTTGTAGTTTTAGTACAGACAGGGTTTCACCATGTTGGCCAGGCTGGTCTTGAACTCTTGACCTTAAGTGACCCACCTGCCTCGGCCCCCCAAAGTGCTGGGATTACAGGCGTGAGCCACCGTGCCAGGTCTTATTTGCTATTTTTAATAAAAATATTAATGTACGTGGTAAAAAAATCAAACACTACAGCAAATGTATAAAATGAAAAGTAAAATTCTGTACTTTTCAGACTCCCTCGTCTCTCCTTGTCCAAAGGTAACAGTTATGATCAATTTCTTATATATTCATCCAGAAAAAATTTTATACATATGGAATTCTCTTTAAAGATGAGAGAGATTTGGCTGACTTTAAATACTGATGGAAAAGAGCTATATAGAGAAAACGGTGAAGACAGACGGAAGGCTGATGGGAGAGAACTGGTAGCCAGCTCACTCCCGGGGGTGGGGAAGGAACCCAGGGGAGGGGAGAGAAGAGGCCTGGCTTGGTGGTGGAAATGCAGGTTTTTGCTGGGACTGGAGGGAAGGGCAGGGAGCAGGGATGGTGGAAGTGAGGTCAAAGTGTGCAAAACCATGATTTATGATGTCAGCGGTGGGGTGATTCAGGAAGATGGTGTAGGTGTGGCAGAGGCCATGAACATGGGTGGATGGAGTGGAGGTGAAAGTCATGGTGGTTGGGGATCGTTGAGCCCGGGATGTTGGATGAGTTCTTCACACGGATATTAAAATCTCTTAAGATGATGGTGGGTGCCAAAGTTCTCAATGGAGGTAAAGCATAGTCTGGAAAGAGGAATGTCAGAAGAGAAAAAGCCAAGGATGGAAGCTAACGTCCTGGAAGCAACTGGGAGCAGGAAGCAACTGGGAGCAGGAAGCATATCTTCTCTGTCTTCTTGCCTTGGGTCCTGGGCATGTGGGACAATAAGCAGCCTCTCCTTGCGGAAGCAGGAGGTGGATGGTGCATTTAGCAGAAAGGCTGAGAAGCAGAGGGGGTTGTCTTCACGGGAACAAGGTCTCCAGGGTGTTCCAGGTGGGGAAAGGGCCTTGGGGAAGTGGGGTGGCTATCAGTGGCCCAAGGAACCGGCTGGGGGAGGCAGCCAGCAGGAAGGAGAAAACGTGGGATGGGGTGGATAGGATGTGTGGGAGGACTATGGATGAAGTAATGGGCCTCAGTGCTCCCATCTTTGATGCCTATAGTTTTGGCAGCTGCTGAGCTCTCTCGGCCAGGTGGCATGACAGTCACCCCAGAGCCCATGGGTGGAAGCAGTTGTATCTGGTTTGAATAAGGGTTGGGTGTTGCCTTCGTTTGCTAGGGCTGCCAATAACAAGGTACCACAGACCGAGGGGCTTCAGCAGGAGAAATTTGTTGTCTCACAGTTCTGGAGCTCGGAGTCAAATCAAGGTGCTTGTCAGGTCGGTTCCTTTTGAGGACCATGAGGGACAGATCTGTTCCAGGCCTCTCTTCTTGGCTCATAGATGGCCATCTTCTTCTCTCTATGTCTCCTCTATCCTCCCCTCCCCTCCTTTTCCCTCTGCTTCTTTCCTCTCCTCCTCTTCTCTTTTATCTTCTTTTCTAGACAGAGTCTCACTCTGCCCCCCAGGCTGGAGTGCAGTGGTGCAATCATGGTTCACTGCACCCTCAACCTCCCTGGGCTCAGTTGATCCTCCCTCCTCAGCCTCCCTAGTAGGTGGGACTACAGGCACTTGTCACCATGCCAGGCTAATTTTTGTAATTTTTATAGAGATGCAGTTTTGCCATGTTGCCCAGGCTAGTCTCCAGCTCCCGGGCTCAAGCCTTGGCTTCCCACAGTGCTGGGATTACAGACATCAGCCACTGTGCCTGGGCCCTACTATGTCTTTTCATATCATTTCCCCTTTATATTAATACATGTCTGTCTCCCAATTTCCCGCTTTTATAAGGACACCAGTCAGATTAGATTCGGGCTCACCCTAGTGACCTCATTTTAACTTAATTACCTCTGTAAAGACCCTATCTCTCTGAATAACAGTACATTCTGAGCTGCTGGAGGTAGGATTTCAACATATGAATTTTGGGGGAGGGGTGCACAATTCAGCCCATGGCAGGTGTCCTTGGGCAAGATACATAATCATTCTTAGCTCCAGCTGCCCTGGCTATTAACTGGTGATCATAGCAGCCTTAATCCACTGCATTGTTGTAAGGATGAAGTAAGAACAGTGCCTGGCACATTTTAAGTGTTTGATACCAATTCTCATCATCATCATCATCATCATCATCATTATCATCATCATCATCATCACCATCTGGACCTTCTCCCTGGGTTTGGAGACTAGTGAACAGCAAAGGCAGTGAGCTTCTCTATCATTCTCCTGAGCTCATCATCTCAGGTAGGGAGCTCACAGAGAGACCCAGGTCAGGTCTATAGGGAATAGCTGCAGGCAAAGCTAATTTTCTCCATCATTCTCATGCAGATGAAATTAGCTTTAAAATGAGCATCAGGTTCAGCTTGAAATCACAAAAGGACAATATACTGCCTGAGTGGGTAGCAAAAAGGAGAGGGGCAATCCTAACACTTTCTTTTACTTTTTATGGGGGGAGGAGAAAAGAGGGAGTGTTGGCTTTGTTATCTGCATGTAAATCACAGAGCTTTAGGTACTGCTGGTGGGGAAGGTTGTTTCTTTTGTCTTGTCACTCTGAACCATTGTCTTACTACCTGTGCCTCCAGGAGGTATTATGTAACCCACCCCAAACCAGAGGTCTGGCGTGATTTCAGAATTTGTGAGAAAGGCAGATTCTCTTGGCGGTATCTGGAGCCGACTTCTGTAGTGCTGTGAACCCTCTGGAAAAGGGTTTTGGAAACCTAGGAAGCCCAGAATCTTCCTGCAGATTGATAGGAATTCCTTATACTGATTGTTCTCAAATGGAGTCCCTTGAATCAGGTTGATATGCATTCCTTATACTAATTGTTCTCAAAAATGTAGTCCTTGAATCAGCAACGTCAGCATCACCGGTGGAGTTGTTGGAAATAAAAATTCTTCGGCTCTACCTTAGACCTCGTGTTATGGTTTGAATGGATCTTCTCCAAAAATCAGGTGTTGAAACTTAACGGACAATGTGATGGTGTTAAGAGGTGGAGCCTTTAAGAGGTGATTAGGCCATGAGGGCCCTCCCTCATACAGGACTTCATGCTGGTTCGCCCTTCCGCCTTCCACCGTGTGAGGACGTAACATTCCTCCCCTCTGGAGGATGCAGCAACAAGGCACCATCTTGGAAACAGACAGCGTCTGTCATCTGGCAATTGAACCTGTTGGTGCCTTAATCTTGGACTTCTCAGCTTCCGGAACTGGGATGAAAGTAAGAGAAAGTAAGTTTCAGTTCTTTGCAAATCACTTAGTTTCAGGTATTTTAGTTAAAGCAGCACAAAATGGACTAAGACACTTGCTGAACCAGAAAACTGGGTATAGGGCTTGGCTATGTGTTTGAAAAAGCTCATGCTAAGGTTTGAGAAGCGCCACATTATATATATGATACTCTCCCCACCCCCTTTGAGTACAAGCATTTAAGCATTTATAAATTTCGTTCATAAATCTCATCTTGTTCACTGGAACATCATGAACCTAACGTTGTGAGTGCTTCCTGGGCCTCTGAGTAAGAACGGTTCCTTTTGATCCTATATAGGGATGGTCAGTCCTCTGTAGTGCCTTTGTAGCTGTGTGGCTGTGCCAGGATGTATGCTGGCTCTTGGCTTGGGGTGGGGGGTTCAGGCATCTCAGAGATAGTGTGGAATGGTGCAAAGCACTGGGTGGCATTTGCTGGGCCCATTCTAGTCCTGCCTCTTTAGCTAACTAGCTGCATGACAACTTGAAAGCCAGCAATACAGTCAACGTATTTATTGGCATCTTGACTATAGAAAGCATCGTCATCAAGTTATGAATGACACAATCAGGGAGGAAGGGACAGAAATATGCTGGATGACAGAAATCAGAATAAACAAAAGTTTAATTTATAGGCTCAACATAGCAAGATGGAATTTTACTGGGATAAGTGTCAGGTCCTATACATAGTTCTGCTAATACCTAGCTATATCAGGAAGGGTTGAAAGAGATGTGTCAAGAGAAATATTTGTGCAACATGTTTTTGGGTTTTTACTGTGATTAGATAAACATACCATAAAATTTACGATTTCGTATTTATATTTTTAAAATTATTTATTTATTTATTTATTTATCTATTTATTTATTTATTTATTTATTTACTTATTTTGAGATGGAGTCTCACTCTGTTGCCCAGGCTGGAGTGCAGTGGCATGATCTCGGCTCACTGCAAGCTCCACCTCCCGGGTTCACGCTATTCTCCTGCCTCAGCCTCCCAAGTAGCTGGGACTACAGGTGCCCTCCACCATGCCCAGCTAAGTTTTTGTATTTTTAGTAGAGACGGGGTTTCACCGTGTTAGCCAGGATGGTCTCGATCTGCTGACCTCGTGATCCGCCCACCTCGGCCTCCCAAAGTGCTGAGATTACAGGTGTGAGCCACCAAGCCCAGCTGTTTATTTTTATTTTTTGAGACAGAGTCCCACTCTGTCGCCCAGGCTGGAGTGCAATGGCACGATCTTGGCTCACTGCAGCCTCCACTTCCCGTGTTCAAGCGATTCTCCTGCCTCAGCCTCTCAAGTAGCTGGGATTACAGGCACCTACCACTACACCTGAGTAATTTTTGTATTTTTAGTAGAGGTGGGGTTTTGCCATGTTGGCCAGGCTGGTCTTGAACTCCTGACCTCAAATGATCCACCCACCTTGGCCTCCCAAAGTGCTGGAATTACACCTGGCCCCATTTCCCATTTTTAAATCTACAATTCAATGGCATTAATTACATGACATTGTTGTGCAACATCAACACTATCTATTCTGAAATGCACGTATTTTAAAAGTGAGTCTAGGCCAGGCGTGGTGGCTCATGCCTGTAATCCCAGCACCTTGGGAGGCTGAGGCAGGCGGATCACGAGGTCAAGAGATCGGGACCATCCTGGCTGAGGCAGGATGCTGAGGCAGGAGAATCGCTTGAACCTGGCCAGGTGGAGGTTACAATGAGCCGAGATTGCGCCACTGCACTCTAGCCTGGCGACAGATTGAGACTCCGTCTCAAAAAAAGAAAAAAAGTGAGTCTACAGAAAGCTCAGTGTGTACCAAACACTCATTCTACCTATTCATTTAGTGAAGAATCATTTATTGGCTAGGAGTGGTGGGAGGCAGAGGTGGGTGGATCACAAGGTCAGGAGTTCAAGACCAGCCTGGCCAAGATGGTGAAACCCCGTCTTTACTAAAAATACAAAAATTAGCCAGGCGTGGTGGCAGGCACCTGTAATTCCAGCTACTTGGCAGCCTGAGGCAGGAGAATTGCTTGAACCCCGGGGGTGGGGAGGTTGCAGCGAGCAGAGATCATGCACTCCAGCCTGGGTGACAGAGTGAGACTCCGTCTCAGAATCATTTATTGAGCGTCTTCCATACACTAGAGAGTAGGGTTGGTAAAATGGATTAAAAGAAAAAAGAATGCCATGAGGCTACCCAAACTGTTAGTAGAATCTTAGGTTTTATATACAGAACTATAGCATCTGGCAAATGGGAGTTGATAGAACTGCAGTATTCACGGATTGAGCAGTGTGTTGAGTCCTTAAGCACCGCATTTGAAAAGATGGCTGCGACTGTACTGGATGGTGATGAGGCGTATGAGCAATGGAACCAGGGACATTTGGGTTAGAAAACAGAAACTCAGGGAAGGCGTCAGTGCAGTTTTTAGTTATCTCAAGGTTTCATCCCGTGGAAGAAAGAAAACTTGGTGCTTTGTTATGTTCAGTTCCTGGGGATATATGTTATGGAACAGGGGAATGGATTTCAGATCAATGCAAGGGAAGACCTATCAGTCTCCCCTGCTCAAGGCCCAGGAGACATTTAAGCTTTAAATGTATATGTATATATATATAGTAACAATTCATACTATGTAGTGTGTGTGTGTGTATATATTGTGTGTATATATACATGGTGTGTGTATATATAGTGTATATAGAATGAATTGTATATATTGCATATATATTGTATATATACTTTCTATATATATGACAATAAATTGTATGGTTTCGCCACCTGTGGGCCTGACAGGGCAGGGGTGAGGGTGGAGAGCTGTGGAATGTTGTATTAACCACACTTAGCCCTAAGAAGCAAACTGGTACATCTGTTTGTTTTGGAAGTGGGGAAATAGAATTAAAGCCATGGAGGATAATCTTCATACTTGATTACTTTCTTTTTTATTGCTCTCTCCTCCCTCTCTGCCTCCCTGTTGTGGATTTGGGACCTTGAAGACTCTTTAAAACGGCCGCTGCTTTCAGGCAGCTGCTGTCTTGGCTCCTCCTGCCTACTTAGGTCTTCCCTTCTCAGGGAGCAGGAGCCTGAGGTCCCACCAGCACCAGGGCTGGGCCACAGCCAGCTTAGCCATGGTGGAAAATACGGCCTTTTCAGGACATATATGCCTGAGCAATTTAAGAGAATACACATACACATACACACACACACGTTGTATTAGTCCATTCTCACACTGCTATAAAGAACTACCTGAGACTGGGTAATTTATAAATAAAAGAGGTTTAATTGGCTCATGGTTTTGCAGGCTGTACAGGAAGCATGGCTGGGGAGGCCTCAGGAAACTTACAATCATGGTGGAAGGTGAAGGGAAAGCAGGTACGTCTTACATGGCTGGAGCAGAAGGAAGAGAGAGAGGAGTAAGGTACCACACACTTTTAAACAACCAGATCTCATGAGAACTCACTCACTATCATGAGAACAGCAAGGGGGAAGTCTGCCTCCGTGATCCAATCACCTCCCACCAGACCTCACCTCCAACACTGGAGATCATAATTTGACATGAGATTTGGGTGGGGGCACAAATCCAAACCATATCACATATAATGTGAAGAGCAAACACTTTTGAAATTAGAGGAAAATGTGTAAGAATTTGTCAATCACTAGTCCCTGCACAGTAATCCCAAGAAACTGAAAACAAAAGGACTTCCCTTGAAATGACAGTTTCCACTTAAAAGATCAAAGAACATTAAAAGCATCAATCAACAAACATTTATTGAACATTCTAGATAATCCTTAAAATCCTTGCAGAGTGACTACCCAGGAGCTTTTACCCAAGTTCACTAAAAAATTCAAAGGGCTCCCTCCACCCTAGAATGCCTCCGGCCTGGAGGCTGCTTTCTATTTTTGCAGCATGAGTGGATTATCTGGGTTACTGTGGTGACCTTCTGTGGTCCCCACACAGCTCTCTTCCCGCTGGTGTAACTGGGCCAAGGTGGCAGCCAATGCCTGGGCAAGGTGTGGGCAATAGGCCAGACTGGGATGCTCTGCAGAGCTCCTGCGCATTTGCCTGGTGGCTGGGGAGTAAGTTCAAAAAGGAGCAGGCAGTCATGAGTATGACTTCCACCTCTGACACCTATCTTTGGGAGCCACCCAGCTCACTCTGCAGCAGTGACCCAGGCATGGATATTGTGACTGCCCTTCCCAGATTGAGTAACTAGATGGGAACAGGTAGTTCAAGCTGGCACCTTGCTCACACCTAAGGTGGTGTTATAGCTGGGTCATTTCCCGAAAGCTACTGGAAAGGGTATTCTGTAAGAATTATGTCGTCTGGGCTTGGCATGGTGGCTCACACCTGTAATCCCAGCACTTTGGGAGGCCGAGGCAGGCGGATCACGAGGTCAGGAGATCAAGACCATTCTGGCTAACATGGTGAAACCCCGTCTCTACTAAAAATACAAAAAATTAGCCAGCATGGTGGCGGGTGCCTGTAGTCCCAGCTGCTAGGGAGGCTGAGGCAGAAGAATCACTTGAACCCGGGAGGCAGAGGTTGCAGTGAGCCGAGATCACGCCACTGTACACCAGCCTGGGCGACAGAGTGAGGAAAAAAAAAAAAAAAAAAGAAACAAAAATAGAAATCTGGGCTCAATCAAGTAAGAATTTAGTTGCCTACAACATTGCTCCATTTCCTTTCCAGGTGATGGCAGCAGTGTGGGGCAGTGGGAAGGGCTGAGTCGGAAGTCAGGGCTCCTGGGTTCTACTTCTGGTTCTGCTGGTCACTAGCTCTGGCCCCTTATATGCGTTTTTTGACCTCTTGGGCTTCATTTCTCTGTTGATGGAAGAGACGCCCATCAGATGATTGCTGAAGGCCCATCCTGCTCTAAGACCTGATGACACCTAAAGGAATGATGCCTAATGTCCTGACACTCACAAGTTACAAATAGCACTCCAAACCGGAGGACACAGTAAGAGCTACATTCATGGGTTTAACTGGTCTCTAAGAGCAGTTTAAATACCTGGGTAACCAGTCCCCATTACCCGCTCCCCAGTTACACCCTCTGATGGTTCCATTCACTTCTTTTCAGAGACCCTGACTGAGAAAGTGGGGGGCTTCAGGATGAGAACACCCCGTCCCATAAGGGAGACCCCTCTGCTGTCCCTGGGATCCCAATACCACTGAGCCTGGCCATCAGTGTCATCAACATCAGGCCCTGCTTCTCTGGGGTGCTGCTTCTCCTGCAACCTCGGCGCACTGAGCGTGTGTCTGGAGGTTCTCTGGGCAGCACCTGCAGCAGAGCTGGCCATGGCAGCCTCCCTTGGGTTTGCATGTGCTCTTCCTGACCAGATTGGTGAGGATACAGGCCTGCCAGCCTCCACCAAGGCCAGTATTGGTGTTGACAGACCAACCTGCAGCCTCCTCTTTCTGGGCGGCAGAACATAGGGTCCTCAGGCAAAATGCTCTCCTATACACTCCCCTGAACTCCCCAGTAGCCTGTGCCCTCCAGCTGGGGGGCACTGGGACTGCCATGGCCTCTTTATGCCCCCAGGGTACAGCCTCTGCTCAGATGCATTAGGGTAAGGCCCCAGCCCATTGCTTATGGGACCAGAGGCATCACACACAAGGGAAGCCGGCTGGGAGTGCGTATTAAGGCTATAGCCACAGCTGCGATGAATAGCCTGTAAAAGGGGCTCCAGCGTTGGGAGACAGTGGAGAGTGGAGGACAGTGGAGGGAGAGTGGGGGACTGTGGAGGGCACATGCCCAGCTGCAAAGGGACAGCCATGACTCGGCTCTGGCCAGAAAGTAAACACAATGGAGCCAGAGAGCTGATTTCTCAAGAGAAGCAATGATCTGGATTTTTTTTTTTTTAAGGTGGAATTCTTCTCTTGATCTTTAAATGCTGGCAATGATTTCAAACTTTAGAAACTCTGCATGGGCCAATACTGTATCAGACAAACTGAACACATCTGTGAGTCCCATTTGCTGGAGGGCCTCTGTATCTAGCCTCCTTGGCAAGGGCTGCTCAAGCCAAGAGCTGTCGTCTTGTCGACAGACAGACAGACAGACTCACGGATTGACAGATGCTTTTGGGCCTTGTTTCCCCTGGTTGCCCAGCAGAAAGCTGTTGTTCCCCATGTGACCTGAGCCAGGGCTCTGGCTAAACCCTTGGGAACTAGTGTGTGGACCAGATACGGGGTCCCTGAACTTGGACTAGATTGGAAGTTGGCCAAAATGACACCTCTGCTCCACCACCCTCTTCCTTTTCTTTTGAGGCAGGATCTCACTCTGGTTCCCCAGGCTGGAGTGCAGTGCCACGATCATGGCTCACTGCAGCCTCGACTTCCTGGGTTCAGGTGATCTTCCCACCTCAGCCTCCCCAGTAGCTGGGACTACAGGTGAACAGTACCATGCCCAGCTTATTATTTTTTTTTCTTTCTTTTTTTCAGTAGAGACAGGATTTCACCCTGTTGCCCAGGCTGGTCTTGAGGCCGCTCTTGGGCTTAAGTGATCCACTGCCTTGGCCTCCCAAAGTGCTGGAGTTACAGGTGTGAGCCACCGGTGCCTGGCCCGTCCTCTCCATTTTCTTGGCCTTTGCTTTGAGTTCCTGCTGGTCCTCATGTAGCCTGTTTCCTACTTCCTCATGGCAACTGGATGTTGGTAACTGATAAACCCGAAGATTTTCCCTTTCTTGGCTGTTTGCTTTATAATGAAGGGTTCTGAAGCCCAGAAATCACTAAAGAAGTTTATGGCTAGGGTGCAGCTTTCTGGGCTGGGCCTGCGCCAGGCTGGAGCTGCTGTCCACAGGCACTGCACTTGGTCCACTGTGTGCTTCACTGGCATAGAAGGGCCTGAACCTTGCCAGGCTTTCTCCCTCCCCCTGGACGGTAGCCGAGGGCAGACCTCATCTCTGGGGACCCAGACTCACAATCTGCCGCCTTGCTAGGGAGGCGACCAAGGCCTGCTCTCAGATCTGGTTGAACTGCTGGAACCGCTCCTTCCTTCCACGCACCCTGAGGGGAGGCCCCTGGGATGCTGGTCAGCGTGATTAAACTCAGTCTCTTTCCTCACTGGTCCAGGTGGCCACAGGCTTGTGCGGCTAGTGAAGTCTGCGCTGTAAAGATGCCCACGCTGCTGTCTCTGGCAGAGCTCACTTGGCTGGAGTGGGAGGGCAGTAGACAGGGCATGAAGGAGGAAAAGAGTGGGAAAGAAGGGCAAAAAAGGGCAAAAACTTGCTTCTGTATTTCTCGGCTTCTGTGAAACTCACTTGGCTGGTATGAAAATTCAGAAGAAAATTTTCAGAGGAACTTTTCACAGGGTATATTTCATTTGCCATGAAAACACTCAGTTGAGTGTGTGCATGTGTGTGCTTGAGTTGCTGAGAGGAGATATTGTGTGGCTTATATTTTAGATTTCGTGAAAGGTATTTAGCCACACACTCATTATAGCATGTGGCAGCTTGAAGTTCAAGTTAGCTTGCTGTGTTGTTGGTGTTTTTGAACCAGTGGGGGAATTACTGTTACTCTGGGATTTTTTTGGGTGGCAATTTAGATACAGTCCTGCCAGGAGAAGCTCTGGGAAATTTCTCTTTTTCTCAGGGTGTCCTGGGGCTGTTTTGGTTTGTTTTTGGGGTGCGGTGCCCTCTCTTCTCAGCAAATCCTTACCAAAGGGCTCAGCATGACTTTTCTGATAAAGCTGGAATCCCTGCGGGCTGCTTGCTCAGATGGATTTGGGCACCCCGGGGAAGGTGTTCTTTTGTTCCGCTGGCAGATGGGCGTGTTCAGTGCTGGTCTGGACATGTGATTCCGGCTGTGGTTTGGGGCTGAGACTGTCTTAGCTCTGACTTCGGAAGAAGATCCTGAGCTTGTCGGGGTCTTGGCACAGGGTCCTGAAAGCCGTATATGGATCAAGACATGGAAGAGAAGTGGGTTTGGGATTGGTGGGTGGGAGCTCTTCCTCACAGGGGCTCCTTTCTCGCTCGGCTTGCTTGGTTGTACTCACACCACTCTGGACTCCTGGTGAGGTCCTAAGTGGTTCATCTTCAACAAAAATGCCAGTTGAGACGCGGCAGAAAGATTTTAAAGGAGAGTCCTGGGGGCTGAGTTGACTCTAGCTAGGCACTGTGGTACCTTCCAGTTTCTTTCCATCTGTGCCTCTGGACAGCTGGGGTCAACCCCATGTACATAGGGTCGGTGGTTGCCCAGGAATAGTGAGGGGGGTGCAGGAAAGGGGGTGCTAGACTTCATGGTTTAGCTGAATTTTAAATGTTAACTAATTTAGATTTGAATAGCCATATGTGTCTAGTGGCTATTAGAGAGCGCAGTTCTAGAGGCTCCTTGTAGGTGGGGTTCCACGAGCACGAATGTGTGATAGCCTGTTGACTGTGAGTCATGCTTCCCAGGCAACATCATAACTTAACCCTACAGAGAGAGGGAGCCTCGGCCGGGCGCGGTGGCTCACGCCTGTAATCCCAGCACTTTGGAAGGCCGAGGTGGGCGGATCACGAGGTCAGGAGATCGAGACCATCCTGGCTAACACAGTGAAACCCCATCTCTAGTAAAAATACAAAAAAAAAAAATTAGCCGGGAGTGGTGGCGGGTGCCTGTAGTCCCAGCTACTCGGGAAGCTGAGGCAGGAGAATGGTGTGAACCCGGGAGGTGGAGCTTGCAGTGAGCCAAGGTCGCCCCACTGCACTCCAGCCTGGGCGACAGAGGAGACTCCATCTCAAAGAGAGAGGGAGACTCCAGAAGGCTCTTAAAGAGTGGCTTTGGGGGTGGGATTTGCAGACACCCTGATGGGCATTTTTTTCTTTCTTTTGGTTGTAGGTGGGGACTTTCGGCAACCCCCAGGTCACGATTCTTCAGCCCACAGCTCTCACATGGTGACATGTTCCTAGGATATGGGGATAACTCCTATGGAGTCATCCAATATTCTACAGAACTCTGGGATAGTCCTAGTGCAATATGTTTTGTCTTAGAATGAAGAGTTTGGGGGTTGGGAGTGGGAATGGAGATAAGAAAGGTTTTCCTTTTCATTTATAGCCTCCACTATGGCTTAAAATTTTGATTGCGTACCTGTGTAACTTTTATCTTAAAAAATACATAAGTACATAAAATTATTATAGGCCTTTTCTCTCTCTCTTTTTTTCCAGCTTTTATTTTAGACTCAAGGGTTACATGCATGGGTTTGTTACATGGGTAAGTTACGTGGTCACAGATAATTTTGTCACCCAGGTAATCAGTATAGTACTTGATAGGTAGTTCTTCAATCCTCACCATCCTTCCACCCTCCACCCTCAAATAGGCCCCTGTGTCTATTGCTCCCTTTTTTTTTTTTTTGAGACAGAGTTTCACTCGTTTCCCAGGCTGAAGAGTGCAATGGTGCGATCTTGGCTCACCACAACCTCTGCCTCCCGGGTTCAAGTGATTCTCCTGCCTCAGCCTCCCGAGTAGCTGGGATTACAGGCATGTGCCACCACGCCTGGCCAATTTTGTATTTTTAGTGGAGATGGGGTTTCTCCATGTTGGTCAGGCTGGTCTCGAACTTCCGACCTCAGGTGATCTGCCTGCCTCGGCCTCCCAAAGTGCTGGGATTACAGGCATGAGCCACTGTGCCTGGCCTTATTGCTCCTTTCTTTGAGTCCATGTGTACTTGATGTTTAGCTCCCACTTGTATGTGAGAACATGTGGCATTTGGTTTTCTGTTCCTGTGTTAATTTGCTTAGGATAATGGCCTGCAGCTCCACCCATGTGCTGCAAAGGCCATGATCTCATTTTTAAAAAAATACCTGTATAGCATTCCATGGTGTGTATGTACCACATTCTTTTAATCCAGCCTACCATTGATGGGCATTTATGTTGATTTCATGTCTTTGCTGTTGTGAATAGTGCTGTAATGAACATACATGTACTTGTGTCTTTATGGTAGAACCATTTATATTCCTTTGGGTATATACCCAGTAATGAGATTGCTGGATCAAATGATAGTTCTATTTTAAGTTCTTTGAGAAATCTCCAGACTGCTTTTCACAGTGGCTGAACTAATTTACATTCCCACCAGCAGTGTATAAGCATTCCTTTTTCTCTACAACCTTGCCAGCATCTGTTATTTTTTGACTTTTTACTAATAGCCATTCAACTGGTGTGAGATAGTATCTCGTTGTGGTTTTGATTTGCGTTTCTCTCATGATTAGTGATATTGAGCATTTTTTCTTATATGCTTGTTGGCTGCGTGAGTGTCTTTTTATGAGAAGTATCTGTTCATGTCCATTTTTTAATGGGGTTGATTTTCGCCTGTTTATTTGAGTTCCTTATAGATTCTTGATATTAGACCTTTGTCAAATGTATAGTTTGCAAATATTTCTCCCATTCTGTAGGTTGTCTGTTTACTCTGTTGACAGTTTATTTGTTTATTTTTTTGAGACAGAGTTTTGCTCTTTCACCCAGGCTGGAGTGAAATGGTGCGATATCTGCTCACTGCAACCTCCACCTCCCGGGTTCAAGCGATTCTCCTGCCTCAGCCTCCTGAGTAGCTGGGATTACAGGCACCTGTCACCATGCCTGGCTAATTTTTGTATTTTTAGTAGAGACAGGGTTACACCATGTTGGCCAGGCTAGTCTCAAACTCCTGACCTCAGGTGATCCACCCTCCTCGGCCTCCCAAAGTGCTGGGATTACAGGCATGAGCCATTGTGCCCAGTGATTCATTCTATTCTTTTCTTTTCCTCTTTCTTTCTTCCTTCCTTTCTTTCTCTTTCTTCTTTCTTTTCTTTTCTTTTCTTTCTTTCTTCCTTCCTTCCTTTCCTTCCTTCCTTCCTTCCCTCTTTTCTTTTCTTTCTTTTTTCCTTTCTTTTCTCTCTCTCTCTCTTTCACTCTCTCCTGTTGAGACGGAGTCTCGCTCTGTTGCCCAGGCTGGAGTGCAGTGGTGCGGTCTCTGCTCACTGCAACCTTCGCCTCCCGGGTTCGAGCAATTCTCTTGCCTCAGCTTCCTGAGTAGCTGGGATTACAGGCAGGCACCCCATGCCTGGCCAATTTTTGTATTTTTAGTAGAGATGGGGTTTCACAATGTTGGTCAGGCTGGTCTTGAACTCCTGACCCTGTGATCCGCCCGCCTCGGCTTCCCAAAGTGGTGGGATTATAGGCGTGAGCCACTGCGCCCGGCTGATAGTTTCTTTTGCTTTTCAGAGACTGTTTAGTTTAATTAGGTCCCACTTGTCAATTTTTTTTTTTTTTTGTTACTGTTTTTGGAGGCTTCATAATGAAGTCTTTGCCTGGGTCAATGTCCAGAATGTTATTTCCTAGATTTTCTTCCTGGGTTTTTATAGTTTTAAGTTTTACATTTAAGTCTTTAATCCATCTTGAGTTGATTTTTGTACATGGTGTAAGGAAAGGGTCCAGTTTCAATCTTCTGCATATGGCTAGCCAGTTATCCCAGCACTATTTATCGAATAGAGAGACCTTTTCCTGTTCCTTGTTTTTGTCAGTTTTGTCAAAGATCAGATAGTTGTAGATGTGTGGCTTTATTTCTGTGTTCTCTAACTGTTCCATTGGTCTATGTGTGTTTTTGTATCAGTACCATGTGGTTTTGGTTACTGTATCCTTATAGCATAGTTTAAAGTTGGGTAGTGTGATGCCTCCAGCTATGTTCATTTTGCTTGGGATTGTTTTGGCTATTCAGGCCCTTTTTTGGTTCCAAATGAATTTTAGAATGTTTCTTTTTCTAATTCTGTGAAAAATGTCATTGGTAGTTTGATAGGAATATCATTGAATCTGTAGATAGCTTTGGACAGTATGTCTATTTTAACAATATTGATTCTTCCTATTCATGAACATGGAATGTTTTTCCATTTGTTTGTGTTATCTCTGAGTTTTTTCAGCAGTGTTTTATAATTCTCCCTGTAGAGATCTCTCACCTCTCTGGTTAGCTATATTCCTAGGTACCTTATTTTTGTGTGTGGCTATTGTGAATGGGATTGCAGTCTTGATTTGGCTCTCAGCTTGGATGCTATTGGTGTATAGAAGTGCTACTGATTTTTGTACATTAATTTTGTATCCTGAAACTTTGCTGAAATTGTTTATCAGATCAATGAACCTTTGGGCAGAGACTATGGGGTTTTCAAGGTATAGAATCGAATTGTCTGGGCCAGGTGCAGTGGCTCATGCCTGTAATCCCAGCACTTTGGAAGGCTGAGGCAGGTGGATCACCTAAGGTTAGCAGTTCAAGACCAGCCTGGCCAACATGGTGAAACTCCATCTCTACTAAAAATAGAAAAATATTAGCCGGGCGTGGCGGTGCTCACCTATAATCCCAGCTACTTGGGAGGCCGAGGCAGGAGAATTGCTTGAACCCGGGAGGCGGAGGTTGCGGTGAGCCGAGATCACACCATTGCACAGCCTGGGCAACAAAAGTAAAACTCTGTCTCTTAAAAAAAGCAAAGAAAAGAAAAGAAAAGAAAAAAATCATATTGTCTGCAAAGAGAGAGAGTTTTTCTTCCTCTTTTCCTATTTGGATTAGGCCTTTTTTTTTTTTTTTTTTTTTTTTGGAGACAGAGTCTCACTCTCTTACCCAGGCTGGTGTGCAAAGTGGTGCGATCTTGGCTCACTGCAACCTCTGCCTCCTGGGTTCAAGCGATTGTCCTGTCTCAGCCTCCTGAGTAGCTAGGATTACAGGCACCCGCCACCACGCCCGGCTAATTTTTGTATTTTTAATAGAGACGAGGTTTCTTCATGTTGGTCAGGCTGGTCTCGAACTCCTGACCTCAGGTGATCCGCCTGCCTTGGCCTCCCAAAGTGCTAGGATTACAGGTGTGAGGCACCGTGCCTGGCCAAGAAGTACGATTTTTGCAAAAAAAAAAAATTCATATAAGAACATGTCCTGGCTAAAAAAAACTAAAGAAATAAAGAATAAAAATAATTTTTAAAAGTCTTTTTTGTTTTTTAAAGCAACCAATTTGCTCCATAGTTATTATGTGAGAGATCTTTAGAATTGTGGATGGCTGGGAAACTACTCATTTGCCACTCATCAAGTAGATTGGTTTTGCTTTTGATTTCTTGGTGATTTCTTGAAAAATGTATCTGCCCTCCCCCCAGCCCCGCCCCGCAAATTCATATGTTGAAGCCCTTAATGGCCCAGAACTTCAGAATGTGACTGTAGATTGTATTTGGAGATAGGGCCTTTAAAGAAGTCATTAAGTTAAAACAGTCTTTAGGGTGGGCCCTAATTCAGTATTACTGGTATCTTTATAAGAAGTGGGGATTAGGACCCAGCCAACACGGGCTGAAGGACAGCCATGTGAGGACACAGTGGAAAGGTGGCTATCTGCAAGACTGGGCATGGTGGCTTACACCTGAAATCCCAGCACTTTGAGAGGCCGAGGTGAGAGGATTGCTTGAGCCCAGGAGTTCAAGACCAGCCTGTGCAATGTGGTGAAACCCTGTCTCTACAAAACAATACAAAAAATTAGCCAGGCATGGTGGCGTGCACCTGTAATCTCAGCTACTCGGGAGGCTGAGGTAGGAGAATTGCTTGAATCCAGGAGGTGGAGGTTGCAGTGAGCTGAGATCCAGCCACTGCACTCCAGTCTGGGCAACAGAGAAGACACTGTCTCAAAAAAAAAAAAAAAAAAAAAAAAGAGAAAAGAAAAAGATGGCCATTTGCAAACCAAGAAGAGAGGCCTCAAGAGAAAATAACTCTCCAACAAAACACTTTGGGCTTCTGTTAAGCCCCCAAGTTTGTTATGGCAGCCCCAGCAAACTAATACATTTGGTTTTTTTTTTTTTTTCTTTTTGAGATGGAGTCTTGCTCTGTCGCCCAGGCTGGAGTGCAGTGGCGCGATCTTGGCTCACTGCAAGCTCCGCCTCCCGGGTTCATGCCATTCTCCTGCCTCAGCCTCCCGAGTAGCTGGGACTACACGCGTCCGCCACCACGCCCGGCTAATTTTTTGTATTTTTAGTAGAGACGGGGTTTCACCGTGTTAGCCAGGATGGTCTGGATCTTCTGACCTCGTGATCCGCCCGCCTCGGCCTCCCAAAGTGCTGGGATTACAGGCGTGAGCCACCACGCCCGGCCACATTTGGGTTTTGTATGACTTGCTTCATTCAGGCCAAAGATAAATTGAGGAACATATATATATATTTGTATTGGACATTTGCTTGGATCCAAAATATGGCAAAATCAAGTCTGTTTATCTAGCGGGAACTTAGCCATTGACTACTTGAGGACTGTTTCTCTTCAAACCTTTGGGGACAGTGACATCTAGTGGTAGTTTCTTTTATATACCCTTTTCAGTTCTCTTCTGGCCGTACATTAGAATCACTTGAGGGGATGGGAAAAACAAAACAAAACAAAAAACAAAAGGCCTTGCGCGGTGGCTCAAGCCTGTAATCCTAGCACTTTGGGAGGCCGAGGCGGATGGATTGCCTGAGCTCAGGAGATCGAGACTAGCCTGGGCAACACAGTGAAACCCCATCTCTACTAAAAAAAAACAAACAAAAAACAAAAAGAAAATTAGCCGGGCGTGCGCCTGTAATCCCAGCTGCTCGGGAGGCTGAGGCAGGAGAATCACTTGAACCAGGGAGGCGGAGGTTGCAGTGAGCCAGGATCGCGCCACTGCACTCCAGCCTGGGTGACAGAGGGAGACGCTGTCTCAAAAAAAAAAAAAAAAAAAAAAAAAAAAAAAAAAAAAAAAAGGCCAATGCCTAGGCTTTACCTAGCCAATTATGCCAGAATCTCTGGGAATGGGAACCAGTCATCAGTATTTAAAAGGGCTTTCTACATTAGTCCAAAGTGTACCCAAGGTTGAGAAGCACAGATTCTTAATGAAAGCAACTCTGGATTGTAAAAATATGAGCTCATATTATGTTGCCATTTCTCACAATATGAAAAAGTTTGTTAACTTCTGCACTTATTTATTGTCCCTCTGCCTCCAAAGAAGGTAAAATACATGAGGGAGGGAGCACGGTCTGGTTAGCTTTTGGATGCCAAGAGCCTGGAACAGTGCTGCACAGTCTGGGCTCATAATAGCTTTTGTGAAATGAATGAATGAAAAATAGAGCATGGGACCAGGCGCCCGGTGGCTCACGCCTGTAATCCCAGCACTTTGGGAGGCCGGGGCGGGAGGATCACCTGAGGTCAGGAGTTCGAGACCAGCCTGGCCAATGTGGTTAAACCCCGTCTCTACTAAAAATACAAAAATTAGTTGGGCGTGGTGGTGGGTGCCCATAATCCCAGCTACTCAGGAGGCTGAGGCAGGACAATCGCTTGAACCCGGGAGGCAGAGGTTGTAGTGAGCCGAGATCGTGCCATTGCACTCCAGCCTGGGCAACAAGAGCTAAAAACTCTGTCTCAGAAAAGAAAAAGAAAAAGAAAAAGAAAAATAGAGCATGCTGTCAGGTTGCATTAATCTGGAATATGGCTGTCATGTGAAACAGCAGTCTCACTGTGAAGTTTAGGACATGTTATATTTGGTTCAATTGAAAGTAACTTATGGAATCTTATAGGATTCCAAATGTCTGAAACAGACGTTTCTTGGTCTGTCATACAACTTTGGTTGACTTCTTGGCATCTTTATGCCTCTGATCCTAGGAGAGGATTTTCTGAGTTTCAATATAGCAGCAGGTTCTCAATGTCTACTAAGTGTTCTAGTTAAAAAGAAATGTTAAACTATTAGCTTTTCTTCTGTGCTTTTCTCCCCATTGTCTTGAGGCTTAGAAAGTTCTATATTATTACAAAACCAGTGAAATACACACTTACAACATTTCTAGTTTTAAAACTACTTCTTTTTTATATTTTATGGCCTAAAATAACTGGGATTAAATTTTCTGCGTATGGTGCATAGTGAGTATTGAACTTTCTATTCTTTTCTTAACCCTGAGAGTCCATCTTCCCCACATGACTTGCGGATACTCCATGACTTTGCTCATTTGTGATGCACACTTTTTCCCGCAGTAAGTCTTTTTATATACTAATGTGAGAGGTGTTAGAATGGGACTTTTCCTGGCAAAGTGTGTGGAAAACAATTCCTCACTTGCAGACTCTCAAGGGAAATCTCTGGGGAACTGCTCCCTGACTTTTGGACATCCTTAAAAACAGAGATGAGAGAAAGAAAAAGAACAAGCCTTGGTGAAGAGGTTTCTTTGGAGAGAGTTGTTGCTGTGCTCTTGGGCCCCCAACTTCCCTTTTCAGGGAGGAGTGGGAAGTGCTCATTCTAACTCCAGGCTTGAGACCGCTGGGGGAATTTCAAAAAGTGGTTTCCACAGGAAAGACATGGAGCAGCCAGCTTGGGCGACAGAGTGAGACTTCGTCTCAAAAAAAACAAAAACAAAACAAAACAAAAAAAGTGTGTGCCAAATATTATATTGACAGGACATCCTTATTTTGAAGTCAAGACTGTGTTTGGGATTTACAGTGACGTAAGAATTGTCTCTGACCTAGAAGTGGGCAAAAAAAAACAAAAAAACAAAAAAACTGATGACATTTTCCTCTGAGGAACAGGCTGATATCTTTGTAAGTAAAAATGAAAGGGTTGAGAGATAGAGCAAATGAGCTGTTTTGGTCACTATAATCAGGTGTCTTGCTTATTCAATGTACTGATTGCATTAGGACTGCTTTCAGGGCTCCTCTCATCATCACGGTTCCCTCTCCAAATGCTCTAGATGTGGTTTGTCTTAATAGTTGAATGGTTGAATAGTTGAATGGTTGAAAATAACAGAGCCCTCCTTAAAGCAGGTTAAACAGAAAAGAGAATTTACTGTAAGGTTACATAGGTGGCTATAAGAGTAGGCATTCAATTTTTTGTCTTTTTTTTTTTTTTTTTTTTTTAGATGGAGTCTCACTCTGATGTCCAGGCTGGAGTGCAGTGGTGCAATCTCGGCTCACTGCAACATCCGCCTCCTGGGTTCAAGCGATTCTCCTACCTTAGCCTCTCGAGTAGCTGGGATTACAGGCACCTGCCACAATGCCCAGCTAATTTTTGTAATTTTAGTAGAGACGGGGTTTTACCATGTTGGCCAAGCTGGTCTCGAGCTCCTGACCTCAGGTGATCCACCCACCTCAGCCTCCCAAAGTGTTGGGATTATAGGCGTGAGCCACCACGCCTGGACTAATATGAGTTAGAAGTAAATGAACTAATTCAGGGATAGACACTTAATGTGAACTCAAGCCAGGAAGTAAGGAGCTTTCCCCTGACAACAGTGATTGAGATAGGAAAGGGGACAGGTTTAGGTTAGCACAATTAGTACGAAGTCAGGCCTTTGCTCAGTGACTGTGGGAGAAGAAACTCTTTGTCTGGTCAGTATACATAGCTGTGAGGTCTGGAGCTGTAGCAACCACTTGGTATCTTGAACAAAGCTAGATTTGAGATGATGCTGACACAGGAGAGAAGGCAATTGATGAAAGAAATGCAGAGCCAGAGCCCTGATCCAGCCACTCCTGAACCCATCACTACATTAAACTTCCCAAGTATAGCAGTGGTTCCCACTGGGGGCAATTTAGCTCCTGAAGGGATATTTGGCAATATCTGGAGACATTTTTGGTTGCTACAACTGGATGGGTGCTCCTGGCACCCAATGGATAGAGACCAAGGATGCTGCTAAATCCCCTATAGTATATAAGAGAGCACTCTTTCCTTTGCAACATAGAATTATCTGGCCCAAAATGTCTGTATTGCTGAGGTTGAGAGACTCTGACCTAGAGATTTGATTAGATCTAAGTTCTTTTTTGGGCAAGGATGCTTTGTAGGCACTGTGTACTTGCTTTTACGTCACAACAGGCTTGTTCTCTTGGCTTTTCTGGATTTCTGTACCTGCCATTGCTCCCCTCTCTCAGTGCCTGGTGAGCCCCTCCCTAGCCTCTCTCACAAGCCCAGTGGGCTGCCTTCTCCTTGTAAACTCTCCACACCCTGGCTCTTCTCACTATGGCATTTGCTGGGCATTTTGGGGCTCGTTGGTGTGTGTTTGGCCCCCACTGGGCTGGAGATCCTGGGAAGGCAGGGACTCAGTCTATCTTCTCTCGTGCATTCAGGACACTGGGACTGGTAGATCCTGATATGTAAATAAATCAATGACAAACGAATGACTCATAACTCGGATATTTGAGTTGGTCAGAGGCAATGTCTCTTTCTCTGTGGGCAGGAACTGAATCAACACAGTGGAATTTTCTTTTTCTTTCTTTCTTTTTTTTTTTTTTAGACAGAGTTTCGCTCTTGGAGTGCGATGGTGCGATCTCAGCTCACGGCAACCTCTGCCTTCCGGGTTCAAGAGATTCTCCTGCCTCAGCCTCCCAAGTAGCTGGCATTACAGGCATCCACCACCATGCCCAGCTAATTTTTGTATTTTTAGAAGAGATGGGGTTTCACCATGTTGGCCAGGCTGGTCTCAAATTCCTGACCTCAGGTGATCCACCCACCTCGGCCTCCCAGAGTGCTGGGATTGCAGGTGTGAACCACCGTGCCCGGCCAACACAGTGGTATTTTCACAAGTCCATTCACCTTTCAGCAGTAAAATGATGTAGCAAGATCATCCATCATATATACAATGGAATATTATTCAGCCTTAAGGAAATCCTGTCATAGGCTACAAGGATGTAGGTTCAAGCGATTCTCCTACCTCAGCCTCCTGAGTAGCTGGGATTACAGGCGCCTGCCACAATGCCCAGCTAATTTTTGTAATTTTAGTAGAGATGGATGAATGTGGAGGACACTATGCTAAGTGGAACCAGCTAGTTGCAGCAAGACAAATGCTGCATAAGTCCTCTTATATGAGGTATCCAAAACAGTCAGACTCTTAGAAACAGAAAGTAGAGGTAGAGTGGTGGTTGCCTGAGGCTGAAGGGAGGAGGAAAAGAAGAGATGTTGTTCAGTGGGTATAAAATTTCAGTTTTGCGAGATAAAAAAGTTCTAGAGATCTGCCGCGCAGCAATGTACATAATTAACATTAATGTACTGCATACTTAAAAGTGGTTAAATGGGCTAGGTGTGGTGGCTCATGCCTGTAATCCCAGCACTTTCAGAGGTCGAGACAGGCAGATTGCTTGAGGTCAGGAGTTCGAGACCAGCCTGGCCAACATGGAGAAACCCCGTCTCTACTACAAAATACAAAAATTAGCTGGGCGTGGTGCGCGCCTGTAATCCTAGCTACTCAGGAGGCTGGGGTAGGAGAACCACTTGAACCCGGGAGGCAGAGGTTGCTGTGAGCTGAAATTGCACCACTGCACTCTAGCCTGGGCGACAGAGTGAGACTCCATCTCAAAAAAAAAAAAAAAAAATTTAAGATGGTAAATCTTTTTTTTTTTTTTTTTTGATACGGAGTTTCACTCTGTCACCCAGGCTGGAGTGCAGTGGTGCAATCTCGGCTCACTGCAACCTCTGCCTCCCGGGTTCGAGCAATTCTCTGCCTCAGCTTCCTGAGTAGCTGGGATTACAGGCGCCCACCATCATGCCTGGCTAATGTTTTGTATTTTTAGTAGAGACGGGGTTTCACTATCTTGGCCAGGCTGATCTTCAACTCCTGAACTCGTGATCCACCCTCCTCAGCCTCCCAAAGTGCTGGGATTACAGGTGTGTGTATGTGTTTTTGAGACAAGGTCTCACTCTGTCAGCCAGGCTGGAGTGCAGTGGTATCATCATGGCTCCCTGCAACCTCCGCCTCCTGGGCTCAAGCAATCCTCTCAGCTCAGCCTCCTGGGTAACTGGGACTACGGGCACATCACCACACCTACCTAATTTTTGCATTTTTTGTAGAGATGGGGTTTCATCATGTTGGCCATGCTGGTGGTCTCAAACACCTGAGCTCAAGTGATCCACACGCCTCAGTCTCCCAAAGTGTGTGAGCCACCATGCCCACCTGGCCTAAGATGGTAAATCTTATGTCCTGTGTTTTTTAAAACCATAATTAATAAAAGGTATTTGGTGAGAATTAAAAAAAAATTACCCCCTGGGAAAGGTGGCTCACACCTGAAATCCCAGCTCTTAGGGAGGCAGAGGCAGGAGGATAGCCTGAGCCCAGTAGTTCACTACCTGCCTGGGCAATATAGCAAGACCCTGTTCTTGAAATCAATACATCAATAAAAAATAAATTGGCTGGGTACGGTGGCTCACACCTGTAATCCCAGCACTTTGGGAGGCTGAGGCAGGTGGATCACATGAGGTCAGGAGTTTGAGACCAGCCTGACTAACATGGTGAAACCTCGTCTCTACTAAAAATACAAAAATTAGCTGGGTGTGTTGGCAGGCTCCTGTAATCCCAGCTACTCGGGAGGCTGAGGCACGAGAATTGCTTGAACCCAGGAGGCAGGGGTTGCAGTGAGCCGAGATCAAGCCACTGCACTCCAGCCTGGATGACAGAGTGAGACTTTGTCTCAAATAAACAAACAAACAAACAAAATAAAATAAATCACCCATGGAGGCTATACCTTGGGAGACTTGATTGGATTTAGGAGGCAGGGCTCAGGTGGCTTCTCTCATTGTTTTGTGCTGATTTATAAGGTTTCACCTACTTGTTTCAGAGGTGACCTTGATATCCAATTCCAGGACACCCCACTGAGTCTCTCATGCTGTTTGAACCTCCGCCCCAGCCCTGACCATGGTGTGAGCTTCTCTCTGTCACTCAGCCACACTGACCCAGGAGGAGGGGTGGATGCCCAGACCCTGGGTCACACTAGATCCAGAGCTGTGGTCCTAGGGCAGCAGGAGACTCCTAAACAGAAGGGGCTCAAATTCTCCCTAGTGGTGGAAACAGTCGAGGTGGCCTTTTCCACACTCTGCAGCGGAGCCTCCTGCTTTTTAATTATGAGATACCCCAAGGCGTGCTCCTGCCCCTTCGCGCAGAGTATCTCGGTGCATTCTTCCAATTGCTGGTCTGAGCCACCGGCAAATGGCTCGCTCCAGCTCTGCAGGGGTTTTCACACCTGGTTTGTGGCTCCTCCAGCCTTCTCCGCTCCCCTCTGAGTCTGCCTTTTTCCTGGGCCTGCCAACCAGTTAGCACCTCTGCTGAACAAAAGGCCTGGAGCAGAAGGGGCCCTCCTCCCCACTGTCTCAGGGAACCAGGCTGGAGAACAAAGGAAGACAGGATGCCCATCCTCCTTCTCCCCCTCCATCCCTGCCTCCCTGCCTCCTTTTCTTTCTCCACAGGATTCTTTCCTCTTCTGAGAAGCAGCCTCAGAGCTGGCTGTAGAACATCCAGAAACAATCAGGAAGAATAACTGTCTCCCTCTCTCCGACTTCCTGCTCCCCACTACCCATACCTGTGTTGGGTATGTGTTTTGCTAGCAATGTTTAATGTCACATGCCTGCACTTTCCCCTAATCCTAATATCATGTTACTTTTTTTTTTTTTTTTTTTTTTGAGACGGAGTCTCGCTGTCGCCCAGGCTGGAGTGCAGTGGCGCAATCTCGGCTCACTGCAGGCTCCGCCCCCTGGGGTTCACGCCATTCTCCTGCCTCAGCCTCCCGAGTAGCTGGGACTACAGGCGCCTGCCACCTCGCCCGGCTAATTTTTTGTATTTTTAGTAGAGACAGGGTTTCACCGTGTTAGCCAGGATGGTCTCGATCTCCTGACCTCGTGATCCGCCCGCCTCGGCCTCCCAAAGTGCTGGGATTACAGGCGTGAGCCACCGCGCCCGGCCCATGTTACTTTTATAACATAGGTAAACTAGCCTTGGAGATGTGATTATAGGCTTGAGGGGGAAAAAAAAGGTTTTAAAATTGTGAGATTAAGATGTGTTTATTGTAAGAATAATTAGAAAATAGAGAAAAGGGAAAGGAAGAGCAATAAGAACCGACCATTAAAATGTGCCACCTCAGATAATCTGAGCTCAGCCGCCTGGGTTTACCAGAAAGCAGAGCCCGAGAGGAAGCTGGGGTGAGGGACAGGGGACTGAGGTAGGGCAGGGGAGTTTCAGAAGAAGGATGCATATTTGATTTGGCATTTGACCAATGCTGTAGGCAACTCGTTGACCTCTCAAGAGCCCTGTGCCACTTGAAATACATATTGGGAACTTTCATGAGGAGAAGAGATGGGAAAGCACTTATCCACTTTCTTTTTTTTGAGATGGAGTCTTACTCTGTCACCCAGGCTGGAGTGCAATGGTGCAATCTGGGTTCACTGCAACCTCCGGCTTCCAGGTTCAAGCGATTCTCCTGTCTCAGCCTCCAGAGTAGCTGGGACTACAGGTGCGTGCCACCACACCCAGCTAATTTTTGTATTTTTATTAGAGACAGGGTTTCACCATATTGGTCAGGCTGGTCTTGAACTCCTGACCTCAGGTGATCCACCTACCTCGGCCTCCCAAAGTGCTGGGATTACAGGTGTGAGCCATGGCACCCGGCCAGCACTTACTCACTTTCATTCCTCCGTTCAAAGATTTGCCTATGGGAGGTCACCTCATCTGCATTTTTGGGTCATGCATGCATGAACATTGAGTGAGTGTGTCACAGAGAAAACAGACTGGGGAGACCACTGTGGGCCTGAGTTTGGTGCTGTAGGAACTGGTCTCAGTGGACTAAGAGACAGGTGAGATTCAGAGGTGGTGCACAGTGGGCATGGTAGATCATACTTGTAATCCCAGTTGTGTGGGAGGCTGAGGCAGGAGGATCGCTTGAGCCTGGGAGGTCGAGGCTGCAGTGAGCCGTGATCCCACCAGTACATTCCAGCCAAGGTGACAGAACGAGACCTTGTCTCAAAAACAAACAGCTGGGTACAGTGGTTCATGCCTGTAATCCCAGCATTTTGGGAGGCTGAAGTGGAAGGATCGCTTGAGCCTAGGAGATCAAACCTAACCTGGGCAACATAGGGAGACTCTGTCTCTACAGAAAATTAAACAAATTTAGCCAAGCATTGTGGGGCATGCCTGTAGTCCCAGCTGCTTAGGAGGCTAAGGCTGGAGGATTGCTTGAGCTAGGAATTTGAGGCTGCAGTGAGCCATTTTGTGCCACTGCACTCCAGCCTGGGCAGCAGAGCGAGATCCTGCCTTAACAAAGAAAAAAGTGATGTGCAAGAGGTTACATTTTGGTATACAAAAATAGCAACATGTCCAGCAGTTACTATAAGCTAGACCCAGTACCAAGTGCTTCACATGGATTTTCTCATTTCAGACTCCAGTAACCCTAGGAGGAATACTGTTATTATCCCCATTTTCGACGTTAGAAAAGTGTGGTTCAGAAAGGCTAAGTTTACCCAGATGACCCAGTTAAAAAGGGTAGATCCAGGATGCACACCCAAGCTTTCTGAATCGGGTCCACTCTTTCGCCTTTTAATGATTGGTGCACATTTATCATCTGGGTTTGCCCAGCCTCCATTCTGGCTTCTTGTTGGTTTGACTGAGTGACTCTCTTTCTGTCTCTCTGTTTAGCCTTCTGTGGTGTCAGTTGCATTTTAAATTGGCGAACAACCCCCACAGAGTCACATGCTTACCTGCCCAGGTCCAGGGAGACGGATATAGAGAGACGTTTCCCCCAGAATTTCAAGTCATCATCTGATTGGCCCGGCCCAGATGGCCTGCTCATTCATGAGCCAATGGCTGTCATGAGGGGAACAGAATAGGCCAATGGGCTTAGGTCAGTTATCACTCTGGTGGGATCCACTTTCCATAAATAATAAGTGGAGGGGCAATGGATACATATTAATCTGGGTTTCGTAGGAAGAAGGGAGTGGGGGAGGGATGGTGGGTAGGTTATCCTTTGGCCATTTGGACAGCTTGTTTTCAAACTTTATTTTAAGCAATCCATGCAAGAATGGCAGGAACAGTTAGAAGGCGCGTTGAAGAGGAGGCCACTGACCCAGGCTCTCTGCTGGTTCTCCCTTGTTGAACATCCTGCTTTATGACCTTCCCTAAGCCTGGTTCTCTCGTCTGTCTAATCTAAAAACAGCCTTCTCACCCTTGCTACTTCTTTTAATAATTTCTTCTTTGCCTCAGTTTGCCAAGTAAGGTTGTATTGCTTTTCACCCAGAACCCTGACTGATGCATGTTGGATTTCTGAGGAGACACAGTAAGTTAGATCCTACTTCCCCATCTGTGTCCAAAGCAGGGAAATCTGGCCAAGCGTACAAATGGAGACCAGGACACCTTCTTTATTACCGAAGAAGGAAAAGCTGGAGGTCTTACTTAGTGTGGGAGCAACACAGGGCTGCAGACCGAACCCCAGAATGAGACAGATGTAGCCAGTTAGGCACAGATGGCACCGTACTGGGTGTGATCCTCACCCGGAGGAACAGCAGAGAACAGCAGGGACAGCAGCCAGATCGCTCCCAGGAGTAAGGAGTGGGGAGTGAGCCCGGGATGCCTTGTTTATTCTTCCCACATTTACCACCAGGTAAGCCGTTTCTCCTCCCCGATGTGGAGTGAGTTAAAAGCGATGGAGAGAAACCAGGAGAGTTTTTGGAACATCCTCACCACTCGTTTCCATGAGAAAGGATGTTTTTAGTAGAGACGGGGTTTCACCATGTTGGCCAGGCTGGTCTCCAACTGCTGACCTCAAGAGATCTTCCCATCTTGGCTTCCCAAAGTGCTGGGATTACAGGCGTAAGCCACCGTGGCTGGCTCATAATTTGTTAAATAATCTCTAGTTTTGAATATGTAGGAACTTCCCAGTTTTTCACCATTATAAATGCTGTTCTTCTCTTTGCCCACATTCCCAATGATTTCCTTAGAATATACATAGCAGTGAGATGACTAGTGCTAGAAGTGATTTTTATTTTTTATTATTTTTAAAATTTTAGAAACAGGGTTTCCCTCCGTTGGCCAGACTGCATTGCAGTGGCATAATCATAGTTCACTGTGGCCTTGAACTCCTGGCCTCAAGTGATCCTCCTGCCTCAGCTTCCTGAGTAGCTAGAACTACAGGTGTAAGCTATTGCACCCAGCTCTAGAAGTGATTAGTGAGTCAAAGGAATTTTTTTTTTATTTTCCTTTTGAAATCTTCAGCAAAAAGGAATTTTAAGGTTTCAAGATGTATTTTCCATTTTTTTTTGTGGCAGAAGCATTGTGTTAAATTATGTGTGTGTGTGTGTGTGTGTGTGTGTGTGTGTGTGTGTGTGTGTGTGTTTTGAGACAGAGTCTTGCTCTGTCACCCAGGCTGGAGTGCTGGAGTGCAGTGGCATGATCTCAGCTCACTGCAACCTTCGCCTCCTGGGTTCAAGCGATTCTCCCATCTCGTCCGCCCGAGTAGCTGGGATTATAGGTGTGTGCCACCACGCCCGGCTAATTTTTGTATTTTTAGTAGAAACAGGGTTTCACCATGTTGCCCAGGCTGGTCTCAAACTCTTGACCTCAGGTGATCTACCCGTCTCAGCTTCCCAAAGTGCTGGAATTACAGGCGTGAGCCACTGCACCCGGCCTAAATTACATTTTTACTGGTGGTGTGTGAGAAGGTTTCTGCCCATTTTATTTTTATTTTATTTATCTTGATCTGATTTAACTTTATTTGTTTATTTTTTTCTGAAAAACCACCCCTTTCTATTTAGAGAAGGCCTGACCTACATAGTTAGGTAGAAAATGGATGATGAAAACATCCCAGGATAAAAACCAAACAAGTAGGCTGGGCGCGGTGGCTCAAGCCTGTAATCCGAGCACTTTGGGAGGCTGAGGTGGGCGGATCACGAGGTCAGGAGATCGAGACCATCCTGGCTAACACAGTGAAACCCCGTCTCTACTAAAAATACAAAAAATTAGCTGGGCGTGGTAGTGGGCGCCTGTAGTCCCAGCTACTCGGGTGGCTGAGGCAGGAGAATGGCGTGAATCCGGGAGGTGGAGCTTGCAGTGAGCTGAGATCGCGCCACTGCACTCCAACCTGGGCAACAGAGCAAGACTACATCTCAAAAAAAAAAAAACCAAACAAGTATGGAAGGGCTCCTTAAACAATACAAAGAACAGGTTTTGTAGTTCCTCCCTTTTTTTTTTTTTTTTTTTTTTTTTTTACAGAAAGCAGAGATTGCAACTAAAGGGAATTTCTGCTCATTTTATTTTATTTCATTTTTTTGAGACATAGTCTGGCTCTGTCGCCCACGCATGAGCGTGGCATGATCTTGGCTCACTGCAATCTCTGCCTCTGGGTTTAAACATTTCCCATGTCTCAGCCTCCCCAGTAGCTGGGATTACAGGTGTGCGCCACCATGCCTGGCTAATTTTTGTATTTTTAGTAGAGACGGGGTTTTGCTATGTTGGCCAGGCTGGTCTCGAACTCCTGACCTCAAATGATCCGCCCACCTCGGCCTCCCAAAGTGTTGGGATTACAGACGTGAGCCACCGTGCCTGGCCAAATTTCTACTCATTTAAAAAGTCTTACTTGGTGGGAAAAACTTATTGTTTTAATGTGTACCTTTTGGTTAAATAAGGTTGGATATTACTTTATATTCATATATTTATCATATATTTTCCTTCTTTTGTCTTATTTGCTTACATTTTTAGTGGTGTGCCTTTTTCCTATTGAGTAAAGAGGTCTTTGTTGGGACATCAACCTATTTTTGTCAAATATGTTGCAGTTATTTATCTCATTTGTGGTTTATATTTTAATATTATTCAATATCTTTGACCTACAAAATTAAAAAAATTTTAATGATCATTCCTATTAATTTTATTGTTCATGGTTCTTATCTTTGATATTTTGTCTGCAGGGTCTTTCATTTTTTTTTTGAGACAGAGTCTCGCTCTGTTGCTCAGACTGGAGTACAGTGGTACGATCTCGGCTCATGGCAAGCTCTGCCTCCTGGGTTCATGCCATTCTCCTGCCTCAGCCTCCCTAGTAGCTGGGACTACAGGCACCCGCCACCACGCCTGGCTAATTTTTTGTATTTTTAGTAGAGATGGGGTTTCACCGTGTTAGCCAGGATGGTCTCAATCTGCCGACCTTGTGATCCGCTCTCCTTGGCCTCCTAAAGTGCTGGGATTACAGTCGTGAGCCACTGCGCCTGGCCAGGGTCTTTCATTTTTTTAAAGAGACTATCAGATCTCTGCGAAAGTCTAAGTGTGGGGCAATATGCTTTTTCTAAATACTCTGTACCTTTGCTCACTGAATGATTTTTGTGTGTGTGTGTGTGAGACACAGTCTCACTCTGTCACCCAGGAGTGCAGTGGCATGATCTCAGCTCACTGCAACCTCTGCCTCCCAGGTTCAAGCGATTCTCCTGTCTCAGCCTCCTGAGTAGCTGGGATTACAGGTGCATGCTACCACGCCCAGCTAATTTTTTTTTTTTTTTTTTGTATTTTTAGTAGAGATGAGTTTTCACCATGTTGGCCAGGCTGGTCTCGAACTCCTGACCTCAGGTGATCTGCCCGCCTTGGCCTCCCAAAGTGTTGGGATTACAGGCGTGAGCCAGGTTGCCTGGCCCAAATAATTTCTGTTTCAGAATCATTTTTATTTTCCTTTGGCTGTGTAAAAGAATCCTTGAAATTTTTAAGCTAGCACTGAACATACAAACACTACTTGCGTAATTCTCCATATCTCTGATTTAAATTGATAATCCACTTAGGATGTGATAAGAAGTTTAAATGTTAATTCTCCAATGAGGTATTAACTAAAGATCCTGTGCTCAGACAGTCTATAAGTTCATTTGTTCAACTGCGTAAAACAGTAGATTCCATGATTGCTGCTCAGGGGTGAATTCCGTGGTCAGATCCCAGGCTGGGAGTTGCAAGGGCTATCATCAATCTATTTTCTCCTTTTCCTAACAATTATCAGCACTAACCACACAGAGATTAATGGGCACCAGGCAGTGGAAAGAGGGCAGTCGACACTTCGTTGAGATTGTGTTTTCACAGATCTGTCACTGTTAACTCCAGTGACCCTCCAAATTAGTTACTGCATTGTCACTGGGGCCTTCAAGCCAGGCTTTTTGAAATGTCCTTGGGATTTTGTGGGCTATCCTTTAGTTTCTGTTATGTCTACAGGTTTCAGGGATATTTACTAAATCCAGAATATCCTGTATCAGTGCCTCTGTCCTCCTCATTAAGTCCAAGAGAAGCCATCAGACATAGTCCTGGTGTACTTGAACCCTGAAGCTTCCCAAAGGCAGGGGATGGATTCCAAGAGGCCAGGAATCCTTTTTATCTTTATTTATTTATTTATTTATTTATTTATTTATTTATTTATTTATTTTGAGACGGAGTCTTGCTCTGTTGCCTAGGCTGGAGTGCAGTGGCACCATCTCAGCTCACTAAAAGCTCTGCCTCCCGGGTTCACGCCATTCTCCTGCCTCAGCCTATTAAGTAGCTGGGACTACAGACGCCCGCCACCATGCCTGGCTAATTTTTTGTATTTTTAGTAGAGATGGGGTTTCACCGTGTTAGCCAGGATGGTCTCGATCTCCTGACCTTGTGATCCACCCGCCTCGGCCTCCCAAAGTGCTGGGATTACAGGCGTGAGCCACCGCACCCGGAAGGAATCCTTTTTTTCTTTTGGGGGTTCTCCAAATAACTGGCTCAGAAAGTTACTGTGGGTGGTCTACTTTTATATTAAGCTTCCTGCAAGCTTCCTTGGAGGAAGTCCCCGTTTATTTGTATATTTATTTTTAAGGGAGTTGTGCTTTTTCCAGGTCTTGATATAATGTATTTTACATCTCACATAAAAGACCCCTCTCTTGCATAGTCACTCCCAGGCTTGGCTTAGGGAAATCTGGACTTTTTCTGTTAATTGCTTAATAAAAAGAATAGCTCCACTGGTAAGTGAATGAGAGCCACAAAAACTGAAGACTGGGAGAGAGTCTTTAAGGGGATCTGAGGCAGCTCTGAGAGGAGCGGGTGGGGTGGACACTTGCAAGAACTGTGAGGCTTGATGTCCATGTAGAGGCTAAAGTAAGACTTAGGGTTTGGGGAGCTGAGATGGACAGTCTCCAGCGATCTGCATATGTGTGTGTGTGTGTGTGTGTGCGTGTGAGTGCATGTGTCTTTTGGGTGAGTGAGAGGTATGTGTCTAGAGTATTCAGTGTATTAGGTTCCTGCTGCTGCTGTAACAAATGACCATAAACATAGTGGCTTAAAGCAACACAAATTTATTAAAGTTTTAATTTATTTTTTTTTAGAGACAAGGTCTTGTTCTGTCACACAGGCTGAAGTACAGTGGTGCAGTCATAGCTTACTACAGCCTCAAACTCCTGGGCTCAAGGGATCCTCCCATCGCAGCCTCCTAAGTAGACAGTACTACAGGTGTGAACAACTATGTCAAGCTAATTACAAAAATTTTTTTTGTAGGATGGAGTCTGGCCATGTTGCCCAGGCTAGTGTCAAACTCCTGGCCTCAAGGGATCCTCCTCCCTTGGCCATCTAAAGTGCTGGGACTTCAGACATGAGCCACTGCCCCAGCCACAGGTTTATTCTCTTACAATTCTGGAGGTTAAAAATCCTAAAATTAAGGTGTCAGTGGGGCTGCATTTTTTCCAGAGGCTCTATGGAAGAATCTGCTTCCTAGACTTTTCCAGCTTTTTTTTTTTTTGTAAGGGACGGAGTCTCACTCTGTCACCCAGGCTGGAGTGTAGTGGCACGATCTCAGCTCACTGCAAGCTCCGCCTCCTGGGTTCACGCCATTCTTCTGCCTCAGCCTCCCGAGTAGCTGGGACTACAGGTGCCTGCCACCATGCCTGGCTAATTTTTGTATTTTTAGTAGAGACGGGGTTTCACCTTGTTAGCCAGGATGGTCTCCATCTCCTGACCTCGTGATCCACCCGCCTTGGCCTCCCAAAGTGCTGGGATTACAGGCATGAGCCACCACGCCCAGCAACTTTTCCAGCTTTTAGAGGCTGCCTGTGTTCCTTGGCTTGTAGCCCCTTCTATCTTCAAAGCAGCAGAGTGGCATCTTCAGGGCTCCCTCTCACCCTCTAGCCTTGTATCTCTTTTGACTCTGGTGCTCCTGCTTTCCTCTCATAAGGACACTTGTGACTACACTGGGACCCTGGAATAATCCAGGGTCATCTCTCTATCTCAGAATCCTAAACTTAATCACATCTGCAAAGTCCATTTTGCTATGTAAGGTTATATAATCACAGGGTTTGGGGTTAGGGTTTGGGCATCTTTGGGGAGCCATTATTCTGACTTCAACATTCAGTATGACAGATCTACTACTACCTTCACTTTACTGCAAAGATCCTCAGAGAGAAATGAGGATGATGATGGCAGTGGTTCATAGTACCTTATGTTAGATAATGATATACCATTTACAAAACTCTTAGGATTCGTTTCAAGCCCACTCAAGTGTAGTTGGATGACACTGGGACTTTGAGTCAAGAGCCCTGATTTCATCATTTACTAGCTGTATAATCTTCAGGCGATTTACTTAACCTCTTGAGGCTCAGTATTCCTATCTATAAATTGGGAAAATGTGATCAGTGGGAAGAACTGGCTAGATGATGGCTAAACTGAGAATCTTTGAATGTTTTACGTGACAGTTTTCTTTGGGGAAGTGCTGTCTAACTCTTTGCAGCCTGGGATGAATTTATAAATGTGGCCAGACTTTTTTTTTTGTTTTTCACTCTCCATTTGTGTTAGTTCAGATCATCTGAGATGCAGACACCAAAATGGAATTAGACACACACAAGATTTATTGGGGAAAATGTGGCAGAAATGGGGAGAGAATGAAGGAGGCTGAGAGAGCCATCAGACCACATACAGGTCTGACATCTGTGGAGGAGAGAACCAGGGTGGAGCTGGGACTTTCTGGAAGAGGTTTTGGGTGAGGTGGGCTGGCATCATTTTATGGTGGGCCTTGGATAAGGTGCAGCAGAGGGTTCTTGGCAGAGGAGTAATTCAATCCCAGTTGGCTTTTAGGAGGGTTATCCTAGGATAGAGTAGGGTGCATTAGAATGGGAAAGCACATAGCCAGCAGTCATCCTGGGCTGCTGCAACATTCCTTAGGTGGGTAGTGCTAAGGTTCTGGATCAGGTTAGTGACAATGAGAATGGAAAGGAAAGAACAGCCAAGTGCAATTATCCATCCCGAAGAGATAAATGTCTCCCATTCCTCCCTGCCAAATAGAACCATCGGAATGTGTTAAATCAGTTGTTATTGCTAAGGGGTCAGTAGATGTTTACCATGCTGTTAGATGATTACTTTGAAGAATGGTGTTCATTTTGCATCTATTGACCCCATCCCAACGTGGGCTGATCTGATAGCTTCATTGTGCAGTCCATTCTTCTTCTCTTTACTTTCTTTCCTCTTAGGCCTAAGAACTCAATGGAATTTATGTTAGCAATAGGAATGATCAGGGCAAGGCATCTCTCACTCTTTGATAGAAGATAACCCATCAAACATGAGTTTTGCTGATTTGCAGCTATTTCAATTTATCATAACAGCTGAAGTTACTGATGCTTCATTAAAACAAAGAGAGGGAGAGGTGGAGGGAATGTAAGTTTTTTTTTCCCTCCCTGAGATGGAGTCTTGCTCTGTTGCCCAGGCTGGAGTGCAGTGGTGCGATCTCGGTCCACTGCAACCTCTGCCTTCCAGGTTCAAGCGATTCTCCGGTCTCAGCCTCTTGAGTAGTTGGGACTACAGGTGTGTGCCACCAAGCCTGGCTATTTTTTTTTTTTAAACATTTTTAGTAGAGATGGGATTTTGCCATGTGGGCCAGGCTGGTCTCAAACTCCTGATCTCAGGTGATCTGCCCCCTCAGTCTCCCAAAGTGCTGGGATTACAGGTGTGATCCACCTCACCCGGCCCAAAAATGTAGGTTTAAAAGATCATCCCTCTTGCCACGAATTTGACCTGAGGATGTTTGACCTTGAATGTACTTGTTTGTAAGTGTCATTAGGCAGCCATAGATTCCAAAGCAGGTTAGAGTGGGAACAGGAGAATGGCTTGAGTGACCTGATAGAGGGAAGTTCAATTGAGCATGCAGAACAGGCACGAAAACTTATGGTGACATACAGTAGAAGGGAGGGGAGTCTTGATGGGTGGATAGAATGGCGCAGCAGAGCGTAGCTGGATGTCCAGGCAGGTTGACTGCTTCATGACTTCCGGCTGCTGGGCTGGGTTTAGAAATGGAATTCTAGTCTTTGGGCTGGAAAAACAAGGCAAGGTTTTAATCCTAGAGAGAATTTACATTACCAATAGAGGTTCAGAAAGAGTGAACAAGACATGGGCCAGGAGCTGAGGTTCAAGGTCATAGCTATAACAGGAATGCTGGTGAGTGTCCACTACGTTGGCCTCTTCAGTTTCTCATGTCCAAGATTAAGCTTAGACTAGGGTACTGAGACAGGGCTGGCCTATTAGATGGCAGACCAAGGACCCCAGTGGGAAGGAAGAGGCCAGTAGCCAGGGTCACCCAAGTGGTGGATTTTCATAACATTGAAGGCAACATAGGTGTAGATCTCAAACTTAAGTAAGAGTCAGAACCACCCAGAAGGCTTGTTAAAACACAGATCCCAGGGGCCCATCCCCAGAGTTTTAGATACAACAGGGCTGGGCTGGGGTCTAAGAATCTGCATCTCTAACATGTTTTCATGTGATGCCCATGCTGTGGTGCCAAGCCCACACTTTGGCTGTGTTTCTCCATATTTATTGTGTATTTTAATAGCCTGTGTTTTTTTTTAAACTACTGATGCCTGAGTCCTACCCTCAGAGATTCTTTTTTAAAATTTCTATTTATTTATTAGAGACTGGGTTACGAAACTGGCTAATTTTTGTAGTTTTGGTAGAGATGGGGTTTTGCCATGTTGCCCAGGCTGGTTTCAAACTCCTGGGCTCCACCTGATTCGGCCTCCCAAAGTGCTGGGATTACAGGTGTGAGCCACTGTGCCTGGCCCCCTCAGAGATTCTTATTTAATTTGTCTGAGGTTCCCAGGTGATTTCAGACTTTAAAACCACTGCTTTAGATCCTGATAGACTCTGACCACACTGCTTTTTTTTAAAAAAAAAAAAAACAAAATTTATTCTAAAATTTCCATATAGTAAGAGTTAATTCCTTTGGTATTCAATTCAGTGAGTTTTTGACAAATGCATAGAGTCATATAACCCTGATCATAATCATGACATGGGCCAGGAGCTGAGGTTCAGGGTCATAGCTAACAATGGGAATGCTGGTGATGGTTCTATCACCCCCGAAACCTCATGCTGTCCCTTTGAAGTCAATTCCTCTCCCATTCTTTACCCAACGCAACCTCTGATCTGTTCTTTGACACTATGATTTTTGCCTTTTCCAGGATGTTGAAATCTAAATGGCATCATACAGTATATTGCCTTTTGGGTCTGGCTTTTTTTTTTTTTTTTGAGAAGGAGTCTTGCTCTGTCACCTAGGCTGGAGTGCAGTGGCGCGATCTCAACTCCCTGCAACCTCTGCCTCCCAGATACAAGCTATTCTCCTGTCTCAGCCTCCTGAGTAGCTGGGACTATAGGCCCCTGCCACCACGCCTGGCTAATTTTTATATTTTTAGCAGAGATGGAGTTTCACCTTGTTGGTCAGGCTGGTCTCGAACTCCTGACCTCAGGTGATCCACCCGCCTCAGCCTCCCAAAGTGCTGGGATCATAGGCGTGAGCCACTGCACCTGGCTCAGTCTGGCTTCTTTAGCTTAGGTGAATGGATTTCAGATTCATCAATAGTCTGTTCTTTTTTATTGTTGAGTAGTATTCCATCATGTGCATGTATCACAATTTGTTGAATATACCAGCTAAAGGATATTTGGGTTGTTTATAGTTTTCAGTTATTATAAGCTTCTATGAACATTCATGTAAAGATTTTTGTGTCACCACAAGCCTTCATTTTTCTAGGATACACACCTATGAATGGGACTGTTGAGTCATATAGTAAGTATATATTTGATTTTATAAGGAAATGCCAAACTCTCTTCCAAAGTGGCTGTGCCATTTTGCATTCCTGCCAGCAATGTATGAGAGTTCCAGTTGCTCCATATCCTTCCCAGTACTTGGCACTCTCATATTTTGGTTGGAGGAGCATTCTAATAGGTGTGTAATTCCTCACTGTGGTTTTGATATTTGCATTTTCCTATTGACTGATGTTGAGCACGTTTTCATGTGCTTATTTGGTATCCAGTTATCTTCTTTGGTATATATTTGCTTTTCTATCAGGTTTTGTTTCATGTATTTTCAGACTGTTATTAGGTATATACACATTTAGAATTGTTATGTCTTCTCAGTGAATTGGCCCTATTATCATTATACCATGTCTCTTTATCTCTGTGAATTTCCTGTTTTGAAGTTGAATTTTTCTGATACTAGTGTAGCCACTCCAGCTGTTTATTTATTTATATATTTGTTTGTTTGTTCATACAGGGTCTTACTCTGTCACTCAGGCTGGAGTGCAGTATCATAATCATAGCTCACTGTAACCTTGAACTCCTGAGCTCAAGCAATCCTTCCACCTCAGTAACCTCCTGAGTATCTGGAACTACTGGCATATGCCACTATGCCTGGCTAATTTTTTTTTTTTTTTTATGTAAAGATAGGGTCTCACTATGTTTCCCAGCCTGTTCTCAACCTTTTGGCCTCAAGCAATCCCCATGTTTTGGCCTCCCAAAGCTGGAATTATAGGAAAGAGGCACTACATCCGGCCTCAACTTTTTAAAATTAATAGTTGCATTGCATGGCATATATTTTTCATAATTTTATCCTTAACCCATCTATATAGTTATATTTAAATATTATTTTGTAGATAGCATATGCTGCTTTTTTTAAAAAAATCTAATCTGAAAATCTTTATCTCCGAATTGGCATATTTAAACCATTTATATTTTATGTGATTGACTAAGTGTTTAGCCTTTTCTTTTTCTGTTTATCTTAGCTATTTGTTCCTTTTACCCTCACCACCTTAACATTACAGTTGCCATAGGTATTGTATCTGTGCATATTGAAAACCCTACTAAACACTGTTCTAATTTTTGTAAATAGTTATAAATATTTCAATGAATTTAAGAGGAAAAAGTAGTCCATTATGTTTACCCAGACATTTATTATTTTATTGCTTTTATTTGTGTAGTCAATAATAACATAAATTTTTATTAAAAAGAACCAACTGGAAATTTTTGATCTGAAAAATACAATATATGGAGTTAAAATATTCACTACATGAACTCAATAGAGAATGGAGATGACATAGAAAGGAGTCAGTATACTTTTAGATAAATCCGTGGAAATGATCCAGTCTGAAGAATGGAGAGAAAACAAGATTGACAAAAAAGAACAAAGTCTCAGGTACTTGCAAAGCAATATCATCTGGTATCACTTTTCTTCAGCTTTTTGTGTTTCTCTAGCATTTCTTTCAGAGCAAGTCTGCTGGCAATGAATTATATTAGTTTTCCTTAATCCAAAAATGTCTTTATTTTCTTCCATTCTTGAAGGATATTATTGCTGACTATAGAATTATCTGTTGACAGTTCTTTTCTTTCAGTACTTTAAAGAAGTTCCACTTCTTTTGGGGAGAAATCTGCAGATGTTTGTTCCCTAGATATAATCTGTTATTTTTCTCTGGCTGCTTTCAAGACATTTTCTTTATTTTTATTTTTATTTTTTCCAGCACTTTGATCAGGATGTGTTGGGTGTTTTTATTTGAGTTAATCCTGTTTGGGATTCATCCGAGCATAAATTTGTAATTTATGTCTTTTACCAAATTTGGAAAAATTTCAGCCATTATTTATTCAGTTTTTTTCTGTATTAATCTTTTTCTCCTCTTCTGGGACCCAAATGTAGTGAATATTAAGCTTCTTTATATTGTCTTGTAGGTTCCTGAGACTTTGTTCTTTTTTTTCAATCTTGTTTTCTTTTTTTTTTTCTTTTTGAGATGGAGTTTTTCTCTTGTTGCCCAGGCTGGAGTACAATGGCGCGATCTTGGCTCACTGCAACCTCCGCCTCCCAGGTTCAAGCAATTCTATTGCCTCAGCCTCCTAAGTAGCTGGGATCACAGGCATGCACCACCATGCCCAACTAATTTTGTATTTTTAGTAGAGACGGGGTTTCTCCATGTTGGTCAGGCTGGTCTCAAACTCCCGACCTCAGGTGCTCCGCCTGCCTCAGCCCTCCCAAAACGTTGGGATTACGGGCGTGAGCTACCGTGCCTGGCCCTCTCTATTCTTTAGACTGGATAATTTCCATTGATTTATCTAAAAGTTTACTGACTCTTTTCTGTTTTTTTTTTTTTTTTTTTGTTTTTGTTTTTTTGACACAGAGTCATGCTCTCTTGCCCAGGCTGAAGTGCAGCGGCACCATCTTGGCTCACTGCAACCTCTGCCTCCCAGGTTCAAGCAATTCTCATGCCTCAGCCAGCCCAGTAGCTGGGACTACAGGGGCACACCACCATGTCCAGCTAATTTTTATAATTTTAGTAGAGACGGGCTTTTGCCATGTTGGCCAGGCTGGTCTTGAACTCCTGTCCTCAAGAGATCCTCCTGCTTTAGCTTCCCAAAGTGTTGGGATTACAGGCCAACTGACCTGGCCAACTGACTCTTTTCTATGTCATTTCCATTCTCTATTGAGCTCATTCAGTGAATTATTTATTTATTTATTTATTGAATTTATTTTTTATTTTTGTTTTTTGAAGGGGAAGGTTCAGTGAATTTTTAAACTTTCTGTATTGTATTTTTCAGATCAAAAATTTCCACTTGGTTCTTTTTAAAAAAGTTTATATTTCTCTGCTAAGAATGTCTTTTTATTCATTCCAATAGTATTTACTTTTATGGTATGATTATGTAGCATGGTTATAGTAGCTGTTTTAAAGTCATTATGTTGTAGTTCCAACACCTGAGTCATCTTGGGAATGGCATCTGTTGATTGTCTTTTTCCTTGAGATTTGATCAGATTTTCCTGTTTTTATCATGTTGAGCAATTTTGGATTGTATCCTGGATATTTTGAGTATTATGTTTCATGACTGTGAGTCCTGTTGAAATCCTCTGGAGAATATTGATTACTTTTCTTTGCTTTTGGGCAGATAACCAACCCCATTAGGTTCAGACTGGGAGTTCTGGCCCACATTCTGTGGGCAGTGAATCCAATATCAGTTCAGTTTTCCACAGATTTGTTATGCTGTTGGGTCTTCTCTGAACATGTGCCACTTAGGGATTAGTCTGGTGCTTGGCTGGCTCTCAAAGTCTTTGACATACTTCTTTGAGTCTGTTTCACATATGTGCACCTCAGACTGGTATTGGTGCAGACATAGAATTAGGGGATCCCTTCCTCCAACTCTCTGTTCTCTATGATTGTCCCCAGACTCTTCAGCTTTCCAGAGCCTTCTCTTCCCTATTTTTCTGGCCAGAAAGATGGATTTCTCTCAGTGTTAACCCATTCCCCCCATTCTCTCACATAATTCTGCACAACTGGGGCTGCCCTCAAGTTCAAAGTAGTGAGAGAAAAGAGAGAGAACAAATAACAGGGATTCCCTCCACACTTTTTGGAGCACAGGGACCCCCTTTTCCTGTGGCCAGAGAGACAGGCTTTTCTCTTGGGGTTTTAGATGTCTGTGTAGTGGTGGCAGTGCAGCTCAAAAACTGGGACTGGCCTTAGGTCAGGGCTGGAGAGAAAAATAAATAAATAAATAAACAAACAAATAAATAAATGGTTATTTCCCCCATACTCTCAGGCCCAGAGAGTATCCCAGTCATCTGGTCAGAAAATGGGGATTTCTCTTGGAGTTTTGCTGTTTATGCCTGCTTCACAGTTCCATAATTTGGTCCCCTTTGGGTTAATGCAGGAAGATAAAGAAGGAAACTCATTGTTGTACCAAAAACTCTACAAGTTTTGACTTTCCTCTTTGAGCTGTCTGCCATTGTTTACCTTTCAGAGTCCTCAGGTAGTTGCTTTTTGTGCTCCATGAGAATTTTGAATTGTAATTAGTGGGAAGGATAGGCTATGATGCAGTTTACTCCATCTTGGCTGGCACTAGAAGTCACCATGCTTCTTTGATCTAATGATCCATTCCCTCTGCTTTCTTCTCTTTAATCCAAGTAGAAAGGGGCTCCTCTTTTGAAGTTATGGCTATTTTAATTTACCTTAGACGGTTGGGCTCTTCCAGTGTCATCCCCTCTTCTCCTCTCTTCATAGCTTCCCTTTTTGAGAAAGCTCTTTGTTTGACTCCTCTTGGGCCTGGGCAGTAAATTTTGTGCTATACAAAATTCTCTGCTGTGTTTCTTCCACAGACTCTGTGACTCAAAGCTGTGCATAGGTCCTCAGATTCTTTTCCTGTTGGGCTGTCTAAGGCAGCCACTATACATGTGTATATATGCACGCGCACCCGTGCATGCAGTGCCTTGATCTCAATGGCTACGTCTCTTAACAGTAAACTCCCAAATCATCTAGGTCTAAAGGGACTCAGAGGGTACTAGAGATCTTTTCTGAAACCCTTCTAGTTCTTGAGGTGGGTAGGCAAGAGTGGCCAGAGTATGACCTTCTGATATCTAGTTTTGTGGAATGCATCACATAGTGTTTTATGTCATATTTTGGCACTGTCATTGCTTGTAGAATACCATTTTGGTCTGCCTTGCCTACCTCTCTTTGTGTGTGGATCCTAATCTTTCCAGAGAGTGTGGAGTTTTAATTGCAAAAAGGATGTGGATGCTTTAGAATCCAGGTGGATGGAGGTACTCTGAATATATTCTACTGTGGAGTGATTGTTTGCATCCATAAGCAACTGGATCTCCATTAGCAGTCTCCTTCAGTCCAGGAGTCCTCATGAATTGTGACAGAGAACTAAGTGTGGCACCGTCACAAACTCCGAGAGGAAACATTTCAACTCCCTCTTTGGCCTTTACTGGTAGCTCTGCCATTGGGTACTCTCCCTAAGGAAGGAGGCATTTCTGTTCAGGAAGGAGGAAGCAGGTATGGAAGAATTTCACTTTTTATTATTCCTGAGCCTTTAGCTCACTGGTCACAGGCCTAGGCAAATGACAACTTTCTGAGGCACCTGTTTTCTAGCCGTTTGTATGCTCCCCACTGCCATGGAGGCCAGCATGGATGTAAATAGATGTAGAAAATTCTACAAACTCTATTTAGTAAGTAACCAAGTAGAATAGTTGTTTAAACAAAAATCAGTGCCCAGGGATAATGATACATGCCATATTTTGCCCAGTGTGAGTGTATTAATCTTCTAGTTGAAGGAGTGAATTGGTATTATCCTGATATGATGTCATACTCAGAGTTTCCTGCCTCTATTTTCCATCTGGAGTGAAATCAAGAAGATTAGGATGTGAGCATGATCCTTCTTTTGTTCTGCATCTTATGAAAGACAAAACCCTTGTGTTTTGGGGTGATGTCATTTTCTTTATGAGAAAAGAGTATGAGATTAGTGCTTGTCCCCCACCTTTAAGTCTGGTTTTTGATTTAATTATCATGTAGAAGTAATTCTTTAGTAGGATGTTCTATCATAGCTTTAATGCCATTTCTGATTTTGCCTATGTGGACAGGGCCTGAGTTTCCTCCAAGTGTTCAATTAGGATGACTTACGAGAACAGAGTGGGGGAAATGACATCAGATATCATACCAAAGCCATTTATGCTATCAAATAATGATGTCTCTTTTCTAGAAACACATAATTATACTTGGAATTCATGATAATATTCTACAGTATTTCAAAATCCACAAACAGATAAAATATCAGAGGAAAGAAAATGCTTTTGATGTGTCAGAATTCATTTATTTTCCAACTCGTTGTGCTTTGCCTTACGGTACGTGAATGGGCACTTATCAAAGCATAAGAAGGTTATTATTATATTCCATTCTTATTCAATTCAAATATTCCATTCTTAACATTTGTCCAAATTCAGTTTAATATGCCCTATTAACATGAAGACTGTTGAGAAAGTATACCAAATAGGCTTCAGGAGGAGATCAGAAAACTAAATTAGGCTTTGTCCCTAAATATTAAAAAAAATTACTTAAGTTATAGAAGTAATCCATGAAGAGCTACTTGATATAAAAAAGCAAATTACCTTCTTAAAAAGCTAATAGCATGGGGTCAAAAATTCCTTTCCTGTAAATTTGGGAATCTATCTTTTCATGGCCAATATTCTTAATGTAGCATTTTTGATAAATAACATAATTTTGTAACTGCCCATTAAAATATGTAATTTATTATTTAGAATTCTCCTTAAAATATTTTGCATTTTGGTTTGCTCTCTTTAGTAAGAGGGAGATTTATTATGCAATCTTCTAAAGTGTAACACTTATTTTCTGCCCGTTAACTTGTCTGTGTTTATGCTTTGCTTTGTTGAATCAATCACTGTGGTGTTTTATGGTTATTTCCACATGTGTCTTAGCTCCCCAGCTAAATTGTAAGCTCCTTGAATAGTCTAAGTCTTTATCCTGTATTTCTTGCCTTCTATATCACTTGAAGGATATTACACACTATAGATACTCAGTAAATACTTTTCCTTATAAGCACAAATTGGCATTAGATTAGTTCAAATCTGCTACCCAGGAATGAAGCCCAAATGTTGCTTTTGGTGGGTGATAGGGGTCATATAAATCTTTGCTATCTCCTGGTTCAGTTGTGGTTTGACTAGTTCTTAGGAAAGAATAAAAAGTTCTGGATAATCAAAAGTGGTAATTTGTTGAATTTCATTTTATAAAGATTTTATTTGGAGAAGAAACAAAATCAGAGTATTTAGATTTGAGAGAGGGGTGAAAGACAAAGTTGCTATCTTTAAAAATGCTTTTCTCACCTCTCCTATTCTGATAATCTTATGCACATAAAATCATCTATGCAGGATGGTTTTTACCATTTTCTCCTCTTCTGATGATGGGCACTGTTTACGAAGGTGAAATAGAAAGCAGACTGGTTGGAGACAACATTAGGGTAGTTTTTCCATAGCGTGGACACGTCTCAGTTATTCCCAGGCCTTCATCTATTCATTCTTTCAGCAAGGATGTATTGATCACTGATTCCACGGCAGGCATTGCGCAGCCCTAGAAATACAGTGAGGGCAAGACAAACATGACCTTGCCCTCAGGGACTTGTATTATTGCACTCTGGTAAATCCTAAATATACTTCTTTTTTTTTTTTTTTTTTTTTTTAAATTGATCATTCTTGGGTGTTTCTCGCAGAGGGGGATTTGGCAGGGTCACAGGACAATAGTGGAGGGAAGGTCAGCAGATAAACAAGTGAACAAAGGTCTCTGGTTTTCCTAGGCAGAGTGTTTGTGTCCCTGGGTACTTGAGATTAGGGAGTGGTGATGACTCTTAACGAGCATGCTGCCTTCAAGCATCTGTTTAACAAAGGACATCTTGCACCACCCTTAATCCATTCAACCCTGAGTGGACACAGCACATGTTTCAGAGAGCACAGGGTTGGGGGTAAGGTCACAGATCAACAGGATCCCAAGGCAGAAGAATTTTTCTTAGTACAGAACAAAATGAAAAGTCTCCCATGTCTACCTCTTTCTACACAGACACGGCAACCATCCGATTTCTCAATCTTTTCCCCACCTTTCCCCCCTTTCTATTCCACAAAACCGCCATTGTCATCATGGCCCGTTCTCAATGAGCTGTTGAGTACACCTCCCAGACGGGGCGGCTGGCCGGGCAGAGGGGCTCCTCACTTCCCAGTAGGGGCGGCCGGGCAGAGGCACCCCTCACCTCCCGGATGGGGTGGCTGGCCGGGCGGGGGGCTGACCCCCCACCTCCCTCCCGGACGGGGCGGCTGGCCGGGCGGGGCGCTGACCCCCCCACCTCCCTCCCGGACGGGGCGGCTGGCCAGGTGGAGGGCTGACCCCCCCACCTCCCTCCCGGACGGGGCGGCTGGCCGGGCGGGGGGCTGACCCCCCCACCTCCTTCCCGGACGGGGCGGCTGGCCGGGCAGAGGGGCTCCTCACTTCCCAGTAGGGGCGGCCGGGCAGAGGCACCCCTCACCTCCCGGATGGGGTGGCTGGCCGGGCGGGGGGCTGCCCCCCCACCTCCCTCCCGGACGGGGCGGCTGGCCGGGCGGGGGGCTGACCCCCCCACCTCCCTCCCGGACGGGGCGGCTGGCCAGGTGGGGGGCTGACCCCCCCACCTCCCTCCCGGACGGGGCGGCTGTCCGGGCGGGGGGCTGACCCCCCACCTCCCTCCCGGACGGGGCGGCTGGCCAGGCGGGGGGCTGACCCCCCCACCTTCCTCCCGGACGGGCGGCTGGCCGGGCGGGGGGCTGACCCCCCCACCTCCCTCCCGGACAGGGTGGCTGCTGGGCGGAGACGCTCCTCACTTCTCAGACGGGGCGGTTGCCAGGCAGAGGGTCTCCTCACTTCTCAGACGGGTCAGCCGGGCAGAGACGCTCCTCACATCCCAGACGGGGCGGCAGGGCAGAGGCGCTCCCCACATCTCAGACGATGGGCGGCCTGGCAGAGACGCTCCTCACTTCCTAGATGGGATGGCGGCCGGGCAGAGACGCTCCTCACTTTCCAGACTGGGCAGCCAGTCAGAGAGGCTCCTCACATCCCAGACGATGGGCGGCCAGGCAGAGACGCTCCTCACTTCCCAGACGGGGTGGTGGCCAGGCAGAGGCTGCAATCTCGGCACTTTGGGGGGCCAAGGCAGGCAGCTGGGAGGTGGAGGTTGTAGCGAGCCGAGATCATGCCACTGCACTCCAGCCTGGGCACCATTGAGCACTGAGTGAACGCGACTCCGTCTGCCATCCTGGCACCTCGGGAGGCCAAGGCTGGCGGATCACTCGCGGTTAGGAGCTGGAGACCAGCCTGGCCAACACAGCGAAACCCCGTCTCCACCAAAAAAATACGAAAACCAGTCAGGCGTGGCGGCGCGCACCTGCAATCGCAGGCACTGGGCAGGCTGAGGCAGGAGAATCAGGCAGGGAGGCTGCAGTGAGCCGAGATGGCAGCAGTACAGTCCAGCTTCGGCTCGGCATCAGAGGGAGACCGTGGGGAGAGGGAGAGGGAGAGGGAGAGGGAGAACCTAAATATACTTCTTTGTAGAGAGGATCGTGAACTGCTTTAAGTCTGGTGGCATCAGAGGAAAAATTAGACATCTTCAGGTTGATTCCACAGAGCAGTTGTTTCCTTTTTCACTTGACTTACATAGAATTAAGTCAGGTTATATAAATAAATGTAAAATCAAGTTGGTTTTTCCATTGTAAGGAGAAAAATGCTTTCATATTACTTAAAATGCATTTCAATAAATATAGAAAATTACATACAAATGGCCGGGTGCGGTGGCTCATGCCTGTAATCCCAGAACTTTGGGAGGCTGAGGCATGCGGATCACCTGAGGTTGGGAGTTCGAGACCAGCCTGACCAATATGGAGAAACCCTATCTGTACTAAAAATACAAAATTAGCCGGGCGTGGTGGCACATGCCTGTAATCCCAGCTACTCAGGAGGCTGAGGCAGCAGAATCGCTTGAACCCGGGAGGCGGAGGTTGCGGTGAGCCGAGATTGTGCCGTTGCACTCCAGCCTGGAAAACAAGAGTGAAACTCCGTCTCAAAAGAAAAAAAAAATTTACATACAAATTATATACCCCACATGAGAGTTTCTTGTGAGGAATTATAGTCCCCTACAACTACCAAGTCCCCTACAAAAAACAATTTACCTTACCCCCGCTTTTTTTTAGTAGAAATTGACACTGGGTTGAGGGTGTCCTATGGAATGAATGAGTAAAACTGAAACATTCGACTTGTTAGAAGGAAACATGACCATGATTTCAAGGATGATCCAATGTAGCTTGGCGGCAGCCCCTGATAGCTCTCCTGCTATGTGTTTTTTTTTTGGTAGCAGTGATGGAGAAAACAATGAAGATGAAATTTCCAGGAAATAACCCAATCAGGTGTTGCTTAATGGAGTCTACTGTCATTAAAATCCAATTTGATTCATTTGGAGAGTGAAATATCACAATTGCAACTGCACCATAATGGCTTTTTGGAAGATGGAATTTGTATAAACTGGGTTAATCCCTTGATCACCAATTCAAATAAAAATAGATAAAACATGAGGAGGTTGGCAGGGGTGAAGGACTGGGAATAGCAACGGTGTTGCCAGAAGGTGTCTTTCCTGCCAAGGGGAATTGGCATAGGGAACCGTCTCTGAGCCCAAGTTCTGGAAGCCACAACCTGATGGAGACAGAAGACAGATTGCCTAGGTCCAGCTGGGGAGTGGAGCCCTGCTGGCCCAGCCAGATCACAAGTGAATTGCCCCTCTGACCTACACATGTGCTCTGTGTGTCGAAATTTGCATTTCTTTCCATTTAGAATTTTGCTTTCTATTAGCCCACAAGAAGTTTAATGGCTGTCATGAACAAGTTTTGTTGTGTTTTCCTTTGGAAATGTAGCTGTTAGGAAATCATTCAATGAGTTCTGGGTTTATACCTAGAAATGGTCCCCTGGAAGTCTGGAAGAGTTAGATGCTACCACAAGGTTCTACCAGACGTGCAGGGCATAACTTGTACACGCAGGCTGGGTCAGCCGTATTGAGTGGATTGCAGGAGGAAACCTTAACTATGAGGCTGCTACCTTGGACTTGAAATACTTTGACAATCAACAATTAGTGAGAATTGGGATAAGATTTGTTTCTCCTTGGCAAATTCTTCTAACATTCTACAAGCAAAATGGGATTTCAAAGGCAAGAATTGCTCAGTGATGACAAACTTTTAATTACCTCACATACAAAAGATTGGCATGGTATTTATGATTTTTAATATAGTCATTAAAAAAGACTCCACAAGAATCTCTACTAAGCTGTGCTTGATTTGCCTGTACATTGGGTAGGATGCCTTTGAATGCAAGTTACAGAAAGCACAGGTCAGAATGGTTTAGGCCATTCTGGATAATTTGTTATCTTGCATAGGGTAAGTTGCAGGTTGGTTCCAAAATCAACATCCCAAGATATACAAGTGTCTCCCATTCTTTCCATTTTGCCCTTCTCAATGAGCTTTGTGCTTTCTCCTTGTGCCAAGATAGCAGCCAGATTTCTGACATCAAAATAGATATGACCTTGTCCAGCAGAAGAAAATTCTCCCTGTGTGTTGCTTTTTATTATTATGGAAAGATTTCTCAGAAACCCCTTCATTGACCTTCTGTCACATCTCATTGGCCAGCACTGGATCACAATCGCTTCCTAAATCAGTCAGTAGGGAGGTGAATGGGCTCACACTGACTACTTAGAGCTATAGATGAATCAACTCCTGGGTCAAGTGGGCAAGAGGTGGATCCCTGACCAAAATCTCACACACATGTACATACGTGCATGCCTATCCAATAATAGCCAACTGCTGAAGTGTGTGTACTCCACAGGCAGATGCTGATGCCAAGTTTGGGGTGCAAAATGTTATTAGGGTTCAATTCCTTTGAAGGGAAGGGAGAGAAAGCGGGGTTGGGTAGTGGAAGGAGTTGAACTGCAAGGTAGGCCTGAAAAAGTCTGGGCCATTTCTTGGCTTTGGAGGGTTCCGGGGCAAGTATTGCCTGCTTGTATCCTGCATTGGGTCGAAATGACCAGGACTTTATACCTAGGAGATGACTCATCAGATGTGGGCTGCTGGGAGAGGCAGCTCTCTGCAGCTGAGGCAGATTTGGAAGGCTACATTCCCCATAGCTGGGCAGAAGGTCCTGCCCTGCTGGGGGATCAGGGTGGTATACCCCCATGTATGTCATGCCAACCGTGTCTGTCACAGCCCAGTGTGCATAACTACATGAGTGTGAAAAATATATAACTGCATTTATTTAAAAGGATTTTATAGTCTCTTCTGGCCACTAGTCCAAACTCTCTCTTTCTCTATTCCCAGCCTCAATTTTTCCAGAGCAGCAGGGTTTTACTATATTATGTTTATGTATGGATTGTAGGTGGTTAGAGCTCAATCAGCTCTTGAAACTCACCTGTTCAATACGAGCATTAGTTAAGGAAGCCAGGGTCCATATGAGTTCTGGACCTCAACTTGAAATCTTTCATGTAGTAGGCATTCAATGAATACTTGTTAAATTGAATTAATCAAGGACACAGACTCAGGATTAGAACCTTGCTCTCCCAGCTTCTAGTCCAGTGTTCTGTGAACCTTGCTGTCTCTCTCTCTCTCTCTCTCTCTCTGTGTGTGTGTGTGTGTGTGTGTGTGAGAGAGAGAGAGAGAGAGAGAGAGAGAGAGAGAGGGACAGACAGACAAAGACAGAGAGTAAACTTTGGAATATCAAATAATTCTAGTAGTTTTGGTCCAGTGGTCTGGGATTTTACATTATCATGCATACTAGTAGGAAAACTCAGACAAATCAGAATTATTTCACTGGATAAACTAGAGGCAGATGTATCTGGCATTCACAATGGTTTTATTTTATGGGCTACATTGAGGGAACCACCTCAAACTTGGGTGGGGCAGTAGCTACTCAGCCCAGCCAAATATTGCCATGGGGCAATGCAGGCCCAAGATAGCCTGTATCCTCTGCTTCCTCAAGAGAAGCTGGAAATCTGAATTTTTAGGTGATATCTACAAAATTTTTAATGTTGTCTCAAAAATTTAAAATTGTCACGTTGGCCAACTCAAACATGCTAGTTTGAAAACTCTAATCCAGTGGCTCTCAACCAGGGGCAGTTTTGTTCCCCCGGAGACATTTGGTAATGTCTGGAGATATTTTTGGCTGTCACCAGGGGAGCCGGAATGCTACTGGCATCTAGAGGCCAGGGATGCTGGTAAACTCCCTACAATGCACGGGGCATTCCTCAACCAAAATGTCAATTGTGATGAGGCTGAGAAACCTTACTTTAGTCATATGTTAAAGTCAAAAACAGAAACTGCCTCTTTTTCACTGGGACCTCCTCTGTGAAAAGTGGCAGTTGGGGCCTGCCCCAAAACAGGAAAACTCAATTTCAGAGCTTCAAAAATCAACACTTTTAAAAATGGTTGCTGAGTTACAAATGGCCAAAAAGCATATGAAAAGATGCTCAACATCACTAACTACCAGAGAAATGCAAATCAAGACCACAACTGAGGCATTACCCAACCATTACAGTGGCTACTATAAACAACAACAATAACAGACAGTAAGTGTTGAAAGGGATGTGGAGAAGTTGGAACCCTGGGAATTGTTGGAGGATGTAGAATGGTGCCACTGCTATGGGAAACAGTATCATTGTTCCTCAAAAAAATTGAAACTAGGACTACCTTATGATCCAGAATCTCACTTCTGGGCCTATATCCAAAAGAATTAAAAGCAGGGTCTTGAAAAGGTATTTGCACACTCATGTTCATAGCAGGGTTATTTGCAAGAGCCAAGAGGTAGAAGCAACCTACATATTCATCAGTGGATGAATGGATAAACAAAATGTGGCATTTACATACAATGGAATATTATTCAGCCTTAAAAGGGAGAGGAATTCTGACACTTGGTGCAGCGTGGATGAACCTTGAAGACATTATGCTCTGTGAAACAAGCCAGACACAAAAGGAAAAACATTGTATAATTCTACTCACATGAGATATCTAAATTAGTCAAATCGTAGATAATAGGAAGTAGAAGGGTGGTTGCCAAGAGCTGGGGGAAGGGGCAAAAGAGAGTTATTTATAGTTATAGAGTTTCAGTTCTGCAAGATGAGAAAGTTCTGGAGATGTATCTCACAGCAATGTGAATATATTTAGTACTACTGAACTGTACACTTAAAAATGGTTAAGATGGTACACTTTATGTTATGTGGTTTTATTTTTACCACAATTAAAAAAATAGGTTACTGAGCTGAAAAATAGTTCACCAACAAATTCTAATCTCATTGTATGAGTTATGCCAAGGTATTTTGAAAAACAAACACAAAAACAGAAAGTGTCATTTGTAGAGAACCAAATCACAGTTTTCCGTGCATTTGAGGAGAGAAATAGCTAAACCACCAGAACTGTGACTGAGTGATAGGTGACTAAAATGATAAGCATTGCATCAGGGCTTCAATCCTCCTACACCCCTAGGGCTCAGTGTCCTTATGTGATCAGATCACTAAGGACTCACCAAGGTTCACAGCTGGTGGGATAAGAGCTGGTGAGGTGGGGCCAGGCATGGTGGCTCACACCTGTGATCCCAGCACTTTTGGGAGGCTGAGGTGGGTGGATCACCTGAGGTTGGGAGTTTGAGACCAGCCTGACCAACATGGAGAAACTCTGTCTCTACTCAAAATACAAAATTAGTCGGGTGTGGTGGTGCATGCCTGTAATCCCAGCTACTCGGGAGGCTGAGGCAGGAGAATCACTTGAATCTGGGAGACAGAGGTTGTGGTGAGCAGAGATGGCGCCACTGCACTCCAGCCTGGGCCACAAGAGCGAAATTCTGTCAAAAAAAAAAAAAAAAAAAAAGAGCTGGTGGGGTGGGTTCCCTCCTATGGTAAGGGAAACCATCACTGCTGAAAATTTTTCCCTGTTCTACCAATTATGACACTATGCTCTGAGGCTTCCAGAAGTTGCCTTTTGATATAAAAACTGAGATTTTAGAATTCCAAAATTTATCTCTCAAAAAAGTCTCTGCTATGTGTCTACAGTACACATTCTGAAATCAATTGCATTTTTCATCCTGGACTATGTAGGCAGGCCTGCTTAGAAGGCAATGGTCTGTTGCCCAAAGTGAGGGGAGAGGGAAGGGGATGAGGAGGGTGGAGGGGAGAGGAGGATCTGATGCCATCCTGATGCTCACACTGCTTCTTGCACTCCATTGCAGGCTTCTCGCAGGCAGGCTCTATGTCTTCATCTTACACACCAGGGCTAGGCTGGCACAATAGCAGCTACTAAAAAAGTGTTTGAATCAAGGAATGAGTAAACACGGGGGTGACTTGACCTCTTTGTGTCTTCCTACCTTTAAAATAGGGTTAGCAATTCCTGGGGGTGACCTCAGGCAACTCTGCGAGCCAAGCCAGGTTTCCTCCATTCCCCGTGTCTTCCCTGGTGGTGGACCATTTCCCTTCCCTACTAAACACTGCCGTCTGAAAAGCCTTCCTGCCGGCTTTGCCCCACATTACACACTGGTTGATGGGTTCTCTTTCCAGAGGGTATTTGTTTCTTGAGCCTCATCTGTCGTGTGAAGTGGAAGGGTAGTTTTTTGTTAAGAGGATTTTCAGGTGCAGTTTGTTGGGAGAGGTTCTCTGGGGCAGTCGGTCCCTTCCTGGGCCCCTGGGTCTGCTGGGTACATAATCTGCTCTGCTTACATTGAAGGCTGGCCCTGGAATCCCTGCCCCACCTGCATCACCAGGCTGTCACGGGGATAAAGCGGGATGATGGATGGAGGAGGACTTTGAAAAGTTAAAAGCTCCTCGCAAGCGCGAGTTGTTATTGTTGTTAATCCACAGCCGTCGGGGAGGTGCCCCTCTTGAAAAGAGTCCCATCTCTAAGGAGACTGAGGGCAATTTGGAAAGAGGTGGCATTTATGGGTTTCTTGCTTTAAAACAAAACAAAACAAAACAAAACAAAACAAAACAAACAAAACAAAACACATCCCCCTCCAGGGTATACCGTGAGTGAACAGGATGAAGAGTTATTCTTAAAATCAGAATGGATAAAGGTTCCCTCTGACCCCCCACCTCCCATCCTACTGTAAAGCCTCTAAAAGCTGCAAACTTTGTTTTGGCAGGTTCACTGCCAAATGACAGAAAGCCAATAGCCTTAATTTTTCTCTCTGTTCCCACATCTCCTCTCTACCCTCCCATCCCCCTTCCATTATTTTAGAACAAGTCTCGGCTTGGAGCTGATCTTTAACTTCTGGAAACTGAATTGGTTCTGTGCGTATTTGGCTTGGCTGAGTGAGGGGAGAAGGGCTTGCTTTTGCAGGAAGAGGAGAGGGGTGCACGCTGGGGGAAGTCTGGGAGCTGGGAGGAGATGGGAGGCTGAAATCCAAGTTTGCACCCTCTCTTCCTAGGCCTGCTTCCGCGTGGGGCTCACAGCATTGTCAGCCAGTCCTGGGGGTGGTGAGAGTGGGTAGGAAGGCAGGAGGGAGAGTTTGAGGTGGTCAGGTCCTGGGTCTGATTATTATTCTCACTGCCGTTCAAATTTTGCTAAATGCGGGCCAATTGCTGGAAAATAAATCACGAAGGGGCGAGAGGTGGCTGGTGGGTGTTTATGGGGGTGATTTGTTGTCCTATAGGGAGGTGACGGTTTCTACTGCTCTTCTGAAGTGGAAGGGGGACGTCCCTGGCTGCCTTTCCCTCCTTGCTGGCTATTTTCATTTTTTTCTTGGGGGAGGCTTGAATGCGCTCAAGTATTAACTAGAGGCCACGGATTGGCCCGGGTTCCCGCGACTGGATTGGGCGGCACAGGAAGACCCGTGAGCTGGGGAGTTGAAATTCCATCCTCTGCCCTCACCAACGGCTGGCAAATCGAGCCCTTCTGTTCCCTGAGAGCAGCCCTGAGTGTGAAGGGCCTCTCTGAAAGCAGCCCACGGGATGTGGCCAGGAAACAGGGCTTTGTTTCTGTGTGGGGTATAGGAGAAACGATTTTCTGTACTCTGGAATCTTCAAGAGCTTCACCAAACATTCCCAGAATATGGCTTCTCTCCTGTTGTTCCTTCCTCTCTCGCTCTCCTGTCTAAATCCAACTCAAACTCCAGGGACTGTTCAAATCCCACCTCCTTCTTTGTTTCTAGAACAGTCATCTCTTCACTGCATGAGCGCCCAGAACCCCGTTTATGCTCATCACAGGAGCAGGCACCTGATTACCTGAAATTACATATATGTTGGCACTTGGGAATTTATTTATCTTGCCAGTTTATGATGTATGTCTTAAGACTTGCTCTCTGTCTGTATGTCTTATGTTCTTCTTGAGGTTATTAACTTCTTTACGACAAACAGTACAGCCTAGTCCTTTGATATACTTTTAAATTCTAAACTTTGTAAACATTTTCTTTCTTTCTTTTTCTCTTTTTTTCTAGACAGAGTCTGGCTCTGTTGCCCAGGCTGAAGTGCAATGGTGCAATCAGAATTTACTGCAACCTCGACCTCCTGGGCTCAAGTGATCCTCCTGACTCACTCAGCTTCCTAAGTAGCTGGGACTACTGGTGCGTACCACCATGCCCGGCCCTTTGTAAGCATTTTAAAACCCATTACTTTTTTTCTTTTCTTTCTTTCTTTCTTTTTCTTTTTTTTTTTTGAGATGGAGTTTTGCTCTGTTGCCCAGGCTGGAGTGCAGTGGCACGATCTTGGATCACTGCAACCTCCGCCTCCTGGGTTCAAGTGATTCTCCTGCCTCAGCCTCCTGAGTAGCTGGGATTATAGGTGCATGCCACCATGCCTGGCTAATTCTTGTATTTGTAGTAGAGACGGGGTTTCACCATGTTGGCCAGGCTGGTCTTGAACTCCTGCCCTCAAGTGATCGGCCTGACTTTGGCCTCCCAAAGTGCTGGGATTACAGACGTGAGCCACTGTACATGTCCCCCATTTGTTTTTTTTTGTGTGTGAGTATAATTTATATGAAATGAGGAGGGCAGACTTTGGAAGGGAGGATGCACCCTCAGGAGTAGATGAGGTTCTAGCCTCGTCTATACCACAGGGATGTGCCTTTACTTCCTTCTCCTGCATTAGGCATCAAAACTAGATCATCACACTCTCCTCAGTCTGACGACTCTTTCCATCAGAGCCACTATAGATCAATCAATCAGAGCAGGCTCTTGTTCTGAGGCATTCATGGGGGGCATGTGGGCTCTTGTGCAATTCCTACCCTCCATTTGTCTGTCTTCCCTGAGCTGGCCAAAGTAGGCAAGATGTAGTCCACACAGGAGTCAGAAGGCAGGAGGGTATCTTGGGCATGGGAGGCAGTCCCTTAAAATTCTGCCATGCTGTGGGAGCTGGATAGTCATGCTTGCATGCTGGTCATGAGGGGAGGTGATCAAGTGGCACTTTGAAGTTCCATAGGTGCTTCAGGACAGAACACTGGAATACACAGGTGTCTAGGTCTCACATTCTTATTTCCTGGTCCAGGTGTGACAGTCGATAAGCAGACTTTACATTTCGGTGTTTTCCTGCATAGTAGGTACAATCGGTGATGGGATTATTTTTCTCTCCCCCATTCATGCCTGCTTCTTTAAGATTTTAATATTAAGAATTGTTTTATGAAATTAATGTTAAAATACTACAGTGTTCTCTTCCCTGGGGGTGCAATAGACAGGTCGGTGTTCCTGGGATTCCTTCTGAGTGCCCATCATCCAGCCTCACTTCCCTTTGCCTCCACACTGGCCCCAGTGGCCTTCTTTGGAGGATGCCCATGGGCCCCTGGAGCTGCTTGGGGAAAGGTACAGAGAGCCAGAAGTGCCTGGGGGTTTACATTCGCTCTGAGGCGGCCAGTAGCGGAGAACCGAATATGGGAGTGACAAAGGTCAGTGGCCTTGCTTCAATGTGGGCCCATTTATGCTTTGGAATCTGGCAGAGGCTGGGCCGGAATCTCACCTGTGCTTGGCTTTTTCCCCATTTCTGTTCTGTTCCCCTCATCCCCTTTCCGTTTTCTCCTGGGAGCACTTTATTGATATATAACTGACAAGTGAATTGTAGTCTCCAGATCTGATTCTGGGGGACCCATTTTAAGATGGGGGTGGCAGAAGGTGGGGGGATGGCATGAGAGTGTAGATCGTAGATAATCCTAATCACAGCTGAAGTAAAGCTGCCCTGTGTGCACAGGATCCCTGCATAGAGGCCCATGGGATGACTGGAGTGCCCATTTACCCAGTAGGGCCTGGTGAGTAATAGCATGGGCCTGGGCTGCCTGTGTTCTCCAGAGGAGGACTAAGATGGGGGCTGAGAATCTGAGTGGGCCACAGTCATTTATGCAGCTCAGGCTAAACCACTTCTGGATGCTCGAGAGTTGGTTGCAGTTGATCTTTTCAGTTTCTAAGATTGGAAGTTGGCATCACCCATGAGATAGTCACGATGGCCTCCAAGGACAGGGAGATTTTGAGTGTGGCCTGACCCCTGCTCTGCTGTTCTCCCCAGTGCCAAGGTAAAGGGATTCATTTGGCTTTTCTTTCCCTTATGGAAAAGCCCAATTCACTGCTTTTCACTGTGGTTGCAGTGTGGAAGTACTCCTTCTGCATGAATTAAAAGGAAACAGAAGCAAGCATTTTCCAGAAATTCTAAGTTGAAATGAAAAACCTATTGGCTTTGGCTAAGTAGTTTATTTTCTCTTTCTTTCTCCCCCTTCCTTCCACCACCCTTTTTGGATTTTTTTTTTTAACACTATCATATGAGTCAGAATAGGTGTATCACTTTTAATTATTGTTGATTACCATTCATGTTGGAACAGCTACCTTGTAACGCCATCTCCTATCAGGAAATAAATGCCGACTTAGTGACCTGCGTGAGATAGCTAGCGACCCATCCCACTGGGGAGATGGCGGGCAGCCGCCTGGCGCTTGTTGAATTAAGAAGTGTGACTACAGTAATTAGCAGCAAGTATCCACCACAGGATAGAGCAAATTCAGGGCAGAGCTCAGTCGTCATACAGGTTGACCTTGGTGTGGGAGAAATGAGGGATTTGGGATTGGGGCCTGGAGGGTTGGGGCAGGGGTCGCGAGAAAGAAGGTCAGTAGCAGAAACCAATTTGACATCTCTGAGCTTTTGTAATAGGATTTACCCCAGGCTTGTAGACCTGGGAATTGTCGCCTATGTAAAAGCTTGTGGCCAATTCGGCAGCCCTGGAGTGTGTATTTGGGAATGGAAGGGTTAAGTCTTGACTGCTTTGCCTCTAGTATGTGCTTAATGGAACACAAACAAAAAGGAAGAGACATAGTGTTAAAATAGAACTGGGGCGCAGATTGAGATGATACGTGATTACTAGCAGTTGTACAATTTATGGAAAAAATGTGCATGCAGGTCTTTTAGGAAGTGTAAATAAAACAGATGGATTTATGGAAGGGGGAAGTAGGCTTTACACACCCAGCTCCTAGATCAACAAATGTTGCCCTTAAGGTAAATTTTTGAAAAATGTTCTAAGCTTATATTAGTCACACCCATTTATTTTTGGCATAATTTGTGCACTCTTTGGAAGTTGGCAAGAGCAGGAATGTTGGGGCCAACATTTGGTCTTGCTTCAGGAGTTTCTATGAATATGAATGCCTGAAGTTTACATAGGCTTATGCCGTCTCTATAGCAACGTGTGTTTGTTGTGAAAATCTAGCCTTTTAAAGTCAAAAATCCATATGTTAACCTCAAATTCAACACGCTATCTAATTCTGGTGTTTAAAAAACCCTTTTAGGACTGTTGCACTTTTAATATTGGATTGGATTGGAGGGTGAGTTCATGGGTGTCCCTGGACACACACACACACACACACACACACACACACACACAAACGCGTGTGCACACAAGGTCTGTGCAAGGCAGACCTCTTGCTTATGGAAGTTAACCTTCATGTGCCTCCAAATGGAGCTGGATGAGAGGAGCTTCAGATGATCATGGAGCTGCCCAGGGGAATCTGAGAGTCACGTTTGAAGCACCAAAGGAGAAAATGACTTGGTAGATTGTGCATTTTCCACTGGGTGTTTGGAACTTGGGGGAGACCTTGGGAGGACCATCAGGCTGGCTCTGGTCTTCCCCAACCTAGAGAACAGACAGCAGGCTGTAGGGAAACTGGCAAGAATGAGGCCGCAGAGCCCAAGGCACGGAAACTTATCTGTGCATCTTAGTACCTGTCAGATTTTCATATGGTTGGAATTGTTCTTGAACTTAATGGGGTTCTTGGTTGAACTCCAGTGAGATAACAGTTGTAGGTGGGAACCTGAATATATTTACTGCTCTCTTCAGGGGAAAGAACTAGCTTTTTGCAAAATTATGATGTCCTGTGCCCATAGTCTCTGGGTTCTGGTGTCCTGCATTTTTCAGGGATGCTCTTTCCCGAGACCCAGTGCTTCCTAAGATCCTCATGCTCTCCCCTCCCCAAACTGGCTCTCAGAATAGCATAGGCTCAACTCTTTTAGACTGATGTTTAAGAGGAAGAGAAGGAAGAGAAGTGGACTTGGAACAAAGATTGTGTTTCCCATTAGAATCTGGGGCCTACCTCTTAAGAGCGGCCATTGAACAATTTGCAGATACTCTTAAATCCTCAATTTTGGCATAAAGAAAACAACACCAGCTCAAATGAGATAATGGATGTGACAGAGCTTTGTAAATTCTCAGCTCCTATTCAAATGTGAGTTTATTATTACAATCACTTTAATAAGGGATGGCAAATAGTGTTCTACTCAGATCCTAGCTTTGCTCAGTGGGTTGTAGCTGCTTGCAGTGTTGTGCTGAGAAAGATTCTGAGATTCTTTCACAAGGAAGTGCGGAGATTGACTAGTGATGTCTGTCATGGGCACCAGAAGCCTGGAGGGGTCCTATCCAGTGTCAAGTGTTGGCACTTCGAGATCCATTTGCTTTTTAAGAGTGATAGAGAGTATGAAAAAAGGAGATAAATCTTTAAAGTAAAATTTTAGATATCAGTGTGTGGCAAAGGCATTGTTTTGAGGAAGTGAGCCTCTTAATGCCCAGAATCAAGCTTGTGTATAGTTCTGACTCTGTCATTGGAAGACAGTTCTAATGTTATTTCCCAAGGCTGTTTCCCTGGTTGTCTGGTTACGGAGGTGCTAATAATTGGGACATGTGTTTCTTTTTCCCTTTCTGTTGTCCCATTAATCACACTGTCTCTTTCATACATTTTGACCTTTGATAAGATTCAGCTTATCACTTGGCTCATTGTTGTTCTCTGTTGATCGCAACATGTACGGATTCTATATGTACAAATGTTTTAGCCATAGGTACAGATTCATCTGTGAAACTGTAAATTGCTTGAGGAAAGCAGTTATGTCCCACATTTTCTCTGCCCTTGATTCCTAGTCTAGTGTAGGACATATAATAATTTGCTAAGCAAATTCTGAATTGCTCAGTAAATTATTTTTCTGATTATATATTAATTTTGGAAAACTTGAAAAAATATAAATGAGTAAATAAAAAAAGATGTTAAAACATTAGTACTAGAATTAATTACCATGAACATTTTGGTAAGTTTCCTGCCAGCATTTTATTACATGTACATATTTACATATAAATTTTAAAATAATTTAGAGCATACTTTATAATTACATGATCTGGATTTTCCTTTTATGCTACATTATAAGTACTTCTCTGGATCTTTAAAAGAGTCTTGGCAAATATTAAAATACTTGAATTTTAATTTTAAAACTTCAACTATTTTTTATTAGTTTGTGATTTCAACAGTAACGCATGCCATTGTAAAAAAAAAAAAAGTTGAAGATATGAAAAGTAAATATCCTCTCTCCTCTTCTCTCCTTTTTTTCACTCAGTTGATGTAACTCCTTTTTAGCAATTTCTTATATTTCTATTCAGACATTAGTTTTGCATGTACAGGCACAGAAAACGTGGGTTCATATTATTCATACAGTTTTGCGACATTTTTGCACGTATTATATCTTGGACATCTTTTATGTTACTACATACAAATCCACCTTATTCTTTTAAACTACTGCTAGGTATTCCATTCTAGGAAAATCTCATCTTTAACCAAACTTCTATTGATAGCTATTTAAGTGATTTCCCTTTTTTATATATATTTTTTGAGACAGGTTCTCACTTTATTGCCCAGGCTGGAGAGCAATGGTGTACTCACAGCTCACTGCAGTCTCAACTTCCTGGGCTCAAGTGATCCTTCCGCCTCAGCCTCCTGAGCAGCTGGGACTATAGGCTCATGCCTGGCTAATTAAAAAAAAAATCTATATATCTATATATATTTGTAGAGACAGGGCTTCACTATTCTGCCCAGGCTGGTTTCAAGCTCCTGGCCTTAAGCAATACTTCCTTGGCCCCACAATGTGTTGAGATTATAGGCATAAACCACATGCCCAGGCCTTTTTTTTTTCCTCTTATAAACAATGCTGCATCAGGCATCTCTGTGCATATATTTCTGTGCGCATCTTTGCACATATGTTTTAGTGTACAAGTGTTTATGTAGGATGAATGCCCGAAATGGAAATTCTGGGCTAAAGGGAGGGTTCACATGTAAAGTATTAAAAGATATGGACAAGTTGCTCTCCAAAAATGTTTATGCATTTACATTCTCATCAGCTATGCATAGTCTTTCTGGTTTCCCATACTCTTATCAATAATGGGGACAAAAAATGAAAAACCACACACATAAAACCAAACAAACAATAATCTCACTGTTTTTAAATTTACATGTCATTCATTATAAGTGAGTCTGTGCATTTATTCACACATTTAGCCACTCGTATTTTTTATTCTATAAACTGCAGTTCACATACTTTGTATATTTTTGTATCATGTTATTTATAAGTTTCTAATTGATACATTTTATGTCTTTAGATATTAAGAAAATTATTTGTTGTATGTGATAGAAGTAGTTCCACAATTTTTTTTTGTCTTTCTCTGACTGTTATGGTGTTTTTACAGCAGTTAAAAATGTTTATGTATTCAAGCTTGTTAGTTTTTTTCTCAATTATTTTATTTCATGTTAAGAAGAGTCTAATTTATTCCAAGATAATTTAGACCATTCCCCTGTCTTTCCTTTACCGGTTTAAAAAATGTTATTATTTTCATGTTATAAGAGCATGTTATTTTCATGTTTAAATTAAACAAAAATGTAATATAGGGTACTGGCATAAACTTTTCCCCAAACATTTAGCTAGTTATCTTACACCATTTGTTGAATAATCTATATTTTCTCTTGTGATCTGAAGTGCTACCTTTATCATATACTAAATTCTTATATATGACTTGGCTTCCTTTGAACCTTCTACTCTTTCTAGTCCTACATTTGTTCCTTATTGTTTAAATTATTATAGTTTTAACATATTTTATAACAGTGAGGTCTAGACTATACTTGTTAATCTTCTTTTTAAAACACATTTCTTGGCTATTTTCACATGGCCTATTTTCCCAGATGACCGTGGAATCATTTTGTTAAATTTGTACTTTCCCAACAAAACAAACAAAACTGTTTTTGAGATTTTGATTGGGATTATGTTGAATTTATAGACTAAGATGGAGAGAATTACCATCTTTACACTACTGAGACTTCCTACCCAAGAATACAGTTTTTATTTCATTTTATTCATATCTTATTTTGTGTTTCTCAGTAAGCATAACTTTTAAAGGCTTTACAATACTTTGCCTATGGATTTACCATAATTTACATGATTCTTCCCTTATTGCTGAATCAGTTCCCATCTCTTTCTACATTAAACAATGTGACAGGGAGCATTAGTATGCTTTGCTCTTTGAACATGTTTTGCCAATTTCCTTAGAATACATTTCCAGTGGATCAAAGGATCTAGGCATTTTAAAGGCTTTTGGTAGCTATTGAGAGATGGCTTTTTAGAGAGGCTCAAATAATTGACCCTCCTACTGGTAGTGTCAGAGTACTTGTCTGGCTGAAGTCTCACCAGCATTTTGAGTATTAGTATTAATAGTATCTTTGCTAAGTTGGTGTGAATGAGTTAAGTGGTGGGTGGGACACAGCATTGGATGGCTGCCTCTGCCTATCTGTGAATAGATTTTTAGAAATGTTCTCCTTTGCTACATGCTTTTCTCTACAGTATAGTCAGGGGGCAGTTTTCACTCTTCACTAAGATTAGCTTTGAGCCAACTTTGAAGACATTTACTTTAGTAACTTCTTATGTTTTTTGGAAATTTCATTTGTCCACTGATATCTAGGAATGAAGGGTAAATTTTGAGAGGCGGATTTCCATTTTGTTGTGATAGACTTATCTAAGAGTAGTCAAGACAGATGAGACCCCCCACCCCCATCTGCCCCAACACACATACACACAAGTGGCTGAGACTCTGCAAATTTCAGCTGAGCAACTTGGGGTTGACTTGGGCCAAGGTTGAGAGAAGGTGTTCAAATTTCATGCTCCAAATAGGTCTCTGGAACAGAAGAGTTCTTCTTGCTTTCCAACTGCAAATGTCATTTGGATTTCCCAAGCTTAGGACCCAGAAGTGTTCTTTTGTGAGAAGCAAATGCCAAATTTACTAGGACGGCCTTAGATGGACAACCAGACAATCATACTGGTAATGCCTCTTTGCTTTGGGGTTACTATCGCTCCTGTTTACTTTGGCAGGCTTTGAGCATGGGAATCAGACATTTAAAATGCTCTCCTTTCCATCCAAAAACCCTCTTTGCTGCCACCACCTTGCTGTAGAACCCCCTCCATCAAGATTTTTTGGTGGGGTGGGTCATGCTTTTACAGGGCTGTTTCTTTCGGGGTAAGCCTATTAGGCTTCTAGGATGTTTTAATTGGGGCAGTGTAATTGTAGGGTGCCACAAAGGCCCTGGCAAGGGGTACTTTATAAATCAGATTATTATGCTTAGTTGTGTTAATGGACATTTATATGCCCTAAATCCTTCATATAGCAATGAGATAATAGCCCTTAAGGCCATAGTTACTATTTTGGGTAGCGCTTACTTGTAAAACTGGATCATTTTATTGTGAAGCTGTTTTCAGTTAGAGAGTATGTAAAACCCTTTGAAAGACAGAATTTCAATTTTGTGGTTGCTGTCTTCTATAGCTTAAATGGTAAAATCATTATACACACACACATATATATATATATGAAAGCTTTGAACCAGTTAACATTGTGCTCCTGAAGCAGGACTTCTTAATAATGGGGAACTGCAAAACCTTAGAGGAATTTGACCAAATGTCCAACCTTTCTCCTGACCAGTAATAATGTTAACTTTTGGGAGACAGATTCTGGTTTTGTTTTGTTTGTTTCTCAGTGGTTGCAGGGGCCCAGGGAAGGTTAGGAAGCTGTGTTCTAGTGATAGTCAGTGATACAGAGGACAGAGGACACAGGTTATGTGGCTACAATGGAGAGTCTGAATGCACTGGTTGCATTGACAAGGATTTTCAAGTGCATTTTCATTCCTAGGCTTGAGACTGATGGACAGAGCACCCAACTGGCTTGACAGGAAGTCCCCTGTCCTCTGGGAGCCTGGCTACTTTGTTTGGAGGTTCATAGTAAGCAAATTGGACAGATTGTGGGTAGCTCGCTGTGCTACTTTGTGAGGTGTAGATATGGCTGGAATTAGATAAGACTGAACATTGTATGACACAGGGGCATGGATCGTTTCCACGACAGAGAGGATCCAATGCAGTGGGGACATCCCAAATTGACTGCAAATGCCTTCCCTGCCCCTGCCATTGGCTCACTTTTCCCAGATCCTTTTCCCTTTATTTACAGCTAAAGGGCTTCCTAAGTTTCAAGAGCACACACCTGCTTGGTTCCTAGGATGGCGACTGGGACTATTTGGAAGAAGCTACTCTGAGGGTGGAAACTTTGTCCCAGACACCCCAGAGGACCAAATAATCAGATTATGGGAAAAATTCTCACATTCCTACTAGGTACTTTTGAAACTCCCCTGGTGTCTACGATTTCCTTTCCTCTGTTCTCCTTTGCTCCCTGTTCTTCTTTCTGGTGTCAAATCTGTTAGTCTGAAGGATGAGCCATCAATGGCAACTTCCACGGCACCATTCGGGCTGCTTCTGATCTCCCCTCCTTCCCTGTGTAAGCCCTGCCAGAATCCATCTCACCTTTGCTCTGACCTTTCTCTTGTGTGTGACCCTGGGCCCCTCATCTGTCTTCTTCCTTCGTACAGGTCCACATCAGTCTTATTTCGTCTTTGAAACCTTTCTCGCCACTCCAGATGTTGGTAGACATTAATTGTACCTGTCGTTTGGGGTTTATATTACCCTGCTGCCCCACCTAGGGTATTCATAAAGCAAAGAGGCAGTATTCATGGTGGTTAAGAGTTTGGCCCCTGGAGTCTTTACCTGGCTTGAGTCCTGCTTCTAACCCTTGCTGATGTGTGGCCCTGACATGACAGTTCATCCCCTGAGCCTTAGTTTCTCATGGAAGACTAGAGCATACCTCATTACATAGTCAAGAGGCTTAAACACAGTTCAAAGCCATTGAAAGCTCTTCTCGTGGCGGTGGGTAGTAAGCACTCAAGAAGTGTTAGCTGCTGTCATTGCTGTTATTATTATAATTATTTTGATAGATCATCATGTCCCATCGTAAGGTCTTTGACATCCTCCCAGTATCTACCAGACCTGTGCCTACAGGTAATAAGCTGTCCCAGGGAAGGATGAGGATGGCATAAGCCTCATCTCCTCCCCATGCTGACCCTTTGGCTCCCAGGACAGGATGTTTGGCAGCACAGAGGTCCTGCCAAGGTTGTTGGCAAATAAACACTACCATGTTCTTTAGGAAGCCAATAAGGTGACCTGCAGTTTTCTGTGCAGAGGGTTGGGGCGGGGGTGGGAGGAGGTGAGTGTGGCAGGAGAGATGAGGCTTTGCAGAAGTGGGAAGAATAACTGGGAGCCACTTCTCCTTTGTCTGTCCTATAAACTTGCTGTTTCTGGAGGAAAGGAGTTTAGAGGAATGAGGACTGTGTTGGAGTCAGATTTGGGCCAGGGTTTCAGGTCCTAGTTCCGTCACTTGCCAGCTATGTAAGACTGGGTACCTCACAATCTTTGGGGCTGCAGTCCCCACATCTGTAAAGCTGGGATGATGTACTTCTCAGGGATGCTGGGGGAATCCAGAGAGCTAGTCCCTGTGTAAGTGCTGTGTGAAAAACTACACAAATATTAGTTGTCATAATCAGACACACTCTGTATTAATAGCTTTTATTTCACTATTGCAGCTTACTTGTTCCCCCTTCTTTGTCCTTCTGTCCTGTTCTTCCCCTCCTATTTATTTGCCCTGTATTTCTGTTTCCCTCTTTGGTTGCAATGGCAGATCTTTATTTAGTCTACAAGAAAACAGCAGAGGGGAGTAGAGTTCCAGGTTTCTGGCTAGGACCTCTGCTTTCACAAATTTTTTTTTTTTTTCTTTAGAGACAGGGTCTCATTTTGTCACCTGGGCTGGAGTGGCACAATCATAGCTCACTGCAGCCTTCAACTCCTGGGCTCAAGCGATCTCCTGCCTCAGTCTCCCAAGTAGCTGGGACTATAAGCATGTGCCAGCATGCCCAGCTAACTTTTAATTTTTTTTTTTTTTTTTTTTTTTTTTGTGGATAACAGGTCTCAGTATATTGCCCACGCTGATCTTGCACTCCTGGGCTCAAGAGATCCTCCCACCTCGGCTTCCCAATGCACTACTCTTGCATTGAACCACTTTCCTTTTCAGCTTTCAGACGGGCTTAGTGCTGAGGCCGAGGCTGGGATGTTCCAAATCCCTGCTCAGAGTTCCTTCTCTGTTCACATGCACTCTTGTCTCCACAGCTGGAGACTAAACTTGTTTAGGGTAAATATTATGGTTTGTATTACTTTGTACAAAGGCAGGTACACAGTAGGCAATCTGTAATTGTTACTCAGTGGTGCTACTTTTTGGGAAGCGATAAGAAAAATGGGACAAATACTCTTGCAGCCTGTGGATCAGTACCTCTCAGAGGGCACACTCGAGCAGTGGCCCAAAGGGACACAGGCTCAGGCTCCTGGTCTGAAAGAGTATAGGGTTGAGAGCTGGTCTCCAGGATGGGGTGGTGGGTGAGGTCCTGGTCATCCACATGCTCTGGGCTGAGGGTTATTCTTGTTTCCTAGCCAGCAGAGGAGAGTTTGGGCAGGCTCATGGTTCTGTGGGTTAGCTTGTTTGAAATATGCCTCCAGCTGGTGCATGGTGCCATGCACCTGTAGTCCCAGCTACTTGGGAGCTGAGGTGGGAGGATAGCTTTAGCCCCAGGAGTTCAAATCCAGCATGGGCAACATAGTGAGATCCCATCTCTTAAAAAAAAATAAGTAAAGAAATGGCAACCCCATGATAACAGAACAACATGGTGTTATGGTCCTGGGGAACTTCCTTTCCTGTGTGTGGAAAACCGACCAACTGGACCTCTATCCTGTGGCTTAAAAGCGTGGAAACTTAGACAGTTGCTGAACAGGGCCTTAGATATATTCAGACAGCAGAGGAGAGCTGTTTAGCCAGAACAGAAGCCCATGTGGTTGACTCATTCGTTTATCCATAAGTCACTTCTCAGTTAGTTGAGTATGCCCTCCTTGGTGGACTCAGGGTGACATAGGGTAGAGCATCCCAGAAACTGTCACAATTCCTTGGGAACTTATAGTCCATCAGGAAGAAAGATACATTATGAATAGTTACCCAAATGTATATAATTATGGTAAGTAACATAAAGGCAAAGTGTGGAGGGGTCATGACTTGCAGGGAGACCTGACCTAGTTTGGAGGGTCAGGAAAGGATTCTCCCTCCACATGACACTTAAGAGATCCAAAAGATGAGCAGGGGAAGGGTGTTCAGACAGCCCTGATGCCAGCTAGTGCAAAGACTCTTTGGTAATTAGAAGAGCGCACCTCTTTAAGCTAGTTCATTGCTGAATCATTGTAGCAACTCTGCATCTGTGATGCCAGTGAGGCAAACGGTGTCGCCTGGAGTCATGCAGTGCATGGCTTGTGCAGTGCAAGGGAGGCTCTGGCTTCAGGAAGAGGAATGGCCCCAGGTTGAGCAGGAGCTCGGGCTATTAGAGGAAAACTCTGTGCAACCAGCTGAATGCAGGCAAGCCAGGGGAAAAGAGAATGAGGAGGGGGAAGAGGTGGGCCGGGGTTGAGACATGTAGCACATGGAAATCCCTGTTAAGGATTTGAAGGATTTTAAGTCATTGAAGGGTTTTAAGCAAAGAAACAACTTGGTCGTTTTTATATGTTAAAAAGTTTACTCTGGTTGCTGGTTGAAGAATGGTTCAGAAGGCCAAAGTGGATGTGGAAAGACCAGATAGGAGGATTTTATAGTCCTGTGCTTGTGGGTAGGAGTGCAAAGATTAGATAAATATTTGGGAGGTGGAATGGATAGAATTTAGGGATGGATGATGTGTATGTGGGAGGCATGAAGGGGAAGGAGGAGTCAACCTTTAAAGGCTGTCCTGAGAATCAGGAGCTGGCTAAGATAATTGCAAGGAGCATTCAGAGAGAGAGAGAGAGAGGACAGTGTCCTGGATGCCAAGGAAGGGGTTGTCTCTAGAAGGAGGGATCAGTGGGTCACTGTGTCAAAAGCCATAGACAGATCAGTGAGAGGCAACTCGGACTTGGCAAAGTCAGGCTTGGTGGATACATAAGTGTGAGAGTCAGGCTGGAACAGGCTGAGGAGTGGACGGGAGATGAGGAAGAGGAGAGAGTCAATGCAGGCAACTCATGAGATGTTTGTGAAGGAAAGAAGTAAGAGTGGGTGGTAGCTAATGGGAAATGTGGGTCTGGGGGGTCAGGTAGGGAGGATAATGTGGGAGAGAGTAGGATGGAAGGATTTAGTGGAGACAAAGAAATAGAGAGATACAGGACACAGAGAGGGTAACTGATAATGACAGGTTCTGGAGAAGGCAGGAAAGGGTGGGAGCCACTTATCTAAGGCAAGATTGGCTGTGGATAGAGAGTGGGGTATCTCCATGGAAACAGCGGTGAAGGAGGAGAGGATGAAGTAGATGCAGGTGGGTCTGTCAGTTTGGTGGTGGGAAGCTGGTAGAGTTTCTTTTATGTGGGTTCTGTTAACTCTCTGGAGTAAGAGGCAAGATTGTCTGCTGAGAGGCTGAAGATGAAATTTATGTGATGGACCAGCACCAGATGAAGCCTGAGAAGTTTGCCGAAAGAACAAAGGAGTGAGTGGAATCGCTAACATCCATATAATATTGTATAATTTACAAATCACCCACACATACTTCATTTCATTTCAACCTTACTTCAAACACATGTGTTGGTTGATATTATCCTCTATCTTTAAGATGAAAATAAGGTCCAAGTTGGGTTCAAATTATTATGGGACCCATGCCCCACTAAAAGGATGCTGAGGAGCCCATTCTGCACTCCACCCTAACCAGCTTAGTGGGTTTTGTGTTTTTAGGTCCGTGCTGCATGGGAATCCCCTTCCTACATTTGAGAAACTTCCTGCCATGTGATTCTTAGGGTGAGCAGAGCTAGCCTTTCAGTAGAGAAGCCTAGAAGGCCAATCAATACCTGCCCTCCTGAGCCCCCCCAGGTGTCTAGGATGCAGGTTAGCACTAGTGCTCTGACAATTGCACGACCCTACCTGAGGCTCTGAATTGAGAGCTGGTGAGGCCAAGAAATGGGGATGGTCCTGCTAGGGTGGTGGCAGCGGCAGCAATGGCAGTGACATCGGGTTTCCAGGGGCTGTGCCACCAATGAAGGCACTTGCAGTGGTGACACAGGCTCAGGTGAACTCTTCAAAATGTGCCTGTAGGGAATCTGGGGCTGTGGTTCCAGGACCCGGCTTTCTTTTGTGCCTGCCCATTCCCTGAACCTCTTTCTCCAAGCATTCTGGAGTCTGTGAGCTGCCTTTAGTAAAGTCTTTTTTTGCTCAGTTCAGGCAGAGCCATTTCTATTGTTTGTGGCCAACAACCCTGACTGGTACACCTGCTTAAACCAAGAGCATTGTTACATCTGCAAGAAGAGTCTGCAGCTCACCATAGTGTATTTAAGTTCTCAACATCCAAGTTATGTAGAAGACTCCAAGTTGAGGAGTGGGCATTCACACTTGTTCTTGTTGCTCAGGAAAATTAACCTCATTCAGACTGAGGAGAACAGAAATACTTTGAGAAATCTCACAAAATAGGTGGGTACCTTATTCACATGCTAGGGGTTTTCATGTTACTGGAGGAGTTTGGGTGTAGAGTGATCCTTGTGTCCAGATCTTTGGAGCCAGTCAGCAATCGATATTGAGCCATTGGGTTGACTTTGCTACCTAGAATTCAGAGACAGTCCTCAGTTTCTTAGATATGGCTTCAGTCTCAAAAGTCAGGGTTGGCCAGGCGTGGTGGCTCATGCCTGTAATCCCGGCACTTTGGGAAGCTGAGGCGGGCAGATCATGAGGTCAGGGGTTCAAGACGAGCCTGACCAATATGGTGAATCCCTGTCTCTATTAAAAAATACAAAAATTAGATGGGTGTGGTGGGGTGTGCCTGTAATCCCAGCTACTCAGGAGACTGAGGCAGGAGAACTGCTTGAACCCGGGAGGCGGAGGTTGCAGTGAGCCGAGATTATGCCATTGCCCTCCAGCCTGGGTGACACAGTGAGACTCCATCTCAAAAAAAAAAAAAAAAAAAAAAAAAAAAAGTCAGGGTGGCATTTATTTGCTGTTGATACAAAGGTTGCCAAAAAAGCTCATTCTGGCTTCTGGGAGGCTACCTAAAGAGTGAGTGATTGATTGGTAAGATCTGCCACTGGTACAAAGATGGGGCTTGTGCCCATCCTCATTTAGATTCAGATCTTGGAGGCAGAAGCTCCTGAAGGGCACATCAAGGTTAGCCCTACCTTCACATAGACTTACAGGTTTCCCTTGGGCAGATGAAGTAGCCAAGACTTACGTTGCCTCTTTGGAGCCCTCAGTCCAAGCCAAGACTGAGTATAGGCCTTGAATTTTCATTCATTTCTTAGCATGAAATCCCTGTGATTTGAGGGGATCTGACAAACTGTTCTCTGTTATCTCTGTTGTTACTCTACAAAATATTCTTTTTAAAAGACATTTATAAATCAACAATTATAGTTATTTTAAGACACCAGGGTTAGAAACTGATAACTCAAACAAAAGTAAGCAGAGGCATAGATAATTTGACTAATATAATAACAAGCTCATGCTATTAGAATTATGTAGAACACTATGCACAGCAATAGAGAATACATTTTCTTTTGGAGCATGCAAAAAACATTTGTAAAAAGTGGCCACATACCAGGCTGCAAAGGAAGCCTCAATAAATTCCAAGGAATGATAATTATGCAGATTATGTTCTTTGAACATAACACTAGAAGACTAAAAGTTACCTATAAAAATCCCATCTGAATAAAATTAAAAAATGAAAAATCTCATATGTCTGGAAATCAAATAATATTACTAAGAAACTCTTCAATTAAAAGGGAGGCTTACTTGTTAAATTCCTAATGAGTATAAGATAAATTAGTAAAAATAAATAATAATTAACGCTAAATGACAGTAAGAATCCTTCCTATCCAAATAAGCAGGACATAGCTAAAACAGTTGTCAGAGAAGAATCTATTGCTTTAAATCTACTTTTCTGGGAATAAAAAAGTTAATATCAAGTGAGTTAAGAATTCTACCCAAAAGGTTTGAAAAGAATAACAGAACAAATCAAAGTACACAAGAAGGAAAGAAATAATAAATATAAGGACAAGAATCAGTGAAGAATGAACAAATAAATACAAGCAATAGACAAATTAGACAAACACAACTTTTTGGAAATATAAACAGCAGGAACTATCTTACTAATAATTCATAGTTAATGAATATGTGAATCAATAAAGACTAATCAGCAAAAAGATTAATAAACAAGATACTGATGGAAAAGGGAGAAACAGCTATACAATACAGCTGGTAAGATAACTAAATTATGAATAACTTCATCCTGCTAAATTTGGAAACCTTATATGAAATGAAAATATTTAGAGAACATGATTAAATGCCTATATTGGTAAAAGAAGCAATAGAAAACTTAAATAAACCAATAGGCACCAGAACAAAGACCTCCACTCCAAAAAGGCACCTGGCCCAGACAGTTTTACAGTAAAATTCTAGCAATCTCAAGTTAGAAAATAGAGAAATAACAAAAACTACCACTCATTTTTGAGCTGAACATAACATTTGTTCCACAATTAGATAAGGATAAGAATAGAAAATTACTGACCACTTTTGCTTATGATTCCAGATACCAAAACCCTAAAAAAATTGTTGTAGCTTATTAAATGTTAATATTAAGAGTATTAATTTATTGTCATTTGATAAGTTTGTTCAGAAGTAAAAGGATGGTTTAACATAATTCACCACATTAATACACAAAAAGAAAAAATCACATAATTATGTCAGTAAATGTAGAAAATATTTAATAAAGTTAAATACCTATTTATATTGAAAAACCTAGAGCACAAATCATACTTAATGGAGAAAGATGTATTACATTTTAAGACTAGTAGTAGGACAAGGATACCCATTACCCCCCACTATTGTTAGCATAACACTGGACTTTCTAGACAACTGTAAATGAAGAACAAAAAGAGATAGGAATTAAAGGGGAAGGAATGAAACTATCATTATTTGCAGATAATGTGATAATCTACATAGCAAAAACAACAGATCATACTATTAGAGTTAAGCAAGGTTGCCAGATGCAAGATCAGCTTATGTATTGCAACAGAATTTCTCAATACCAGCAAAAACTGATTAGAAAATATAGTTAAAAAATAATATTCATGGAAGCAACAAAAACTATTAAATATTTAGGAAATAAACAAGATCTCTATAGGTAAAATATTAAAAATTAAAAGCTATAAAAAGCATGAATAAATGGAGTAATTTTTACATATTTTAATCAGATGACAATATAAAGTTGTGTTAATTCTCCCTCAATTTTTTTTTTTTTTTGAGACAGAGTCTTGCTCTATTGCCCAGGCTGGAGTCCAGTGGCGTGATCTTGGCTCACTGCAACCTCCTCCTCCTGGGTTCAAGTGACTCTTGTGCCTCAGCCTCCTGAGTAGCTGGGATTACAGATGTGCACTACCACGCCTGGCTAATTTTTCTATTTTTAGCAGAGATGGGGTATCACCATGTTGGCCAAGCTGGTCTCAAACTTCTGACCTCAAGTGATCTGCCTGCCTTGGCCTCCCAAAGTGCTGGGATTACAGGTGTGAGCCACTGCGCCTGGCCACAGTTCTCCCCAAATTAACTTATAATTTCAAGGCAATCTTAACAAAATTCCAGTAGGATTTTTTTAAGGAGCTTGATGATGTGTTTTAGAAGTTGTATGGAAGATTAAGAGGTTCATGAATAACAACTTTGAGAAAGGAAAACACAGAGGAAACTTGCCCTATCAGATGTTAAGACATATTGTGTCAAGATATTAAGACATAGCCTTATTGTGGCAAAATACAAATAGAACAGAGTAACAGAGTAGAGCACTCAGTTGACAGACCCATGTGTGTAAGGAATTTAACAAATGATAAAGATGACCTACTAAGGGAATTGGATCCTGTGGCAGATTCCCTTCCCAAAGAGGATTGCAGCATTATCTCCCTCCCACGTGTGCTTCTTTACAAAGTGACTTTGAGCCCTTCCTGTTAGAGGTGAAATGTATGTTTCCTCGCCCTGATTCTGGGCAGGTTTGTGATGACAGTGGAAGTCATGCTAAATGATTTCTGAAGCTATATATAAAGCTAATATAGCCTAAGCAAGTGTTACTAAGGTTTTATAAAGTCATACAGCCTTTGAATTTTTCTTTATCTTGGAACTCAGCCATCATAATGTGAAGAAGCCGAAGCAGCCTGTGAAGAGGCGCTAGTGGAAAGGAACTCAGGTGCCCCTGCCCTCAGTCCCAGCTGAACTCTCAGCTGACAGCCATCACCAACTTGCCAGCCACAGGAGTGAGCCAACTTGAGAGTGGATCTTTCAGTCCCAGTGGAGCCATCTCAGCTGACACACCATGGTAAAAAGATGAACCATCCTTGCTGATCCTTGCCAGTGCTGCAGATACATAAGCAAAATAAATGTTTTTGTTGTTTTAAGCCACTATATTTTGGAGTGTTTTGTTATACTGGTGTGTTAAACAGGCCTCTATGTCACACCATATACATATATTGGCTCTAAATGTTAAAGATAATACATACAGTTTGTGGAATATTATATAATAGACTATCTTTGTAACATAGAAGTGGGGAAGGATTTCTTAAGCAAAATCCCAAATACACAAATTATGTGCCCAAAATGGATGACTTTGATTAAATAGGAGGTAAGCAATTTTGCCCAATGAGAAATTGATAAAATGAACAGAAAGATAATTGTTTGGGAGACTATAGTTGTAAATATCAACAATCTAATATTTGGAATTTACAAGGAACTGTTGCAAATCAACAAGAAAAAAACAGCAGCCCCTATGAAAAAGCAATCAAAGACTAAAAACTTTCAGTTTACAAGGAAGCTCATATGACTAAAAAGCATATGAAGAAAGTATGCAAACTCACAAATGAGTAGAAAAACAGAAATAAGAATATCAAGATTTTATGTTACACCTAGCAGAGTGGCAGAACTTGGAGAGTAGAGGATATTAGTTTCCTAGGGTTGCCATAGCAAAGTACCAAACACTAGGTGGCTAAAAGTACAGGAACTTATTTTCTTACAGTTTTGGAGGCTAGAAATTCAAAATCGAGGTGTCAGCAGGGTTGGGGTCTTTTAAGAGGTGTGGGAGAGAATCTGTTCCAGGCTTCTCTCCTAGCTTATGGTGTTTTGCTGATGATCTTTGGCCTTCCTTGGCTTGTAGATGCCTCACCCCAGTCTCTGCCTTCATCTTCACATGATATTCTCCTGTGTCTGTCCATATGGTCTTCCCTCTATACGTGACTGTCTTTGCATCCAAATATTTTCCTTTCTACAAGGACACCAGTCATGTTGGATTAGGACCCTCCCTAATGACCTCAACTTGACTGCATTTTCAAACATGATCACATTCTGAGCTACTGGGAGTTATGACTTTAACGTATCTTTCTTGGGGGACATATTTCAATCCATAACACTGAGTATTGTGCGACGTTGGTGGGGATGTGAGCCTTCAAAACCCTCAGGCTATGCTGGTGGCAGGGAGAATGGGAGCAGCCTGGCAGTACTCAGTGAAGCCAAGTATACTGACACCACATGACGCAGCTTTCCTGATCCTGGGAATACATGCTGGAGAATTTCCCATATAGTTTTTTTTTTTGTTTCATTTTTTGGTATTTTTAGTAGAGATGGGGTTTGTCCAGGCTGGTCTCAATCTCCTGAGCTCAAGTGATCCGCTTGCCCTGGCCTCCCAAAGTGCTGGGATTACAGCTGTGAGTATACCGCTCCCATCATAGCCTCCCATACAGATTCATAAGTGACATATATGGGAAGATAATCACAGCATTGTTTGTGGTAGTGAGGAGTTGGGAACATTCTAGTTGTCCATTCTTGGGGGGCTGGATATGTTAAATCTGGTGGGTACAGAATATGGAACAGTATGCAGCATCTAGGAGAAATGACTAGATGCATGTGTGGCAATATGGATAGATCTCAAAAACATCATGCTAGGTGAAAAAAGGAAGAGACCGGATGATACCTAAAACATGAGAACATAACCTTTCTATACATTAAAATATATGCATACAAGACAATAGTCAAAGCACATATACAGATAAGCACAATACAATGCTTGTCAACTGTGGGGAGAGAAACTGGGCTGTAGAATGGAGATGAAAGAGAATTAGTAAAAAGCGGGGCATGTGGAGTTGTGTTTTGACTTCAAACAGTAATGTCTCATGAACAGAAGAATTTGTTCAAATCAACCCTGAGTCCTGAAACACACAAACGCTTACCCATGAAATACTCCACTTCCATTGATTGATTTATTGATTGAGATGGAGTCTCGCTCTGTCACTTAGGCTGGAGTGCAGTGATACTATCTTGGCTCACTGCAACCTCCACCTCCCAGGTTCAAGTGATTCTCTTACCTCAGACTCCCAAGTATCTGGGATTACAGGTGGCTGCCACCATGCCTGGCTAATTTTTTTTTTGTATTTTTAGTAGAGATGGGGTTTCACCATGATGGCCAGGCTGGTCTCAAACTTCTGATTTCAAGTGATCTACCTGCCTTGGCCACTCAAAATGCTGGGACTACAGGCGTGAGCCACCATGTCCGGCCTGAAAATACTTTTATCCTGTGAGAGTTTTAAGATCTTAAGGTTGGTGGAATGGGACATCAGTTTTGCAACGTTAAGAATTAAAAAAGAAAAAAAAAAAGAGATCTTAAGGTTGGAAGAGACCTTCCCTTCAACAGCCCTGTCTTGCCCTGCACTGCTTGTTGAGAGAGATACAAGAGAAGCAAGATGTACTTCCCATCCTCAGGATGATTCATCTAAATGGGGAGAAAACATGCTCAAGAAACAATTCTGTGATGACGCAAGTCAGCACGCAGCTCAGCAAAGGGAGAGGGACTGGGGAAGAGCAGAATGTCTGTTCAAGATAAAAATAGGTAGATGGAATGTATTGACTTCAGAAGAATTTGCTTAAGTACAAAGGACTCCCCAGGCCCTCAGCTTGCTGCCCACTGCCAGAAGCCACAAATTTCATCTGTTTCTACCAGGAAGCTCTGAGGGAGCTGTGACCTGCCGATGGTGAAGAGGCTTTGCAGGAGGGTGGGCTCACCTCCCAGCTTCAATCAGATTACTTTTATACCTAGGGCTCCAGATTAAGATTTTCCTTGGCCAGGTACGGTAGCTCATGCCTGTAATCCTAACATTTTGGGAGGCTGAGGCAGGTGGATCCCTGAGCCAAGGAATTCAAGACCAGCTTGGGCAACATGGTGTAACCTCACATTTACAAAAAATACAAAAATTAGGCATGGTGGTGTGCGCCTATAGTGCCAGCTAGTTGGGAAGCTGGGGTGGGAAGATCACTTGAGGCTGGGAGGTCAAGGGTGCAGTGAGCCATGATTGCACCACTGCACTCCATCCTGGGCGACAGAGTAAGACCCTGTCTCAAAAAAAAAAAAATATTTTCCCTGAGGACAGATTTCTATGTTGAAAAGTTTGAGAACCACAGATCTACAGGACAAAGTCCTAGTGTTGCAGCGGGGTCTTCTGGGCCCTCCCCTCCTCCCAGTCTGGCTCTCGCTGACCTCTTGGACTTCCTCAGATCCCAGGCACTGCCATTTTATGAATACCTCCTCACTCTCTTGTGCCTCTGTCTGCTGAGTGAATTCCTCATCTCCCTCAAGCTTTATCTCCAGCATCTTTTCCTCTTTGGACTCTCTCCTCATCCATCACCTTCCCCTACCTAGAGCTGATACCCCGCTCCTTTATTAAAGCATTCACCACACCCTGTGCTGCAACTTTCTTGCCAGCCAGCTATGAGCATCCTAGAGACCAGCCACACCCTTCTCCATCTTTTTCGCCTCAGCAACCAGCATAGTGCCTGGCACTTAATTTGCGAAGGCATTGTGTGAATTGCTACATGTTTGTTTTTCCGAGTTCCCGTATTCACTTGCATAAAAACATATGACACTTATTTATTCATTTTTATTTTTTACAAAAGTTTATTTTTTATTTTATTTTTTGAGACGGAGTCTCAATCTGTTGCCTAGGCTGGAGTGCAGTGGCACCAATCTTGGCTCACTGCAATCTCTGCCTCCCAGGTTTAGGCAATTCTCCTGCCTCAGCCTCCCGAGTAGCTGGGACTACAGGTGCGTGCCACCACACCCGGCTAATTTTTTTGTATTTTTAGTACAGACAGGGTTTCACTGTGTTAGCCAGGATGGTCTCAATCTCCTGACCTCATGATCCACCCGCCTCAGCCTCCCAAAGTGCTGGGATTACAGGCGTAAGCCACCATGCCCAGCCAAGTTTATTCTTAAATGTGCAATAGGCTCCAAGACAACTCTTTATTCTAGTTATATGTGGTAAAAGATATTATGGTAGAGAATCCAGATGTTTAAATAGGAATGGAATTGAGGGTCATCATCATCTCAGGCACAAGGAGCAGCTTATTTGCCAGATTTCTTTTTTTCCCATTATAATACTTCTAAAAAAATTGGCACATTGTACATATTTATGGGAACAGTTTGATGTTTCCATACATGTGTATGTTGTATAATGATTAAACTAGGGCATTTGGCATATTCATCACCTCATATATTTGTAATTTCTTTCTTTTTTTTTTGAGACAGAGTTTTGCTCTTGTTGCCCAAGCTGGAGTGCAATGGTGTCATCTTGGCTCACTGCAACCTCTGCCTCCCAGGTTCAAGTGATCCTCCTGCCTCAGCCTCCCAAGTAGCTGGGATTACAGGTGCGTGCCACCACGCCCAGCTAATTTTTTATATTTTTAGTAGAAATGGGGTTTCACCATGTTAGCCAGGCTGGTCTTGAACTCCTGACCTCAGATGATCCACCGGCTTCGACCTCCCAAAGTGCTGAGATTACAGGCATGAGCCACCGCGCCTAGCTGCATTTGTAATTTCTTTGTGGTGAGAACATTTAAAATCCTTGCTTCTAGCTATTTTTTTTTTCTTTTCTTTTTCTTTTTTGTTTGAGACAGGGTCTCATTCTGTGGCTCAGGCTGGAGTGTAGTGGCACAATCATGGCTCACTGCAGCCTCGACCTCTTGGGCTCAAGCGATCCTCCTACCTTAACCTCCCAAGCAGCTGGGACCACAGGTGCGCACCACCACGCCTGGCTAATTTTTAATTTTTTTTTTTGTAGAGATGGAGCCTCTCTATGTCGCCCAGGCTGGTCTCAAATTCTTGGGCTTAAGTGATCTCCTGCCTTGGGCTGCAAAGTGCTGGGATTATAGGTGTGAGCTGCTGTGACCAGCCTTCTAGCTATTTTCTAATATGTAATACCTTACTGTTAACCATGATCACCCTAGTGTGCAATAGAACAACAGAATTTATTCCATCTTTCTAATTGTAACTTTGTACCCATTGACCAACCTCTCCCCATCCTCCCTTCTCCCCTTCTCTTCCCAGTCATAACCACTGTTCTGTTCTCTGTTTCTATGACATTAACTATTTTTTTTTTTTTAGAGCCCACATATGAGTGAGATCATACAGTGTTTGCCTTTCTGTGCCTGGCTTATTTCACTTAACATGATGTCTTCCATTTCAACATTCTGTGGAAAATGACAGGATTTCATTCTTTTCTATGGTTGAATAATATTCCGTTGTGTATATTTGCCACATTTTCCTTTTCCATTCATCCACTGATGGATACTTGGTTGATTTTATATGCTGCCTATTGTGAGAAGTTCTGCAATAAAAATGAGAGTGCAGGTATCTCTCCAACATACTGATTTCATTTCCTTTGGATATATACCCAGTAGTGGAATTGCTGGTTCATACGGTAGTTCTAGTTTTAATTTTTTGAGGAACTTCCATACTGTTTTCCACGGTGGGTGTACTAATTTTTTTGCCAGATTTCTTAACTCCACCTGTATCCAGGGCCCCTTCAGCCTCTGTTTGTTTCTGCTTGAAAGCCACATCTTCCTTGTCCATCTCCTTGGCCTGTTCCTTGTGCTGTTTCAGGGGCTGCTTCTTGCCACCTTTGTGTCCAGACATGGCACCTGCTGCCTCTTTAAAAACATATGGCATTTAAAATGGGGCGCTCTCTATCTAGCATGGGGGTTAGTAAACTATGGCCTGTGGGCCAGATCCAGTCTGTGATCTGTTTTAGCCCACAGATTAAGAATGGTTTTTATATTTTTAAAGAGATAACAAATAAAAACTAAGAAAATTATGGGACAGAGACCTGTATGTGGCTTGCAAAGCCTAAAATATTTATCTGACCCTTTACAGAAAAAAATTGCCAACCCAGGGGACACTATCAGAGGACACTATGAAAAGTCATGGGATTCCATAGGCTGTGAGGAGTGGATTTGCACTAGTTAACACTAGCTGACACTTAGCTAACATAATCAATTTTTTTTATGTGCCAGCTGCTGTTCTAAGGACTTTACATATGTTAACTCGTTTAATTCTCCTCCAAACCCTGAAAGATAGGCATTATTGTTAGTCTTATTTTATAAATGAGGAAACAGAGATACAGAACATTTGATGTGGTTAAGGTCCCACAGTGGCTTTCTTTCTGATGGATTTGAGACGCAGCGGGCCATGGTGGTTGAGAACAATGGGCTCTTGTGCCACTCTGCCTAGTTTCAGTCCTGGCTCCACGATTTAAATGAGTCTCTACTTAAAGTGCTTACCTTAGTGCCTGGTATAGCATGGGAACTAGGTAAGTATTCCCTAGTATTATTGGGGTGCTGCAAAGTCACATTCACAAATAGCTTCTGTTATTATAATGGAATAGAGAAGATCACTCACTAGAACTGGAGAAAAACAGTCAGATTGGGAGAACTATGTTTCCTAGCGCACTGTGCATGATGAGGGCAGTCATGGATAGAGAGTGTGGTGTTGACATAAAGGTGTGTGAATTGAATGAGGGAGCAGAATGGTGATGTAGGATGTGTGTGTGTGTGCGCGTGTGTGCATGTGTGCGTGTGTATATGAATGTGGGGGGACAGTGAGGGAATGTGAGAGAAACGTTTGTGTGTTTAGCTATTATCGTAAGTATAAAACTTTGGAGACAGAATGAGAATGTCTAAGGAGGGTTGTTGATTGGGAAGGTTTTGGGGTAAAACACTTGCATAAAACTTTATAAGAAAACCCCAAGACTGATACTGTTTTTCAAAGCTTCTGAAATGTTATACATGTTTTCTTTGAACACATCTTTGAGAGTGGATCACTCAGAGGCCAGGATTTATATGGATTATGTTGTGTATTGACTGAACACAGGAACTAGTATTGGCCTCTCCACCCGTGATCCTAGAAAGTGATTTTTCGCCCAGGAAATTGACAGGCATGTCTGAAAACATTCTAGAAACAGATGGCTGAGAGCAAACTAGAAGAGCTCTATGAACTAGAGTGCCTCTAGAACCGCTGCCGTAGGTCAAAGGTGCTGGGAACATTTAAAAATCTCTGAGATGAGTCCCAGGCATCTGGTGGTGGTGGTGGAACTGGCTTGTACCACCTTGGAGGAGCCAATTGTGCCTAGATATTCCCAACTCCATTGTTCAGCAACATCCATTTGGTAGCTTGAAATTGGCCATGATAAAGGTATTTACATTATAGAAATTGACAAATGCTACACATCAGAGTTTTGTTCCCTCACTTGGGGCTGGTTGTTAAATATTTACCAGTGCACCACCACAGACATCAGGCTTACCTCTCTTATCAGTTCCAAAATCCTAAGAATAAAAGGAGCATGGTAACAAGAGCAGAATCACTAGGAGAAGAAACTTATTTTAGTGGTAACATTTTATTTTTAACAGGATAAATAGCAGTTCTTAGTTTTGAGAGGCTTTTTCAATGCTAATTGATCTAATTTTGTCCTATTTTGACATCAGACATTCTAGGGAAACATGGTGGATGTAAAATGATTGGGTTATGTTTAAACGGTATGTGTGTGTGAGTGTGTGTGTGTGTGTGTGAGAGAGAGAGGGAGGAGACGGAGGGAGGAAGGATGTTTGTGTGGTGGGTGGGTAAGAGTTTTGAGCAGATGCAAGACAAAGAACATAGTATGTGTTGCACGAAATATAACATATTTTAAGATAGTTATATGAAATATGTATATATATTTTTTGGTCAATTGTTTCGTTCAGGTTTTTCTTTGTTTTCTGGTCTTTTTTATAATTGTGCATTGACTTATTGTCTTTTCACTAGGATATTACAGAGAGAGAAGTGGATTTTTAAAAGTATATTTATTTAATGCAAGTCATACCCTAGGAGAATAAAAGATTACTGAGTCATTGTCCATGCAAAGTTGAGTATTATGTTGAGATTTTGAGTTTTCAACAATAGCTAATTTTCAGTGAAGAGATTATGCTGTAAAATTGAAATGAGTTTGGAAAGGAGTCAGTTAAAGTTTCACACAGTTATGATGTAGAAGTTTGTTATTATCAGTGGTTAACGCTAATTAACACAAGAATGTGATTTCAGATGACATTGAAGGGGTATGTAAGTGCCTTTTTTGTGTCTCTTACTGTTTATGGAAGAACCAACTCTTGTGGAAAATGTAGACTTTGCAGCCATTGGAATATAATTATATGTGTTTTGTTTGTTTTTATAGAACAGATGCAAGACAAAGAACATAGTATGAGATATTGGAATGTAATTTCAAAACATATGTTTCCAAAATTATGGAAACGTTCTGGATGGTAAATAAATCCTTTCAGTCTCAGAGGGTACAGGCTGCAAGGCTGAGGGAGAGCTGAGTGTTGGATGGGGAAGAACGTGGTTTAAGTAACAGGCTGAATAGTAAGCACATCAAAGCCATTAAAGCATAAACCCCCAGATTTAAAAACGTGAGAGGCGAAAGATTATGTAGCATGGTCTGGCGGCTTTATAGAACCCGTTTCAAATGAGGTATAGAACAAAAGAATGTGTGATTGAAGCTCTTGAAGAGATTTATTTCAGGAGAGAGGCAAACATTTTGCTCTGATACCAATTAACCAGGAGAAAGCACCACGTCATAAATGCCAATATTAAAAATGTAAATCCTACACCCGAGGGTGTATTGAAGACAGGTCAAAATTCTTTGAAGATGGAATGCATAAAGAGATAACAGGAAGAGAGCCTTCCAGCTGCTCAGGCTACCTGTTTAGTTCTGTGTCCTGTCTGCTGATGAGATTTTCCACGGGGAAGCGGGCTCTTGTTTGGGGTGGTTTGGCTACTTGACCTATTATGCGGGATTTAGATCTCCTTCAAGAGAATTTATTATGGGAACTCTAGAAGATCTTGTTTATAATACTCCTTTATCTGTAATGACTTGGAGATGTTCCAGGGTTTTTCTAGCATAGTTTGGATAGCATAGTTCACATAATGGATGTGTAAAGGTATTTACAAAATGCAGAGTGAAAACCATCAAGTGCTATGTATAGCACTTTTATGCCTTTTAAAGTATGTTTACTTCCATTAACTTGGTTGTTCCTCTCCATAATTCTGTGCAAAAGGAAAGGCATACAGAGTCATAGTCTTTAGAGCTTGGGATGAATTTAGGATGATTTAACCCAGCCCTTTCATAGTAGAAAAGAGGCCCAGGGAAGTTGAGAGATTTCATCCCCATTAGCCTCTTGGGGAAACTAAGCAAGGAGAGATTTAAGCTTCTTGGCCACCAAAAGCATTGCATGTTGAATCCTGGATTTCTGTCATTGGTAATAAGGCAGCCCAGTCTTCTGGGAAAGGAAATACACAAAAAAGTCAAACAAAAAGGTTGTCTGGAATAGAGATGTCTGTTGCTACAAAAATATTCAACTTCTTGTCACTGAACCAGGATAATAAATCTCTTTACCTTCTGTATTTTGGTGCATTGAAACATTATCTTTTATGATCATAGGTGTTGCTTCATTATTTAAAGCATACTTGTTATTGCAGGAAAGACAAGCTTGCATTTGATTTATAATGGAACCATTGTGCTTTGAGTTAAATGAAAGTTCAAAGGAAAATGAATTCTAAATAAGAATAATTGAAGAGATTCAAGGTTCATTTGAGTTTATATTCATCAAGGCAATTGTCTCCGAAATCCTCTTATTTAAAGCAACAGGACAGATCGTAACTTACAAACTTCGCCTTTATGACATCACTTCATTCTATATATCATAATCAGAAATGTTAAGCCTCAGCAGTAATTTATACAAAATGTATTGTTACAGAGTTATAAATGTCATTAAGTGGTAGACTTATGCCTCAGTGTCATGCAAGTTGAATCTTGGATTTAAAAAAATTACCCATAATGCAAGTATTCTATAAAAATATTCTTAGTACTCTCTCCTCCACTGCAGCCTCATATTAAAAGTTCAGTTCCATTTTCCACCTGTACTCTGCTCTGGGAAGTGCAACCTTTATTTCTCCTTCATGTTTTTAAAGTCACCTTCTTAATTCTGGTAGAACATAACTCAAACAACTGAAAATGTTAGGAATGGATTTACAGTCCCTCTGGCTACTCTCTATCTGGGATGGAAAAGAAAGTGAAGCTGGAGATAACTTTTCCTGCCATCAAGGGACATCTATAGAGGAGAGGCAATTAATTGTAATGTGCCAACTAGTTTTGATTATTCAGGGACTTGTGATGGAATTTGTGGATTATTCAGGTCCCTGGTTTTCTGTTTTGGCTAATTTCACTGCTCAGTGGCACCTCCAGAGGTCAGGGACAGCTATTCTCCTATGGAGTGTCCCCAGAGAGACAGTGGCAAAGGAACCACCCCCTTTTGAGCAACTACTCTGTGTCAGACACAGGGAGGATTTTTTTTTAACATTTGTAGTCTTTCATTAATTTCACAACAAACCTCCATTCTATTTTACAGACAGTAAAAACTCAGTGTAATTCATTCATTTCTCAAATCTCTATCAAGTGTATTCTGTGTGCTAGTCCCTGGGATAAAACAGTGAATGAAAGAGATGGGTCCCGGCTTTCTCTGAGCTTAGGATGCAGGAAGGAAAAAAAATAAAGTAGACAAATCATCAAATATATAAAATATAAAATTACAAACAGTGATATATGTAATGAATGAAAATTTTAAGGGATCACAAAATTTGTAAACAGGGGATCTGATCCAGTTGTGGAGTCAGAGATGGCGTCCCTGAGGGCATAAGCCTCTGCACTGGTGATTGAAGAATGGAATAGAAGCTGTCAAAGCTTGCACGGCGAGCCCACAGCAGAGCTGGGATTCAAACTCAGGTCTGCCTGACACCAGACTCTCTCTGTATTGCACTACTACAGACAGTTGAAACTATGCCCTGACAGGGAGACCTTTGACTCCCAGCCCCTAGCCCTGCTCCACCAGCTGCCCCAGAGATGCCGTGTCCGTGGGAGTTGGTGATGGTGGATTGGAAGCTGAAGAGCTCCTGTGGTTTCTCAGCAAGTTTAACTGGCAATATGAAGGAGCCCTCACTCTCTGTGCATTCTTTCCATTTTCTTCATGGTTCTGTCTAGATTGGATTTCGGCACTGGCAGGAGGGGTGTCCTTCTGGCATGACTCCTGATGGGGTTGTGTGGCTAATTTCAAACATTGGGAGGGGCTTGATTAATGACCAGCCCAAACCAGAGTTCAGAAACATTGCCTGGAGCCTCTGTAAAACTCCCCAGATCCTGCCTCCTTGTCTACCTCCCTTTACTCAACCCTGCCTCCCCTGATCTAAAGCCATCTTAGAGATTGGCTACCTGCCTGAAAAACTCCCTGACCTGCTGAGGAACTGCAGCAGGGAGTCCTGTTAGCAGCTGTGGGAGGGTTGGAGTCTGACCAGAACATTCCTCGCTCATGTTTCCACCCACTCCGTGTCTGCAGGGTGAAATGCCCCATTGGATGCGGTGGCCACCCCAGAGCTGCACCTTCTAGCTGGATACAGGGATAGGAGTGGTTGGGATTGAAGGTGAGAAGTCTGGGAAATGAACCATTTTCTTAGGTCTTCTGCTGATTTCCACCCCTCTGACTAATTATATAGCAGGGGCAGTGATTTACCAAAAGGAGGCATTGTATGACTTTTTAAGGACATCTTTCCAAAAAAACAAGCAAAAATTCTCCCCCAAGCAAAACCAACCGCCCCCCCCCAAAAAAACCTAAAAGCCAAAAAACTCAAACATCCAGGGAAAAGACCTTCTCTTTAAGCCTAAATTTCCACCATTTGTGACTTACCTTTTTTTTTTTTTTTTTTTTGAGACGCAGTCTTGCTCTGTCGCCAGGCTGGAGTGCAGTGGCGCGATCTCGGCTCACTGCAACCTCCACCTCCCGGATTCAAGCGATTATCCTGCCTCAGCCTCCTGAGTAGCTGGGACTACAGGCACGCGGCACCACGCCCAGCTACTTTTTGTATTTTTAGTAGAGACGGGGTTTCACCATGTTGGCCAGGATGGTCTCGATCTCTTGACCTCGTGATCCACCCGCCTCGGCCTCCCAAAGTGCTGGGATTACAGGCGTGAGCCACCGCGCCCAGCCTGTGACTTACTTTTTTGAGTTACACAACATTACTTTCTTGCTTCAATGTTTTTGTGCAAATGCACGCCGTCTGGGGAGAAGCAAATTTCTTGAAATTGAAACCACCGAAATGTGAATGAATTTATCATATCCCTTGTTTGTATCTGGTGAACGGGTAGCTAGAGGGCCTGAGGTATCTTGGGGAACAGGTCGTTGAAGTGGGTACAGGACGGGGCAGTCACTTTAATCGCTGGTCCGAGCTCCCCAGCCTCCCTTTTGCAAAAAGCAAAAATACGTTATCGTCACTAGGGGGCGGAAGTAGGCCAGCAATCGGTCTCTAGTACTTGTTTGGTCTGAAAACTAAAGTTGGCAAATCTGCATTATTAGTGTTTTATTTTTCTTAAGAATCCCAAGTCTCTCTGAGATGGTATGAGTGTGAGAGTTAGGCTACTGTAGTGTAAAGAAGCCAATCCCAAGAAAATAAAAGCCCTGTGTAGGTAAAGCAGATACCCGACAGATTCTATCAATGGACTTTGAAATTGTTCTACTGTTTTTATTATGATAATTTACTGAAAATTTCTCAGATCTAAAATTCAAATAAGAATGTTTGAAACCAGCCGGGTTCGGTGGCTCACGCCTGTAATCACAGCACTTTGGGAGGCCGAGGCGGGTGGATCATGAGGTCAGGAGGCGGGTGGATCACGAGGTCAGGAGATCGAGACCATCCTGGCTAACACGGTGAAACCCCGTCTCTACTAAAAATACAAAAAATTAGCCGGGCGTGGTGGCGGGCGCCTGTAGTCCCAGCTACTCGGGAGGCTGAGGCAGGAGAATGGCGTGAACCTGGGAGGCGGAGCTTGCAGTGAGCTGAGATCGCGCCACTGCACTCCAGCCTGGGCGACAGAGCGAGACTCCATCTAAAAAAAAAAAAAAAAAAAGAATGTTTGAAACCAAACTGGTTTGTCAAATGCATAACAGCGCCCTTGATTTCACAAAGGGATGAAAACTTACATGTAGATGTATTTTTTTCTGATTATAAAGAACAAATTCTCTTGAGGAATGGTTAAAAAAAAATCCGCCCCCCCGACAGTAAAATTCGTATTGTACTGTTACGGGTAGCTCTGTTCTTACTGAATAAATCTTGCTTAGCAACTTACCTCCAGAGTAAATAATAAATCACTGCTGAAAGCTTCAGGCATTTAGCTCCGTCTGGGCAGTAAAACTTTGTGATGGTCTTGACAGCATTTTGTAAAATCATAATTGCTTAGGGAAAGTGATTCTGGATGTCTTAAAATGTTCGGAATTAAGGAGGAGCTGTTCCTTTGAGGGAAGTTATTCTAATGCCGTGTGTGTATGTGTGTGTTATTCTTTATACGAATTCTAGATTATAATTTACACACACTCATCATTTCTATTAAGAATATGTAAAAATTCGATTAGAAGCACAGCCACATGTATCACACCAAGGTTTTATAAAAAAAAAAACCTTGAGGCAATTAGGGCAAAGATGCTCAGTTATCTGTGCACAGTATACTATATGCAGGCCTACCTTTATATACACATATAGTTATGGATTGAATTGTAAGCCTCCCCAAGATTCATAGGTTGAGGCCGTAACCCTCAGTATCTCAGAATATGACTGTAATTGGATATAGGGTCTTTAAAGGGGCAAAAGTGAGGCTGGGATTAGAGCCTCTTTAAAGAGGTAAAAATTAGTGGCTTATCCCTGCCATCCCAGCACTTTGGGAGGCCAAGGCGGGAGGATTGCTTGAGCCCTGGAGTTTGAGACCAGCCTGGGTAACATAGCAAGACCCCATCTCTCTAAAAAAAATTAGCTCAGTGTGGTGGTATGCCTGAAGTCCCAGCTATTTGGGAGGCTGACGGGGAGGATTGCTTGAGCCCAGAGGTTGATGCTGTGGTACGCTGTGATTGCACCGCTGCACTCCAGCCTGGGCAACAGAGTGAGACTCCATCTCAAAAAAAAAAAAAAAAATAGATAAAAAAAAATAAAAAAAAAGTGGCTGGCTGGGTGTGGTGGCTCATGCTTGTAATCCCAGCACTTTGGGAGGCCGAGGCAGGTGGATCACGAGGTCAGGAGATCGAGACCATCCTGGCTAACATGGTGAAACCCCGTCTCTATTAAAAAAAAAAAAATTAGCCGGGCTTGGTGGCGGTCACCTGTAGTCCCAGCTGCTTGGGAGGCTGAGACAGGAGAATGGTGTGAACCCGGGAGGTGGAGCTTGCAGTGAGCTGAGTTCGCGCCACTGCACTCAAGCCTGGGCCACAGGGCGAGACTCCGTCTCAGGAAAAAAAAAAAAAAGTGGTAAAATGAGGTCATTAGGGTGGGCCCTAATCCAGTGTGACTGGTGTCCTCCTAAAAGGAAATGATGCCCCAGACATACACAGAGGGAAGACCATATGGAGACCCATGGACCAGGCAACCCTCTACAATTACAAGCCCAAAAGCAAAGCCTCAGAAGGAACCAACCCTGCTGACACCTTGGACTTCCAGCCTCCAGAACTGTTTGATGTGAAATTGTTTTCAAAATAACAAATACAACATTGTTTTCAAAAGTCAATGTGTTAAAATGATATATTGGCATGTTTGAAATAGAGCTTGTGATTTGGTTGTAACAATTTTAATATCAATAATTTTTTTTTTTTTTTTTTGAGACAGGGTCTCATTCTGTCACCCAGGCTGGAGTGCAGTGGTGCCATCTTGGCTCACTTCAACCTCTGTCTCCCAGGTTCGAGTGATTCTTGTGCCTCAGCCTCATGAGTAGCTGGGACTACAGTCACGTGCTACGGCACCCGGCTAATTTTTTGTATTTTTAGGGCATCACCATATTGGCCAGGCTGGTCTCAAACTCTTGGCCTCAAGTGATCCACCCACCTCGGCCTCCCAAAGTGTTGGGATTACAGGCATGAGCCACTGTGCCTGGCCTAATATCAGTAATTTTTAAGTAGAATTGTTGAAAATGAAATAAAATCTTTAAAGAGACTCATATGATTGAACTGATCACCCCCCTGTAAGTTGCCAGTGAACTTAGTATGCGTGTCTGGATTCAACACAATTACATGGCTGTTTCAATTTCTCATCCTTTGGAAGTAGGAAGACGCCTTTTTAGATGTTGTTCTTCTCTATCGTTCCCCAAAATTGTCATAGGACATTTAACCCCAAGTCTTGCATAGTAAGTGAAGTCTCTTCCTTTGTCTTATTTTTCCCAACCAAACAACAGTTTATTGTTTCCAGGTTCACCTCTGGAGTGGGACGTGACCAGGAAGGCTCAGGTCTAGCCCAGCCTGAGTCATGGTAACGTTCTGGAATCTTAGCGTCTTCCTGTAATGTGTAGGCACCTCTCTGAGTTTCCTATAGCACTAACTTTCTCTATAGTAACTAAGTTTTTGAGGCCAGTAAGTGCAGGGCTGGAAATAGTGATGTACTTGACAAAACTGCAAAGTTCAACATTCCCACCCTGGCCCATGGCCTGGTGTCTCCTTTCCAAGGCTGTTTCTGTATCCAGGAGACCCGCTAACTTCACCTGTAGGTATCATAGGCTGATTCTCTAGTATGCTATTCTTTTCCATCTCTCTCCCCTATCAAAACTGGTCCTCCAGAGAGTATTGGATAGGAATCATTTATGATGTAGTGTAAATTCCTCAATAGGTTCCCTTGCCCCATGGCAAGGACACTTAAAATCACATCTCTTATCTTCAGGACTTCCTCCTTCTGAGAGCAGTTCCAAACATCTAGGAGCAGGTGGAGAGGCATCTTTCAGGGGTAGGAGATTTTTCCTATGCATCACATCTGGAAGGCAGTTCCCTTCTTTGTTGGTGGAAAAAGCCAGGTGTGAATAAAAGAACTATGTTAAGTAGTTGCTCTGAACTCATAGTGAACAAACACACGTTTGTGACCAGGATTAGCAGCCTGGGTCTGGCTGACCTCTTTCGTCTTCATCCTCTTAGGAGGGGGTGTGTATTTGGATGTATGTTGCTCACTCTGGGCATGGGAGAAGTAGCTAGTGTTATACACTGGCTGCCTGAGTCCTGTGGGTAGTGAGACAGGACAAGCATGGCAAGCCTCTGAAAGATGCTTTCTTCACCACCTCTGTCTGATGTAGTTTGGGCAACAGAGCCTGGTGTACACAGGGAGATCAATAAAATATTTTTTTGGATGGATCAATGAATGGACAAATGAATGTATGAATGAATGAGTTCTGGGAGCTCACAGGTAAGACCCCACTTTGGATCTTTCCTTTTGCTTTCTTGCTGTCCACTCTAGTTAGCCATCAGTATGATGCCTTGGTACCATCACTGCCGTGCTGGTACCACTACACTTCCTACACTATGTAGTATGTTATACTGTGGAGTATATATTACATATACACATACAAATGCTGTAACCACCATGAGATCTATACAAAAAATTGGAACATTTAAAAGAATGAGAAAATTAAGTGTAAACAAGTTCTAATATTTTTTCCTACACCCCAATGGATATAAATGCACACCCGGGTGGGAGTTGGGCATTACTTTGGAAAGCACTTGCTGAGGGCAGTGGTTTTATGTCTGACTTTGGCTAGAATCTGCATTACATCTACTAGATGAAGTGAGAGCAGGATTCAATTTAAATATTCACTGAGGGCCTGCCTGGTGGTGGATAGTCTGCTAGATGCTGAGGGTGACAGTGACTCCATGCTCTGGATTATTCTAGGCAGACTTGATTTAAAATACTCTCTCCCACTTTCCCACAAGTACACTCATACTGGCTGGTTGCATGCCCAGATTTTTAGTATAGAAAATGTTGGCCAGGTGCAGTGCCTCATGCCTGTAATCCCAGCACTTTGGGAGGCCAAGGCAGGCAGATCACATGATGTCAGGAGTTTGAGACCAGCCTGGTCAACATGGTGAAACCCTGTCTCTACTGAAAAAAACAAAAATTAGCTAGGTGTGATGGCTCATGCCTGTAATCCCAGCTACTCGGGAGGCTGAGGCAGGAGAATGGCTTGAACCTGGGAGGTGGAGGTTGCAGTGAGCCGAGATCAAGCCACTGCACTCCAGCCTGGGTGACAGAGTGAGACTCTGTCTCTTCCAAAAAAAAAAAGTGTTGTGACAAGAGCTTCGGAAGAGATAAAAGATGTAGAAGACCGCTCTTGTTTCTCAGGTCTTATTTTAGGTTATGTTGTTAGGAGAGGCCTCCAAGAAGGGGCACACAGGAGCCTCAAATATCTTTGTAATGCCTGTTTCTGAACCCAAGAGGAGGGTGCTCAGGTTTCCTTTTATTCTTTATTTTTATTTTTTGAGACAAGGTCTCGCTCTGTCACCCAGGCTGGAATTCAGTGGTATGATCTTGGCTCACTGCAGCCTTGACTTCTTGGGTTCAAGTGATCCTCCTGCCTCAGCCTCCTGAGTAGCTGGGATTATAGGTGCATGTCACCACACCCAGCTAATTTTTTTTTTTTTTTTGTATTTTTTGTAGAGATGGGGTTTTGCTAGTTGCTCAGGCTGGTGTCGAACTCCTAGGCTTAAGCGATGGTCCTGCCTCGGCCTCCCAAAGTGCTGGGATTACAGGGGTGAGCCACTGCGCCTGGCTTCCTTTTATTATTCATACCTAATTTATACATGTATGCCATAGGTATGCTTCTGAAAGTTGAAGTATTTTATGAAAAGCAAAAGGAAATAAAAAAGGCATTTAAAAGTGTGGGGCCCTCTGGGACCAAGTGCAAATGGAGTGAAGCAGATAGTACATTACACAGATCAATGGGGCTGGGACGGTCTGGGGAAATTTTGCCAATGAGGTTGTCAACTGCGGGGCCTAGCAGCACAGTGGAACGTGGGCAGGTAGAGAGACACTGGGGACACTTGGGTGACTTGAACAGTGAGAGTTAAGCATGGAGGTGGAGCCTGGCCTGGAAGGTAACATCAGCAGGAGGGCAGCAGCCAGGTGGTCACATTGGGTTACAGTGGGGATCCAGTAGAGAGATGGGCTAAAACTGGTTGGAGCATGTTTTGAAAACCAGATTTAAAAGTTTCAAAATTGTATTGAGGTCACTGAAGAGCCCTTAACCAAAGTGAGTGAACTTTTGGAAAGGTGAATTTGAAGCTATGGTGAAATGACACCTGTTGATGGCGTCTACTTGATACCTCCTGATTCCATTTACTTAGCTGTTTGTACTGCAACAATAGCCTCCTTATTGGCCTCTTTCTCTCCTATCTTAATCTCTGCTCATCCATTTCCTATACTTTTCACTGACAGATCTTTAAAAAACACTGTCTGAACATAATATATCAGTTCCCAGCGCAAAGTCTTTTAATGGTCCCTGCTGTCTTTTGAATGAATCCAAATGCCATCGCAGAACATACAAGGCCCTGTGTGCCTTTGTCCTTGTCCTCCTCTCCAGCATTGCCCCCAACTTCCCTCTCTAACCAAATGGAAGCACCCGTGCTTTCCTGAACTCTCTACACCCTCCCCTTTGAACCTGGGTCAGGAGGCTGCTCCCCAACCCCCAACTTCCTCTTACTCTGACTTCTAGCCATCCTTCAAGAGTCAGCTCAGGTATCAGGTCCTTTAAGACCTTTCCTACTCGAAGGCAGGCCTGTGTATCAGCAGCATCTTAGCATCTCCTGGGAGCTTGTTAGATGTGCAGAATCCCAGGCCTACCTCAGACTTACTGAGCCAGGAATCTGCATTTAACAAGAACTCCAGGGGATTTAGGTGATGATCCAGAAGCCCTGCTGTGGGCAGGCTGGTCTATTCCTCTGCACCACCCACAAGGTCAGGTAGTTGAGCCCCATGTACTCTCTTGAAACCTTCAGGGGAAGGCATTGTTATCTTCTGTTTACTTCCCTGTCTTCCTTACTAGGTCCTGAATTCTGAGGGCTGTGATCATATTTTATTTATCTTTGGTGACTCAGTGACTATTCTAGTGCTAGCATACAGTAGGTGCTCAATAAATGCCTATGCCCATGTGAACAATCAGTAACTGACTTTGGTGACTCAGTGACTATACTAGAGCTAGCATACAGTAGGTGTTCAATAAATGTCTGTTGTGAAAATCAGTAATTGAACTTTGGTGACTCAATGACTATTCTATTGCTAGCATACAGAAGGTGCTCAATAAATGCTTCTTGCCCATGTGAACAATCAGAATAACAGTGGTCTCTTACTCTTGCACCATCAATGACCAGCTTAAGGAGGAACCTGTTTTAGATCCTTTGTTGAGACTTGGTTTAACTTCCTCTTTTCAAGCATCTCTTTACTTCTAAGTGAGCTGCATGGCCAGTCAGGCCCTTGGTACCTGCCAGAGCCCGGAACTAGTACTGGTGATGCTGATGCCCAAGAGACTCTCATGTCTGGGAATGCTTTAAAATGGCCACCCCTTGGGCATGCATCAACTAACTGTGCCTGAAAAGCAGCTTTTTCAATTAAACATTTTCCTTCTGATCAGAGATCCACTTTGAAGACTTTTAAATTTGGCTTAAAGTGAGGATTAAGGGACTAAGTTAGGCATGGAGCACCACCTTTGCCTCTGTACCCTGGAGAGCCCTCATCAGGACCCTTGACTCTGTGAGAAGAATGGGGAAGCCACTCCAGTCCCAGAACTATTTTTTTTTTTTTCCTTTTATCTGGGAAAGGGAGATGAGTGACCCTAATGCCAGAACTTTAGCAGAGAGAAACCTTCCATTCAGCATTAGATTCGAAGGGACATGTTCATGGTCCAGTTGAAAGAGCCTAAAGCACCATCCCATATGGAGGCAGGGAGGAGAGGACTTGAAGGTGGAGGCTTGGCTCAGACATCCTTGGAAGCCTTCTTTACTCTCTGCAGTAGAACAGATTTTTGATTCCTTTTCTTCCTGCCCTACCTTCCTGAATTTCCTATCATATTTGGACTCAGGAAAGTGTACTGTATTTGTGACAAAAATAACGCCTTGCATTGCCAAGGACTTAACTCTTCAATGTGCTTCCCAATCTTTGATTTCATTTGCCTGTCATGAGAGGTGGCAGGACAGTTTTGTTGACATCGTTTTAGACACGTGGGAGTGATGGCACAGGGAGGGGAAGAGACGAACGTAGAGTCCTGCAGGTAGCTGGGGACAGAGCTCAGGCTGGGATTCAGGCTTCTGACTCTTGGTCCAGAGATTTTTGCAGCCTGTTTCAGGTTTTATAAGGTGGGTTCCTGCACATACATACCATGCGCCAGGATTTAAATACGTACTCTCTTAATTCTCCCTTCTCTGAGAGATGGGTGCTCTATCTTTCCCACTCGATAGACGAGGGAGTCAAGCAGACATCCCTGTCTCAATCAGGCGAACTTTCTCTCCTGCAAGACCAAGCTCAAATGTGACTCCTTAAGATTCTCTCTCCTAATTTTCCCCACAGTGATGGCAGCTCCTCCTTCATTCTTCTTTAGAACGTCTTTGTCTCTCCTCAATTGCATGCATCCTATGGGATCATAATTGTTTGGCCTATGAGTGGTTTCAGGGTATCATTTCTTTTTGTGACAGGATTCAACACTGGGTAATGATATTCTTTCTTTTTCCTTTGCAATTTCATCTAAAGTTTTGTTTCCTTGGGGTCCTCTGGAGTAAAAGAAAGCATATGATACATCAGGGCACATTTGACAGATGTAAGTGATTATACTAATAGTGGGATTATTTCCCAACGTGTCTAATGTATTCAGACTTATTTCAAATGAATTGAGTTTAAAACCCATCCCTAAAAATGAAATGAGATCTTTAAGTTGTTCCTACCTACCTCCTTCTTTTATCTGGATTTTAAAACCTTTTTGTTTTTAATATGAGAATATTGTATTGCCTGTAATTTACTTTAAAATACTTTGACACAGATTGCCTTATATATATATTTATATGCATATACATCATATGCATATATACACACACACACATATATATACACACACATATGCAATTCTGTGCATGTACAAATGCAACTCATGTTGGCACATGTGATGTGTGTGTGTTTGTGTGTAGATTTATTTTGCTCTATATCCTAGGGAAAGTCTGTTGCCCTAAAAGGGAACATACACTTTTGGGGTAGGTATTTAGTGTTTTGAAAGCTTCTAATCAGAAACTCACACTTCAGAGATAGACTTTAGCTATCTTTATATCTAACCAATACCAGAGGCTTTGTTATTTTTCACAGGTGAAAAAAGTGGTGTTCAAATCTATTGATTGGCCAGAAATATTGCAGAGGTCCTCTACTCTTGTATATATGGGCCATAGAAATCTGGTCTCGTAGTCTATACCTTTCAGGTATGGTGCCTGAGACTACATTCTGAAATGACCTTAAGCCCAGTCATTGATCAGATAATTTTGGTCTCATAAATCTAATTGTAAGGTCAGCTGAAACCTGCTGCTAGATGATTGTTAGGTTTGCCTTTGGTGAACTTCAGACTTCCTACAAGGGCAGAAAGCTGGAACTTCTTCAAACTTGCAGACTAGATTATATGATTGTTTGGGGGCCTGCTTGCTAAATGAATAAATGTATATGTGGCAGAATTCAGCCTAGACTTAATTTCATTGTTATCAAATGGTGAGGGGAGGGATCTGTAGACTCCAACCACTTCTAACTCTTGGATGCCATCCATGTTTACTAGGAAGAACATAAAAATTGCTAACAGTTATTATGTACCAAATTGGCTTAGGTACAATCACAAGATTATGGAGTAACTGAGTTCCCTCTTTTAGAGTGGGCTTTGACCCATTAGATTACTTTAGTTCCATTTTCATGATATTCAAGGACCAGCCTTCTCAATTTTGCAAGGGAGGCTAATAAAGTGTCTTCTAAGCAAACAACAATAAGAGCTCCACACCTTTAATAATGTCTTTGCTTACTCTCATCATACCTCCTAAATTTAGTTTTAAAAATGCAGTGGGGCCACAGATGAAATGGATGTCCATGTGACAAGCACTTTTCTTTCCAGAGAGGCGGGATCACTAGGCAGTGTGCAAAAACACAGTAACCATGGCGGCACTACTATCAATCCAAGACCACGGGGGAGACTCTTCAACATTTTTTTTTTTTTTTTTAGCACATTTTGCCGCATGAGGCCTGTTAGGATTGAGGGGAAAATGATTGCTGCAGATATTCTGGGACTCATGAGAATCCATGGAGGCTCAGGATGGGACGGTCAGTTGGGCAAATCCTACCTTGCCAAGATAGGGTTTTCTCTCATTTCCAGTTTTGGAGGATACAGTTTTAAAAATACAGTACAATAACAACTTGACAAAAAGAGCTTATACATAGAAGGGAACTCTGGAATGAAATACCCTAACTGTTAATTATATTTGTCTTTGGATGATGGAAATACATATCATATTTTTCACTCAGTTTTTGTTTTTTCCCCAAATCATTTTAGTGTCTGATGCTATTATTTTGGGACATTCAGCATAGCGTTCTTCAGCTTTGAGTGGATTCAGAGTCCTCTATCTGAGCTCTGATCTGACCACAGGATGAGAGCAACCCAGGCTGACCCCTTGGGTATTGGAGGGTCTTTTATAGGAGGGAAGAGCCCAGAGAGAGAAGAAATAGATTTTCTCAGAGAGGTGGAGGCTTGAATCATCTTAATTTCCTGTTGGAAGTGATGTGATCTTGTTTTATACCTGAAGCTTCTAAAACAGGTCATGTTGGTCATGGAGGCATTTTTCCATGTCATTATATACTTTTCATGAATATATATATATGTTAAAGTTCCATCGTGTAAACACAATCACTAAAGTTAAATGTTACATACTATGTCATTTAATAGCTATGTTATTGTTTAATTAATTATATTCCTGTAGCTGGAAACTGAAATCCCTTTCTTTTTTTATTATATATTATGATGAAGATGATTATTCATACAGCTTTTTTGTCTTTGATAATAATAATGTTGGTTAGTACTTATAGAGACCTTTCTATGTGTTGGATTTTGTGCTAAGCATTTTGCATTCTTTTATGTAATCCTTACCACCACTCTATGATTAGATATAATTATTCTGGCCGTTGTACAGATGAGAAAATAAAAACTTACCCCAGGGTTGTAGCCAGCCTTCTTACACTGTAGCCAACACTACGTTGCCATTTATGCAGTCTTCTACCAACACTGGATGTTGTCCATGTTTTTACTTTTGCCTTTTATCAAATATTTTCCCATCTCAACTAACAGACGTCCACAAAAGCATTCCTAATGGAAACACACTATTCTAAAATGGGGTCAACAACTCTCTCATCAGATGTTTAGATCATTTCAATAGTTTGTCATTTAGTCCTTCACAAAACTTAGTTTTATTACTATTTTTCCTCAATTGCTTTTAGGGAAGCAGCACCAGTGTCAACTCCCACCAGCAGTCTAGGAGAATGCAGCTTCTCTATGATTACAATTTTTAAGAATTGACTGCCAGTATGATAGGTGGAAAATGAGATTTCATGATTTAAACAGCATTTCTTTGATCATCAGAAAAGCAGCATGTTTTTCACAGTGTATTGGGCTCGTGTACTTCTTCTTTGTGAATTGCCATAATGGAGTTTGTTCTTTTGCTATTAGTGTGATCATCTTTTTCTTATTGACACATAGGAACTTTTTATATATGAAGAACACACATTTAATTTTAAATAAGTTTATAGTTAAAAGGAAACGTGATTAACATGCAAAGAAAGTACAAACAACAGTGTCTTGGCTGGTCTCTAGTCTTGTTCTTCTCTAACTCCCTGTCTGTGTGGAAGAAAAAAAATGCAAGTCTGATTAAGCCATTCTCCCTTTAATAGCTCCCAGTTACATTTAGGAGCAACTCCCAAAAGGAGGGTATGGAGCTTTTATGATGATCCTGCTTGACTCTCCAGACTCGGTTTTCTAATCCCCTGTATCTAATTCTAAGAGCCATTCATACTGCATTACTTTCAGTTTTCAGGAAGTGCCAAGCTCTCTCTTTGGGGCCTTTAGCATGTGCTGTATCCTCTGCCTGGAACTCTCTTCCAATTCTTTTTTCTTGTAATGACTACTCATACCTCAGGTCTGGATTGGATACCCCTTCCTTTAAACCAGTGGTTCTCAACCAGGGATGATTTTTGTTCCCAGGGGACATTTGGCAATGTCTAGAGACATTTTTGGTCATCATGCTGGAGGCGAGTTATGCTACTAACAGCTGGTAGAGGCCAGGGATGGTGCTGGATGTTCCTCAGCCCCCAGGACAGCCCTCCACAACAAAGAATTATCTGGCCCCAAATGTCAAGAGTGAGAGTTTGAGGAGCCCTGGTCTAGATCTTAACGGTCTTTACCAACCCTCCCATCCACTCCCCACTACGTATACATACACATATTACATATGCTGTAACCACATAGATCCATATGCTATTCTAAGACTGGTTTGGTGTCTCTCCTGGGGCCTCCCAGGACCACCCTATGCTTACAGCTTTCACAGTTCTACTACCCTGTATTATAACTGTCTTCTAGGCTAGAAGCTTCCTGAGAGAAGGAGCGTGTTTTGTAACCCCAGAGCCCAGATTAGGGTCAGAATATATGATTGTCAGAAGCAGTATAGCATAGTATGGACTAAAGAGACAGAGGGCTGAGATGTGAATCCAAGACTCTGCTACTTACTAGCTGTGTGACCTTGGACAAATTACTAACCTCTCTGTGCCTCTATTTGCTCTTCTGTAAAATGAGGATATTAATAGTACCTACCACATAGCATTATTAGGAAGAATACATGGGCTAATATTCATAAGCTGCTTAGAGAACTAAGCTCTATGTAAGAGTTAAATAAAGGAATGATAATGGAATAAGCATTTAATCCATGCTTGTCGATACATGACGGGTGTAGGCCTCACTCTGGGTTCAGCCCTGTCTCACTCAGCATGTGGTAATTTTTGCCAACAATTTAAAAAGTTTCTTCGTAGTTCTTAATTTTCCTTGGCTCACATTATATCTTTAACTATCTCTGTAGTCACCAGCTGTTAATTCTCCTAAAAATATGTCCCTGTTTCTATTGTGTAAAGAGACAAATGAGAGTGAGCCACCCATCCGATCACAAACACACACCCCCCACCTTGGAAACAACTTTCTTTTCAATAAAATGCACCTCTGGTTCCAAGTTTTGTGTGTGGCATACACCATGGAGACACTTGTACAAGTGAATCTCTTTAGAAAGAGAGATTTACGCCAGGTACGTGGAACACAGTCTGAGCAGCACTGCACACCGTATCAAATCAGGGTGTGCTGTTACATATTTCAAGTTAATTTGACGTTGGAGCAAACAAAGTGTGTTTATAGAATAATTAGGCCTTATTCTCAATGCTGTGGCTAAAAAGTTTTGTCACAATTACTGATCAGTGGTTTTCTTTGTTTTTGAAATTCCATAGCAATACACAAAAATAAAGCTGTTGTGACTACACTAGTACTTATGTAATTCCAGTATCCTGTAGGAAGAGTACCTGGGGATGAAATCAACAAGTTCTTAGTGGAATCTTCTCATTTCTTAGAATGTAATGTGGTTGGATGTTTGGAAATTGGTACGAAAGGGGAGAATCCTTTGTAAGCGTGGTCCAGTCTTCTGAAATAGCTGTAAAATGTATGCTCCTGCTCATCCTTTGCATGTAGGTGCATCTGCCTTATATGTTGTGGCTTTGTTTCCTTGCCATGGGGGAGAATTGGTTCAAGGTCTTGTGAAATGAATGCTTCCATCCAGATCAGCAACAGGAAACTTGACATGAGAAAACAAACTGTGGGCATGCCATACTGAGTCAATTTTTTAAAAGAATTTTTTCTTTCAAGGAAGCTCATTAAGCTCCCTAAAATAGTGTACTTAATCATATATACAATAGAGGGGCCCTTTCATGGAGGTGCCACTCAATGCCTGGAAGATATGTCTAGGAGAGGGGGCCTTCAGGAGGCTGAAGGTATGCTGGAGGGGTAGAGGTGGAGAGCCCCTCTGAGCAATCTCCCTGAAGTCGTTCCCACCCACTGGAGAGGCCTTTTTCTTTTTCTTTTTTGAAATTTAACTTTTATTTTAGAAACCATAAAAGTAATTACGTTGTGCTCTTTTGAAGTTCATGAGCATACATGTCAGATCTTTCTCTTGCACATTGCATGTCATTCCCCCTCCTCCTTAGCAAGGCAAAACCTCCCAGCTGTGGTGGTGCAGACCAGGGACCCCATTCTCAACACCTGCCGTGCTAGTAACACAGGTGGGGGCAGAGCAGATGGATGCCAGGATGTCAGGGTCAAAGTGAGGACAAAGGGAGAAGAGCATGGCTGTTGAAGGGATGGAGCAGGATCGGGGTTGGGTACAGGGAGGCAGTACAGCAGACACCAGGTGTCAGCGCTGGTGTCAGATGTTGCTCTTGTAGGAAGCCAGCCTGTGCCTGATTCTCCAAGGCAGGAGCCAGTGCAGGGCCTGGGTAACTCAGAGCATGCAGGGGAGAGTAGGCAGGTGGCTGCCCAGAAGAGTTAGGAGGGCAGGGCCACCACCTGCCAGCCCATAGTGTTCCCACTGAAGAGGTCTTAAGGCTGATCTAATTCTTCTGGGACCCCCGTCTCCTCAGTTACTTTCTTAGGATATTCTGGTGTTTTTGCTGGGTCCTTCTACAAAGAACTTGTGTCCCTCCTGGTCTCCTTTAGAGTGAGGTGTAGATCACAGTCCTTAATTCTTAGAATTAGTGTCAGTTTCATCTCTCTTCCACCTAACCCCAATCCCCCTTGACCTTGGCGTACAGCATCCTGTTTCCCTGTGGTGTCTTGGTATCCTGAACCTCTCACTACTCATTTGATAACCTTGGGTGATAGTGGGCGCTGTGTGGCTGTCAAACTCTGGAGTCTGCTGCTAAGTGTTATTGTAATTTATCTTCATCTAAATTCCTCGTAGCGCAGCTTTTGAAACATGAGATTGTCTTATTAAGAGGTACTTATTGTAAAGTAGAGTGAGCTGCACCTTTGATGAAGACAGAAGAGGCCAAGTTTGATGGGTTGGACATCGCTAGACAAAGACAGTAATTAATGACTTAATTGCCTCTTCACCCTTCCCTTAAAAAAAAAAAAAAAGTTTTTCTTCTTTTCCTTTAAAACTCACCAGGCTGGAAAGTAGAATTCCCAATGCTATTTTATAGTTTGGTTGTTTTTTTAAAAGACAAATGAAAAATAAATCAGAACACAATTTTTCTATTACATTTTCCTGTAACAACTTCCTCACTTTCTAGAATCATTGTCTATTGATTTTACCTTTAGTGGCTTTAGAAGTTGCAGCTATCTGTTTGTGGAGAGTTCAGTACCTCATATGGATTTCCTCGTGTTAGTTTAAATGCTGATAAGATACGTGGCAAATTAATGAAATAAAAATAGCTTTGTCAATAAACAGAAGCGAAACCACTTTCAACATTTGTTCAGTACTCATTGCTTTTCAGGGCCCAGACAAAATTAGTGGGTAGGATTAAAGAATATATTCGTCTTTTATCCCATGTTTGAGTACTTGATCACAGAGGCATGGTTTAATCCAAACATCAATAGCACCTCGTCAATTCCGTCAGAGACAGCTGTCAAAGTGGACTTTGGGTTTGTTAGAGCTTTGTGTTTTATCCTTTTTTAAGGTCATGGAGTATTTTCTTTGATTTTTGATGCTGAAATCTTCCTTAATCTTCTAAACTTGGGAAACATCTGTTAAGATTTAATGGGATGGCTTTTGTCTTAAAATTAGAGCCAATCTTGCAAATCTTTCCACCTCCCTTCTCTTCCCAGCCCCCAATTAGGAAAATGGGGAGTGGGGGCAGAGGAAATGAAGCCCAGGTTCTTCATCGGATGGAAGTTCTCTGGTCAGTGTGTGAGTGTTAGAATGAATCTTAGGCCAGGAATGACGCTTTTGAGGGCTGAATGCTGTGAACCCAGTGTTCAATTTTATTTTGTTTCCTAGTGACATTAGCAATTTCTCTGTAGCGTGTCACTTAGTCTGGGATCTGAGTGGCAGATTTATGGGTCCTATTGAATAATGAAACAAAAATGATGTAAGGAAGAGAAACGGCTGGAAATAGGAATTTTAACCTTTCCCTGTAAACCTCCTTGTTACTGGATTGCATGGTGTCAACAAAATTTAGTAGTTAAAATAGTTGGAGGTACAGTAACAGCCTCTAAAAATACATGCCTCCAAATATGTACAGACAGCTGTCATGTCTGTTGACAGAATATATTAGTCATTATCCTCATCAGTAGACACAAAATCATTGCAGTTTTCCTAATGTAGGTGCTTCAAAGCACATAATTGCTAGTGATTTTGGAGGTCCTTGGATAAAGTCACTGCCATTGTAATCATGGTGTTTTCATTTAGCTTGCTTTTTATATTCTTAACCTGGATGTTAACAACTCAGCCAGAGCTCTTCACAGGGAAGTATTAAAGTATTCCCACTTACTGCTTCAGACACATTCCCACCTACCCTTGGCATGAAAGTCTGGACTAGAAACTTCTATTCTGAATAAAGAAGGCGATCAAGACTGGGCACAGTGGTTCAAGCCTGTAATCCCAGCACTTTGGGAGGCCAAGATGGGTGGATCATCTGAGGTGGGGAGTTTGAAACCAGCCTGACCAATGTGATGAAACCCCATCTCTACTAAAAATACAAAACTTAGCTGGGCTGTGGTGGTGCATGCCTGTAATCCCAGCTACTGGGGAGGCTGAGGCAGGAGAATCACCTGAACCCGGGATGCGGAGGTTGCAGTGAGCCCACTCCAGCCTGAGCAACAGAGGGAGACCCTATCTCCAAAAAAAAAAAAAAAAAAAAAAAGGTGATCAAGACCTTTCACACGAGAGATGCCCATATTCCAATCTGAAGCTTCTATGAATGTAGTATTAGAAAAACGTGTCTAATTCCTGAAAACTGGATGAATACCACCATCTGAGGATTTCTTGTCCTTTTTAAAAAGCAGGAAGGAGCCCCCACTGCAGAGCATGTGGGAGGCAGAGCCTGGACAGGGGTTTTGGGATTCAAAGCCAATTCAATGCCACATTTAGGAGCCAAGCATTTTCTGAGCCTCAGATTTTTAGTGGAAAATGGGAGTGATCATAACTACCTTATAGCATTGTGCAGACATGTCATGAGAGCACCGAAAATGTGCCTGTTATACAATAGGTGATTGAAAAACTTTGGCTTCATTGCTTTCCTTCCCTATTCTCTTTGTATCTTCCCTCCACTGAAGTCTTACCACCCTCCTCTCCCCACCTTCACACAAGCATGCATCCCTGTCTGTTTTCATTTAAAGGCTTCCAGATTTAGTTATGGTACCAAGTAAATCTGGTACCAGATTTACTTATGAAATGGGAATAGAATGACAACCTCAGCTTCTTCTCCCCTATCCTCGGCTGTTCTCCAATTTGGCAAGATCAAGAATTCTCATTGTTATAAACAAGAGCAAAATATTAAAAGTTATGAATACTGTATCAGGCACTGTATGAAGTGTTTATATGTAAAATCACATTTAATCCTCACAATGACCCTCTGAAATAGGTACAATTCTCATCCACATTTCACAGGGGAAGAAACTGAGGCTCAGAAAGGTTGAATCGCTTGCCCACGATCACACAGCTGAGAGTAGTGGAGCCAGGCCTTGACCCAGGCAGCCTGTCCCCAGAAGCAGCAGGAACAGCATGCTCAGAGAGCAAGGCAGCCCCAGGGTCAGGCAGGGGCTGGAGGACCCCTTGGCTGCATCCTTTCTGATGTGGTAGGCAGCATTTCCCAGAGACTCAGTCCTCAAGGCCGGGAGGAAGGCCTCCCACACAGCCGAGGTGGAGCAAGGGCAGCCCTTCTGGGAGGGCATGCTGCTGTTCATAATATGAGAGTGGGGTCCTGTCAAGGGTTGTTGTTTTTCCCCCTCTGCCTCTTCCTCCCACTTCTGACAAGGTTTTCAATTAGCAGCTTGTAGAGGCCCAGCCTGTGGTCCCCATTTCAAGCTACATGCATAACTGAATTCCCCAGGAGGGGATTAAAGGGCAGAGGAAGGTGGGGGGTGGAGGCTGAGGCCCCTTGAATGGGAGGACTGAAATGTGCTGTGGGTATGGGCTGAAAGCAACACCTTGCCTTGTTTAAACTTGAGTGGGGCCAGGGGTCACCTGGGAGGTGACTCTCACAGGGATGAAAGGGGAGATGGCTGCGGCAGCAGGATATAGGGCCCCTGGGCCGGTGGTTGGGCCTCCCTGCCTCGTGTCTGGTTTCTGGTGGGATGGATACAGAAACTGGTGCAGGGAACTGCTCAAGCCTGTTGGTGCTTAGGAAGAAGGAACTTGCTCTCCATTTTGGGAGGTGAATGAAGCTCCCAGCTCCCTGATGGCTTTTCCCCATGGGAGGCCTTGGTCATCTTGAGCCTAGGTTGTGTGTTTAATGCCTGGGCTACTTTGAGCCAGTGCTCTCTCCTCTCTGTCCAGGGCAGGGAGGATACCACTGTTCTGCAGGCGTTTCTGATGGCTGCTTCCTCTTCACTGCCAGGCTAGGTCTACACTTCATCCGGTAGCCACACTGACTTTCTTTTTATCTTTTGAAAGCAGGATCATTGTTTTAAGGAGGGAAAAAGTCAAGATGTTCATGCTCCCCAACACACATGATATGCATTTGCCACCTCCAGCACGGAGCTTGTGATCCACCTGAAAATGAGGGCTTGTCCTGTGGAATGACAGCAATGTGCTGTGGTCCACACTGGAAGGAATGTCTTGTTTGAACTTTTATGGGGCCAGCAGTCATCTGAAAAATATGATGGCTCAAAGCCAAATGCTGTGTTCTATCATAGAGGGGTAAAGAGGATTTCTAAAAGAGGTTGCGAGTGGCCTTTAAATACCCAGTATGGGGTTGATGTCCCTTTCTTGTGATCCCCAGACACAGTTTGCTCTTGAGAGGACTGATGGCCTGGGATATGTTATTGATGGTCCTGAAAGGGATCTGCGTTTGAATAGGTCAGAGAAGATGTTCTGGAAGTCTGGAGACTGGGATACGCTCCCTTCCCTACAGGTTCGAGAGGGCTCTGAGGAGCAGTTATAGACATGTAATGAGGATCCAGGCTCCAGATCTGTTCTGTGGGAGAAAAAAGTGAGGAAAGTGAGTTTCTGGATAAATCATGGTGATCCTTGAATTTGAAGTTGTCCCCAAAGTTTATCCTCCTCATCAGAGCATATGATCATAGCTTCTGTTTTTTCTGTATTTTCCTTTTCTTCCCCTGCCTTGTTTCCCTCCCCACCTCACCACCCACCCCCTCTGCAGCCTCCCTGCCTCCCTCCCGCAAACACATTTTTTTTCCCAGCCAAGTGCTTGTTGAGGGCTGTGTGGGGGAACTAGCTCCCCACAAGACAGAGGAACATGTGAAAACAGGACCCTGATGAAGCTGGACTCAGGGCCACCCACTGCCAACATTTTCTAGGTGAACAAGAGTGAATTACAAATGCAGGCTGGAGGCCGGGCGCGGTGGCTCACGCCTGTAATCCCAGCACTTTGGGAGGCCGAGGCGGGCGGATCACGAGGTCAGGAGATCGAGACCATCCCGGCTAAAAACGGTGAAACCCCGTCTCTACTAAAAATACAAAAAAAATTAGCCGGGCGTAGTGGCGGGCGCCTGTGGTCCCAGCTACTTGGGAGGCTGAGGCAGGAGAATGGCGTGAACCCGGGAGGCGGAGCTTGCAGTGAGCCGAGATCCCGCCACTGCACTCCAGCCTGGGCGACAGAGCGAGACTCCGTCTCAAAAAAAAAAAAAGAAAAAGAAAAAGACAAATGCAGGCTGGACCTCGGTGCTCGGAGCCACACCAGCAAGAATTGCCTGTGTTGAGGACAGCGAGGGGGACACACACACACACACACACACACACAGAGAGAGAGAGAGAGAGAGAGAAACCTGCCTCCCAGGGAAGACTGTGAATCTCAATGGTGTTTCCCTGTACATGGTTTCAGCATTTAAAACATCCTGCAAATGAGGCTTTTCCTGATCTGCACGAGTGGGCTCTCCCCTCCTCCTGCATCTGACATCCCTGCCACCACCCACTGATTGGGTTGAATGATTTGATGGGGCATTCATCAGGAGGTTTGGGTGTCCCCGATGAGTAAATACACTTGCTGTTATGAGCCCCATACATAAAAGGGAAAGTATCACATTTTTCTCTGAATTCTTGAGGAAATTGCTCTCATATACAACACCAACCTTTGGCTGCGTGACAGAGATGGAGTGTTGTTTGCATGCCATTATCAGGCTGTAAAGTCTGGTCAGGGCTGCCTTTTCGGAGTTTCCAATCTTTTGGGATCCTGGGAGGGTCACCCTGCGGGTCAGGTTTGTTTAGTCTGGTCCGTAATGGTGTAAAGTGGCCTTGACTGTTGAGCCTCCCTAAATAATGCCCTATCTGTTTGATACTTCAACAGTCCCTCGGAGTTGTATATATGTTTCACTTTCTAATATTCGAAGCTGAATTGGATTTCATTGTTAATAGATGGGAAATTGTTTCTAAAAACAACCTCATCTTGCTTTGAAAGTTAGCCAGAGTTCAGAGGGCCCCTGCATTTTAACGGGTGATCTATGTTTTCTCTGGGAAAATCATAGAGCACTTCTGTGTTTTTGTATGCATGTTACTCACTCTGCAGCTTTTTAAAGGGATTCATCTGAACATATGCCACTTTAAAAAGCTTTTTATTAAAATATAATGTACATATAGATAAGACAGCACATATAATAAGCATACAGTGAATTTTAATGAACTCAATACATTGTAGCAACTGGCCCCAGATTAAGAAATAGAACATCATCAGCACCCCAAAAGCCCCCTCATGCCTCTCTATGGGAACATATACTATTTTAAATTTCTCTTATTTATAATTTATTCAAGGTTTTCTGTATTGCACCTTATTCTGTTTTTCTCAATGGTGTAACATTCCCTGAATCATCATATACAAATAAGGGAAAAGAACTTGTCTGATCTGCTGGGTCATAATAAACAGTACCTATCTAGAATCCTTCAATATGGCATTGTAATGTCCTATGGAGCTTTGTAAATTCATCAATATCTTGCCAAAATGGAGTTCATTTTTATAAGAATCCCTCTAGGTGCTCAAAGCTTGCTTCTTTATCTATTAGACACAAGAAAAGCCTGGTTTCACAGATGAGTCTAAATAGCATTGGTCTACCTAGCTCACATCCTAGTTTTGTGAAATACTATCTTTATTTAATTTAATTTATTTTATTTTTTTGAGACAAGGTCTCACTCTGTCACCCATGCTGGAGTAGAGCGGCACGATCTTGGCTCACTGCAGGCTCCACCTCCCGGGTTTAAGCAATTCTTCTGCCTCAGCCTCCTGAGTATCTGGGACTACAGGCGTGCACCACCACGCTCAGCTAATTTTTGTATTTTTAATGGATATGGGGTTTGGCCATGTTGGCCAGGCTGGTTTCAAATTCCTGACCTCAAGTGATCTGCCTGCCTTGGCCTCCCAAAGTGCTGGGATTACAGGCATGAGCCGCTGTGCCCAGCCCTTGTTTTGTGAAATACTATCAAACCCACTTTATGAATGTTAAGTAATTAAGTCCTTCGGGGTAGAGAAAATAGTGGTGGAAGAAAGTTATTCATTGCAAACATTTTTGCTCAGAGGCTTTTGGAAGTAAATAGGTTCTCCTCCCCAGTCCAGCTATATTTCAAAAGGAATCTTGTTCGAAGCCCTATAATTGGACTTCTCCCCTCCTTTTTAAAAGTAGTTCAATTTCTTTCTTCCCAAGCTCCTCAGCTCCCAGAGCAGCTTTCATTACGGCAACATAAATAAAAAGTGACATAAAATTATACAGCCCTGTGTAAAGTAGTTTAAGGAAAATGTCTTTTATGGCAGCTTTTATGGTTTCACCAATTAGTTATTAGATTTTCTCCATTTTTAATTCGCTGTCCTGCATGTGCGTTCTGAAAGGTTTCTTCCCCCTTTCATCTCTTAGTAGTAACAGGGCTGGGGGGCGTTGAGCCCCTGTTTAGCTGACTTTCTTGTTTCATGAAGGCTTTCATGACAGCCTGTTGCTAGATGTGGGCAGAGCAAGTCCCTTGGGAGAGAAGCCAGCATTGAGCCATTCTGTGAAGTGAGCAGAGTTTCACCCTCTTCCTGTATGAACACTCAGTGTCCTGTGTCCCGCTGAGGGTAGCGGCAGGCTGGCTGCAGGATCCCGTCACAGCAGGTGGACCTTAAGCTGATAAATCCTGAATTTTTAGTAACTTTCCAAACATTCCTGGGGAGTGAGAATAACAGAGATTTACTCCTGCCAAAATTTAATCATGCAGAAAAAGCAAAATTTAGAACAGCGTATAGATTATTTTTTAATGCGACTGCTTGACAGCGGAGAACAAGGAAGTTGAATACTTGGTGCAGCCGAGTCTAGACCGCTGCAATTTGATTCATTTAGGGGAATTGTATTAGGTTTTCATTTTGGCTTGGGCTGGGCTGTATCTGTTTGGAAGTGCATGATGTCATCGTATCAAGCGTGTCACAGCCAAGGCATTCTGGTATTTATGTTGACTTCAGATCTAGCCCAGAGTACATGGGAGGCTCAATTTATTGCTACTTTAACTTTGTTTAGTCATGGAGAGGCTTTATTTATGTTGGTAAATTTCAAACAGTGGCCAAAATTAACCGCACAATGAAAAGGCCTGCCAGATTCATCATCGATAAATCATCTTGTTGCTGAGTTTCTTTAATTAAGGAAAAACTCCGTCTGTGGATCCCTGTGGTTGCTGGAAGGAAAGGAGGGTGGGGAGTACTTTGATTAATCCATCTATCAGCCTGGCTTTGGAAAGTGAGTCTCCTGTTTTTGATTGTAGCTGGGCAAAGACCTAAATAAAAATTTATCTTGTCAAAACCTATGGGCTAACTGAAAGCAAATAAAGAAATTTTATGGCATCCACATAAAGTTAAATAAATAACGAGAAAGCGTAGTACGTCCTACAGACATTTTTCAGTACAGTACGTGGCTCTGTTCTTTGGGGAGAACTCATTAACTTAAAAAAAATTACCTTTAATGGGCCACTCGTTATCGTCATCATCAAATGCTTCGCTTGTCTAATGTTCCAGTGTTTAATGCCTGATTAAAACTGAAGATGGGGGCTCATGGCTTGGTGCTGTTGGAACTACCCAGGATAGAATGCATGGCAAGTGGGGCTTCTAAAGGGTAAAATATGGACGTTGCAAACAGCACTGCCAGTATCGGGGAGAACTTTTTAAATGGATCCCTCTGGAAGGTAACTGACCTTCCTGCAACATAATGTTGCAGGGGAGGGCAACAGGGTGAAGCTTTTCGTGTCTGAATGAACAAGGGACTTCATCTCTGGTTGAACTTATCTTTCATGTGGGGGCTTCTCTCTGCTGGAAAAAGTCTAGAAAAATATATTGGGATTGAAAACCTCTTTTCATCAAATGTGGTTTAAGCAGACTTCTCTCTGGGTTCGGTCTCATGGTGGAATGCATTTTATTTCTAGGTTAAAAAAAAGTCCTTGAATCAGACAAAAGACAACAGGTAGTGATGGAGAAGGCCCATTCTCATACTAGCACGTGCTTCACAGTATTTGCTTTTTCTTTGTAGGTTATGGAAAGGAGGCTCTCTTGATACCAAGCTTCAGGATCCACCCACAGGAAAAGGTGATTTCTCAAGTGTCGAGTCTTGGCGTACGATGCATTAGGCAATCAGCCCCTGCCTGTTTGATGGAGTTGTACAATAAACATGGGCTTGGGGGAATCAAGAACATTTCGAGAAGCATCTCTGGTGGAATCCTGATGCTGGAGGCCTCTACTTTGGGATGTGACATTTTTGGGTTGGCTGACTAAAGCTGTTCCTGGAGGTCAGCTGGTGGTTTTGCAAGTTCTTGGCTTTTTCCTGCATTCTGTCATTGTGCCTTGACTTTTTTAGTGGGGCGGGATTCCCCATGACTGAGGATGGTGGTTGTGGTGATGGTGTGAACAGTGAGACTGCCCTCTACCTCAGGTTAGGAGATGTGGGAATGAGACAGAGATGGAGGGGTATGTTCTGGCTTAATCAACTGGATCAGCTTCACTAAACTGGGTAGGTTTCAAGCATTCCTAGACACCAAAGCCTACTCCTTAAATCTGCAATGCAATGTTGGTGATTTTAGCCTTCTGGAAGACCTTTCCTTAGGTTAATGAGACAACAATTTGCTTAAATGTGGGACAATTTCAATATAGAAGTCATAATCTGGGCCATGGAATTTGGTCATAGGTTGATAGAAGATTTCTAGCCACTTCATAATAATAACTATATCTTATGCATTTTTTAATCTTCTTCATTAGTTCCAAGATATAGTTTAAGGCTCTCTTGGAGTCACCTTAGTTTGCCTTTAGTGCATCAGAAAGGACACTTTGATTTATCCCAGCATGGAGGTCAGAGGTTAACAACAGGACAACAAGCATATACTAAGCTCTTGCCATGGGTGTAGCAAGTGCGGTGCAGTGTGCAGACTCCATAGAATCCTGTCATGGCCTTTGCCCAGAAGAGGCTTCTGATTTTGCAGAGGTAGGATTTATATAACTGTTAGATTGAAAGTGAGGACTTCTGCAGATGCAGTTGTAAAATGTTGTCATCCTTTCCTTCTAAGCCTGGGCTGTGGGGTTAGCTCTCCATTCCCTGGGTCAGATCTAGAGAAAGTTCCATCACTTTTCTGGCTACTCCAGGATCTTTTGTTTGCAAAAATGTTTGTAATTCAATATTATCACAGTGGTTTTCAACCCAGGTGGCCCATCAGAATTGCCCGGGCAGCTCTTAAAAAATATTGATGCCTAGGCTACCGCCAAGACCAGTGAAATAAGAATCTTTGGTGATTGGAAAAAAAAATCTTTGAGGATGAAGCCCAGACATCAGTATTTTTAAAGCTTCCCAGGAATTCCAGATGGATAGACAGGGTTGAGAACCACAGAAATGGAATGTGCAATTCCAGATAAATCATGAAAAATTCCAATTCTATTTAAAATGAAAACCTCTCCTGTTCTCTTTCTCTTGCCTACAATTCTGAGTTAGGGAGAAAGACTTGGGAAGCCTTGACTTCTCACCTGACCTTACAAGTGTTTTCCTCCTAGCCAGCTTGCTCACCGATGTTGCCGACTGCTCTGAGGTTGGGGTGGGTAGGAAGGGAGGACAGGTAATGGCTGGGAGGGTCTCATGTGACTGGCATCAATGCCACCTGACATGGCTTCTTCTGGCTGTGGGAGAAGTTTGAAGTTGATTTGCTTTGGGGACAGAAGTAAAAATTTGTATATTCTTCGGAGATTGCCTTTCATCTCTGGGAGTCTCTTATCTGCAGTTTCTTTGGTTTTCCAGTAATCTGACTCACACAGAGAGACTCTGCTGTGTCCCAGTGGCCCCCAGGAGGCCATCTTAGACAAAGTCCCTTAAGAGGGTGCCAGGCTGGCTCTCCCTCAGTCATGCAGGCCCTCCTCTCCTCTCTCTGCTTTCAGCCCTGCTACCCACCCTTTCCCTTTAGGCTCATTCATCCAGCGTTCTGGCAGTACCCTCTGGTACCGCACAGACTTCAGGGGACCTTGAACAAGCTCCATTTTGTCTCCTGGAAGCTCATTCCACCAGGTTTGAGGTGAGGGGAAATACCACTTTGGCAGAAACACTAGTTGTCCCCCAATTTTTTTTTCCATTTTTTTTCCTACAGTGATAGAGTGAGTTTCATCTGCAAACGTGGCTTTTCAGAATAAAGACAACATTTCTCAGTTTCCCTTACAGCTACCCACCATGAGACTAAACCCATTGTCATGGTACTAAATTCTGATCAATGGCATATTGGGTACATGCAGTGTAGGCAACTTCCAGGAAATATCTTTAAAAGGAGGTGGCATGGCCTTCTTCTCAACCCGCTTTCCCACTGGATGGAAGGCAGTTGGCTGAGATCTTGGTCGCAGAAGTGGGAGCAGCATGTTGAGGAGGTTGGGCAGTAGGCAGGAAGCAGCCTGGGCCCCTGATGAGTCATACACACACTGACTACTGAAACTTGCATGTGTGAGAGAAATAAACTTCCATCTTGTAAAACCCACTATTTGTCACTGGTAAAGCCTGAGTTCTGTCCTCTCTCTCTCCTCCCTGGACAGTATGAGCTTCACCACTCGCTCCACCTTCTCCACCAACTACCAGTCCCTGGGCTCTGTCCAGGTGCCCAGCTAAGACGCTCGGCCAGTCAGCAGCATGACCAGTATCTCTGCAGGGGCTGGGGGCTCTGGTTCCCAGATCTCCATGTCCCCCTCCACCAGCTTCTGGGGTGGCATGGGGTCTGGGGCCCTGGCCGTGGGGATGGCCAGGGTTCTGGCAGGATGGAAGACATCCAGAACAAGAAGGAGACCATGCAAAGCCTGAATGACTGCCTGGCCTCCTACCTGGACAGAGTGAGGAGACTGGATACCAAGAATCGGAAGCTGGAGAGCAAAATCCGGGAGCACCTGGAGAAGAAGGGACCCCAAGTCAGAGACTGGAGCCATTACTTCAAGACCGTGGAGGACCTGAGGGCTCAGATCTTCGCAAATACTGTGGACAATGCCCGCATCGTTCTGCAAGTCGACAATGCCCATCTTGCTGATGACTTTAGAGTCAAGTATGTGACAGAGCTGGCCATGCGCCAGTCTATGGAGAGCGACATCCATGGGCTCCGCAAGGTCATTGATGACACCAATGTCACTCGGCTGCAGCTGGAAACAGAGATCGAGGCTCTCAAGGAGGAGCTGCTCTTCATGAAGAAGAACGAAGAAGGGGAAATAAAAGGCCTACAAGCCCAGATTGCCAGCTCTGGGTTGACTGTGGAGGTAGATATCCCCAAATCTCAGGACCTTGCCAAGCTCATGGCAGACATCTGGGCCCAATATGATGAGCTGGCTCGGAAGAGCCAAGAGGAGCTGGGCAAGTACTGGTCTCAGCAGATTGAGGAGAGTATCACAGTAGTCACCATGCAGTCCACCGAGGTTGGAGCTGCTGAGATGATGCTCATGGAGCTGCTTGGAGATCAACCTGGACTCCATGAGAAATCTGAAGGCTAGCTTGGAGAATGGCCTGAGGGAGGTGGAGGCCCGCTATGCCCTGCAGATGGAGCAGTTCAACAGGATCCTGCTGCACCTGGAGTCAGAGCTGGCACAGACCTGGGCAGAGGGACAGTGCCAGGCCCAGGAGTACGAGGCCCTGCTGAGCATCAGGGTCAAGCTGGAGGCTGAGATCGCCACCTACCACCACCTGCTGGAAGATGTGAGGACTTCAATCTTAGCGATGCCCTGGACAGCATCAACTCCACGCAAACTATGCAAAAGACCACCACCGGCCGGATAGTGGATGGCAAAGTGGGGTCTGAGACCAACAACACCAAAGTTCTGAGACATTAAGTCAGCAGAACCCGGGGACCCTTTGGGGAGGAGGAGGCCGATGAAAAGTTCAGAGGTTTAAAAAAAAAAAAAAAGCTGGGTGCAGTGGCTCACGCCTGTAATCCCAGCACTTTGGGAGGCCGAGGCTTGTGGATCACGAGGTCAGGAGATCAAGACCACCCTGGCTAGCAAGGTAAAACCCTGTCTCTACTAAAAATACAAAAAAATTAGCTGGGCGTGGCAGCATGTGCCTGTAGTCCCAGCTACTTGGGAGGCTGAGGCAGGAGAATCACTTGAACCAGGGAGGCAGAGGTTGCAGTGAGCCAGGATTGTACCACTGCACTCCAGCCTGGGCCACAGAGTGAGACTCCATCTAAAAAAAAAAAAAAAAAAAAACCCACAAACAAATCCACTGTTGTTATGGGTTGTCTGACACAACTGAACCTAATACTAAATAATTCAGAATTTTGTCTTGAAATGGAGTGCTGAGCATTAGCTTGGGAAGATGATAGGCTGCAGAAACATAGATGTTGCAGAGTAGGAAGAGGGTCACCCCCATTAGATGGTAGCAAAACAGTAGGTCGAATTGCATCTGCTATACCTCAAAAGGCAGACCACGTGTTAGTGAAAATAGTAGAAAAAGGCTAGAATGTTGGTGGTAGGGCAGCTTTTTGCTGCTTTTAGCAAAGTCCTACAGGAGAGAGTTGAATTCAGCTGAGAGCTAGTTAGTCCACAAGCAGATGTGGAAGGAAATGTCACTTTGCTAGGGGAGGCGCTCTGTGATGTAGCCTGCACTCTAATTTGACTGAGAGTCTAGCAATTTGGAGGTGTTTGAAGTATTAATTAAGCTAACTGTGTCTGTACCCCAACTTGAAGCAGCCCCAAGAGGTGGCTGCAAAATGGCAGCCTTGCTAACATGTAGTACTGTGGCCCCAAACCCTCTTCAAGCAATTTATTTTAAGAGTTCTCTGCCATCATGGGAATCAGCTTAGCTGGCTGCAAAAATCAAATCTTAGCAAACCTTTTGTTTCAGTTGCTACTATGTTGAGAGAGAGAGAGGTGTGGCCAAACACTGGCCAGTAAGTAAAAAGCCTGAGACTTTAGGCTTAAAAGCTGTGTCTAGATGACATTGTTGTCTGTGGTTTTTCACACATGGAAACAGATAAACTGGAAGCCTACTAAAATTTTGAGGGAATCATATTGGAAACAAAAAAGCCTGTGAGCAGCAATCTGTAGAGTAATGCCTGTGTTCCAGAAGCTGCATTAGCAGGAAGAGTGTGGGAAAGGAGATTGTGTGTGCCCTCCAAGGCCCTTTTCAGATGTGGTCAAGAGGATGATGGATAAAGGAGAGGGAAAACCAGGGCCAATGGACAAGGGAATTATTCTCAGAAAGGAGAGTGAGAAGCTGCCAGAGTGTCCAACCAAGGAAGCGACTTCACTATCAAGGACAGGAGCCTTTGCTATTCCTGCCCAGTGGGATATGATAATAGTTATGGGCCAGTGACTTCTGGGCATTTCCCCTTCTCCCCATTTCCAAATGGGAGTCTTTAGAAATTGTTATTATCTTGTTTCTTCTCTACCATTTTAATTTTAGGTATGTGATGGGAAGATAACTTACTATTAGCGTATAGATCACCTGACCACTAAGAGCTGCATCTGGGCCTGATGGAGAGGACTGGGCACCAGTCATACACTCTGGATTTAAGCTGAATGCAGTTACTGGTTGGGTCATTGCCTTCTTTTATGGAAAGGATGGGTATGTTCTATGTATTTCAAGATGGGTGCACATGGGTATTTTTAGGGTTAAAGAGGTAGATTGTGGGGCTAGGCACAGTGGCTCATATCTGTAATCTCAGAACTTTGGGAGGTCAAGGAGAGAGGATTGCTTGAGCCCAGGAGTTTGAGACCAGCTTGGGCAGCATAGTGAGATCCCCTCTCTACAAAAAACTAAAAAGTAGCCGAGCATAGTGATGTTAACCTGTAGTTCCAGCTACTTGGGAGTCTGAGGTGGGAGGATTGTTTGAGTCTGAGAGGTTGAGGCTGAAGTGAGCAATGATGATGCAACTGCACTCCACCCTGGGTGACAGAGCGAGACCTTATCTCAAGAAAAAAAAGAGGTGGATTATGGAAGAAACACCTAGTTTCCTCACTGTATCTTCCACAGTGATGTAGCCTTAGACTTTTGGCTGGGCATGTGGCTTTTCAGAATAAAGATTACATTTCCCAGTCCTCCTTGTAACTGGGGTTAGTTATGTTACTCAGTTCTGGCCAGTGGGCTGTAAAGACTGTGTGTGCAGTGTTCAGGAAGTATCCTTAAAAGGTCTTAGACCTTTCTCCTTTCAACTTTCTTACTGGTGGGAATGTGGATAGATTCACCATATCAGCCTTGAGCCATTACTTTAGATATTTACATGAGAGAGGAATACAGTTCTTTCTCTTAGAAGTCATTTGTTTTGTGTTTTCTTTCACTTGCAGTTGAATCCAATCCTGTGAGGGGACATTAAGACAGAAAGCACACTAATAGGAGAATGAAAACATCTATTTCCCAGGTTGCTCAATTTCAACATTTTATACCATTAAGGACAATGGTCACAAAACTGTTTCTCAGACCATTTTTTCCCCATTTTTTAGAAGTTTTATTTTGTTTTTAATTGACGCAATAATTGTGCTTATTTACGGAGCACAGTGTGATGTTTTGATACATGTATACATTGTGTAATGATCAAATCAGGATAATTACCATATCCATCACCTCAAACACATCATTTCTTTGTGGTGAGAACATTCAAAATTGTGAGACCTTTTCCTTGGGATTCTTGCATAGATGGTTTAACATTTTGCTTTGGAAAGTGAGGATAGCTGACACCTATTTTCCAGGTGCCCTAGAGGAGTTAGAAAGAGTTCCATTTTAACATCCTGTTATAATCATGTATATAAACTAATAGTTCCAGAATATGCACACTATAGTTAAATGACAGCATGTGTGTTATAGACTACAAATGCTCAAGGAATACAGAGAATGGATACATTATTGTAGGCTGGCCTAGTTAGAGAAGTTTCTGAGGTGTGACAGACTTGAAATGGAGGGAATGAAGGTCTGTGATAAAAGACAAGAGAGTGTGCCAGGTAGGTGTGTGTGTGTATGTGTGTGTGTGTGTGTAGGGGTGAGGCAGTTCAGACTGCACAGGTAAAAGCACTGAAGTAGGAATGTGCATAGTTCACATGGGGCCCTTTGTTTGGATCTTTATAGTTCTTGGTAAAACTTGATCTCTATCCACTTCCTTGATTTTTCTTCTCCTTTGTCTTTCAGGGTTGATTTATGACTGCAGGATGGTGTCTTGACCACCTACTGCCTTTATTGATGGAAAGTAACACCCCTCAAAGAACCTTCCATGTATTTATGGGTGTTTTTCAGGAATGGAAGACACCACTGTCTGCTTTTCCCAAATTCATTCCCCCATCCAACCCCAACACCAGTACATGTCCCCAAGTCCAGGTATTTTCCTGCTCACAGACCACAGTTTTGTTTGGGTATCAGGCAGCTGCATTGTTCAGGAAGCTTAGACCCCACTCACATAAAGAGAGAGCATCTTATTCCTGTAAGCCAAGCAAGGGAATCTTGTTTCCCTGTTGGTAGAGGAACTTGGCATGTAGTACAATTCTGGCTCATGAGTTGCAAGGAGGACTGGAGAAACAGGGTGCTTCTGGGAAAGTTATCTTTGCCAGGGATACAAGGAAGGGGTGTTCTGTCTTACGTGTTGTGTGAGCTTGTGATGCCTAAAATATCCACAGTCATCTGGCCACAGAAGGGACAGCCTGAGACAAAAGCCAACATGCCTGGGAGAGGAGAGCAGAAAGAAAGTCCCTGGGTCTTTAATGGTGTCATTGGATTGAGAACCACCCAACTCTGAAATTGCTTGACTTCCAGACTCTTTGTTACCTGAAAAAATAACCCCCTTTTATTGATTAAGCCATTTTAGCTTGGTTCATTTTTATTTGGTGGATATGCCAGAGTGTGGCTCCCTGTTCAGAAATAGCCTCAGTTCTTCTCCCATCAAGGGTGCTATTTGGCAGCTTCTGCTCCTCATACCACCTGAACAGAGGTCACCAGGGCTCCTCCTGCTGGGGAGACCTTTGCAACCACTATATTGACCTCAGGGGAAACAGACCCAGCTGTTACTGTTGACACTTCATTATAAGCATGGGATTAGTCTTTCCAGGAATTATCACTTGTAATTCCTGACAATGCAGCAGAGCCTGGGATGTAACTTTTAACAAGACTTCCCAGAAGGTTCGAGGTTGATGGAGGGGAAGTGCATATGCACAGTAGCTCACAGCTGAGGCATGCATGGCTCAGGCCATCTTCAGGGTGTCTTGGCAGCCTAGCTCCCAGTCTTACTACTGCTTTGTCTGGGGCAACTTAGCTAACTCCTCGCCCCCTGCTCCCTGTACCCTGCTTCTGCCCCCAGAGAGAGTAGAAAGATTTCCCTCACACTAGTCCTTGGGCTGTGCAAAGTGTGGTCCAAGGACTGGCAGCATCAGCATCACCTGGGAAGTTATGAGAAATGCAGAATCATAGGCCCTGCCCTAGACCCACTGAAACATAATCTGTATTTTAATAAGGCTTCTAGGCAATTTCTAAGAACATTAAAGTTTAAGAAGTTATCCTAGTCTAAGGCTTGCCTCTCACGCCTTCATTTCCTATTGCAGGTTTCAACTCTAGCTGGGATGACTGACTATGGGGACTTTTTTTTTTTTTTCAGGGGAAACTGCATCCTCATAGTGATTGTGGACTTTTGGGCTCAACAAGACACTCGTGCAACCCCAACACCAGTACATAGTCTCAAATCCAGGCTGGTCAGTTTTAAAAAATGGTCACTATGTGGCATCAAAAGCCCAGTCCAGGTGGGGGTTAAGCCTGTTCCTTTTTTTTTTCAGTTTTCTTAAATTATAAAAGTAACATTAAAATATTAACATTTAAGACAAAGGTGAATTTTATATAAGTTGATATTACCTTCTCTACATACATATATATTTAATTTTTACATATTTGATTTAATATTTAATGATTCAATTTTATATTCTACACTTTCATTCAATATTACACTGAGATAGGCTTCCATTCTGTTATTCATTTTTTCTTTCCCATAGCTTGTATTTGCTCATTCTTACATCCCTGAGATAATTAATGTTAAAAACTTGATTCACATTTTTGCATACCTTTCTCCATCCTCATGCAAATATATGCACACATGTATATGCCATTTTTTTGGGGTCAGTTTCTCTTTTCTTACAAAAGAAATTATATTAAGCATTTATATCAGGTTGGTTTTTTCCCCCTTAACCATTAAATGGTAGTCTCTCCAGGTCAGTAGGCACAGAGATAACTCCTAATAGCTGCATAATATTCCTTAGTATGGATGTATTATAACTGATGCAACCCTTTTCTCTTACTAATGAACATTCAGGTTGCTCTGGTCATATGTTTCCTTACACAAAGGGTCTTATATATTCCATACTTTTACCTCTAAAGACAGATGCCTGTAAGTAATATTGTTGGGTCAAAGGAAATAAGTTAGAGTAAGCTAACTGCTATAACAAATAGACCCTCGAATATATCATATTTCAAACATAATAAAAGTAAAATAGTCCACATTAGTTTCAGGTACTCAGAGGTCTCTGCTACACATAATCACTCCGGGTTCAGGCCACAGGGGCTTTGCCACCTTCAACAAGTGAATGTAGTGTCATACCTGAGCTAGGACTCAGTTGTCTGCTACAGAGGAATCTGGAAAATGTAGTGTAGGTGTGCCCAGAACAAAAGGAAACAATTTTTTGAATAGTTAGTTTCTGCTACAAAGGGTCAATGAATATTTAATTTAAATATATATTACCAAGTTGCTTTTACAAATGGTGGTAACAGTTTGCATTCCCACTAGCAATATATGAAAGAGTCCATAATCTGGAATTCTTGCTGGTGCTGGATGGTATCATTCTTTAAATCTTTCCAAATCTGATGGATGAATAATGGTATTGCTTTAATTTGCATTTTCTTGATTATTACTGGTTAAGTGTCTTTTCACAAGTTTAACAGTCATCTGGTTAATTTGTTTCTTTCCTACCTGTTCTATGTTCCCTTTTGTCTCCTTTCTTGCCTTCTTTTGAATTATTATTATTATTATTATTATTATTATTATTATTACTGTTATTTTTGAGACAGTCTCTGTTCTGTTGCCCAGGCTGGAGTGCAGTGGAACGATCTCAGCTCACTGAAACCTCCTCCCCTCAGGTTCAAGCAATTCTTGTGCCTCAGCCTCTCAAGTAGCTGGAATTACAGGCATGTACCACCCATGCCTTGCTAATTTTTGTATTTTTAGTAGAGACAGGGTTTTGCCATGTTGGCTAGGCTGGTCTCAAACTCCTGGCCTCAAGTGATCCACCCACCTCAGTCTCCCAAAGTGCTGGGATTACAGGCGTGAGCCACCATGCCCGGCCTGGATTATTTTTTATTATTCTACTTTTCCCCTCTCTTAGTTTGCTAATTTTACATTTTGTTTTTGTACTCTTTTAGAGGTTATCCTAGAATGTAAACATATCTCCTAGACTTATGAAAGTCTAATATACTGTTTCAGGTTGGATCTCCCAGGAGACAGACTTTGAGATGTAGTTATTGTTCAGAAAGTTTACTGGGGGAAATGTTCTTGGCTTAACACCAGTGGAAGGGAAGGAAAGGAAGCAGGTTTGTTAAAGAGAGAAGTTGGATTGTGCTGCAATTAGAATGAAAGACTGAAGCTCTCTCCAGGGAACCTTGGAAGTGGGGATGGCTTTTCAGCATTGTCTTGAGTTTGGGTGAGGGGCCAGGCTTTTATATCCACACATTGAGCAGTTATTGGATGTAGGCCGCCTTGGGAAGGGGGCTTGTCACTGGGCAAGGTGGCCCTTTTCAGCTGATGGCAACTCCTAAAGAGAGGTGACAGCTGAGGGAGTAAGTCCCTATGTCTTGAGGGGGAGGTCTGACTGGCAGAGGTTAGATTACACTACATGTAAAACAGTACTTTTACCTCCACCCAAGCAATTCAAGGACCTTAGAACACTTTAACTTCATTTGACTTCTGATTTTTATTACTATTGTCATTTATATTTATTCTGTGTATATTTTAACTGCCATGACATGATTATTACAGTTTTTACATTATATATTCATTTATGTTTACCCACATACCTTTTCTGTGGCTCTTAATTCTTTCTGCATTTCTAAGCTCCATTTGAGATCCTTTTCATCTTCTCCAAGAACCCTCTTTAGAATTTCCTTTGGTACAGATCTACTGGCAATACGTTATTTCAACGTTTCTTTGTCTTAAAACACCTTTATTTCACTCTTTCTTTAGGGATATTTTCACTGGTATAGACTTCCAGGCTGGCAATTATTTCCTTTCCTCTGAAAATGCCATTATATTGCCTTCATTCTTGAAGTTTATTTTCTCTGCATGTGGAATTCTTGGTTGATAGCTTTCTGTTCCAGCACTTTCAGTGTTTTACCGACGTCTCTGTCAGTTTCAAGTGAGAAGTTCGTGATATTTTGAATCATTGTTTAGCCGTGTGTTTTGTGTTCTTTTCTTTTGTTGTTATCAAGATTTTCTCTTTATCTTTGGTATTCAGCAGTTTGAGTCTGATGATATTAATCATTTTGTGTGTGTATGTCCTGCTCATGAATCATTGAGTTTCTTGAGTCTGTAAATTTATGTATTTCGCTAAACTTGGAAAATAATTGGAAATTATTTCTTTATTGTTTATGTCCTATTGTCTCCTTCTTCTTCTTCTGGGATCCAGTTATATGTATGTTGGACATTTTGATATCATCCCACAGGTATTCAAAGCTCATATTCTTAGCTAGAATCTGCCCCGTGGTTGTGTGCTTTGGGCGTTAGCCAGAGATTTGGGCAGTTTAAACACAGAAATTGTGGTCATTCTTTCTGACTGTATCCTTTCTGAGATTTCCCTCTCCCTTCCAGTGGCTGATTATCGTGAACTCTGTCTTCTGCTTTTTTCAAGCTGGTGAGGTAGAGATTTTCTGTTGAAGTTCTATCAGAACCACAGTGTGCAGCACTGACTTTGGCCTACACTCAGGCAAAATGCTGTAAAAATGGGCAACTCACCCTGTGCTGTTCCTTTTTTCCAAGTGTCTACTTTCTTTCACAATTTACCTGTCTTTGTTTACTTTCCAGTGTCATCAGGTTTTTATTTTTTCTAATTTTGTCCAGAGTTTACAGTTGTGATATGTGGGAAATCTGGGTATGGTAGCAGCTACTTTACCATATTGGAAGTGGAAGCCCAGTTGTTCTTTTTTTCAGCAGTTTGCAAGCATCATTCCATTGTCTCCTGGCTTTGTGAAGCATGTTCACTATGTACTTGTTTCAATCTCAAGGAAAGACTCTAAACACTGCACTAGTTTCAATTCACTTGCATGAGTCTGGTAACACAAGAAATTAAGTGAAGCAACTTTTTTACTCATAGATAGGCAGCAGAGGACAATAGAAGCCTAGGATTCATGATGAGCTTGTTCCCTAAGGCTCAGGAAAGCTGCCCAGGGAGGATGAAGTCTCCTATGCATTTATCCCACTTTTCACCACAGCTGAGGGTCCCTGAAAGTGTGTTCCACTTTGGGTTTTGTTTCAGAGGAAACTGGACTCACTGTGCTAAAGTGTTGTAGGAGATCTTATTCTAGGAGGGACTGGAACAGAGCCCAAGCTGTTTTGGCCAGTTCCTCCTTATCTCAAGCTATTGCATTCCCAGCACATTCTATAGTTATTCTTGAGAATTGTAAGTGAGAAAAGAAAGTAAGAATTGGGGGCCGGGCGCGGTGGCTCACGCCTGTAATCCCAGCACTTTGGGAGGCCGAGGCGGGCGGATCACGAGGTCAGGAGATCGAGACCATCCCGGCTAAAACGGTGAAACCCCGTCTCTACTAAAAATACAAAAAATTAGCCGGGCGTAGTGGCAGGCGCCTGTAGTCCCAGCTACTTGGGAGGCTGAGGCAGGAGAATGGCGTGAACCCGGGAGGCGGAGCTTGCAGTGAGCCGAGATCCCGCCACTGCACTCCAGCCTGGGCGACAGAGCGAGACTCCGTCTCAAAAAAAAAAAAAAAAAAAAAAAAAAAAAAAAAAAAGAATTGGTCACCAAGGTCATCTGGGGACATGTCCAGCAGGCTTCAGTTATTTCTGTTGGGAATTCAGCTGTCAGTCTTATTGTCACTCTATTAAAAGTAATGTGTCCTTCCACCCCTGTCCCATCTGCTTTTAGGATTTTCTCTTTTTCTTTGACCTTCAAAATTTTACTGTGTTTATCAAGATTTGGATTTCCCACAGCCTGGCTATTTTCTTCTGGCCTGTCTTCCAGACAACCATTATCTTTTTAGCTGCTGCTAAGCCCCACTCTTGAATTTTTAATTCCAATTGTATTTTTCTGTTCTAGCATTTATACTTGATCCTTTTAAAAAAGCTTACGTTTGAAATTTTCCGTTTCATCATACAATATCTTGAACAAATTAATCTCAGTTACTTTATAATATGTGAAACTCGAATGTCTTGATTTTGTGTTAGTCTGTTTCTATTGTCTGTTCTTTTCTGTTGGTTTTTGGTTATTTGGTCTCATCTCCTAGCATGCTTAGACATGCATGTAAGAGCTGTAGAGCTAATTTGAAGTTCTGTATGATGTTACATTTTTCCAGAGGACCTGTTTTGTGTCTGGCATGAAGTTAACCCAGGGACAGATCACCTTGATCAGACCTGGGATTGCGATGATTTGAAGGTAGGCTTCAGATTTTGTGAGGTCGGATTAATTTTTGTTCACCATTATGCCAGTGGGAGTCCCAACTGAAAGCATAATGTGGTTACCAGGGCACCTTCTCTTTGGTGATCTCGGAACTCCAATTTTTGCTTCCCTCCCCACCTGAGACTGTCAATGCTCTGTCTAGTCTTTCAGCTGCCACTTTCTGCTCAGGCTTTCAACTTTCAGCTATTGCTTTGAAACCTGTGAACAGCGAGAGGGCAAAAGCAGTGATGAATATTGGACTCAATTCTCTGCAGTTTTCTCTCCAGGAATGTGGCTCCTCAAGTCTTCCTTGGCTTGGTAGTTCTCTGAAGCCAATAAATACATTTTAAAAAGTATCTCGTCCAGGTGTTCTAGTTGTTTTCAGTGGGAAGGTAAGCCTTTAACAAGCACTGCCACCATTGCCAGAAGTGGAGATCATCAGTTTTTTTTTTTTTTTTAATCTCAAGGGGTTTAGTGTCATGGAGGGAAATTTTTTTTTTTCTCATGAGGGGTTTTACATGAGAAAAAAAATTTGTTAATTTTCAAAGCTTATTATGAGAACAAAAGAGAATCAAAAGGAGAAGACACAGGATGGTTGTTCCTTGGTATCCTTGGGGGATTGGTTCCAGGACCCCTGCAGATAACCAAAATCTGTGGACGCTCAACTCCCCTACATAAAATGGCATACTATTTGCATGTAGCCTACGTACAAACATCTTTCTGTTTACTTTAAATCATCTCTAGGTTATTTAGAATACCTAGTATAATGTAAATGATGTGTAAATAGTTGCTATACTATATTATTTTACAGTTTGTATTTTAAACAATTATTTTTCTTGAATATTTTTGAGCCTTGATTGGTTGAATGCACAGATGCAGAACTCATGAATATGGAGGGCTGACTGTATACCTTCAATGTCCACTAATAGCATCAACATTTTATTTTATGAAAATATACCTCTGCTTTATATTATTTTTCTGTCAACAAGGTATTGCTGTTTTTATAGCAATGTAAAATACTAAGCATGGGGGAAAGCTCTAGAATCTTACTATTGTATATAAAAGGTGACCAGTTCTCATGGCAGGGCTCCCGTGTGGGAAGAATAAAGCAGCCATCAGGCTAACAGCTTTCCTAGTACGGACTGCCATAACCGCACAGCCAGATCTGATCTGTCATAACAACTCAAGTCACAATGCATCTCCTACAATGGCTGAGTTGTTTAGAGGATTTTAGTTTGAGGTAGCAGAGGTTGTGTTCACGGCAGAGGAAAAGGTCTTATGTATTCCCAGCCCAAGTGGCCTAATTCCTTATCACCAGGCATGAGACTCAGTGATCATGGCAGAGCCACCACCTTCTCTGTGACACCCCATCACACTCTGTCTGCTCATCCTACCCATCCATAATCCCGGACTCCCCTGCTTTTGGCTGCATCTACCTATTTCCTCACCCTTTCATTCTCCCACCTGTTGCCTTTTGCTGCTAAATCCACATCTTCATCCCCTTAGTTCCACTGCACAGACCCATGCCTGTGTCAGGGAGAGAGAAGGGAGCAGGTTCTCAAGAAAAACATAGTGAGTAACAATGAGGTACACAGAGCGCCTGTGCCTGTGATGTCTTCATTAGAAAGAACATAGGGGAAGACCTGAGGGCATAACAAATCTTGGGCTTCCTCACTCCAGCCTGCAACTGACACGACAGTGATCTTGTCGATTGCATCAGCAGCCTTTAGTAAAAGTATAAAAATGTTCTCACCAGCAGATTAATAGCTTCTTCAGCTTCTCTATCCCTCCTCCTGTTTAGAGGTTAGCTGTGAAAAGTTAAGAACCCTTTAGCAGGCTTTTTGGAAAATCCAGACTCTGGGACACTCACAGAACTGTTTGGTTTCTTTAACAAATAAATTGCAAGGGAAAATATTGAGGAAGATCTATAGATGGAAAAAAGACAGAAAAGAAATAAATCAGTTGAAATGTATAGGCATTTGGATTCTTATTAAAACAAATACATGGTTAAAGTAGTATGACATTTATTAGACAAATTAGAAATTTAAACATTAGCTGGACATTTGATATTAAAGAATTGTTATTAAGCTTTTAAGTGTGAGAGTGATATATGGTTATATCTTACAAATGTGAATTCTTTTAGAGACACATAGAAAATATTGATGGGTGAAATGAAATAATTTTGGGGATGGGCTTTGAAATAATAGGATTGGGGAAAGTGGGTGGGGATCTAGATGAAAGAAAAGTGTCCATGAATTGATAGTTGTAGAATCTGAATAAAGAGAACATAGGGGTTTATTATGCTATTTTGTCTACTTTTGCATATCTTTGAAGTTTTTCATAATAAAAAAAATCTCTGTATTTCTGGACAACTTCGTAGAAAGAATCCCAAACAACTAATAATACAGTTCAAAACCCTGTGCATCCCATTTGCATAATAGTCCCCAAATGAGGTCCCTAGCATAAAGAAGCTTCCAGGTCTAAAGAACATAGCACATATTATGGGGTGGATCTTCAATTTTGCAGAAAATGTGTGTTGGCCTGGAGCCTATTCTCTTTTAGGTTTAGTGCTTGCAAGAGATCATCCAGATTATTCTATTTGTGTGTGTATGTAGTTGGGGAGGGGGTGCCTAATAGCCACTTTAGTGCCTTTGAAATGGGGTTTCACCACTTGCTACAATATTATCCCCCTTCTTTATAGAACAGTCCTGGTCCTGAATATTCCAGACAGAGCATGAGTGGATGAAATGGAGTTTCATGGGATTTCTCTTCACATAGATAATATTAGCTGAATCCATACTCGGTCTCAGGTATTAAACTTAGTATTTTACATGCAGTATTTCCTGAAATGTTCACAATTACTCTATAGAGAGGTGTATTCATTACACTATTTTTTTTTGAGACAAGAAAATGGAAGCTTGGAGAGTTGACATAACTTTTCCAAGGTCACAAAAATTGAAATTAAGATACAGAACCAGCTGGGGCTTAAAATCTAGGTTGCTTGACCCCTAAGGCTGAACTCTGCCATGAATTTTATGGTACCTCAGTTTATTTCAGATTAAATTAACTGTAGATCCTGGGAAACATATATTTGAGCAAAGATTAAAAAAAAGGTTAAAATAAAAACAAAAGCCAAATGCCAAAGCTCTGAAGACTTCAGGTTTGCTAGAATTTAAAGGTATCTTATGGGGCTGGGCCAAATGAAGTGGTTGCCATTCTGGGAATGACCTTCCATAAAGCTTTCTGGAATCTTCTTCAGAGCACCTCACAACTGCATGTGGTACAAATATTTTCTTCTCTTTCTTTGCCATTAAAGGCAGAGGAGAGGTGGCTTTCCTAAGCCACAGGAGTTTGCAACCCTGTGATGGGATGACCTGAGACCTTGTTTTCCATGGATGCTGTTACACTGCTATTGGAAGAACACCAGGAGATGCTCAGCTTCTTGACAGACTGTCAGTGTAAGGCTTTCTCCTGGGCATGAGACAGTGGCCAAGGTGAGTTTAGGAGGGAAATAGAGCAGCCTTTTGTGAAGGGCTCCAGTGTCTCCTAGGTTAGCTTCATTTTCCAGATGGTTGGGGAAACATAAGGCCAGGGAAAGACAAAATGCCCTCCATGGTGGAGGTGGGAGAAATTTTGTAATGCAAATAAGGCCCCAAGATGGAGAATAATTTAAATACATCCCATCCTAGAAAATTCTCTAAGGCTTATTTCACAGTGCTCCAAGTATGCTCATATTTTTGAATTATTTCCAAGGGACCTGGTAGAAGACTAAAAGAAGGCTGTAACTATGTGACTATTGCCATAGGATGTTGGTTTGTCTATGAACTTGCAGTCTTGGATAGTGATGCCATTGAGAGGAACTCTAAAATTGGAGCTAGCCAAGCTCAAAAACACTTGGAAATATGTACCATGCTGGAGTGGCTACAGAATAGACATCAGAAGGAGACCTCTATTCCAAAGACCTAGTATGTGAAATCCCTACCATACAGCTTATCAGCTGTTTGTTGCTGTCTTGAGGTCACTGGGCTATAGTCGAGCACCAGGGGTAAAGAGAAGGTCATTTTCTAAGAAATACTCAGATCACTATGAAGAGCAACACTCCTCAGCAAATGGAATTCTATTGCCCCATAAACTATTTGTTGGCAGAGGCTTTTCCTCCAAGGGGTGGGACTAGAGACTCAGAACTATTGTTTACTCTCCTCCATGCTCTTGGTATCCAGCTGTTTGGCAGGGCACCTGTTCACAGGAACCTCAACAATTTCTCTAGAGAGCTAACATTAGGAGGGCAATGGGATTTGCTCTTTTTTTTCCCACCAGAGAGAGGGAGATGAAAAATCTCCTAGGGATTCTTTCAGGATTATTAAGGTGAAAGTTTTAAGCACTGCCTTTACAAGATGGGACTCTACAAAATAGTTCTTTTAGCAACAATGGTTCTGGGTGCTTCTTGGTTCTTCAACTCCCCCGTTAATGTGCTTACTCAGAGGAGAATTCAGAGAGCATATTTCTTCCTTCTTATCACCTTTTAGTTTTAGTTCAATTGCTTATTTTGCCCAATGACTGATACCACAGAAGAATAGAGTTTTAATGAAAACAGAGCTTTTAAGAGAAGTTGTGCATTTCTCTGTTGGTGTGGACTATCCCGTAACTCTGCCTGGGTCTCTTGAATTCATATGCAAATAATTTATCAAGGCAGTGCTCTCAGGAGAACAGGTAAGGAAGTGGAGGAACCAGGACAGGGAACAGGAAGAAGCCATTCATGTTGCTGTGGCTGCATAACAAATTATCCCAAAACTTAATGGCTTAAAACTATGGCATCACTTACTTTGCCTGCAAAGCTGCAATTTGGGCAGAAATCCATGTATACAGCTTGTCTCTGCTCTACTTGGCATCAGCTGGAGTGGCTCAAGGACTAGGGGTGGGGTTGTGTAAGAGACTCATGCACTCGTATATCTGGTGGTGGATTCTGGCTATAGGGTGATGCCTCAGCTGGGGCTGTCAACTGGAACATCAAAATGTGGCCTCTCCACGGAACATAATATTGAGAGAAAACAAACATGGCAAAATGGTACCATTTTCAATATGATACTGCATATAGAAATTTAATAAACAGCCCACTGTTATTTATTTATAAATCCATGTGTAAGTAGTAAAAGTATGAAAATATGACTAGATACACAATAATCTCAAAATAATTATATCTGGGTGATATGGTTTGGGTATGTCGCCACCACCCAAATCTCATCTTGGATTGTAACTACCACAGTTTCCACATGTTGTGGGAGGAACCCGACGGGAGGTGATTGAATTATGGGGGCGGGCCTTTCCTGTCCTATTCTCGTGAAATTGAATATGTCTCATGAGATCTGATGGTTTTATAAAGGGGAGTTTCCCTGCACAAGCTCCCTTCTCTTGTCTGCCACCATGTGAGATGTGCCTTTAACCTTCCACCATGATTGTGAGGCCTCTCCAGCCATGTGGAACTGTAAGTCCAATAAACCTCTTTCTTTCGTGAATTGCCCAGCCTTGGGTATGTCTTTATCAGCAGCATGAAAACAGACAAATACACTGGAGGATTATAGAGGTTTGAACTTAATCTGTGATAGTTATGTGTCTAAGAAAGATCAGAATCAAATATGATAAACTATTAACATCTGTTATGTGTGGATAAAGACTCTTCTACATACTATTTTTTTTCTTTTTTATGATTTTTTTTAAAATATTATAGAGACAGGGTCTTGCTATGTTGCCCAGGCTGGTTTTGAACTCCTGAGCTCAAGTGATCCTCCTGCCTCTACCTCCCAAAATGCTGGGATTACATGTGTGAGCCACCATACTTGGATCAAATTTTTCTTCTTATAAAGGAAAAATTGGGGGAAATAAGAAAAATTTTTAAATTAGGGATGTTTACATTTGTACCACCTAAAAACAGGCAGTAGTGTTGATGTGAAAACAAAACAATGTAGAATGAATTTAAAAAAGATGAAATAATTGAGTGTAAGGAAGTTAGAAATGAGTTGGAGGTTAAAATCTGTAGTGAAGTTATGCAGGGTGGTGCACAGATAGTACAAAATAAAACTTTTCTCAGGATATGGAGGGAAAAAAGACAAAGATTAAAACGATGTGGGGTAGGGTAGAGATGGAGGCCAGAGGAATGAGAAGAGTGAAAACGACAATTGGTGCCATTGAGGAAGAGCTCACCCTCCATGTTGCACAAAAGTGGCCATCGGAGATGTAATAAGCAGAAAGTTTCCTGAGGCAAAGAAAGACTTGAATGTAGATGGAAAGGACTCACAGAGGTCCTGATACGGTCCAAGAAAAGAGGTCTACCCTTAGACTCTTCCTGTGTCTTTTGAATTATGAGGCTAAAGAAAGCTCTTTAAGCATCCGAGTTCAAAATTAGTCTACAAAGGAACAAAAATCAGGCTGGACTCAGAGTTCTCCCTAGAGAACTAAAGAAGCTGATGCCCACCTCCAGAGTTTTGAAGGTTAAGAATTGGGGACGTCACAACCCAGAATTGCCTTAATTTGTGAAGACAATATTAAAAATTCTGCAATATGCCAAGTTGTGCACAACTGGAAAAATGACTCGAAGTTTTACTCCAGCCAATTGAAGGATTAAGGACTTGGAAACCATGATGTAATAAGATTTACAAATAGCTTCTTATTCCGTTTAGATTCCATAATAGAAAATCTAATTATATTAGATATTTTCAAATGGATTTATAACCCACGGGCAAAGCTAGGGTCTATAACACTTCCATTAATTATTGTTGGTTTTTGCTATTTTCCATTAGTTGTTATTGTTGGTTTTTGCTATTTTTTCAAAATCAGGAAAAACTTTTTTTTGGGGTAATATTCCTTACCTCATGGGTCAGATGGAATCACCTTCTACTTAAAACAATACAACCTACTTCTTTTCTAGTCCAAAAAAGGGCCTGCAATATTTAAATGACAGGGCATTGTGTTTGCAGAATTGCTAAACCCAGAAAGTATTTTTTTAATCCCTCCATTGAAACTGATTTTTATTCAGCAATACAAAAACATTGCATTGACAAATAACTTGAGTAATAATTTTATGCTCATTTTGAATGACCTGAGTATATAGGTTTTTTTTTGTAATTATGAAAAATGAATAACCTACCAGTGGCAGATATAATCTGTGATTAAAACCTCCTTTATAACGTCTTCCAACTAGGAATTGTGAATGACTCTTCTTGGGTTAATTGTACTTAAAATCAGAATATGTAATATAATCTTAACCATGTTAAATTATGCATAGAAAAAGAACTTTAAAGAAATAAAATAGTAAATGAGGATATCTGAGTCATGAGATTCTGAGTGATTTTAATTTTCTTTGTGTATTTGTATATTTTTAATAAACTATATTTCTTGTCACAAAAATGAACGCTGTTATGAAAATCAGCATATACTGTTTTACCTATGCCATATGATAAAATGATGTGAATATTACACATGAGGAGAAGATTGAGGGGTACACTGTTGTGTTAAATGGACAGTCTGAAGCCTTTGGATGTTAGAGCTACAAATGATTTATCTTCTTTTTTTTTTTTTAAAGACTTTATGTGTGGCAAGACTATATATTTCTTTCCAACTGAAAAAGTTCTTTATTTTACAAATATACTAAAATAAAATATATTTTATTCAACATAGCAATGCTAAATGGGCATATATAGGAAAGGTATACTATACTTTCTATTTTTAACTCTTTAAAATTGTAGCCCTCTCCAGCCGGGCACGGTGGCTTATGCCTGTAATCCCAGCACTTTGGGAGGCTGAGGCAGGTGGATCGCCTGAGGTCAGGAGTTTGAGACCAGCCTGGCCAACATAGTGAAACCCCATCTCTACTAAAAATACAAAAAATTAGCTGGGAGTGGTGGCGGGCATCTGTAGTCTCAGCTACTAGGGAGGCTGAGGCAGGAGAATCGCTTGAACCCAGAGACGGAGGTTGCAGTGAGCCGAGATCACGCCATTGCCCTCCAGCCTGGGCAACAGGGGCAAAACTCTGTCTAAAAAAAACAAAAAACTGTAGCCCTCTCCTCTTGCCAATAAGTTGCTTTTAAAATCAGTGACAATCCAAACAGTGGGCTAATACATATTTTTAATACAAATAATTATAATAAAGATAATATAATATAAATAAAATATATAATAAAGCAAATTTTAATAAACATTATATTTTAAGTGAAATAACTACAATGAAGTTAATACTTTTAAATACAAGTATTACAATGAAACAGAAGATCTGAATTTTGGACTTGAAATTCTAAACCATAGGGTTTTAGAGAAGAAAAGACTTCTGAGTTGATATCATATTTAACTTCCTTATTTGATGGATAAGGAAACTGAGTGGGGAGAGGCGAAATGAGTAGCTCTGAGTTTCACATTAATTTGCACTGGAACTCAGGGTTCCAGATTCCCTGCACAGCAATTTCTCTTCCCATAACCATGCTCCTAGTGAGGACTGCCTTTGAGTGTGGATACAGAGGAGAGTGACATATGCAAAGGTGAACAGAGACTGTTCACCTGCCCATCTTCCTATGCAAAATAAAATGTGGACTGTTTTTGTGTTTGCAATTATGTGAAGCACCATTTGATTCTCATGTCATAGCTCCATGGCTAAAGCTGCTTGGTGAGCATCTTGAAAGGAGGCAGAAGGTCTCCAATGCTGTCCTGGCTCAGAACGTTACTGTAGAATTTCACTGGAGGAAAATCTATGAACATTCTGCTGAAAGTTAAGTAGCTTCCAGTATTAAACTATCAACATGTATTTAGTTTTTCTTAACTACTTTCTAGATTAAAATCAGTGCAAAATTTACTTCAAAAGATATTTCAGGTTTTACTGAACCCACTAGGCTTGCAAAATGATTTTTAAAAATTGACCAAAGAACCCATCTCTAGGCTTGGCGCGGTGGCTCACGCCTGTAATCCCAGCACTTTGGGAGGCCGAGGCGGGCGGATCACCCGAGGTCAGGAGTTCGAGACCAGCCTCAACATGGAGAAACCCCTTCTCTACTAAAAATACAAAAAATTAGCGGGGTGTGATGGTGCATGCCTGTAATCCCAGCTACTCGGGAGGCTGAGGCAGGAGAATTGCTTGAACCTGGGAGGTGGAGGTTGTGGTGAGCCGAGATCGCGCTATTGCACTCCAGCCTGGGCAACAACAGCAAAACTCCATCTCAAAAAACAAAACAAAACAAAACAAAACAAAACAAAACAAAACAACCCATCTCTAGATTCTAGAGTCTGGAAGACAAGAAAGAGAAGAATGATGATGATGAGGAAAATGATCTTATGGGCATGGCAGTGGTGGGCTGGTGCTAATAATGATTTCATTTGCAGTGGGCAGGCATCCAAGAGTATTCTGGGCAAGTCTTATTTCCCAAGGCAATGTATTCTAGTCTTATGAGAGCACTGCAGCAATTTTTTTGAGATGTATTTGAGACTGGACTCTGGCACGAAGTTTTTCTCAATACGAAGCACCGTAATGACATATTATCTGGAATCTGAGGCTCTCCTTTGATGCAGAAGTGATCAGATTTACCGTTTCCACTAGATGGCATTAGAAACTTCTGAAGCCATGAACTAATTACTAGTCACCTTTGTTAGGCTGTAAATTACACCTGCAGGTTTAAGAGGTAATTGGCAATCGACTATCTGGTGTGTTTTAACTTTGATGCCAGGTACATGGTTAAGACATTGGTATCAGATCTCACCCTTGACATAAATAGCTTCTGGGATTATCAGAATGTCATTCCACATCTCATGTTCCAAGCAAGAGTTTTGAAAGCAACATATAACCCTCCCTCATTGTAAATCAAAACCAAGTAATACTAGCTCCTCTTATCCTAGCTAGGCAATCAGTTTAGGGCAAACATATTAGGTAGAAAGGGTAAATGAAAATGTTTTCCTAGCATGCAGAGATTTGTTTTTTTGGTTTCTTTTGCCATATTTCAAACATGAGGGAGAAAAACAACAACAGAATCTGAAGATTTATCAGCTTCTCCTAGTGGCGGTTTTAAGAAAACTGGGTAGGTTTTTAAATTATACATGAAAACATCCGGGATCTAGAATGGATACATGTCCCAGTGTTTCTGAAAAGTCTTTGCCTCTTCAGATGCTCTATGTAGCTAAGCCAGGAAATGGTAGGTTCGGTGTGTGCATGTGCGTATCATTTTCTTTTCTCAGTGGTGTGTTTCCGCGCCTGCCGCTGTCGCCGCCACCACCATTGCCTGCTCCCTAGCCTGGCTTTCATCATTTCTTCCTGTTGATTGGTGTCACCTCACATGCTTAGAATGTCTGCCTGTCTGTTCAGAGTGTGAACACATTCCTCAGAATGCTGATCTGTTCGTTTCACACCAGTGTCAAAATGACTTATTAAATTCGGCACCTCCTGATACTCAGTGGCTGATGTGTTGCTGTCCAAACAGTAAATGACAATAAGCATATGCAGCTGGTGGGCCTAGCAAACTCATTTAATTTGATAAAAATGTCACCGCAATATGCTTTAAATCGCTGTCCTTTTCATCATTGCTAATTGCTAGCTATAGACCTTTTTTCCTATGCTTAATACAAGTGTTAGAATACTACTCCTTCCAGCCTGATTAAGAATTTAAAAAAAATGTAGAATTCCTTTTCAGTGGCAGCATTATTTCATCAAGAGATGGATTTTGCTCTTAATTAGGCAACATGCCACTAGGGAAGCTTCAGAGTCATGGGTGTGAAACAGCCTCAAGCAGGAGATCAATCTAAAGGAAAAAAATGGTGGCTGGGGAATAATTGGCAGCTCCAGTGAACGTGGGCTGGTTATAACAGTGACAATATGTTCCAGTGGAATATCACAAACCTCTCTCTCCTATTTCCAACTTGGCACATTTCAAGCTCAACAAAAGCTGAACAATATATCCCGTGGTTATTTATCTATTGTTTTATATTTTTTTCTTGCTGCTTCATTGAAGTTTTTTCATGTGTTGGCCTGACAATCTGGACATTTCTCCAGAAAGGATTAGAGGATTAAGAAGGAATACAAATTCAAAAAATAATAATCCTTCAGTAGCTTGGTGCTTAAAAACAGATCTGGAACTGATCCATACACCAGAATCAGGCAAACCTGCATTAATTTGCTAAACCTGAAGTTGATTTAACACCCCCACTACCCGCCACCCACATACTCATACATTGAACTCAAACTTTTTAAAAAGACGTGCACCAGATTGAACAGGGACTATTTTATTATACAGGCAAAATGGAAAAAATTGCAACATAACTGATACTTAAATTGGTTAAAACCTACTTTTTTTTTCTTTTAAAATAAGCTTTGTGGGTGGAGTCTGACTTCTGGAGCGGGTAAGATTATAGCCACTCAGGCCATCAGCCTCTCTGCCCATCCATTTGCACCTCCTCCCAGCAGGAGGCTTTATCTGGGATTTGACTTATGCAAAATGGAATGAACAAAGGAGGGGAAATTTGCCTTTCCTCCTGATATTCTTGCATTTCAGAGCTTGATAGCCTTTGCTAGAAATGGAGCATGGATTCTGGATTAATGTCTACTTTATTTATGTGGTTGAACGTATATTTTTCAAGTTGCTCATTGAAGAAAACATCACAATCATTTTGGTACACATTCCAAGTGATGCCCCCAGTCATCTTCTGTAGTCTTCCTGCTGTGATTGGCCCATCTAAATAAAATAGTCAGTTAAAGACATAGGTAACCTACTTTTAAATACACTTTTGCTTTGACTCCCAGTCTATATCTAAAGTAAGGAGGGACATTCTGAGCACTAGACAATCTCAGGCTGCCAGAGGTCATTTCATTTTCTCTTGTGCTTGTGTGCTAGTGATACCTTTACCTCTGGTGTATAAAAAAGAAATGTCTTCGGGGTATTTCCCGGAAGGCCCATGGAAGCTCTTTTCGCTTAAATTGAGCAATGCTAAAGAGCTCATCAAAATGAATGAGGGCAATGGGAAGTCTGGGTCCTGGCTCTGAACTCTTCCAGATCAACATGTCTCCACCTAGGCAGTTCCAAGTGAGAAGAACCAAAAGTTCTGTGCCTTGTTCAATATGAGGGCGGGGTGGAGGGTACCATCATTCATATTAGTGCTCCCAGTAACTGGTTTGGGGTGTTGATGAGAGTGTGTATCCCATGCCTGGCAGATACATAGTGGATGGCTCGCCAAGAGGCTCTCTGGTTGACATGCTGGGGCAGAGGGGACCCCCCCAAGCTTTCCTCCCACCCAGGGCTCCCCCAGTCTCAGCTGCAACTCCATTTTACATATCTTGCTTTACAAGGTCCATTTCAAGTAGGTTTTGAGCCCAGCTTAGTAAGGTAGCATACTTACATCATCCTGAACCCAGGGGTTCTCCAAGTTTTGGCCTCATCGTAACCCCAGCTCTCATTTATTGACTGGCAGAGACTTTTCTAGAATTACTAAATTTATTCCTGAAACAAGCTAGATGATATTTTTACTGACCACATAAAAGTTTTCTTCTCTCTTGCATAAGCAATATATAAATATATTCTCTTCACTTGCCCTGACCTAGTTCAAACCTGCTTCCAGAAGAGTCCACCCTTGTACCTTGGCCTGTGTGCCTCAGTCTACAGTTTTGTGTACTCTTACACATACAGCCAGGGGCCTGTAGAAATCATCCAGCGTTGTCAGGGTAGGTTATTTTTCCCAAATGTGAATGGTATTACCCAGTGTGTGTCATTCCATGGCTTGCTGTTTGAACTGAATGCTGTGTCTGAGAGCTGGCCATATTGTTCTATTTAGAGACGGGTCATTTCTCTGAAGAACTGCACGGGCTTCCATAAAATAAAAAGAGCAGAGTTTGCTTAGCACTTTCTCTTCATTTCATAGACGATAAAACCGGGGGCCAGGAAGGTTAAGTGACTTATCCAAGGTGTTCTAGCTACTAAGCATTAGAGCGTGGGTGAGAGCCCAGGCTGGGCTGACTCTCCTGCATGCCTGGCTCCTCCCATATCATCAGGTTTCCTTGCCATGCTGCCTTCTTTCTCCTCTCTGCACTATTTTCTTGCCTGCTTTACTCTTGAAGCTACATTGGGCTTGAGGTCCACATTTCAGCCATGAGTGTCCTAATTCCTGGGGCCAGATCTATACTGACCTAGAAAGTACTTGAGGATGAACATTTTGAACAACATTTTACACAGGCAGGGGGTGTCTTTCAGCATTTTTAACATTTTATTTCATTTTTCTAACCAGGTAGTTTTCTAAACGCTTATGCTATTGTAACCTTACAAATCTTCTAAAGATTTTTCCCCCAGCAGGGTCTGCTTCCCATATTTAACAGGAAAGCATGTAGGAGGGATGTGGGAACCAATTGCTTGGGGGAAATATTGCCCTCACAAACATGAATATGGCAGTCACAGTGGTTCCTAAACAAAGGTTTATGGCGGTATTGTGGATCAACAGGAATTTCTGTTTGTGAAATGGCTGCAACATCAGAATGGGAGGATAGGCTGAGTAACTCAGCTGCTTTATAAATGAATGAGCTTTTATCCTCCCCAAAGCCTTTCACAGTATTTGAGACTCAGTGGCTAGTTCTAAAGGGGACCCATTCTTGAAAATGGTCCATTTAGCAGCAGTTTGAGAAGTCATCAGCGAGTACTCATGGATGGACTGACTCAGAAAAAAAGAATATTGTTAATAAAAGCCCTGTTTGTAAATTCTGCTTACCCATGGAATGAACTAATTTTTGCATCTCAGTACCAAGATTTGGAACTTCACATAGATGTATTCGAACATAAAATTTTAAAGCCATTGTTGCCCCAGCTATGTGCTACAGACCCCCCCACCGACCACCTGGTTAGTTTTCTGAGAGTTTCTGCGGGAAAGGTTTACAATGGCTGGTTCCTGGTTTGATGTCACATCGATAAATTATGGTGCTTTAAACAGATGTGATCTCACAGCATAGAATTCTTCAGGGTAAAGCTCGTGAAAAGGTTTTTTCCCCCTCTTGGTTTCACTGTAGTTTTGTTGTTTGGAGGTTTTATGTTGTTCATTTAGTTCCCTGGCTATTGGGGTTTTATAGTCGTATTTCCTTTGTTTAATATAATTTCTTTTTTTTCTTTTAGCTATTTTTTTTAGGGTGCCCAGAGGCTTCAGTTATGAGTGGCTGTAAAGTAAAATATATTATGATTATTACAATGATAAAGTATACGCTTTTAAGAGTCTGCTTATATTGACCCATATATTCTCTTTTTTCCTCTCTCCAAGATACACACACAGGCACATTGGAAACGCAGTAGAAAATGGCTGCCAATTTAAAACCAGAAGTTAAGAAGAGCAAACTCGAATGTACAGCAAGAGAGCTTCAGGCTGGACTGGCTTCCAGCAGAAGTGGGACTGGAAACCTCGGATTCTATTGTCTCTTCTCTGTGAAGTGGGAAAACATGTCAGTATCTGAACTTGAGCTTGGTAATTACTGCTCATTTCTCAACCTTTTCCAAGCCACGTAACTCCCCTAAGGCTTAGTTTTCTTATCTGTGAATTGCGAGATGGTATGTTCTTCATCACGAGGTTGCTATAAAGACTGAATGAGATAATGTGTGTGGAAGCACCAAGCATGGTCCTTGGCATGCAGTAGATGCTCAATAAATATGAACTGGAGTACACATGCACTCTGCTCCCTCCTGCCCCCTCATAGTGCCTGGTCTGGCTCTGGGCTCCCTGGGATATGGCAGGTTACCAAAGCAGGCACTAAGGCATGTCTACCCTTGGTACCTTATTACCTAGGTTTCCTGTGCCACCTGCTTCATTCTAATCGCAGATTTCAGGCTCCATTCAAACAGAACCTCACTTCTGCTAGCTGTCATGCTCAAAAAGGGACTGATGACCACTGAAGCAGGCTATGATAGTGATTTATGAATGTCATTCCTCCAGACAGCATTTGGATTATTACTGGTTTTGCTTTTATTTTATTTGGCGCTAAAAAGGCATTGAGAGCCAAAGGAAAGTCTCTTTAATGGTGGGATTTAGGCACTATAGCATATTTCTTTATGGAGGGGAAGAAGGATTTTCATCCTGAAACCCTCTATGTCCTACCCCATAGGTCGCTGCTGAGTCTCTCTACTCATACTGATCTCTTTTTGCACTGGGTTGAAATAGTGTTTTCCCCAAATTCATGCTGGAACCTGTAAATGTGACCTTATTTGGAAACACGGCTACTGCAGATATAATCAAGTTATGATGAGATCATATTGGAATAGCATGAACCTTAACTTCAATATGACTGATATCCTTATAAGAAGAAGGGTATTAGGCCACAGACATAGACTCACAAGGAGTCAGGCTATTTGAAGACAGCAGAAGAACTAGGAGTGAAGCATCTATAAGCCAAGGAATGACAAAATTTGCTGGCAATCACCAGAAGCTGGAGGAGGCAAGGGAGGATTCTCTCCTAGAGCCTTCAGAGGAGGCATGGCCCAGGCAACACCTTGATTTTGAACTTCTAGCCTCCAGGATTTGGAGAGAATAAACTTCTGCTGTTTTAAGCCACCTAGTGTGTGGTCCTTTTTTTTTTTTTTTGAGACAGAGTCTTGCTCTGTTGCCCAGGCTTGGGTGCAGTGGTGTGGTCTGGGCTCACTGCAACCTCCACCTCTCAGGTTCAAGTGATTCTCCTGCCTCAGCCTCCCAAGTAGCTGGGATTACAGGCTCCTGCCACCATGCCCAGCTAATTCTTTGTATTTTTAGTAGAGACAGGTTTTTACCATGTTGGCCAGGCTGGTCTCAAACTCCTGACTGCAAGTGATCTGCCCAATTCAGCCTCCCAAAATGCTGGGATTACAGGAATGAGCCACCGTGCCCGACCTAGTTTGTGGTGCTTTCTTCTAGCAGTCCTTGGAAATTAACACACTTGACTAAGCAGGATGCTTGCTGGATGGCCTAGTGGGCCCAGCCACAGGGAGGGGTAGAAGGGAGATGTTGGTGGCAGGTAGCTGATGTTGGCTGGGACTGTGCTTGGCGTGGATAGCAGGAGGAATGTGCTCTTCAGGTGGGGCAAAGACGTGTAGGTTTTGTGGTGGACAGTGTTACAGGGGTTTCTGAGAGCCCAGAAAGTGCTGTGGGAAACAAACTGGGTTCAATAGGAGTGTGCCTCATTTTACAAAAGGAATGCACTCCCGGAGTATTTCAGGGGAGCTAAATTTTTCTTGAACTTCTCTAGGAGAAAGTGAAGTTTGAAGAGATCACTGAAATTTCGAGAAAGTAGAAATCTCCTTGTAAAGTGAAAACCCACCCCTGTCCCAACCTGGGTGTTGTTTATTTTGGAAGTTCCATCCCTCTACTTGTGAAACTGAGGCCTTCCTGAAATGCCAGGTCTCTCCTTCTGAGAGTCCAAGAAGATTTGGGAGAGGGAAGGGAGGCCGACTTGCACTCATTTTCTAGAGACAAGAAAAAAAATACCATACAACTCTTCTAATTGAAGAATTTGAGAATGATCTCTTTAAACATTTGATAATTCATTTCTGAATGTTAAGGAATAGAATTTATCAAGAAGAGGATATTGTGTGTCAAAATAGAGGAGGGCCGTACTTGATCATTTGAAATAGCAGAGAAAACCAGTGCTGTTGAACCATCCATTCAACAGACATTTCCAAGGCACTCAGTTGGGTACCTGGGGAGAAAGATATTAATAAGCTTGACCCCTGGCCTCGATGACATGGTTAATGAGATGGTGTGTGGGGGGATAGACAGATTTGTAAACATGTAATAATAGCAATAGCTAACATGTTTGAACACCTACAAAATACTAGGCCCCATGCCAAGTTCTATACATGCAAGACAGCAACATTTATCCCCCCATAACCATATGAAGTGGTTCTGTTACTCATCCCATTTTGCAGATGAGGACACTGAAGCTTGGAGAGAATGAGTAACTTGCCTAGTGTCATTTCACCTAAGTAAGTGGCAGAGCTGAGATTCACACTCTGGTCTGGGGCCCTGAAGACTCTATTATTCTTCATGACAAGTGGTTAAGATGTATCTGCTGTGTGGGTCCAAGAGCCAGACTCTTTGTGTTCAAATAGCATATACCTACCTGCTGTTAATTTGCCCTTGAACAAATTACTACTAGGTTTCTCCAATGAGGTTATAGAGTTGTTGCGAAAATGAAATGGCCTAATGCAGAACAGGTGCTTAATGCAGCACTTGACATGACAAAGACAGTCACAAAATAGCAGCTTTTGTTACTATATGGGCAGGGGCTACTGCAGATGATGCCCAGAGACCTGTGAAGAGTGAGGGGTCCCAGCCGCTCTCAACTGGGACAGCAGGACACAGCTTGCAGATTGGGGTCTGCCCCCTTCTGCATTATACTTTGCTTCTTCTTTAGGCATGGATTAGGACAAAAAGACATCAAAAGGGAAGTTAAAAGGGAGACTTGTGTGTGTATGAGCTTTGGAATGGTGTGCGGCGGGTGCGTGGTGAGGTGAGGAAACAAACATCAGTAGGTTGACTTTTATAGAATCCCATTTTAAAGGGATATTTAATGGCTTCCATGGGTCTCTTTAAATGTATTCCACCATATTATTTGGTAGATAGGCCAAATAATGGGATGGGGATGCAGGTATGCTAGTTAAGTTCCCCTAGCAGAAGTACTTCCATCCCAAGTGGGTTAAGGGAATTAAGAGCTTGTTGAAAATGAAGTGCTGTATGGTAGCTGCCAACAGTTGGAAACACTTTACCTAAAATCATTTGAATGCAAGAATACTAAAACAAAGTTAGTTCTTTGAAAACAGCAATTGTTTCTGAAATGATTCTGATAAAACGGCAGGTAAATTTACACGATAGGACATTTTGCTTGAGACTGAGAATAGTCTAAAGCTGCTGGTTCTGGTGGCATTTTGAAGTGCAGAGCCTTGAACTTGAAGGCAGTGTTTGGCTAACTCCTATATAACCTTAAAAATTGGGCTCAAACATCACCTCCTCTAGGAAGCCTTCCCTGATCTTCCCAGAGCCCCTTATCTATGCTCTCAAAGCACAACCTGAACACCTCTATTGTAATATTCACCATATTTTATTGGAGTGATCTTTTTAGAAATTTTTTCCTCTAATTTCCACTCCTGTCTTATTTCTAGCACCATCGACTTAGCACACAGTAGGTGCCCAAGCTAGTCAAACTGAAGTAGATATGACTAGGTTACCAAGAGAAGAGAAGGGGGAATGAAGACAGAAAGGGAGGACTCTAAGACCGCCGACAATAGTCTCTCATTTCATCATCTTATATCAAACAGACCCTGGCTCTACATATTTGAATTCAAAATCCAATGTATTGTCAATCTGGGCCCCTTTTATAGAATAATTTTTTATTCCCCATCCAGACCTGGAAAAACCACAAACCTCAGGCAGTTCACGTTACTTTCTTGGAAGCAAAGCAAGCATGGCTGGCTTGGGTTCAAGAGAAAGGAGGGAAATTGATCCATCTTTTTTTTCCTACCCTCCAAGAGAAAAAGGAGACCAGTTCAGCTTAGGCAAGATCCCCTGTCAGGCAGAGACCAAAAACGTAGGAAGAGTTTCTATACTCTCCAGGTCAATGGTGCCACCCTTTGTCTCTGTAATCTGCTTCTCCAACATGGTGGGCAATGGGGGAATTTTGCATAAACACTCTCTGATCAGCTGTGTCATCTAGGGGCAGCTCCACCACCTGTGCCTGAAATGTCAAAAATAATTCTTCTAAGTCTCTTCTCAGGCAGCTTTGGGATGATTTCAAACTTGAGAAAAGAAGCTGAGGGTAAAAAATTACATACCATTCCAAATCAGAGCAGACAGGCTGTAAAGTTCTAGATTTTGTTTGAAATTTCTCTTCAGTGTAGAACAGCATCTTTACTCTGTATTGACAGAAGCAGCCCTTTCCTTAATATAAGCCAAGACATAGCCATAAACCAGATCGACAGGTATAATATGTTTGGCATGTATTGTTATTTGTTACCAGGAGGGCTTGTAGCCCACAACTCACCCTAAACAGATGAGCTCTAAATGCTTGGATTACAAACGGCTGTGAATTTAAACATACCCAACTTGTCTTTGTTAGAGTGAACCCAGAGCACATGGCTTTCCACCCGGACTGGTTGGTTACTGCTGCCCTATTCTTTGATGGAGATAAACAAACAAACAAACAAACCTGATTGCAATGGTGCTTTGGAACCCCTAGATCCTGAACTCCTTTGGGAGAGATCTGAGAGTGGGAGCAGGGCCTTCTGCAGCCAAGTTAGCCTCCCAGGCTGGCTAATAGCTGGTGAGTTTCTTCCCTAGGTTTTGGCGGAGGTGACCACTATGGTGTCAAGACTATGGACCTGGGAACAGACAGACTTGGGTTCAGATTCCAGCTCTACCACTTACTAGTTGAGGGACTTCAGCCCTAATCCAGTTCTCTTTTTCATTATTTATTTTCTCTTCTTGAATGGGGAATACTTTGACATGTTTGAAGACTTAAACAATATAAGGATATGTGTGCTCGGAATCTATTCTGTCCTGTCCTTATCCATCATGCTTACCTATACCCTGACCATTGTCCTTAGATTCTCATTGTTTCTTCTGGTGTTTTTTATGCAAACAAAAGCAAATTTATTATATATATTATTATTTTTCTTCCTTCCCTACCCAAAAGGCATCCTATTATGTATACTGTCCTGAACATTGTCTTGTTTTTTTTTCATTCATAATATCAGAACACAAAGATGTTCCTTATTTTTAAAAATTTAAAAATTATTATTATTTTTTGAGATGGGGTCTCATTCTGTCACCCATGACAGTGAACGAACATGGCTGTCTGCAGCCTCCACCTCCTGGGCTCAAATGATCCTCCTGCCTCAGCCTCTGGAGTAGCTGGGACCACAGGGGTGCACCACCATGACTGGCTAATTAAAAAAAATTTTTTTTGTAGAGAGAAGATCTTGCCATGTTGCCCAGACTGTCTTCTTTATGTTTCATATATGCATATTATGCTATAGCATGGATATATCATAGTTTATTCAACCAGTACCCTATTGCATGGATTCTAGTCTTCTGCTATTAGAAACAATGCTACAATGAACATCCTGGGTTGCATGTCCTATGTTTACTGGTGTGCCTTTAGGAATACCTCTGCTGGGAGAAAGGATAAATGCATCTGTAATTTAAGTAGAGCTGGAATCATGTGGTTCTAACTTCTTGAAGAATTTGCTTTAAGAATGGTGGCTGGAATGATGCTATTATCTCATATTAAAGCATACTGTAGCAACAAGTCATCCAAAACTTATTGTATGTACTCCCAGATAGTACCATGCTACTTGATCATGGAGTAAGCATGGACTTGAATCAGATAGTCCTGTGTTTTGAATCTTAGCTCCACCACCTACCAGATGTGCTATGTTGGATGCACCACCACAGGTTTTAAGTCTGTCTGTTTATCTGGAACACAGTTGCCCTCATATTGGGTGTTTAATAAATATTCCTTGATTGAATACCATAGGGACACTGTTGAAGATGCTGTTGCTTGGTTCATTCCATGTCTTCTTCATGAGGAACCCCAGCCAATCTCTTACTAGTCTGTCTCAGGGTTGACTGTACTTCTAAACAACTGGGATTTGATTTTATCCCATGAACACTGTGGATCGTGCAATGGATTCTGTTTTTTTCTTTTCACTTTGGCTGCTAAGAGGCTCAGAACCAAGTTTCCTGTTCTCCTCTAGCCAGCATCCCGTCTTTTAGGGCAGACATTTTATAAACCAGTGTTTCCCAAACTTGGCTGCATGGCTCAATCACCTGGGACACTTGGAAAAATCCCAATGGCTAGATCACACCCCATATTAATTAAGTCAGGACCTGTATGGGTAGGACTTAGGTGTCAGTCCTTTTTTTTTTTTTTTTTTTTTTTTTAGACGGAGTTTTGCTCTTGTCGTCCAGGCTGGAGTGCAATGGTGTGATGTCGGCTCACTGCAACCTCTGCCTCCTGGGTTCAAATGATTCTTCTGCCTCAGCCTCCCAAGTAGCTGGAATTACAGGCACCTGCCACCACTTGGCTAATTTTTGTATTTTTAGTAGAGACAGGGTTTCACCATGTTGGCCAGGCTGGTCTCAAACTCCTGACTGCAGGTGATCTGCCCACCTGGGCCTCCCAAGGTGCTGGGATTACAGGTGTGAGCCATTGTGCCCGGCTGGCATCAGTACTTTTTAAAGCTCCTCAGGAGATTCTAATGCACAGACAAGGTTGACAACAGGTATTCTAAGCTAAATATACCCCTCCTTTTTCTCATTTTTCCTGTTCTTATTTTTCTTTCATAGTAATGTATATTAGTTCTCTTAGCTCCTGCACTGTTCCCATCATCTTCCATGTAGAAAATAAAACATGGCTTCTTATAAGTCAATGGCAACCAGATGCTTGAGAATAAAGCAAGCAAGGGAACAGAGAAGGAAATCAGGTATGTCACTAGGGGAAAATCATTTATTCATTTATGCATGCATCATTCATTTATATTCAACAAATATTTATGACATGCTGTGGGCTCAGCTCCATGTTATGGGGGAGGGAATTACCTCTCTGGTGAAAATCATGTCTAGGAGAGATTCTTTCTAGGGAATATGTTTTTTAGGTGTATGATAATTTCAGATTGTTTAATAGGAGCTGTGTTTCTGACGTTTCTTTTCCCCTCCAGGGAGAACCTTGGCATTTACCCAGGGAAACATCCTAATGTGTACCGTGGCAGGGCGTGGTAAAGAACCTAGAAACATGTCAGTCAGTAGAAGGTGTGTTGGCCCCCGGAAAGCCAAGCATTTGTCTGATGAAGCATAGAGTGAATTCTGGCTTATATGTTTCATCACTTGGCTGGGTCCTTCGTCAGATGAAAAGGTAGCAGCTGAGAGCATTAGCAGAAACAATTGACGGGCTAAGCTCTCTGTGAGAGCAGCAGACTCAATCGAGGAGGGCTGGAAGCCCAGGCGTGGGCTGTCATGAGAAGTCCACTTGCAGCAGTGGCAGTGATCCTCATAAACACGGGCCCACCGTGCTCAGAGCCCCATTTTCCCACTGACATTGGCCAAGATGCATCCTGGCTGTGTGCAGACCCCAGAGAGAACTGCCCGATAGTGGCAACACTGGCACAGTGGCCAGCCAAGGAGGGAAAAGCAAAGCAAAGAGGACTGAGGCAAAGCAAAGAGGACTGAAGATATGAAGACCCGTATCTCTGCTGAGAAGAGCTCATCATAGAACAAGGACAAATGGCCAGCAAGATGCCATGCCTGAAAATATTCAAACATCAAGTCCCACTTCCTGGTCTTACCTATGTCATCGGAAGTGTGTAGATTCTAGGCTGGAGAGCTACTTTTTTTCAATAGGTGGAAACAAAAATTCATGAAGCATCCTGAAATTATTGCTGAATTCAGGGATGAGGGCAGCTTCGATTTCTTCTCTGAACTTGGAATTGTTTGCTAGATTTTGCAGGCTTGACTCCAGCAGTGCAGTTGTAGAAACAAGCCAGCAGCAGCAGCCACACCTAAGCTGGGTTGCGCCTTCCTGGGAGGTGTCCCTGCCAAGATGGGAAAACCTGAGATGCTCCCCAGTGGATGCAAATATGTGGGAGAAAATTGAATAAAATTTCCCCTGGGGTGCCCCCCAGGAAGCATGCTTCCTCCTCCACTTGGTTTGGCTCTCATTTTCAGTTCGTCTGTGTTCAGGCAAAACCTTTATGTTGTTAAAAATGAAATTAGAACCGAAAGGAAGCAGGGAGCAGTTGTGGCCAAAGATGACACTGAGAAAAGGTGGAAATTGGTGGCAGCATCAGGCTTTCCCTGCTGGAGTCTGCACCCCTGAAATAAGCAGGCAGAAAGTTGGGAGGAAAGCCGAGCTGCAGGCCTCTCGGTCACTGGGTCCCACCACGGGGATACCCGGTGCCGCGCTGAGCCCAGAGCAGATCCAGACTCTCCTCCCGACTCCCCCACCCCTTCCTCTCCTTGAGGGGGCCTCACAGCCCCCCCACCCCCAGCACTTACCCATGCAATGCACAGGCCCTTCCCCAGTTCTGGAGGGATTTATGCCTTTTGGAGGAGCAGGTTTTAAAGCCAAAAGGGCTTTTTGGTGATATGCAAGAGCCCAAAGGATGGCACCACAGCCTGGCCACTGGGTGCAGGCTGGTGAGGTTCAGACTCACTGGCCACAGAGGTTGGGGGTTGGGCATGGGGTGGGGGCTTTCCCTGGATCCTAGGTGGACCAAGTCACCTCAGAGGAGTGAGGACCGGAGTGGATGCTCACGCTTCCTTCCTCAAGGGGCAAGCGCTGCAGGGAGAGGCTCCCAGCTGACATCCTTTAGGAGGCCTGGAATTGGGGCGGCTTTTCCTGACAGAGGGCTGTCTGGCTTGCTGAGCTGGGCTCTGCCAAAAAGCCATCTGAGCCCTGACTTTCATGCTAACGTAAGGAAGTGATTATGACTGGAAACTTGAACTTGGAATGTGGTCTCTCCAGGTCCAGGGTACTTCTAGTGTGCCTCGTTGGGTAAAACAGGCTTTCTCAGCTGCCCAGGTGGCCTTGCCATGGAGCGGGAAGAGCCAGTAGCTGCAAGGTGTGAGCTGTGGGCCTGGCCTGGCCTGTTACCCTTGGTGTGAGGGGACAGCACCCTCAGCATCTCTGGGCCTCACAGGAGGGTCTCAGCCCCTTTCTACCTCAAGAAATTTTATGTAATCAAGTGTGTTATTCATTTGGTGTCATTCTTTCCCCGTAGTTTGTGTAGAAAGGAAGTGGAGTTGTGGTAAAAAGAAACCCGGTGCAGCCAAAACACACATACACAAAACCCCCGGGCATCTCTCCGTTGAGTTTCGCTTGTCAGAAAGTGCCGCGAAAGGACAGCTTGATTTTTCTTTATGCAGCTTGTCTGCAAATGGCACTTGAACTAAAATATTCCCTTTCATCTTTGTGACAGAAATATGATTCAGTAATTCTTTGTGAAAATGTAGATGATACGCTGCCGTAGTTACAGTGAGTTACGTTTAAGTGGCAAATGCCTACTGATAAAGACTTAATTAAAGACACAATAGCAGTGGGAGGTCATTATAGTAATTACAGTCCCGGCTTTATTGTTGGGGTCCAGTACTGAATTGTAGCAGCACATTGCCGCTACATAGTGTCTTGGTCTGATGAGGCAGTGCTCCAACTCAGTGTACTTAAGACTTTCACTTGCCATGGGATCAGGCCTTTCTGCAGTTGCCCTGGTTCCACTTTATTTTTGTGTAGGCTTTGCGCCTCATTTAAAATACGTGATAAAATAAATCGGTAATCTCCTAGGGGTGCGTTCTGTTTCATCTTTTTCTGGTTACGTATTAGACTGGCACCAGTGGCATGTGAAGGATTACGAAGGTACCCTGGAACTTCTTTTATGGCAGCACACCAGTATGCCTGATCTTGGGGAATTTTGAAACCTTGGAGACAAAGATCTTGTGAGGCTAGCAACTTTCTCGTTGCCTGGGATAGGACAATGGGTGGTGCTCTGTGGAGGTCTGCAAGGGATTGACTTTGGTTGATTGTGAAGTACATGAAGCTCTTGTCTCTCATTTCTGAGCAAAGAGGTACAGCTCTCGGCACCTCCTGAGGGCCTCTGCTTCCAGGTCTGTCACATCACTTTGAGGGCACTGCTCCAGGCCAGACCGCAGGCAGAGTGCCTTTGTGGATTTAAGGACAAACCTCATGCTTGCAGGACACAGGCAGGGCCTTGAACTGGGTTGTCATGCAGGTTGGAATGTTGGTATCAAAGAACAAGAGTCATTAGCAGTTTGCTAATGTGGTTAAGAATATTGTCAGCATCATTTACAGATGATGGGAACAATAGTCACTGGGGACTCCAAAAGGAGGGAGGGAGAGAGGAGGGGCAAGGGTTAAAAACTACCTATCAGGTACTGTGCTTACTACTTAGGTGACAGGATCATTCATACCCCAAATCTCAGCATCATGCAAGATACCCATGCAACAAACCTGCATATGCATTCCCCGCATCTAAAATAAAAAATTAAAATTAAGAAAGAATATTGTCAGCTTCATTTCAGAGTTATTCCCAATTGAATACCATAAGGGAGGGGTAGGTTAATCATGAAGGTGCATCTAAATGGTGCCTTCTGCCTCTTAGAAGTCTGGGATAAGTAGTTTGTGGGTTATTAGACATCCTGCTTATCCGTTGAAGTTGTAGAAGGTCTTACCTGTTTTCCTAAAATCACTGCCCCTAGACATCACCTTGCCTAATGACTCTTCAACAGGCATTTCTGCCCCTGACCAGCGCTAATGAGATGTCAGATGAGACTCATTTAGAATGATTTTAGAAAATCCAGAGAATACAGCTCAGAAATATCTTTCTCAATGCTTTGTTGCTATGACAGAAATCATCCCAGTAGCAATCCTTTAGGTTATGTTAGAAGTTATGAACACCTTTAAGGTGAATAACAGTATGGCCCAGAAGGTGTTCCTTGACCCTATCATAGGAGTGCTAGGCCATCAAGGATCAGATAAAATTAAATAAGACCCTCACGTGTCCTTCCAAGTCCTGGATCCTGACACTTCTTGAGCTTCTTGGCTAGTTTCTGACTTCATTGTTGATTGAGACTCTGACTATTGGCTATTCCATTTGGCTTTTGACCTCTCCCAGCCTACTGGTTGGAATTAATTTTGGCTTTGCTTGATTGACTCATCTGCTGTCTCCTGGACTGACTTTGATGTGTGGCTGTGTCTCTTCTGGCACCTACCTTCAGCAAGTCTCAGCCTTGGGTTTTACCACATCTTGCCTGTGCTCAGGACCTTGGTGTAAAGTGCCAATAATCCTCAAGGGAGTGGCTCCCCTACTTTAAACCCTTTAAAGGGATTGGCTTCCAAAAGGCAAAGTATTAGATCCTTGGGTAGAGAGTGGGACTGGGATGATAGATGGGGGACAGGATATTGAATAGTTGGGGACTTCAACATTTTACTTTCAGCAATTGATAGAACTAGTAGACAGAAGATCAGCAAGGATACAGAAGAACTGAAAAATATCATCAAACAATAGGATCGAATTGACATTTATAAAATACCTCACCCAACAAGAGTAGAATTTGCATTCTTTTTAAGTACCCACAAAACAGTCACCAAGATAGACTATATCCTGGATCATAAAACCAGCTAAAATGTTTTAAAGGATTGAAATTGTACAGAATATATTCCTGGAGCATAATGAAATCAAACTAGAAATTGATAGTGGAAAGACAATGGGAATCCATAGATCAGAGAAGAAACCTTAAAGGAAATAAAAAATACAACCAAATAAAAAGGAAAAACAACAACAACATAATCAATATTTGTGAGATGCAGTGTTGACAGGAAATTTATAACACCAACTATTTATGTAAAAAAGATAAAAGATTTTGAATCAATAACCTAAGTTCTCATTCCAAGAAACTGGAAAAAGGAGAGCAAAACAAGCCCAAAGCAAATCGAAGGAATGAAATAATAAAGAACAGAAATCAGTAACACTGAAAACTGGAAAACAATACAAAAAAGTAATGAAACAAAAAACTAGTTATTCAAAAGAAATTAATAAAATTGATAAATCTCAAGCAAGATTGACAAAGATTATAAAAGAGAAAATATACAAATAACCAATATCAGGCATGAAACAGAGGCTATCACAACAGATCCTGTAGCTGTTGAAGGGATAATAGGGGAATATTATGAAGAAATTTATGCTCAGAAATGAGAAACTTAGAAGAAATAGACCAATTCCTTAAAAACCACAAGTTACTGAAACTCAGCCAAGATTAAATGGGTAACATAAATTGTTGTATAACTATTTAAAAATTAAATTTGTAATTAAATAACTACTGAAAAAAATTTCCAGGCCTAGATGGAAGGATTTTACTGGAGGATCTTTATCAAATGTTCAAGGAAGAATTAATACCAATTTTATACAGTTTCCCACAGAAAATAGAAGAGGAGGGAACATCATTCAACTCATTTTGTGAGGTGAGTATTAATTACTGTTGTTCCAAAACCAGGCAAACACAACAGAGAAAAAGAAAACTATAGACTAATATCTCTCAGAAACTTAAATGCAAAAATATTCAAAATATTCAACATAATTTTAGCAAATCAAATCCAGCAATGATTAAAAACAGTAATAGACTATGACCAAGTGGGATTTATTCCAGGTATACAAGGTTGATTCAATATTTAAAAATGAATCAACATAATTTACCATTTCAACATCATTGATAATGTCACTTGGGGCAGAAAACAAATTTAACACAATTTTATTCCTATTTATAACAAAGACTCTCAGTACATTATGAATAGATGAGAACTTCCTCAAGCTCATAAACAGCATCTAGAAAAAATGCAGCTAACATTGTATTTAATGTTGAAGAACTAAATGCTTTCCCTCTGAGACTGGGAACAAAGCAAGAATGTCTGCACTCACTGGTCTTATTAACATAGTATTAGTACTTCTAGCCACTGGAACAAGGCAAGAAAAAGAAAGAAAAGGCATTCAGATTGGAAAAGAAGAGAGAAAACTGTATACACACACACACACACACACACACACACACACACAATGCAGGTGTAAGTGGCAAAATCTGAATAAGCTCTATGATTTGTGTTGTGTCAATTTCCTGGTTTTGATATTGCACTGTAGTACAATAGTTCAGCAAGATGTTAACATTGGAATGGTGGCATGGGGGCTAGGTGAAGGGTGCCCAAGACCTGCTTGTACATTTCTTCTATTTTCAGATAACGTAATTGTGTATATAGAAAAGTCCCCCCAAATCTATGAAAAAACTTCTAGAAATAAATGAGTTTAACAACGTTGAAGGATACAAGATCAACACACAAAACTCAATTGCATTGCTATATACTAACAATGAACTAAAATTTAAAAAAGCTATTTACAAATGCTGCAAAAAGAGAGACACTTAGGCACAAAATATGGGCAAGATCTGTACGCTGAAAATGACAAAATGCCGATGAAAGAAATGAAAGACCTAAATATTTGCAGACATGTCACAGATTAGAAGACTCAACATAGTAAAGATGTCAATTCTCTCTAAATTGATCTATAGGTATAATGTTTTTACTATTAAAGCCTGCTAAAATTCACATGAAAAAGGAGAGGCACTGTAATAGCCAGAATAAATTTGAGAAAGAAGAAGAAAGTGGGAGAAATTATTATTTTAATGTTAAGGTTTATTATATAGTTATAATAATCAAGGCAGTGTGGTATTTACAGAAGGATAGACACATGAATCAATGGAACAGAATAGGGAACTCACAAACAAATCCACACAAATATACCCAGTTAATTGCTGACAAAGGAGCCGAAGCAATTTAATCGAGGAGAAATAGCCTTTTCAGTAAATGGTGCTGGGGCAATTGGATATCCACAGGCAAAAAACTGGATGTCAACCAAAATCTCACACCTTGTGCAAAATTGACTCAAAATGGATCATGGATTTAAATGTGAAACCCTGAACTATACAATTTCTAGAAAAAAATAAGAGGAAATCCTTGTGAACTCAGAGTAGACAAAAGGTTTATAGACTTGACACCAAAAGCATAGTCCATAAAATAAAATATTGATAAATTGAACCTCATTGAAATTTAAAACTTTTTGCTTTGCAAAAGACCATTTTAAGAGGATAAAAAGGCAAATTACAGACTGGGAAAACCTTTGCAAATCATGTATCTGACAAAGGACTTGTATCTAGAATATACAAAGAACTCTCAAAATTGAACATTAAAAAACCAACAATCTATTTAGAAAATGGGAAAAAGACATGAACAGACATTTTTGAAGAGGATGTACAGATGATAAGCACATGAAAAATGTTCATCATCATTAGGCATTAGAGAAATGCAATTTTAAACCACAGTGAGATACATCTCTCAGATGTCTAAAATAAAAAATAGTAATAACTTCAAGTGCTGGCCAAGTTGTGGAGAAATGCAATCATTCATACATTGTTAATGGGAATGTAAGATTATACAATCATTCTGGAAAATAGTTTGGCAGTGGCTTAAGAAATTAAACATGCAACTACCATGCAACTCAGCAATTCTTCTCCTTGGGCATTTATCCCAGAGAAAGGAAACTTATATTCACTCGGAAACTTGTATAGTAATGTTCATAGCAGCTTTATTAATAGCCCCAAATGGGAAACCACACAAATGTCCTTCAATGGGTGGCTGGTAAAACAAACTGTGGTACATTATACCATAGAATTCAACTTAAAAAGGAAAGAGCTATTGACACATGCAACAACTTGGATGAATCTCAGGGAAATTATGCTCAAGGAAAAAAGCCATTTGCAAAAGGATACATACTACATAATTCCATTTATAAAACATTTGCGAAATAACATAATTATAGAGATGGAGTGGTTGCCAAGAATTAGAGATATAGTAGGGTCAGGGGGGTGCAGTAGACATGGATATAAAGGGGTAGCACAAAGGAGTCTTGTGGTGATGCAATAATTCTGTATCTTCATTGCATTGGTGGTTATATAAAGCTACCATGTGATAAAATTGCACAGAGCTACACACACACACACACACACACACACACACACACACACACACAGACAGACACAGACACATACAATGCAGGTATAACTGGTGAAATCTGAATGAGCTCTGTGATTTGTGTTGTGTCAATTTCCTGGTTTTGATATTGCACTGTAGTACAATAGTTCAGCAAGATGTTAACATTGGAATGGAGGCATGGGGGGCTAGGTGAAGGGTGTCCAAGACCTGCTTGTACATTTCTCTACAACTTCCTGTGAATCTATAATTATCTTAAAATAAAAAATCATAAGAAAATCCAATAATCCTTGAAGGAGTGACTTCTAAGCCCTAGATGGGAAAGTACTGATTCTTGGGTGGAGAGTAAGGCTGTCATGGTAGGTAGGGGAGATAATATTGAAAAAGGAGAAGGGAGCAGAAGGGTTTCAAAGAAAAATCACATTTCCCATTTATTTGGGGGCCAGGGATTGCCAGGATGTTATACTGAAATAGTTTTGGGGTTGGGGTGGGTGGGAACAGAGCTTTGAAAGGCATAGGGCATGTTTTAAATTTTTATTTATCTAAAGAACTATTTTTTTGAAAAACTGAAAAATACAGGAGAGTAAAATGAAGAAAATTAAAGCCTATTCGTATTCTTAGTACCCAGAATGATCCATTGTTAACAGATGGCATCTTCGTTTGTAGGCTTCTGTTTTTTTTTCTGTTTGCATTTTAAAGAAAAATCACTGTTGTTTTTTCCAGGGAAGTTATATTTTACGGTGAGAAGCAAGGAAATGGGCTAGAGAGATGGGAGGAAGGAAAGAGATAACAAAAGCCAAAGAGACTTCTTGCATCTTCTTACTTTGTTTCTTCACGTCGATCTTTTCTTTTCTGCCTGAGCAAGGGAGGCTGAATTACTTGAAGTGTTGAAGGGCTCTTTAACTGCACTCGGTATTCAAGGGGATGTTTTATGGCACCACGACGATCTGGTTTACTGCTAAGGAGCAGATGCCCATGGCACAAAACTCAGGTAATAACTGAGTTTGGAGGCTCAGGAAAGACAGATAATTTTGAATGAATGTAGTATTTAGTAATGATTAACCACCAGAAAGTCGGGAAATCATTCATTATGAGTATAGTCTGGGAGGTTAATTTTTTTCTGTTTTCTTTCTGGCTATTTAGATATTTTCCACTTCAGTAACTACTTTTTAATTCCAGCTAAGTGAATTTGGAATTCCAAACATTCCTGGAAATATAAACTTTTAGTATCTGAAAATCAAGTAAGAGTGAGTGTTGTACATTCTTTGTGCAACACACATTCCATCTGCGGCTGGGACATCTCTCTGCTTGGAACAAAAGTTGTAAGACGAAAGTTTGATCTCTAACCTTTTCATCCTGGCCCTTTTGGAAGCAGAGTTGCTATCTATCCTTAAGATACTGTAATTTATAAAGCAAAGAGGTTTAATTGATTCACAGTCCACATGACTGGGGAGGCCTCACAATCATGGTGGAAGGTGAGCAAGGAGCAAAGTCATGTCTTACATGGCTGCAGGTAAGAGAGCATGTGCAGGGGAACTCCCCTTTATAAAACCATCAGATTTCATGAGACTTATTCACTATCAGGAGACCAGCATGGGAAAGACCCATCCCCATGATTCAATTACCTCCCACTGGGTCCCTCCCACTACACCTGGGAATAATGAGCTACAATTCAAGATGAGATTTGGGTGTGGACACAGCCAAACCATATCAGATACCAAAAAGTGATCTTGGAAAAAATGATGGAATTCTGGAAAATAAAATGTGTCTTAATGAGGAATGTTAGGGAGAACTGTGCATATACAGGGAATTTGAAAGACCAAAGGCACAAGGTTGCCGATGTGAACTTGACCTGGAGGGTCAGACAGAGTTCTTTCTTGAAGGGAGAAGTGAATTCTTTCTTGAAGAGGCACATTTCCAGGTTTGTCACTGACTGTTTGTCCACAGGAGAACAAAGGTCACCTGTTAATGCCCCAGGCATGATGCTAGTTTCAGACGTTGCTCACTCTATGGGAAGAGGGAGAGAGTAGAATAGACACATTGGATTTGGGAGGTATATCTGTGGTTGTTGGGATGGGGGTATTTTTGAGTGCATTGTGATAAATCTGAGTTCCTTCCGATGAATGTCAGAGACTTTGGGGAAAGAGAGCATAATGAATGGAGAGCAAATTAGAAATTACAGTACTAGGTGAAACTTGAGTCTTGAGAAAAAGCCAGGCTGTAAAAGACCAGGGGAAGAGTGTTCTAGGAAGAGGGAACAGTGTGTACAAAGCTCTTGAGGCAGGAATGAACTTTGTGTGTTCAAGGAACAGAAAGAATGTCAGTGTGCTAGAGAACAGTGAGCAAGGGGGATAATAACATACAATTAATTCAAAGACTGTAGTTGTTCATACTGTCTACAACCTAGCAATTTTACTCTTAGGTATTTATCTAAGAGAGATGAGTGAATATGCCCATGAAAAGACCTGTACAAAAATGTTCACATCATTTTATTTATAATACCCCCAAGCTGGAAACTACCCAAATGTCCATTAACAATGGAATGAAAAAATTAATGTGGTACATTCATACGATGGATACTATCTAGTACTGAAAAAGACTGAACTCATGCTGTATGCAGTGATATGGATGAATCCCACGGGTATAATACTAAGAAAAAAGAGTCAGACATAAAAGAGTACATACTGTGTAATTTCATTTATACGAAGTCCAAGGACAGGTAAAATACTCTATAGTGATAGAAAGAATCATGGTATCTGTGGGGAGGTATTACCTGGGAAAGGACACCAGAGAGCCTTTTGGCATACTAAAAGTGTTTTATATCTTGGTCTGGGTGGTGGTTATATGAGTGTATACATAAAGATAAAAATTCAGCACGCCGTATACTTAAGACTTGTGCATTTTAAAAATGTATGTTATTCTTCAATTAAAAAAAGTAGAAAACATTTAAGTCATTGGTTAGGCAGACACCAGACTATGTAGGACCTTGTAAGCCATGGCAAGAATTTGGGATTTCACTCTAAGTACAATGGGAATTCATTGGACGGTTTCAGCAGGGTAGGAATGTGTGGCTGGATTGCATTTTTAAAAGATACTCTGCTGCCATGTCAGGAGTGATAGCATGAAGAAAAGTTAGAGACCTTTGTGAAGTTCAGGCAAGAGAGGATGACATTGTGAACTAGCATTTCAGCACTAGAAATGGAAAGAAGTAGACAGATTTGAGATTTAATTTAAAGGTAGAGCTGACAGACCCACTGCTGGATTGTGGGTAGACAGAGGTGCTGAGTCCAATGTGACGCGATGCTGGCAGCAATGGAAGGAGTCTGCTGGTGAGGAGCACAGACTGTTGCTTGGCTCCCAGCACCTGCTGTCCTGGGAAGCACATGGCATCCCTGGTAATGAGGACTGTACAGCATTTCTCTGACTTCCTTACAGCTAGGTACGAGCATGTGACTAAATTCTTGTTTGATCATGCCTTTAAAGGATAAGGGCATGGCTGTCCCTTCCTGGTGGCTGGAATGCTGCTCCATGATAATGAGCCATCTGCAATAGGTGGACAAGGAAGACACCTTAGGGATGACGATGCAGCAACATAGAAGGAGCCTGGACCCTTGACTTTACAGAGCTGAGCTCTCAAACAAGCTTAGACTTTTATGTGAGCAAGAAATAAACCTCGGCTAAGCCACTACAATTTTGGGTTTCTTTTGCATGCAGCCAAACCCACGGCAGATCAAGCATTCTCCCCAGGCCTATAAGACATTGAAGTCTTTCAGCAGTTGGATAGGTGAGTCAGAGCCCAAGAATGGGGGTGGAGATGGAAATCTGAGAATCATTAGCATGTGGCACCTAAAGTTCACCTACTTATCTACCTGCTTCTACAAACTTGACTTATTGCCTAGCCTTAGCTATTGGTGCCAGCATTTGTATCAAACTCATTGCTCTCAGGTCTCAGGCCCTTGAGGTCCACTGTAAAAACAGCTTGTGAAGAGCTTCTAGGTCCCCATGTTCCTCTCTCCTGTACTGAATGCCCTGTGCTCTACTGCCAGCTGGTCACACTCATGTTGGCTCTTAACTATGAACAGCTTTGAGTTGTTGTGGAATTGTTCTAAGTACCTATGCCTGTCTCCACCTAGTGGAGAACTAGTCCCGAGAGGCAGGGGGGCATTTTTTGCTTTATTGTGTTCCTTCTGCAGACACCACACTATGCCTGTAGGCACAGCTCAAGAAACATCCCTAATTATGAAACAGATCTTAAAAAGTGCTTGCAGATAGATGAAAATATTTTCAAGGAATCTAGACTAGGGAGCATCAAAATGATTTCTCTGCTCAACCTACCAACGCTAACCTCAGGAGAGGTTAGTGGAAGCGTATTTGCTGGAGTGCACTTAGAGTTAGAGCTATTAAGGGCATAGATGAATACGGTAATGGGGTTATGGATTGATGTGTGTGCAGGCCTGCACATGGGTGTGCACATGGGTGTGCTGGGAAAGAAGGGCAAAACATTAAAATGTGTGGTATGAATGTCAGTTGCCTTCAGAGAGACAAATGCAACCCACCCATTTCTCCTCACGGGGGACACTCACTGATGGGGAGCAAGGATGCATTTAGTTAGGAATCCCAGTGTATGGCATAATTTCATCTTGGAGAAGCTGATTGGGTTGGGGTATCTGTACAACCAACCAACAGCATGCCTAGCATCCAGCACCCAAGAAAACCACCTTGGAGGGAAGGAAGTCACTAGAAAAACATGTGCTCTCAAAATGTTTCCGACTGTAAGTCCAGTTGAAAACATTTCATCTTATTGGTTCTATTGCCCCTGGGTTTCAGCTTGTCTCTTTTCATGTGCCAGGCCCTTTGCTCAGACTCAACAACCCTCGAAATTCTAAGAGAGAGAGAAATAGCTACAAAACATTGGATTCTAGCCTGAACTTCTGAATAGAGAACAGAGGGAATAAATTTCAGAACAAGTATATCTCTCTGAGATAGAGACACTTGATGTTCTCCCAGATATTTATGTTTTTTATACTTTCTATGTTTTCTTTCTTTTCTCTTCCCTCCCTCCTTCCTTCCTTCCTTCTTTCCCTTCCCCTTTTTCCCTTTCCCCTTTTCCCCTTCCCTTCCCTTCCCTTCCCTTCCCTTCCCTTCCCTTCCCCCTCCCCTCCCCTTCCCTCCCCTCCCCTCCCCTCCCATCCCCTTTTCTTTTCTTTTCTTTTCTTTTCTTTTCTTTTCTTTTCTTTTCTTTTCTTTTCTTTTCTTTTCTTTTCTCTTTTCTTTTCTTCTTTTTCAGAGCCTCACCCTGTCACCCAGGCTGGAGAGCAGTGGTGGAGTTTCGGCTCACTGCAACCTCTGCCTCCCAGGTTCAAGCTATTCTTGTGTCTCAGCCTCCCGAATAGCTGGCATTACAGGTGTGCACCACCACGCCTGGCTAATTTTTGTATTTTTAGTAGAGACAGCGTTTTGCCATATTGACCAGGCTGGTCTCAAACTCCTAACCTCATGTGATCCGCCTTCCTTGACTTTCTATGTTTTCTTGAATAATAGCTTGGCCTCTCTTAACAGGCAAGGAAACAATGTTTTCGTGTAATAGAGCAAACAGGGAATCTGGGGGAATAATGTGGGAGGAAGAGCCGATGGAACACGCATGGAAGCTGTGTCCCCATTCTGCATTGTCACAGTTGGCAGTGTGACTTGAGCCAGATAATAACAATAGTGACTATACTATTTTTCTAGAACTTCCATAATAAAATTCCAGATGGCTTAAACAGCAGAAATTTATTTTCTCACAGTTCTGGAGGCTGCAAGTCCAAGATCAAGGTGTTGGCAGATTTGGTTTCTCCTGAAGCATTTCTCCTTGGCTTGTCTTTTTGCTGTGTCCTCACATGGCCTTTTCTCTGTGCACCAGCTTCCCTGGTGTCTCCTGCTCTTCTTGCAAGGACACCAGTCATTTTGGATTGGGGCTCTACCCTTAGGACTTCACTTAACCTCAGTTACCTCTTTAAAGGCCCTATCTCTAAATACAGTCACATTCTGAGGTATACTCGGGGCTAGGACTTTAACATATGAATTTTGGGGGACACAATTCAGTCCATAATGTTGATAGTAATAATAATAATGTTAATAGAAGGCTGCTGGAAATCCCAAGACATAAAAATGATAACTAATAACTAATAACTAGTAATAATAATATAATGACAGAAGGCTTCATTTATTGAGTTCTTACTTAGCTCAGACACTATTATAATTGCTGTCTATGAATTTTCTCACTTAATTCTGAAAGCAACCTGTGAAATAGTTACTATTATTATCTTTCACAGGAGCACAAAAGCTGTCTGAAGAAACACATCCAGTGAATTATAGGGTTAGGATTTTGACTCCAGAGTCTCAGGTCTTATCTCCTAAGCTATACTAACTCCAAACATCTGGGGGCTTCATGTTATCTGTGTGTACAATGGAATAGATATTGCTTAGAATCTTTTTCAGTTCTAACATTCAAGGCTTTATTTGACTACATTTTTCTTGTTTATTGAACATGCTACTTGGAAGGAAGGCCCAGTTTTTGGTGTTTCGGAAGATGATGAAGCAGGACTGGTTTTGTTCTAAATTTTCAAGGACTCGCCCTTTGCTTGGTCTCTTGCATTATTGCTTATGATCAAATCACCTGCTTGGATCCTGGTCTGTGTTTGGGTGTGATATTCCCCTTGCCTGAGTTTTGTTTTGTTTCCTTGTACTCACCATATACGATGGTTTCTAAGGGATTCGAGTTCTGTGTTGCTTTCAGCAGAGTTTCCAGGAACAGGGGACCTGCCCTTGCACCCAAGTCCCTAGTCCTAGTTCCAGGGTCTCTGTTGCCACCTGTGTGCCTGTGCCTCTACCATTCACTTGCCTTAGGCTCCAGAACCCCACTTTCTCAGATGGGGTACTAGTTGGTGACCTGCTTTGCTCCAGGAAGCCTATGCAATGCCTGACCCCCATTTCTCCTGGCCTGAGCCCTTCTTGGCAGCTGTATTGCCCCTTCCTGAGGCTTGTAAGAAATGAGAAAGAGAAACTTGGTAAGATGGGGACCAAATACTTGGCTTTAAACCCACAATACCCTGGGTCATGAAAATAATGGTATTATAATCTAACTTTCAGCTTGTTGCAGGATTACATTTCAGGAGGTGTCCCAGTTGCCTGCCAGTTACCATTTTTATGTCTTGGGATTTCCAGCAGCCTTCAAGTACATGCTGGCATTTCAGATTCACTTGGTGCAATTAAAGAAATTGCATGACTGCTAGTTTCTCCTCTTTTTTTTCTCCCCTCAAGATAAATTGTAGAATTCAACTTGATTAAAACATTTATTAAGTGAGATTTAATAGATTCCAGTAATGCTCTGTGTGTGTGTGTGTGTGTGTGTGTGTGTGTGTGTGCCCTCATTATCCATTTCTTCCACATGTGCCAAGAATGGCCATGTGCATAGAGAATTGTTCATGGAACTTGCTTTATTCTGCAATTTACCAGCAATGTCAAATTACGGGGTTTAATGGATTCCTGCACAAAAATTCCTAGTGTGGTTGTATTAGCAGCACGTTTCATTAAAAAGGGCTATTTTTCTCTACCGGGATTTCAGTAAAGAGACAATGTTTATTTTTTCAGTGGAAAATTGATTGTAACTAAGAGGATACTTGGCTTGAAAGTGGGGAATTATCATATCATATGATTAAATGAAAGCTTACCTTGTTATAAGGTAACTAGACATATCCCAGTAGAATTGAGACAATGTTTGATTAAGCCAGATTTTCCTACTTTATATTCAAGGAACAAATTAAAGAATAATTGAGATCCTTTTCAGATCTTTTATGAGCTGCATATATAAAGCTTCAGCTCCAGGTGGCAAAGCAATTAGCTGATGAATAAAATCAACCCCACTGTCATTTGTCAGATGTTTAAATTCTATAAACCAGATAAATTAATGTGTTCCTTAAGCCAAATAAACGGTCATGCTCTCCATGTTACCACTCAATTCCCTTGGGGAAAGGTTGGATGCATGCTCATGGAGAGGCTAGAATCTACTTAATCAGAAAGGTTGAAATTAAGTTGCCCATTTGATTTTCTGAAATAATGTCCATCTGGCACAAAATGTATTTTCCAGGCAAAGTTGTTAGACATGGTGGTTTGGTTTGTTTAGTAAACTAAGGATAAAGCTGGACTCAGTGCTGCATGCTGCTGGCTTCATTGAAGATCTTTTCATTTCCTTGTACTTGGCATTGAAGTTATTTATAAGCAACTGAAAGTGCTCTGGTTTCATTTATTCCTTGCTCCTGCATATTAATACAGAGAATTAGAATTTCTGTTGCCTTTCTGCTTCCAGATTTATTTCTCTGAGGTGAGTTTCCTGGACAAGTACAACATACTGCCATTGCATGTTGACATGAGCTTTTCTGACGTTGACATCTAGATAAGGTAGACTTAAGTCTCAGAGGACATTATTTAATTAGCTGGTGACTAAGTTTTGTTGGCTGGTTCTGCCCTGCTATTTTCATTATAAGCATTGCTTTTAGGGGCTGTTGACTGGGCTTTTACTCCTAGCCACCTGCTTTGGTTTGCGTGGCTTTGATATTTTGGTCACTGTGAATGGTCCTTTAGAGTCTTTCTACTCAAAATGTGGTACTGTGACAAGCAGCATTAGAATCACCTGGGAGCTAATTGGAAATGCAGAATCTCTGCTCCACTCTGACCTATTTAATGATTGCATGCATTTTGTCAGTGATATGGTTTGGCTCTGTCCCCACCCAAATATCACCTTAAACTGTAATTCCCATAATCCCTATGGGTCAAGAGCCAGACCAGGTGGAGGTAATTGAATCATGGGGGTGGTTTCCTCCATGCTGTTCTTGCGATAATGAGTGAGTCTCGTGAGATCTGATGGTTTTATAAGCGTCTGGCATTTCCCCTACTTGCACTCATTCTCTCTCCTGCCGCACTGGGAAGAGGTGCTTTCTGCCATGATTGTAAGTTTCCTGAGGCCTCCGCAGCCATGTGGAACTGTGAGTCAATTAAACCTCTTTTCTTTATAAATTACCCAGTCTCAGGCATTTCTTAATAGCAGCATGAGAACAGACTAATGCAGTCACATTCATATAATAATCAAGTTTGAGAAGCACTGTGTTAGACTTTGACTGTGGCTAGGGTTGGAGTTATGAAGTAAAAGCATGTAGCCAGTGGGAATATCCACTTTGTAGATTTTCTAAACCTCAAGCCATCTTTTCTTTTTCATATTTTATTCCCGTTAGCCACTAGCACTTTAAAAAAGGATAACAAAAAAGAGCTAGAACTCATTCATTATAATATTGATTATTGGAGCACAGCATTCTTTAGGAACTGTAACAAAAATTGGCAATTATTTATAGAAATTGAATTTAGATCTTGAGGTCATTATCAAGATGACTCTAGGTGAATTTTCATGTTGAACTGCCAGCTTGCTATCTATTAAGTGCAAACTATTGGTCTCCTTGTGGCATAGTAGAGAGACAACTGGATTGAATACTCAAGCACCAACTCATCATCTGATGACGGGCAAGCAGTTTCACTTTGAGCTTGATTCCCCTGTTTGTTAAATGAGGAATTTGGAAGCAGATGATTCTAGGGTCTCCTCAAGAGCTGAATGTTTATAATTTGATGTGACTATGTGGAAGTCTGAGCAAGACATTCTGAATACATCGACTCACAGCTATTCCAGTGTCTGGAAACCAACCCCACACATAGGTTCTCCTGATGCTGTTTGACTAGTATCATCCCTAGTATTCATTTTACAGCAGTTTGGAAATTAGCTCATCACATGAGTTCCCAGGGATCAAGAAGCTGATCTTTGGGTGTGATGCAGGCATGTGCATGAATGCACATTTGTTGCCTATAGTCTAAGTTTTTATTCATGCTACACAGGGACTGGAGAGAATGAAGCAGCAGCATAAATAGGTTTTAATGTAAGGAAGAATATGAAACTCATGAATAGCAGAATGAAGCAAAACTCAACACACTCTTTGCTATAAATGAATATTTGAAATTTTTCCAACCCCTGGTGTGTTGTATGCTGTTATTGTTTTTTTTTTTTTTTAAACCACAATCTGTCTTTTATTTCTTTCTTTTTCTTCCTCAGTGTGTTTTATTCTGGTTTTCATTTGAAGGTTCACTTTGGGTTGTATGTGTGTACTGAAAATGTTAAGGTGATTATTTTTTGATGCAAATAGGCATGGTTTCAAGATTTAAAGAAGTGCTACTGAGAGAAGTCAGGCAGTTAAAGAAAAGCCTTTTCTGTTCTCTTATATTTGGAAAGCAATCCTGTTCAAGGGCTGTGTGGGGAAGAGATGACCTGGGAAGCACCTTCTCCTTGGGCAAATGATTTGCTCACTAATTCCTTCAAAGTTTCCTTTCCTATTTTCTTCTTTCTTAACACAAAACTGGATTTATTACCTACAATAGGTTCAAAACTAGAGATGCAGAGAGGAAAAAAGATATCATCCCAGCCCTTAAAGGCTCAGATCTAGCCAAGGAATGTGTAGTCTATAATTTCTGTCTCCACTGATAGCTCTCACTCCAAATGTTATTGTAATGTGAGCATATAAGAAAAGTCATAATGGTTATTTGAGAGCAATTTCATTTTCTGGTTACACAGTGTTTACTCAAATTCTTGTAGGGATGTGTGTGTGCAGGAGCATGTGTGTTGAGGGCTTTGAGTAACAGCTTAAGTGATATTAATAAAGCAGATTTCCCGTCTCTGAAGGAAGGCAAATTCTCAAGGCAAAGTATGACATATTCTGGTAAGTGAGTTTATGTCTAAAATTGAATATGTTATATATCCAGGGATCTTTTAGGGATCTTCCTGGGAAACTTCTGGCTCTTAAAGTCGATCTTTGTAGTTTCTCTGTGTTGTAATTTGGGGTGGCAAATTTTCTCTTGTCAAATTTTGCAGGCATAAGGCTGTGCTTTGTGGATACAAAAGTGTGCCAATTCTAAGGAAGTAGTTCTCAAGCCTTGGTGGGGAAAAAAATCACCCAGGGAACTTATTCACAATTCAGATGAGCCCCCTGGCTGCTTCTTCACACCCCAAATTCTGACATGGTAGGTAGGAGATGGGACCCAGGAACCTGCATTTAGAAAAGCTTCCCTCAAGTGTTTCTGATTTAGCAGGGCAGAAGACACACTTTGAGAACACTGGCATGGAATTTCTTCATTTGAATCACAGCTAGGCATAAGCCTGTATATGATATACTTTAAAAAGCATTTTAAAGTTCTTTTTTAAAAAAAATTTATTTATTTATTATTATTATACTTTAAGTTCTAGGGTACATGTACGCAAAGTGCAGGTTTGTTACATATGTGTACATGTGCCATGTTGGTGTGCTGCACCCATTAACTCGTCATTTACATTAGGTGTATCTCCTAATGCTATCCCTCCGCCCGCCCCCCACCTCACGACAGGCCCCAGTGTGTGATGTTCCCCTTCTTGTGTCCAAGTGTTCTCATTGTTCAATTCCCACATATGAGTGAGAATAAAAGCATTTTAAAATTCTTGATTGAAAGAATGTTATGCAAATTTATTCATTTCACAATCTGACAAATGAATAGAAGACCCATGAGGCTATCTTACATAATGTTCAAGAATTTAGGCTCTGCTGTCACGCATTTTATTTCCCATTCCTGTGCTTGCTGGAAGCATGGCCTTGGGTAAGTCACTTAACCTCTCTAAGCCTCAGTTTCCTCAGCTGTAAAATCAGGATAATAACAACAATCTAATCAGGCTGTTGTGAGGATTAAATGAAATAATTTATATCAAATGCTTAGCGCAGGACCTGACACAGAGTAAGTGCTCAATAAACTTTGGCTGACACTGCTATTAGTTTGTAATAGGAATAAAAAATTATAGTAAATAAGAGTGTATCCTTTCATTGCACAACTTTCTTCTTAGGTAACTGTGAGCACTTTACAGAGTCCCAAGTTAATCAGCACAGAATCCCTAGGAAACAGTCCAGGATTCTGTAGTTACTTTACACTGTCCCCTTTGAACTGCTTATGCCATTTTTGTGTTAAGTCCGGTTGGTAGTGGCTTTGCTTCATTGATTAGATGTATAAGCCTCTTCCACGCCTCAGCACATAGACTGATTTTACTCAGAAATGAGTCCAGGAAAGTGCATCTTCCTCTTCCCAGGAGTGCACACATTTTCTTTTGATGTGATTGTCATTTACTTGATAAACTGTCATTTACTTGATAATCCTCTCCAACAAGATGATCTCTTGCTGGAAAGCATTAATGCAATTAACAGTCATGGTTAGGAGACCATGGCTGGCATGGTCTCAGGTCAATAACTGCAGAGAACAGACGATTCTTGGAACGGTGGTGCCTCCTCTGGAGACACTTAGCGTTTCGATTTTGTTTAGGTGTCCATATGCTCATATAATTCTCCGGGAAGTGCATCTAGGTTTCACTTCAACCTAAAGCTTGAGATTTGCCTGATTTAACATGGTGTGTTTCCCAATGCTTTGCAAAATCCTAGCACAGTCTGGGCTTTTGGTTTTCTTATTGATTGAAATGCTAAAGTATTATCAGAATCATAAGAGATAAACAGACTTATTGTTACTTCTCTCTCACACTAAGCTCTCCTGCAGTGGCCCACAAACTGCGCATACTGGAATCACCTGGAGAACTCTGCTCAAACCCTAAGGTTCTGATTCAATTGGTCAGGGGGTTCACTTTGAGAATGGGACTTTGAAAGTCTCCTCAGGTGATTCTAAAACTCAGCCAAGATTGAGAACTTCTGCTTTACAGGGTGATTTCACACGCTCTCATCTTTGGATTTTTTTATATACATTGTTGTCTTGTCTGATACGTCAAACTCATCCCTCCAACCTCTTCTGCATAATTTGTGAATTTTCACAAATAGAACTTCAGAATAACCCTTGAGTAGTGGTTCTCAACTAGGGGTGATTTTGCCCCTTCAAGGACATTTGGCAGAGTCTGGAGACATTTTTGATTGCACCAGCCAGGGGTGTGCTACTGGCATCTAGTGGGTAGGGGCCATGGATGCCGCTAAATATCCTACAACATATAGGATAACCCCTACAACAAGGAAGCATTCTACCGCAAATGTCAATAGCACTGAGGTTGAGAAGCACTGCCTTAGCTTAGCCACTCTCATTTTACAAGTGGGAAAATGTGGTCCGGAGATGATAGCTTGATTTGCTCAAGGATTCATGTGTAATTATCAGCAGAATAAAATTTCTAACAATTGTAACATTATAGTGGAACCCTGCCCTTATTCTCCAACTCTCTCCCTTTTAACCTACTGCCCTAGGGACATTAGTTATTCTTCTTGTTTCCTTTCCCTCCTCAAATATCCCTAGGCTCTCAACAGTAGTTATTTGTTTTCTGTATTTTAGTATTTCAAATTTCTTGACTAAAAAACAGAAGCCAAGTCTACTTAAGCTAAATTGCATAGCCTAATAAGCATCACTTTTCTTTGCTCTAGGATGGCATTGTTGCAACTTGTTGCTAGGCCTGGTTTGTTTTGTGCTGATCAGCACCTCTGATTGGAAGTTATATAAATCTTTGGTTAATTTAAAAAATGGGCAAATGAGGTAAGTGTTACTTCATAAATCTAGTTTGGCGAGCAAAATGTTTCTAATTTAAGGACCCACAAAATGAAATTATAAAGGGGCTTCTTGGCGATGAAAAGAACGTCTCCCCAGGCCTTCTCTAGTGCAGTGTGTGTGTGTGTGTGTGTGTGTGTGTGTGTGTCTGTGTGTCTGTGTGTCCAAGCCCCCAGCTGCTTGGACAGAGTTTAGGAAGGTGATGGAGATTTTGAATTAAAGACCTGTGAGTCCACCTTTCTTCATTTATATGTTCCCTGAATACCTCTCATCTTAACCCCAGGAAAGTAATTAACTGGTTATTTCTGGAAGGTAGGATTTGGGATCATGCATGGCTAAAATGTATTTTTTTTAACTTCTTCTCTCTGTTTTTTTTTCCTGTGCACACATTTTTTTTAATAAAATGAAGCCATTTAATCAAATAATATAATTTTATTCTCAACATTCCGTGCACCATAATCTCTTGGGAGCTTAACAAATCGCTTGGGTACCATCTCCAGAGACTCTGATTGAGTTGGCTTGGGGGTGGGGTGGGGGCGTGGGGATGGGTAGCGTTTAGTGACTTCCCAGCTGATTCTTATGTGTGGCTAGAATTAAAAACTCCTGTCTCAGAGAGCAGTTCTCAAACTTGTCTGCATATTGCAATGTCCCGAAGAACTTCAGAACACCTGTGCCTGGGACCACCATAGAGGTTCTGATTTAATTGGTCTGGGGGTGCTGACTGGGTTTTGGGTGTGTTAAGATTTCCCCAGGTGATTCTGAAATGGAAGGGCTGGGTAGTATCTCTGAAGAGTTTTTTGGGGGAGTTCTTAATGTTGCTGTCTTACTAAGGAGGTGTACCAACCTGCCCCTGCTTTCTGTTAAATGAGAGTTAATAAGGTGGGATTGCTCTAAACCTTGAGCACAACTGATCATAATGCTAGAAACAATAGTCCCTCCTCCTCAGGGTGAAATAACAATGTTACAGGGACACCAATTATGAAGATAGGTTGTGTTTTTAATTGTTGAGAAAATGATGAGCTTGAAGGAGATTTTGCTTATTAAGACTGCTTTACCTTTATAAATGACTGTAAGTAGATTCATCAAGAATTGGGAGCTGCCTTGAGCTACAAACAAGCCTATGCAATAGGTACTAATAGTTGTTTTTAGCCTCCAGTTATTTTTGTCTTTTCTTTTTGCCTTTTTAAAAAGAGGGTGGGAGTGAAGAGGGCTCCCTATACTTCTGTCTTAACAGACTGTCACTATGATGATGTCCAAGTTGAATTCTGAATTTTCTTTGGTTAGACTAGCCCTGTAGCTTTTTAGAATTATTTAAAAGGGCTGCCTTCTTTGTTACAACAAAAAGTCTTCTTGGAGGTGTGAGCGGTTGAGCTCCCCCAGTGTGGTGGGTGCTAGGAAGGGCCTCTGGGGCGAGGTCTGCAGGTGGGCTCTTTAGCAGTGAGGCTGCAGCGAGACAGGACCCTGGGTCTGGAGAGCTTTCCAGCTCCAGCCAAGTCTGGCTTCCTACTTCTCCACAGAAGCCACTTGGGAGCAGTGTGGCCTTGCCTATGAGGGAGGCTCAGGGAACCTTCCTGGAACTGACCGGCACAGCCAGGGAGCCTGGAGCCCCTGCCTGATGACAAGTGAAATATTTCACAGAATATAAATCTTTCCTCTTGCAAATGCTCCTTTGGTGAGAAATCAGACAGCAGGTAAGAATTGGGCAGAATCCTTGTCCCAGCAAATAAAATGAAAGGATAGAGCCTCCCATCTTTGTTCTGTGATATGATAGTATGAAGTTTGTGGAAAAGAAGATTTCCTGCTTATGATGGGTCCATTGATCATAACAGGCTCCTGAATGGGAGACAATGGTATCTCCCTTTATCTCACTGACAATAGAAAGAGGTGCGGGGAGAGGGGGAAGGACAGAGAAAGAGAGAGAGAGAGAGAGAGGCTCCCATCAGCCTGATGTGATGATATTTCACCCTGTGACTGTTTCCAGGTTGTAAGCTCTTCTGACAAAAGTCAAACAGAAGAACAAATGACTAAGGCCTTTTCAGTCTAGTTCTTGTAAGCAACTGTATGAACTTTGCAATGTTATGCTTGTTCTAGGTCTTTGAATTAGACCCTTTACCATGCACACTTCTCACATCAAAGAAGACCATATATAAAGTAGTATTTTGCAGTATTATTATGACATGTCTGTGACTGTGTGATTAGCATTGTATCCACATTTTTGGCCCTCTTTACTTTTTCAGGCTTTTAAGATTTACTTAGAAAGGGAGAGAAGAAAGGATATACAGGGAGCTGGGGGTAAAAGTCAAGGGAGCAGTTGGGAAGAGACACAGGAAAGGGAGAAGAATGAGATGACTAGAGGATTCTCCTCCAATTTGCCAAGGTCATAGGGAAGCAGGAGTTGAAGTGTAAGCCTTGTAACTTGATTTTTTGGCTAGCTGTGAACTACCTCTCAGGTAACACCCTTTTCCAGGTATTATCTAATGCCAACATTTGCTCAATTTCATTGCAGTCATCAATCCTTTGCTGAGAATAAACCCAACTTTGGAAGGAGAGTAGGAGGAGTTGTCAGATGGGAGAACAAACAGATCCCACTGGAAGCTTCAGCTTCTCCCTAAAAGCAGGAGTAGATAAGGACCCCTCACTGCCATTTTTACTGTCCTGCATCTGAGGTGGATTTCCAGAGTTTCTGAGATGCATCCAGATCCTGACAATTCGAGGCTCATGGCCAGATTGGACCCAGCACACAAGCTTGCCTATCTCCTCTGCTGTCCCTTCCTCTGAAGATTAGAACCAGCCAGTGCCAGGTGTGCCAACCAAGATGTGTCCTTTCTTGGTGCTCTTGGGAGCTTCTTACACCCCAGGCTAGAGGGTGCCCCTTTGGTCCTAGGGGTGATCTGGTATCTCTCTTGCTTTTGGGATTCTGAGGGGTCCTGACCTCTCTGGGGCAAAATGGAGATTTCTAATCATGTGCTATCTGAATTTAACCTAAAAGTCAGTAAGCCACCACCCCAGCTGTTTCTTCAATGAATCCCTAGGGAGACATGGAAGCAAACAAATTTGGGCTCCATAACTTTGACTAATAAAGGTCAAAAGTCAACTGAAACCAGACTTACAAGAAAGTGCTTCATCATAGGGGTGAGATTCAGGACTTCCATGACAAACTGTTAGGGGCTCTACAAAAACCATGAAACAAGAGCTTGTCCTGGGAACACAGGTTATACATAAATAACCCATTATATATTATGAAACAGAAAGTTCTTCAGGTAAACAGACGGAAGCCAGTACGGTTGGCACAGTGTCTTTGTCCATCGCTTGGTATGGCAGGATTTATAGCGATTCCATCCTTGAGCATGGAGTGATAATGGAGCCCATGATAAATATGCAAGGCACAGTGCTAAGTGCCTTAGGTATATTTTCCCATTTAATCCTCGTAACAACCTTATGAAGTAGGTACTATTACAACTCTATTATGCAGAAAACACTTTGCTCAGAGAGGTTAAGTCATGTGTGCAGGCTTGGCTGGATGGAAGGTGGAGGAGCCTCCAGAGCTCATATTCTTACTGTTCTCCCCTTTAGAGGTTCTTTGCTACTACTGTGGGGGTGGAGGGGATGTTCCAAGGTGTTGAGCCTCATGGATTTTCCTACTACAGGTTAATGGATGTGAGAATAAAATCCTCCCTTTCATTTAGATTAACTGTGCCAACAAATTAATTGGGAGACCACGAGGCTGAGAGACTCCAACTCTTAAAATGTGCTAGGTGAAATGAACAACTCCTTCTTGACTTCACTGTAGTTGCTTTAAATAGCAATGTTGAATCTTCACGTGGGACTTTGAGTCATGGCTTTGGACCAACTTCCTCTTGAAAGTAAGTTGAGAAATCTACAATTCCTAGATAGATGAACAAACTAAATATCCCCTGTACTCTGACAAACAAACAATCATTTACAAAACCAACAAAACTGCAGTAGGGTTTTCTCATTTTGTAGGGGAATATTTTAAGGACTGTTTCTCTACTTACCTTGAAAATTATGGGCATGTTCACCTGGGATTTGGGCAACAAGGTCCTCAGCGGCACCATCGCTGAATGACCAGACTTGATGGCAGGGCAGTTTGAAAGGTGATGCAGGAAACAGCACAGTAGCGTGGAAAATCTGGCTCTGGCTGTGACACCAATCCATCCCATGACTTGAACTAGCCCCCATCACCTTCCCTCAGCTTGCTTCACTGGCTTGGGATGGGAAGAAGAACACCTGCCCTCCCACCTTGCTGATCATAGGCGTTCCTGGAGAACATGTCAAATAATGAAGGTCCACATGCAACTTGTATATTGTGTGACTCATTTTGCTCATTGTAAATACTTGACTCACACTTTCTAGATGCCAGGTACTGTGCTTTATTTTAACTCATTTAATTCTTACAACAGTCCCACAAGGAGAGATTACTTTTATCTGGATTTTGCAGATGAGAAGATGAAGGCACATAGGAAGCAATTTGCTCAGGGTCACTTACAAATAGCACATTGTGTGATATTGTAATACAATGAGAAATATATTTTTAGTCTTTGTCTCTAGTTCCTGAAAGAGAGCTCCTGAAACTCTTGTGCTTTCCTGAGTGATAGGGGTGAAAGGAGCATCTTTTGTTATTCATGATAAGCCATTTTCAAACATACCTGAGTTATATAATGCTAATAATGCTAATAAGGTAACTCTTGGTGAGCCTCAAGATAATCTCGGAATGGGGGCTGGTTGCTAGAGGAACCAATCACTTGATTAGAGAATTGGAATTTTCAGTCCCTCACCCTGACTTCTGGAGAGGGAGAGGGATGGAGATTGAATTCAATCACCAATGGCCAATGATTTAATCAACCATGCCTGTGTCATGGAACACAGGAAACCTAAACAACATAAAAATCCTTAACAACAGGGTTTGGTGAGCTTCTGGATTGGTGAACACATTGAGGTGGTAGAAGGCTAGAGTTCAGGAGATGACATGGGAAGACATGGAAGCTTTGTGTCCCTTCCCATATACCTTGCTCTCTGCATCTCTTCCATTTGGCTCCTCCTGAGTTGTATCCTTTTGTAAAAAACCAGTATTAGTCACTAAACTGCTTTCCTGAATCCTATGAGCTGTTCTTTCAATTTATCAAACCTGAGAAGGGTTCAAAAAAACCCCCAGCTTATAGCTGGTTGGTCAGAAGTATGGGAAGCTTGGGACTTGTGATTAGCATCTGATATGGGGGCTGTCTTATGGGACTGAGGCCTTGTGGGATCTGATGCTAACTCCACATAGATAGCATTAGAAAATGGAATTAAATTGTAGGATTGAATTAAATTGTAGTTGGTGTCTGGGGAGTTGAAAATTAGTTGTTGGTGTGGAAAAACCCACACACTTGGCGTCAGAAGTGTTGTGAGTATAAACAGATTGTAGTAACATGGTACAGCCAGACTAAAACCCAGGCTGTCTGAACACAGTATGTTTCTAATAACTGCTGTAGTCCTCTATCTGACCTCCTTCAAAGTGTATTCAGTTTTGACGTATCTTTTTTCTTCCGGTGGTAGTGAGGGTTCTAATATTTCTGAATAAAGAGGTAATATGTTTGTGCAGCCTGAAGGAGGCCAGAACTACAGCTTAACTGTTGTGAGACCCTGTGGACTTCAGATTTCAGAATCTTGCCTTGTGGAAGATCATGGTTCAGTTTGAGGACTCTGATGTTTTTATTTTATTAGGTATTCCAAATGCACTACTGTTTTTTTCCCCTAGAGAATATTAAATTGTGTCCATATTGTATTTTTATAAATTGTAAAATTACTTCTGTAGCCACATCATTCATTTATATCATTAATATGTGACTTACAGTTGAGTTAGTGCCTCCTTGACAACAGTGATTATTGGCGTGCCTCTCAACATCCAGCAGAATGTGGGAATGTAAGTTACTCAGCACAAATCTTTTGATTTTATTTGTTTTTATTAATTTAAAAAATTACAACAACCTGCGTTCAGTGTGGAACAAATAAAATAATGCCAAAATGCCAACAAAAAGAAAGATAAAACCTCCTATAATCACACCACTCTGTGATAGTTATATAAAAGCAATATCTGTAGAGTTTTGTTTATAAAAGGCTGTGATTCAAGAATTTTATACCCAGCCAGGTTGTCTTTTATGTGTGAAAGTGACAGAAATATATTCTCTGTAGACCACGTTTCAAAAAAATTATATGATAGGCAATTTTCCTGGGCAAGATTTAACATGAATCTCTGTTGAAAAAATGCTTGAAGATAAATTCCAGGTGACCAAGGATGATAGATGCTAGAGTGAAGGATTAAAATAGGAAAGCTAGAGTATAAAAAAGGTTGGGAGTAAACACTGAAGCCAGTTAATGTATATTTATTTATATATCTAGATAATTATAAATATTAGAGACTATATATAAATGCTTTAATTTCTCTTTATTAAAATAAAAGCAAATATAAAAATATCACCTAGAAGATAATATAGTACAATAATAATTATGTGGTAATCTGAATCTATACCTCCAGCTAGCATCATCAAAATCTAAGATGGAAGCTCTGGGAATGGGTAGGGTGAAGGAATGGGTGGAAACAGTATGAGTGGAAATGAGGGCTGGGATGGATTTCAAGGCATCTGACTTGGACTACTAATCATTTGAAACTGGGGTTTGTTTATGCCCTGAAAATGAAATGTTATTAGTCAAGTGAGGATGATTATTATTTTAGGTAATGCTATTCCTTAAAATATTTAGCTAAGTGACTTCATGGCTTTTAGGCAATTACATAATTTCTGCATTTTGTTTGTTTTTGAGCCTGGTTGTCTCTGAGTTCCTGTTTTGGTGCTAATCTTCAGTGTGTGTTTCTGAAAGTAACCATGATGACAGGAAGCATATTTTTCTGTATGCCTATGACTGGTGTCTGACTACCCTACTGGTACTAGAGATTAAAAGACACTTTCCTGTAATTAATATTTTCCCCTGTGTTTTGTCTGAAAGTCGTTAAGTTGAAGCTGGAATTATAGATGTGTGTACATCTCTCTTTAAGGAAACACACAAAACAAATGGGAATTTACCAAATGATATCATTCTCCACTGACTGGATTTATATATGACACTTCTTGAATGTACTTTTCTCATAATGTGGGGGCACACCTGCATTGGAAATAGCTTCTTTGAGAAATGTTAGATGTTGCAATTTGGTAATATCTTAAGTGTGAATTTGTGTGTGTGTGTGGGGGCAGGGGGGAAGGGAGGATAAGGAAGGATTCACAGTGTTCAGAAGAGGACTGATGAGGCTCCCTCCATGAGCAGGCTAGTAGCGCAAAGCCTAATCAACACTTCTGTGAGGAAGTTAGCAGCCTTCCTTCTGACCTGACTGCTTCCGCTTCTGGTGGTGGCAGCGCTGTCAAGCCTCATTACTGGAAAGTTCATCTTGTTAAATTTCCACTTAGAGCAGGGGATGTGTTAGAAGATAGCTCAGACTCTGTGGCCATTATGACATCAAACTCAGACAGTGACATTCCAAGTGGTAGTCAAGGAGTTTTGTTTCTAGCTTCATTGAAAAATGTGAACATTGGCTGGGCACGGTGGCTCACACCTGTAATCCCAGCACTTTGGGAGGCCGAGGTGGCTGGATCATTTGAGGTCAGGAGTTTGAGACCAGCCTGGCCAACATGGTAAAACCCTGTTTCCACTAAAAATAACAAAAACAATTTAGCTGGGCATGGTGGTACATGCCTGTATCCCAGCTACTTGGGAGGCTGAGGCAGGAGAATTGCTTGAACCTGGAAGGTGGAGGTTGAAGTGAGCTGAGATCGCACCACTGTACTCCAGCCTGGGCAGTGGAGTGAGACTTCTTCTCAAAAAAAGAAAGAAAAAAAAAAGAAATGTGAACATTAATAAACAACTTAAGAAGTCACTGTATCTGCATACTACTGGATTAGATTTAACAGACGCAATCTTGGCTGAATAATGAAAGGAGTTTGGCATGAGTTCCAGTGTCAAAGCAGAAGTAAAAGCAAAACCAGTGATGGGCATAGGCTTGAAATATAATATATTAATACACTCACCAGGTAGTGCTGCATTAATAAATAAACTCAGAAATCTTAGGGAGTGAAGGCAACAAAGGCTTATTTCTTGCTTGCATAAAGTCCTATATGGGTTAGGCGATTCTCTGGGCAGCACTCCCTCTGTCTTGTTATGCTGCCATCTCAACAGGTGGCCTCCAGGGTTGCCAAGGCAAAGGACTAGAGGTCACTTCCTTATGCTGTGGCCCAGGAGAAACTCATATGACTTCTGCATACATTTCACTGGCTATGACTAGTCACATAGTCATACCTAACTGCAAGAGACCTGGGGAGTGGAGACTTCCTGAGTGACAGGAGGAGAGAAGGGTATAGGTGAGCACTAGAAGCCTTTACCACACATAGGAAGCGAGTGTGTATGGTCAGCATGGAATCGGGAATGGCCAGAGTCTGATGTTATTAATATTCAGCATGAGATTAATTTATATTGAACCTAATAATATCTTAATACATTTGTAAAAATAAATCAGCCTCTTTGGTTACCTTCCTTGGCCACTGGCCATGCCTTAGTAGGATTATCTACTATTAACATCCGGGTTCCTTATTCCAGTCTGGCCCATCTGCCTAACGTCCTGGCATCCTCCCTGCCTTGCAAGGGTCATCCCTCACTCTGTTTGTGAAACCCATAGCTGCATGGCACAGGCGGTAAGGGTGTGGTGAGACCTTACCAGGGCATGCTTCTCAACACCAGGAAGTACTTTTCTGATGTCATTGTTCTAGACATGCTGACACAGGCCCTACATAAGCAGAGAGGGCCCCCACCTTCCTCTCTGGTGAACGTCTATTGCTTCTCTGTATAGTGTTGTTGGTTGAAAGAGTGGTTTTAGGAGATAGACTGTCTAGGTCCAAATCTCGTCTCTGTCATTAGCAAAGAATGAGACCCTGAGCAAGGGACTTAACTTCACTATGCCTCAGTTTCCTCATCTGTGGATATAATAATAACACCTTCCTGTTAGAGTTGTTGTGATGATTAAGTGAGTTAATACATGAAAAGTGCTTAGAATAGTGCCTGGTGAGTGGAAAGTGATTAAAAAACATCAGCTATGATCACTCTACTTCAAGACTCAGTTCAAATGTAACTGAAACTTCCCTAAACTTGCTTCTTTTCTGGGTGCCTTCAGCACTCAGCAAATGTCTCTGTTATAACATTTATCATGGTATATAATAATTGTTAATTTACCCATTCTTCTCTCTCGTTAGACTGTGATTACTCAAGGGCAATGTACTGCTCACCATTTACTCTAGTCCTTGACAGAGTGTCTGACATAGAAAATACATTACCAAATGTTTTCTGAATTGATGGGCAGAGCCAGGGTGGTAGAAATTGCTACAATTCACCAATATACAGTTCTTTTGTCCTTCCTGTGCACAAAGCAAAGCTATGTTTCCCAGCTCCCTATGCATCTAGATGAACCACATAACTGAGTTCTGGAATGTGAGCAGAAATGATGTGTGCCACTTTTCAGGCTTGTCATAAACTCAATGCACAACCTTCCATGAGCTCCTTCTCTCCCTTTCATTCAATTGGCTGGATATGGTAGCATTTTAAGATAGAACGAGCCCAAATCTCTGAGTCACCGCTTGGAAGAGAGGGACCTAGACTTTAAAATTGTGTCAAGCTTTTGAAATCTGAACCTGTTTGTTATAGCAGTGAGTGTATTTACCTGGCTAATAAAACAAGAATCTGGACACAACATTTTTTTCTGCAGGTTTCATGGCATGATATGGCTCAATCCACAGACAAAGGCTGCTGAGCCCAGAACAGCTTATTGGACGAGCCCCTATGAGAAGCAGAAATGTATAGAAGCAAACTGAACCCAAGGAAAGATTGGTGATACTTTGGGAGGGATGACAGAGGAAGGGGAAACACACTGTCCATCCCTGTCCCAGCAAGGAGCCAGCTCCCATTCGGCAGTCCCTCTGAACATCTAGGTAGCTTCCCCCTTCTTTCTGTCCAGTTGTGAGCAGCCACCAACTATGATGCCCCTCTTCCAGCAGGCTTTGCTTTCACATCACAAAGCATCATCCTGAGAAACAATTACAGTTCTTTTTAGAGTTCTGGTTCCTTCATAGGTACCTATTGTCCTAATAAATGGAATTCCTTGGAACACAAAAGCATTTATTTCCTCTTTTAGCTAATTTAATTTTTACAGCTCTGGTGAAAAAATATTTTATGTTTTTACTCAATGTGATTTTAAGATAGCTTATTCTTGGATTCAATTTTGTTTTCATTTTCTAGAAAATCAATTTAATTCACAGAAGGTTCATTCATTTAGTGGCTTTCCTTGCACATGGTTAATGCTTAAGCATTTGATCAAGCATTCCTCTTAGCAATATCTTTACAAGGTTCAACCGGAGAAGGTGTTAGATGGGGGAAATCCTCTACATTTGGGCAAAGCCTCTTTCCTCTGGACTAATTGAAATGGAAAATCAGTCTGAATTGGTGAAATTGAATTGCAAACTATTTTTCAAGGAGATTCCTGTGTGATTTCAAGTTGCTCAAACTAAACTTAGAAAAGGGCACACTAACAAAGCTTTTTAAGTTATCTCCATCTAGCTTCCTAGTGAAGAGGCTACATTGTCTGGGTAAATACCTGGGGTTCGTCATCTCATGCCAAGAAAATTTAGGACACGGACCCACATGAGGAGTTTAGGAACGGAGATTTAATAGGCGAAAGAAAAGGAAAGGAAAACAGCTCGCTCTCTAGAGTGACAGAGAGGAGACTTCTGAGAGGAAAAGGCCAGCTGGCGGCAGATGAGCCAGGTTTTATAGTCCGGCTTGAGGAGGCGTCGTCTGATTTATGTGGGGCTCACACATTGGTTCAATCAGGTGTGACGTTTACAAAGCATGTGGGTAAGGCTGGTCACCCCACCCTAATCTTACTATGCAAATGAACATTCCCCTTGGCTGGCGGCTTCATTTTGTCTGCTCCTTAATGTACACGTGGCTGGCCAAGAAGGGAAGATGGAGCCGCCATTTTCTAGCTGCCATGTCTAGTCCCAGGTAGTTCTTTCCTGCCGGCATTCACCGTGAAAGCTCCCAGCGTGCTTGTCTATGTCTGCAGCTCAACTTCACAGGCTGCTCTTTGTTAGAAAATGATTTGGGGCAGCTTTTCATTAAAAGAAAAACGTTACCAAGGACTTCTGGACTATCTGCCTAAGTAATTTCTTCTTAACTCCTGTATCACTAGTAGTTAGAATCTATATTTGTACCTATATATATCTTACAAAATTCTCTTGGGTTCTTGAAAACTCTTTGCTCTCAAGTCCTTTAAACATTCCTCTTGTACTTTCGTTTACTAAATTATGAAGAAAGACTATTAGCAAAAGGAAGTCCCTGTCTGTATAATTGTAATTTGTGAATTATAGGCTTTTTTATTTAAAGTCGGGTGACAATTCATGCTTGGAAAGAAATTTGTTGACTAATTGATCATGAGTTTTTTTTTTTTTTTTTGAGACAGGGTCTCACTCTGCCGCCCAGGCTGGAGTGCAGCCGTGCGATCTCAGCTCACTGCAGCCTCTGCCTCCTGGGTTCAAGCAATTCTCCCGCCTTAGCCTCCTGAGTAGCTGGGACTATAGGCGCACACCACCATGCCTGTCTAAGTTTTGTATTTTTTGGTAGAGACGGGGTTTTGCCATGTTGGCCAGGCTGGTATCAAACTCCTGACCTCAAGTGATCCTCCCGCCTCAGCCTCCCAAAGTGCTGGGATTACAGGCGTGAGCCAGTGCGTCTGGCCTAGTCGATCATGTTTTTAGTGTTATAACTAAGGGATTTTTGGATTGAATGATAGGTGTTTTTGATTTGTTGGTGTGGCTTTGGAAAGGAACACTGGCACTTCTGAAGATATCAGTTCTTCCCTGGAAAGCGAAGTCAGAGATATCTATAAGGCAAAACTTGTGCTTTTCAGTGTCAGACATTGCTCCTTTATGTTTAGGGCACTGCTTGTGCTATAGCACAGAGGAGGCATATTGTGGAATGACATGTTTCTCTGAAGTGAACTTTAAAGTTCAATGAATAGATTTTACTTACACATAGGAAAGTATATGGTGGTCATGTAAAATGGAAATATGCCACTCTTGATGTTTTCTTCTTTGTGTTACAGATCTATGCCTTGATAGGTCTTCAGTTACTCATGGTGAAACATGTAAGCCTTGAAAAACTTTTTGGTGAGCTCATAGGTTATCTATAAGATGGTTTATGGCCATCTGTCTTATAGGGTAACAACATAATTTATCCTCCAAGTTTGGACACTTTTGAGAGTAAAAAGGGGAGTTATTAATCATTATGTCAAGGAAATAAGCAAAAATGGGACTTTTCTAAGCAACTTAGACATATGGTCATTCTACTTATGAGAAATATGTGTCTTTTATAGGTTAGATATTAGGTCCCATAAGAGCATGTGGCCAAGATGGCCAGCTCCACCAAAGATTCATACTTCCCCTTCCATAGTATGGAGTTGTGCTGGGAAGCAGTTTTCCCACCAGGGACAACATCTTCTAGTCCTTTTACATCTAAGTAGTACCATGAGACTGGATCATGCCAAAGAAATGTTTTGGAAGTGAGATGTTTCACTTTGGAACCAAGGAACTGAAAAAACAGGTATGCCTCCACCTTCCTCACCTTCCCCTCCACTCATCTCTATCTCCATCTGTAGGCTGAATGTAGACGTCTCCAGGACCCTAATGGAGGGAAGACCTACAAGATAGAATGATTCCGGGTCCCAAATGACCATGTGAAAGGCTGCCCGCTGGTCAGAAACATCCATATTGCAGTCTTTAGGGCACACAAAATTAAAATATATTAAGCCTCTTAGGTTGTCACATTTGTTATAGCAGCTAACATTACCATAGCTAATACTGAATACTTTAATTCAATACATCCAACCACTACTGAGAATCTACTATCTTTCCATTGGGAATACAAAGACATGTAAGATCTGGTCACTGTCCTCAAGAAGCTTAGAGTCTGGGGGAAGTACAGATGTATATATGTTATGGTAATTAAAAGTTCTGAATAAAAGGAGATGAATTTTGAATGCTGATTTGTCTGCAGCATATTCAAATGGCACTGTCTTCTATGTAGATAGAGGGAGCCCAAGCCAAGAAGAGAGGTCTGGTATCAAAGATTTGCTGAATTCACAATTGAAGAGGCTTATGTCAGTCCCTTAGAAAGAATTTGAGGACTCCTCGGAAAGTAAGAAAACTTCCCTCCACATTCCTAAGGATTTTTTATTTATTTTTATTTAAAAATGTTTTTTCTTACTTTATTTTTTTTTAAACTTTTAAGTTTGGGGTACATGTGCAGGTTCGTTACATAGGTAAACCTGTGTCATGGGGTTTGTTGTGCAGATTATTTTATCACCCAGGTATTAAGCCTAGTACCCATTAGTTATTTCTCCTGATCCTCTTCCTTCTCCCACCCTCCACCCTCCGATAGGCCCCAGTGTGTGTTGTTTCCCTCTATGTGTACATGTGTTCTCATCATTTATTTAGTTCCCACTTATAAGTGAAAACATGCGGTATTTGGTTTTCTGTTCCTGTGTTAGTTTGCTAAGGATAATCGCCTCCAGCTCCATCCATGTCCTGCAAAAAAAACATGATCTCATTCTTTTTAATGGCTGCCTGGTATTCTGTGGTGTGTGTTTACCACATTTTTAATGGCTGCCTAGTATTCTGTGGTGTGCGTTTACCACATTTTCTTTATCCAGTCTATCACTGATGGGCATTTAGGTTGATTCCATGTCTTTGCGATTGTGAATAGTGCTGCGATGAACATGTGGGCATGTGTCTTTATGGTAGAATGATTTATATTCCTTTGAGTGTATACCCAGTAATGGGATTGCTAGGTTGAATGGCATTTCTGTCTTTAGGTCTTTGAGGAATTGCCATACTGTCTCCCAAATAGTTGAACTAATTTACACTCCTACTACTACGGGACATAAACATTCCTTTTTCTCCACAACCACACCAATGTCTGTGTTTTTAAATTTTTTTTTTTAATAATAGCTATTCTGACTGGTGTTAGATGGGATCTCATTATGGTTTTGATTTGCATTTCTCAAATGATAATTGCTGTTGAGCTTTTTTTCTTATGATTGTTGGCTGCATGTATGTCTTCTTTTGAAAACTGTTCATGTCCTTTGTCCACTTTTTAAAGGGGTTGTTTGTTTTTTTCTTGTAAATTTGTTTAAGTTCCTTACAGATGCTGGATATTAGACCTTTGTCAGATGCATAGTTTGCAAAAATTTTCTCCCTTTCTGTAGGTTGTCTGTTTACTCTGTTGATAGTTTCTTTTGCTGTGCAGAAGCTCTTTAGTTTAATTAGATCCCATTGATCAATTTTTGCTTTTGTTGCAATTGCTTTTGTTGTCTTTGTCATGAAATCTTTGCCTGTGCCTGTGTCCTGAATGGTATTGCCTAGGTTGTCTTCCAGGGTTTTTATAGTTTTAGGTTTTACATTTAAGTCTTTAACTCATCTTGTGTTAGTTTTTGTATATGGTGTAGGGAAGAGGTCCAGTTTTAATCTTCTGCATATGGCTAGCCAGGTAAGTATTCCAGCACCATCTATTGAATAGGGAATCCTTTCCCCATTGCTTGTTTTTGTCAAGCTGTCAAAGATCAGATAGTTGTAGGTGGGCAGTCTTATTTCCAGGTTCTCTATTCTGTTCCATTGGTCTATATGTCTGTTCTTTTATCAGTACCATGCTGTTTTGGTTACTGGAGACCTGTAGTGTAGTTTGAAATCAGGTAGTGTGATGTCTGCAGCTTTGTTCTTTTTGCTTAGGATTGCCTTGGCTATTTAGGCTCTGTTTTGGTTCCATGTGAACTTTAAAAATAGTTTTATCTTGTTATGTGAAGAATGTCAATGGCAGTTTAATGGGAATAACATTGAATCTATAAATTGCTTTGGGCAGTATGGCCACTTTAACGATATTGATTCTTCCTGTCCATGAGCATGGAATGTTTTTCCATTTGTTTGTATGATAAAGATGCTTTTAGATGCAGCTGCACTGTACCCTATTAGGGCTCACTCCACCAGTGGGATTTGTGCTCTGAAGATCTCTTGGCCACTGACTTCATATTGCGAAAGAAATGTATCTCTAGATCCTTTTTGTAGTTTACACATTACTTTCATGAACATTGCTTAGTTTGAATCTCATATTCACCCTGTGGTGTTGACAGGGGAGTTCCCTTTCCCACTGAATGTCCCCAGGTCTTGGCCACCGTCAAGTAGGGGACATATTTAATATGACCTAATGGCTCAATTCTGAAGGCACTCAGCCCATTCTTCACCTAACTGTGGGACCTCTTGAGCTCTCTTTGGGATTCCTCTATTGTTTCTGGGGTCCCCCAGGGATGCCTCACTTGGGCTCAGGAGCCAGGACTCACATATTCTGTCACATTGTGCTGGCAAATAGTTTTCCACCCATATTCAGGCTGATGATGGGGCTGCTCCCAGTGAGATTAAAGGAACCTTCTACTCTTCTGTTCCTTCTGTCAGACCCATGTTCGCCAACTCCTACTTTTCTAGCGAAGGAACATCTATCGACACCTGCGAATAGATGTCTGGAGGCATGGGTGTCACCCCCACACTAGATGTGTCAAGCCTTAGTTTTGAAGGTACTAGTTTACCCTTGTATGTACACATAATACACACACACACACACACACACACACACACACACACAAATGCACACAGTCTGAGACTCAGAGACATGACTAACACATTCTAGGCCATCCCATTTGTTTTTTTCATAAACTGGATGTAGAACCCAGGACTTCTTACTCCAAATCTAATGTTCTTCCCTTTGCCTATCCTGATTTAAAGAAAAAATGTTCTATAAAAAAGTTGCTCAGATATGCAGAATTACCTGCTAGAAGCTTGAACCAGTACCACAGTAGAAACTCTGCTTTTTGCTTCATTCTGTAGAACTTAGGGAGGCTGCTGTGCCCATCCCTGGGAACTCTCAGGAGAGATGGGTGAATAATGGGGGCTTTGTCATAGGAGCACCCTGAAATCTTCCCCCAGTGTGAGTGGTGTCAATGTTTTCATTATTTTTGACTGTGGTTTGTAACTTGTCATAAGAATTAGTTCTGGCTTAATTGAGGGCCTCATGTTGGGGTGAGAGAAGGAAGTGTTGTGGCCTCTCAAAATGCCTTTTATAGGATCCTGACACTCTAGGGCTTGGCAGATACAGCTGGGAGCAGTAGCACGTGGGAAGGGGATGATCCCCCAAGCGTTCGCGGTCCAGCCCCCTCTTGGTTTCTGACTTGGAGATTGCTTAAAGGTCTCTTGGGGAGTAGAAACAGTTGTTTGTTCCCCCTTCTTTTCTTTACCTCTTAAAAAAAAGTCTTTATTCTGGGATTGTACTGCTTGAAAGGAAGAAGGCCTCTGGGCAGCATGTGATATGTTTCTTCCCCAATTCCCTTGGAAAAAGGTATTCAGTCCTCGGGTGAATTCTAAGCTCTGCTTTGGACCTTTCAAGTCTTCTTGATCAAATCATGCTAATCTTATGTCCATTCTTTCTTCTCTACGCTAATCAGATGCACTAATTCATACTGAACTGTTAGTAGGTTAAAGTGTGATGCTATGTCAATACGCTAAAAATATCCTTACATTTTTCCAGAGACTTTTATTGTCTCAATGTAAAGCTTTCTCCAACCAAGCCATGGAATCCTCCCTTTCCTCTGATTCCCTGGGCAGATTCTCAAACTTTAGTGAGCAGCAGAGCAGCCTTGGCAGATTGCTAGGCCTGCCCCAGAGACACTAGCCCAAACATAGGTGAAGCCGTTGAAGCATGCCACGGTATCACATGAGAAGTAAGCAGTGAACTATGCAGATCTTTCTCAATACCCCTCCCACCATGCCTGGAAATCTCCCTATTAATGCCTTCAAAAAATGTGCACTTCATACTTGCTATGTGGAAGGCTGTAGGCTTGGGGCCAGGAGCCAATCCTGTACTCTAGTGGAGGAATCAGCACACACATTTACAACACACTCTAATAATTACCAATAGGAGGCAGCTGAGAAGGGAAGTGCGAAGAAGAACCCTAGGGCGGTGTTACTCTAAGTGTAGTTCCTGCACTGACAGCAGCAGCATTACCTAGAAGCTAGTTAGAAATGCAAATTCTTAGGTCCCACCCCAGAGCCTTTTGCCTGTGGAAGTCAGGTTAACCTGTGAACACCCTCCATCCTTTGCTTATACCTCAGGTTGCCCCTTTCTGTCTTGGGCACTGACAGGTCACAGCTTGCTGGTGATGACATAAAGAGAAAATGAATGACCTGTAATTCTGTCATCCAGAGATAACCGCTCTCACTATTTAGTGTATACCTTTTCAGATTTATTTCCATGCAATGTAGGTATACATAATGAAAAACAACAGAGAAACAAAATTCTATTATATCACAATACTGCTTTTTGAATTTCTTTTTACCGCAATTAACACTACGGCGGACTATCTTTCCATGTAAGTAAAGTTATGTTTGCCACCTTAATTTTAATAACAGCATGGTATTTCCTTGTATGGACATATTATAAATCACTTAGCTATTCCCTATGGTACAAGTCTTTCCACATTTTTAGAATCTCTAAACAACTTTCAGAAGAATATCCATGCACATACATCTTTGTGCATATTTGAAATAATTCCATTAAAATTAAGTAGGTTCTTTTCTGTAATGTGTACTTCAGATGTAATTTGCAGAACATTTGTGTCAGAGAGACTCATTTAAGAGATGAAGACTTCCCGTTTAATAAGTACTATTAATCACGATGCCAGTCATCCATTTTATAATCAAAAGTACACGAAGATAGAACAAATTGTGCTGAAGTATTTTTATTTTACATAATTAATGGACTTAAGGCCATTGGTAAAGGACCTTGTCAGTTATCATGGGACAAATACACTCCAGCAAATGTAAGCAGTGAGATAAGACTCTATCTTATGTTTTTCAGTTTGCTGCTTGCTGAAATGCATCTTGAATTTTTGGAAACAAAAGTGAGTTTCTAAAATAAGTGGAAGATCTGCTTATACAACTCTGATTTTAAAATAAGTCTATACACAGTATCAGCAGATTGATTAAGAAGTCTGCTGGTGGTGATATTAAAAAGTTTGGCAGATTTTCAATTCAGATTGACACTATTCAAGACAGAGGCATAGCTGATGTTTATTCAAGAATCCTAAGACATATCACAGATTCCGTGGAGAACATCTGATATCTATAGAGAGCTTGAAGTAAAGTCCTGGGAAAAATATGTTCCAGACGGTTACAGATGTTCTCATATCAAATCATATTTCTATGAAAAGTTATGTAGCATGTTCAACTGATGGCACAGCCAATGTGAAGGAACAATTTAAGGTTTTCTTCCTGTTAAAAAATAATTGATTCTATCAACTTTATGGGTAGTGTTAGTCACATATTTTGAGTGTTGCAATGGTAGATTTAGAAGATGTCTGAACCTCCAGTTAATCCCACAAAAATTTGAGTCTGTGGTATCCACTTAGAACAATATGCATGCTGCAAGCCGTGTAGAAACTCCCTGAATCTTAACTGAATGTTTTACCAAATTAAGCACATTTCGTAAGTCCTCAGGTATCACATCACACCAGTGCATACATGATTGTTTCAGATGTTGGTTCTGAGGCATTAGACATGGTGGAAGGCTACAAAGAGTGCCCTGAAAAGGATTAAAAGGGCTTTGTCATTCCCTTGTGGGAACTAATGGAAACTCAGGAGAACATATTCCCACATTGGAGATTTTGGTGTAAACACCAGACCAATGACAAAGACATCCAAAGAATTATCACGGAGGCTTCTTTTTAGATTAACTTGTCTGCAGAAAAATTTGACCTGGAAATGCCACAGTTCAGAATATGGATACTGAAACCATCAAAATGAGATGAAGTCAAGAAGACAGAAAAGGTTTAAGTATTTTATGAGTAAGAGGGGCTCTTAAAGGCAGATGTGAACTATTGATAATACTCTAGAAGGTTCTTCACCTCAACTGTGTTTGTATGTGATTTAAGGATGATTTGAGAAAATAAGTTGCCATTCAATGATATTTTCAGGGTATTTACAGAATCTCAGTGTAGTTACCCACCTGCCTTATGTTTTGCTGAAGCAAACATCTTTTTAAGAAGTATTCCTAATCTGCTGAAATAATTTCTACTGAGATCTAAAACATCCACTTTGCAAAGCAGAGCTCAATTTGACACTGAGAAATTTAAGGAATTATCCAAGTTTGCTGTGGCTTAGGCTATGATAAATTGATGTGTTTACCCTGTGACTGTGCTGGTGAATGTACAGTGATTTAAGGAGCCAGGAAAGGGAGACAAGGAGGTGGCCTTAGTGCTAAAATTAACCCTGGTGCTAGGGTGATCAACCATCCAGGTTTGCATGGGATTGGGGGTGGAGGGTTTCCTAGGATGCACAACTTCCAGTGCTAGAAACAGGTCAGTGCAACAATAATCGCTCTGTGGGTCATCAAGACTGTGACTTTGTGGGAATGGACCCACCTCTCTGTTTCTTTTAATACCTGTTTCCCCTTCTAAAATGCCACTGAGACCCATTTAAACATAACTTCATCTGGATATCACCGTGGGAGGCAGGTACATGCATGTGTCTGCACACAAAAAACATGCCCACCTCTCTCTCTCTCTGTCTTTGATTGTTTGCCTCAGGCTCCGCCTTCAACATCCATGTTAGGAATCACAGAAAAACAGACTCAAGAAAGATTTTTACAATAAGGGCTTTTACAATATATACAATACAATATATATATATATATATTTTTTTGAGACGGAGTCTCACTCTGTTGCCCAGGCTGGAGTGCAGTGGTGTGATCTTGGCTCACTGCAAGCTCCACCTCCCGGGTTCAAGCCATTCTCCTGCCTCAGCCTCCCGAGTAGCTGGGATTACAGATGACCACCACCACGCCCGGCTAATTTTTTTTTTTTTTGTATTTTTAGTAGAGGCGGGGTTTCACTGTGTTAGCCAGGATGGTAGTGATCTCCTGACCTCGTGATCCACCCGCTTGGCCTCCCAAAGTGCTGGGATTACAGGTGTGAGCCACCGCGCCAGGCTGAGTTTGTCTTATATTAAGAAAAATAAAACACGCTGACAAACAGTTACATCAGCAGAAAGAATGTGATAAATGCCCTAAGAAAGATGCCAACAAAGTGCTATAGGAGTTCATAGTCATTAGGGTTTTCATTTATTTAGTTCACAGGTGGGTGGTATTTGTATTGAGTCTTGAAGAGGGTGGCGATGGGCAAAGATTAGGGAAAGCAGGTTTCTGGGGCATGCAAATTGCTTAAGATTTGGGGGGGGTCCCTGCTCTCAAATCACTTACGTTCTAAGTGGGAGATGGAACAGTGAACAGTAGAGCCATGGGAGGTCAGGGAAAGGAAAACATTGATCTGTGTCAGGTAGAGAGGAAAGATGTAGTGGTGGGTGGTGCTGTGAAAAAGGACTAGGTTTTTAGTGAGCAGAGGCAAGCTGGGGGACACCCAGGTAGAGTCTTGGAATGTAAGCAGAAGGCCAGAGGAAGGAGTAAGCACCGCCATATTTTCTGACACCAGGAGGTGCCTGGGGCATGGTACGTGTGTCTGGGAGTGTGGGAAGAGTTGGGCTAAGAGGATGGCCCAGATGACTGAGCTCTAGAAGGCCACAGTGGTAGTATGGGAGCTTGGCTTTAAAGAAATGAAGCCAATTGGAAATTGTAAAGACTTCTTTGGGACGGTTGGGATGACTTGTTAAAAGTACTTGCTTAGAGATTCTTCTGTCAGTTGTGCACAAGATGGCTCAAAATGTGGGAGGGGGAGAACCTTCTTCAAAGGTTCTTTCAACAATCCCAGAATAAGTAAGTGAGCATGCACTGGGTGTGGGGTTCATCTGGATGGAGAGGCAGGAGGAAATGTGGTAGACATTTTGAAGGAGGATGTGACAAGTGGATTTATGGACAAATTGAGTCAAGGGGATGAAAGAAGAGTCAATTTACTTATCTTTAAAGTAAAGGTTTTTCAAGATGATCTGTAACATTCCTTTCTGTACTGGGAATTCATAACTTCCAGGTTTCTAGACTTAGGTACTGGAAAAATGCCAATACTTTACTTCCTACCTCTTTTCCATCACTTAAACCCTTTTATTCAGTACCAGATATTGTAGGGAGTAAGGATGTAGACCTGTCTATGGAACACTTTTCAGTTTAGGAGGAGCTATGGACATTTAAACATATAACTGTAATTTGGTATGATGGGTACTATTGTGGAGTTATAGTCAAAGGACTAGGAGAAAACCAAGGAAGGAAGCACAACCAACTCTGCCTGGAAAAGTGGAGACGAGTTGACAAGGGTGATTAAGGGTTTGTTAGGCTATATATGGGGGTCGGGGGCAAAGAAAAAACATAATGGGAGAAGCATGAATGAGACTGATGTGCAGGACCCTACTGGTGACTTGTCTGGCTGGAACCTAGGGTGGATTGAAGTGAGAGAGGAAGGGAGGAGGGAAATGGGAGATTTGTTAGCAGAGTTAGATTGTGGTCAAATGAAAGAGGACCTCATTCCATGACAGGAATTTGGACCTCATCTTCTTGCTGATTATGAGTTAGTAGAGATCTTTAAGGACAGTAGTAAATGATCCAACTTGTGTCTTAGGAATTAACTCTGATGACCCTGAAGAGGGTGGACTACAATGGGAAGAGGTTGGAGACAAGGAGGCCAATAAGAGATTATTAGAATTCAGGCAAAAGACAATGCATAAATGGGTTACTTGGGAAGGTATTTGGGGAAAGTTGAGTTCAATTTTGAAACTATGTTTTAAGAGGTGGCAGGGCATTCATTTATAGATTCATTTTTTCCCTTGTGCTCAAATCTTTATTAACTTTGCCAGGTACTGAGGGTAAGAAGATAAATAGATCACTACCGTGACCTCCTTCAGCTCATTTGCAGTGATTCTCACTTTTTTTTCTGTGCCAACACTCTTAAGAGACTTGACACTCAATTTTGGGAGTAGGATGGCAGGGGATGAGAAGGGGATAGGAAAGGAGTAAGAATATGGAGGAGGGAGTATGTCCTTAATGGAGAAATAGCAGAATGTGGGGCGGCATGATGTGCAGATATCCCCCTTCCCCAGGGGGATGAAACACCTGCGCCTGTTTCATTTAGGAGACTTTCAGCTTTCAGTAATAGAATACCCTACTCAAAATGGCTTAATCAATAATGGCACTTATTATGATATATAACAAGAAATTCATGGATGGCCATCTCAGTTGCTCAGTAATGTCACTGAGAAACCAGATTCCTTATGCCTTTCCAATCTGCCATCCTTAGCATGTTCCTCTCGGCCTATTTCCTCTCATGGTTATAAGACAGCTGCTGCAGTTCCAGGCATCACAGGCAGAGGTGACTATGTCTAGCAGAAGAAAGAGGCCTCTTTCTTCCTTGTGCATCTTTTTGTTTTCTTATGAGCAAAGAATCCTATCCCAGAATCCCCAGCAGACTTCTCATATCTCAATAGCCAGAACTGGGTTGGAGGCCCACCCTTGAACCTATCACTGGCAAAAGAAAGGGGGAGGCAGGAAACACTGGAAACAAAATTATGGCTATTAGCAGAGAAGAAAGTGAAAATGGCTTTTGAGTAGGCAAACATTCCTTCTGCTGAAATTTGCTGGATGTGGGAAAGAATTTCTTTGCATTTGGAAATAGAGCATTTGTTGCAGATAAGCAGTTTGGGATTAGAGAGATAGATTTGAAATATACTGGAAAAGAGATAGAGTGTTTTTGTTTGTTTTTTAATTTTTTTTAAAAAAACTAACCTGACATAAGTTTTGTGCTTCTTACATCTTAATTCACGGAACCTCATCAGGACACTGACAGTCAGGCCATTTTCACTGAGGAAAATGAAGCTCAGAGAGGTTGAGGAACTGGGGATGGTCACACAGTTAGTAGATGGCAAAGCTGGCAATGGATATGCTCACTTTCATCTAATTATGGAGAATTTTGAACATACACAGAAGTAGACAGAATGGCATGATGAGTGTCCCATGTATCTGTACTTAGTTCCAATCAACAACAGCTCTTTGCTAATCTTCTAGTCACCCCCCTCCTCCCTTCCCTCTGTTATTATTTTGGAGCAAATTCCCCACCATTGTATCATTTCATCACTAATTATTTCAGCATGAATCTCTACAAGATAAGGTCTTTTTTCTTTTAAAGATAATGACAACCATTATACCCAAAATATTTAACAACACTTTTTTAATATTAAATTTTTAGGTAGTGCTTAATTTTCAAATTATCTCATAAATATCATCTTTTTTTACAGTTCATTTGAATTAAGATCCAAGTAAGTTCCACACATTGCAATTGATTAATAATGTTTTAATTCTCAATCTATAAATTCTTCCTCCATGTCTTCCTGTCTCTCTCTCTCTCTCCCTCTTTCTTTTATATAATTAATCTTTGGAAGAAATCAAATTATTTGACTGGAGAGTTTCTTACAGTCTGGATTTTGCTGGTTGTATCCCCATGATGTAGTTTGACATATTCCTCTGTCCTCTATATTTCCTATAAATTGGAGTTGGAGTGACAGGTTTGGTCAGATTCAGGTTGAATTTTTTTGCAAGGATACTTCATAAGTGGTGCCATCTTCTTCCATTATGAGGTTCTCTTTCCCTTGGTGATGTAGCAGCCACTGATGCTCAATGCCTGGATCCCTTAATTTACTAGAGGCTACACAATGGCGATTTCATCATCAATAGTTTCTTCTTTATGGATTTGCCAGAAGAGCTGAGATTTAAAAGCCTGTCTGACTCAAGAAGGTGCCACTGCTATTTGAGAGGAAGTGTCATGCCAGGGGTGGAAAGCAGAAGGGAGGACAATTTCAAAGCAATTGAGACAGTACAGAAGTATACCCTGAAAAATAAGGTTGTCTGGGTTGTTTATACCCACAAATTAGCTAGTCACAAACATATAACCTGGTTAGAATTGTGGAGTATCATACATCAATCACAGTGATCATATCATGGCGTAACCCCAAAACACATGTTGATTATTTACATTTTAGTGTGCTGTGCTTGAATAATATTTTTCCCTTGAAATCTACAAGTCTCTCTGTCAGAGGGACAGAGAGAACACAAGTGATGATGTTTTAGTGTGCCTAAAGCATGATGAAATAATAGAAGGCATTGCACCACGAGCAGGACAGTTTGAAGTCAGTGAGCGTCTCCGGGTAATCCACATAATTTATTTTGCAGTCACAAAATTACAAAGCACTCTAGCAGGCATTGTGAGCCTCATGAAGGAAATAGAAAACTCACAAACCAAGGAGGGGATGGGGCCGATGAAATATACCTCAAGACAACAGTGGCAGAAACATAAATGGGTATAAACACCATCTGCTCTATTGTACCTCATGGCTAGAGCAGGGCTTTCAGAAGGGTAAGAACGAAAGAATTGAGGGAGGTTGGTAGAATTCTTGTAGGAATTGAGGCAGGTGTGGAAGCTCCCCAGACAGGAGAACCCGGAGCCTGTGTGAGGGAGGAGAAGGAACACCTGAGATAGTCTGGAGTTGGGATGCTCCTGAGGGTAACGTCAGAGAGGGAAGAAGCACCCACTCCATCCATAGATGAAAACACATTTCTGAATTATATTTACAAAAATTATACTTCTGTGGAAGAGGAAAGGGGGTGTTTTTCCCCTCAGAATTACATAATGTTGAAATTATTGATTTGATTTCTCCATTAGATTTACTGTCAATTCTTGTTATTCATGGTAGTTTTGTTCTATAAAGTCAGAAGAACACTGAAATAGCAAATACTGAGCTATTGCTCCTAGGCAAAATATAGGGTTAGGTTTCTGCTAGCCTCTGGTCACAATTTTGTCAACTGATCAATACGTAACCTTGCTTTATGTGTGTTTCTGTTTAAAAACATTTAATATATATTGTTGATTCATTAACATTGAATGATGGTCAACAGAACTATAACTCATGCCTGAGTGAAACTTATCTGACACACTTCTGTTCTCTATAAGGCACCTCAGAGCCGTCCTGAACTTAGGAACACTGGGCAGAACTTCAGCCCTACCCTTGAGGGGCATTGTAAAGAGCAAAATCACTAACGAAAAGCACAAAAATGCAAAAAAAAAAAAAAAAACCAAACTGTGGTACTAAATAGAGTGCAAAAAGCACATTTGTTTACAATATGAGAGCTGAAATAAGAAGGTAGAGCATTGTCTTGTTCAAACCTCAGCTGGGCATATGTGCGTGGGCCAGGTTAAATTTTTTGCTGTTCTGCCCATGTCTGCAAGTAACCTCAAGAGTGCCCACTTGGGGATTACAAATAAAGTTTAGTGAGTTGGTGGATTTGTAAATATGGAATCCATGAGACTCAACTATAATTTGAAAACCAGTATTGAAAGATAAACTCGGGTTGGAGGTGGGGTGGAGAATTGCAACAGGTTTTCTGGGCTTCTCCAGCACGATCAGGTTGTATCACTCAGCTAGGCGTCCAAATCCTATTGATAAAGGCCTTTTTGTTGGAGAGGGAAGAAGAGGAAGAGAGGAGGTGTGGCCTTCAGAGAAGTAAGGAGAAACTGAAGGAGTTGTGTGAGGGCTTAGGAATCCAGGAAGTGGGGGCATAAGAGTAATGGAGGAAGTCTCTGGAATCAGGACAGCTGAGTACAAAAAGCTTGGACAGGGGAGAGCAGAAGGAGCAGGAGGAAGGAGACCACCATGAATGCTAGAACCACACTGTGATTTGGGTCAGTGTAGCGAAAGCTCAGTAAGTCAGATTGGTTTTTTGGCGTAGGGCCGCCGTACTTATCCTTTGCTTGGAGCTCTGTGACTGAGTTTTTTTACTTTTCAACCAATTGTGGTACCCCCTGTGGACTGCTGGAGAGGGAGGGACAGCCATGGGTTCTGGTTCCGCCTTTGCTGGCCACATTAGAGATGGCTTGGGTGGAAGCCTCATGCCACAGAGTTATTTGTGGATGATTTAAAGAAGGATGCAGAACTGTTTTTCACTCACAAAGAGAAAATTAATGCTAGAGATTTGATCCTTTAAGAGGTCTTTGAACTTGTAAACCCAGACACATATGTGTCAAGAATGGAAACTGGCAAAGACTGTATTCCATAGTTTGAACTTAATTGCATTTGGTATGTACTTGAAAAGATAAAATATCCCAAGACGTTTAACTTTAGAAAGTCATTCTGTTGTGCTGCACAGTAAGTCATTTTCACAAGGATCTGGCCGAGATATTCAGTATCAACATGCAGGAATGGTTTCAATATGTGGTAGGCCAATAAAAAGAAAGTCACTCTGACCCACACTTTGCAGATCTAAGAAGGACAGAGGAGCAAGTAGTGATAATTCGTTCCAGTTTCAGGGAAATACTGTAACTCTGCAGCCACATGCCTCTGTCCTGCCCGCTGCGCTGTGTGTCTCTCAGGGAGGGGGGCTTAACGTCCCAATCTATGCTTCTCAGGTGGGCACTGCACATGACGTGGTTACGCAGGGAGGCCTGAAAGTGGGTCCTGTGGAGATAGGGAGTGTTGGTTTGATCTGAAATCATGGGACTCACAGAATTGGCCACTGGGTTTGGAAAACCCTCCGTAGGAGCAAGCCTCAGTGAGAGGAAATAGGACCGTCCCACTCCCCCTTGCTTTGCTGCTGGCTAGCACAGGCAGGAATGCTGCCCAGAGCCTTTGACCCACTTCCCTGCTTCTAGGACAGTCAGAGCCCAAGCAGTGGGGGGTCTGCTTACTCTTCCCCCTGGCCTTAATTCATCAGTGTTCCCTTTCTCCTCTCAGCCTGGGGTTGGAGGGGTGGTGGAAAAGAGGGTCTTTCCTTCCTGGTGTTAAAAAACGGATTTAAGCATATGTGTAGGGCAGGGGAGGGAGGAAGGAAGGGTGGGACCTCTGGAATCATACCCATCGTACTCAAATAGTCCTCAAAGTTTTTGCTGTTCTGCTTATATCTGCAAATGACCTCAAGAGTGCCTGTTTGGGGATTTGTAAATATGGAATCCATAGTCTCCAAAATGGAGACTTTATTTATTTATTTATTTATTTATTTATTTAGTAATTGACATGATCTTGCTGTGGGGTTGCTGTTTATACAGAGTAACCCAAAAGAAGTTAAACTTGCCCGTTTAAATAAATTGATCTATTCCGGTTTGAAGCAATATTTTTCAGGCAAGCTCAGATTCTGTAGGCTTAAGCCTTTTCTCCTTCTCTCAACCCCTCTTCTCCTTCTCCCCGGGTGACATCTGGGCACAGGAAAAGGCTTACGTAACATTGTCATGGTTGGGGCAGGATGTTTTCTTTCTTTCTTTCTTTCCTTCCTTCCTTCCTTCCTTCCTTCCTTCCTTCCTTCCTTCCTTCCTTCCTTCCTTCTTTCTTTCTTTTCTTTCTCTTTCTTTCTTTCTTTCTTTCTTTCTTTCTTCCTTCCTTCCTTCCTTCCTTCCTTCCTTCCTTCCTTCCTTCCTTCCTTCCTTCCTTTCTTTTCTTTTCTTTCTTTCTTTCATCTTGAGACAGAGTCTCACTCTGTCACCCAGGCTGGAGTGCGGTGGCACAATCTCAGCTCACTGCAACCTCCGCCTCCCTGGTTCAAAGGATCTCCTGCCTCGGCCACCAGAGTAGCTGGGATTACAGGCATGTGCCACCATGCCCGACTAATTTTTGTGTTTTTAGTAGAGACAGGGTTTCAGCATGTTGGCCAGTCTGGTCTTGAACCCCTGGCCTCAAATGATCTGCCTGCCTCGGCCTCCCAAAGTGCCAGGATTACAGGCATGAGCCACTGCACCCTGCGGGATGTTTTCTGCTTGTGTTGTCCTTCTCTTCTGGCTTCTGTTGACTTCTTTTTGAGGTGCAGCTGATTTTGTCTCCTCTTTGGGAGTTAGCTTCAGCTACCAAGGTGTCTTTGGTTGGTGTGTCTTGTGATTGTCAGCTGGGTGTGGCTGCCCCTAGGTTTAGCATCCTCTGCTTTGCCTCTTGCTGCCGTAGACCCTCTGGGGCTTAGCCAGGAACTTCTACTGGAAACTGGCTTTATGTGGCCTACTTCCCAGCTTCTGCTATAGGATTCTCTTGCCACACACCAGGCAACTTCTTAGCAAATACTCTTACTTTTCAGCTCCCTTCTTCCATGTCTACCACAGGGCTATTTGGGAGCTTCTAGATGTCCCCAGGCCAGGTATATCTCTGGGAACAAGAGAAGGTTATTTTTGGCCCATCTGCTTGGCATTTCTCTCTGCAAATGATGTTCTAGGGCTCCTGAACTCCAGGGGCCATGCGTGTGTGCATGTGGAGCACAGGAGGGTAGTACACATTAAAGCACCAGCCTAAGTAGTTTTGTATTCTTCCTCAACCTATCTGGAATTTTTGTCTTCTTGCTCTCTTTCTTCCAGGGCCATCCCCCGGTAGGTGAGGAGATAGATGGGTAGAAAGTCTTGCCCCTTCTTCTGTTCAACAGGAGTTGCCCCCACATCCCATCCTCTGTCCTCTCTACACAGTAACTCATAGTAAAACTCTGTGCTTAGTCCCCTGGGCTTTGTTCTTAATATGTGCAAAGATAATTTTTGAATAGAAATAACATATTTTTCTCTTTCAACAAAACTCACTTCTAAGACAATAGTTTCTCTCTGACTTGAGAAATCCAATATAAAACACAAGGTAAAAAAAAAAAGAGTTCTTGGTTCAGGGTTGTGCCTCTTCTTTCCCTGAAACAACAAAGGCCATTGATTCAGTGGGCAGAGAGCTGCAGGGCAACATGATTTATGGGTAATGAAAAATACATTAGTGTAATAATTTCAAAAATATGGTAGAAAGAGTTGGGAACTTCTGGATTAGAAGAAATGGATCAAATGAGGCTGCTTACATGCTGGGGTGGCTGACTCAAAGGAAAATGTAGCTGGATCGCCACAGCTGGATATCCTTGGGTTATGTGGTTGCCTTTCTCAGCCTCACTGAGCAGGGTCAGAAGATGTGAGTCACAAAACCAACTGCAGCAGGAAAGACAAACATGGCCTCTCATCTCATGGCGGCACAGAGGGGCAACAGAAGCTCCTGTGAGCTTGTGAATTCTTCTTGCTCAGAAATCCTTTTCTTCTCGTTTACATGGGGCTACCCCATGAGTCTTCAGGGGTCAGCAAACTTTCTATAAAGAGCCAGATGATAAATATTTTTGACCTTTCATGCTATGGGGTGTATGTCACAACTATTCACCTCTGCCACTGTGATGGGAAGGCAGACATAGATAATATATAATGGGAAAGTGGGCTGGAGTTTCAATAAAACTTTATTTAGAAAACCAGGCGGTGGGCCAGATTTGGCCTGAGGGTGGTAGTTTACTGATTCTTAATCTGGAATAAAGTGCTAGGTCAATGTAGAGAAAGAACTGCCTGAACTGACTCCTCTATCCTGTGTCTACCTGTTTGATCCCCTCCCTACCTCCCGTTCCCCCCACCACCCCATGCACATCTGCCTCCAATTGCACATACAGACCAGACCAGGTTTTTAACATTATTGTGACCCAGCCTTTGGCTTCACTCATCAAGTCTCCAGGATGGAGAAACAGAGGCCCTGAATTTTTTTTTTTAAAACACTTGTCAAGCTTAATGACTGTTATTTACAGAGGTAGTTTAAATTTTTTTTATTGTATTATTATCTTTTGCCCCTGGGAAATTTCCAGATTGGCTCACATTTTGATTTCCAGGCTTTCTGGGCAGGGCTGGATGCTCAAGAGGTCAATATGCTGATGAGTAGGGAAGACAAAAGGGCCAAGTGAGCAGATGCTCCTAACTGACCACAAACTGCAGCACAAGTAAGGCATTCCGCCTCTATTTGAGAGCATATAGTAATTTTCTATGGTTGCCATAACACATTACCACACACTTAGTGGGTTGAAACAAGGCAAATATATTATCTTACAGTGCTGGAAGACAGAAGTCTGGCATAGGTTTCATGGAGCTAAAATCAAGATGTTGGTAAGGCTGTGATTCTTTCCAGAGGCTGTAGGAGAGGATCCATTTCTTTGCCTTTTCTGGCTTCTAGAGGCTGCCTACATTCCTTGGTTCATAGCCTCCACCTCCATCTTCAGAGCCAGGAACATTGTGTCTCTCTGACCATTCTTTCAATAGTCCTGTCTCTCTCTGACTACAGCTGGGAAAGTTTTCAAAGATTCAGATGATTAGATTGGGCTCGCTTGAATAATCCAGGATAATCTCGCTATCTCAGCATCCTTAACCTTAATCCCATCTGTAAAGTCTCTTTTGTCATGTAATATAACATATTCACAGCTTCCAGGGATTAAGACAAGGAGATCTTTGGGGCACCATTATTTTGCCCACCACAGAGCAGGATCCTGCCTTGTGTTTTTCTCATAGATACTTTCTGGGCACATAGAGGTGCTGAATAAATTACTTGCATTTACTGGGATCTAAGCCCCTAGGCTAAGGGGAGCTGTTGAGGAGAAGCCCCAGTCTGCTGCGTGAGGAGGGCATGGCCTTCCTTGGGGAAGGGAGGCTGAGTGGTGTAGGACAAGCACTGAGCTCACAGGCTAAGGACTTGGGCTCTTGTCCCAACTCTGCTGCACATCTCACTTGCTATCTCTGGTCCCTCGTGTAATCTTCTATAGCATGAGGAATGTAGATTAGGCAGTGGTTTTCCAAAGCTTTTTAAGCACCAGGGGCCTTTCTTCAAGTCAAGCCTATAGAATTCCAGGTCAGAGTGGAGCTATAGTGTTTGAAGAAGGGCTAAGGCCCAGAGCCTTCCCTGCAGGCCTTTCCCAAGAGCTGCCTGGCAGCTGCAGAGATACAGTTTCTTTCCAGGTCTCCTGGAACGCTATTTGGAGATCGCTGGACTAGATCAGGGTTGGCTAATTGCAGCCAGCAGGCTAAATCAGGTCTGAGGCCTGGTGTTGTTTGATTCCTGAACTAATAATTCTATACATATATATAGTTTATTATGGTAAAATACATGTAACAAAAATTTACCATCTTAACCATTTTTAAGTGTGCAGTTTAGTGACATTACATACATTTACTTTGCTGTGTATCCATCACCACCATCCATCTCCAGAACTCTTTTCATGTTGCCTAAGACTCTGCATCCATTAAATAATAATTCTCTATTTCTCCTTTCCCCAGTCCCTGGAAACCACCATTCTATTTTCTGTCTCTGTGAATTTGACAGAACTGAGACCTCCTATGTGTGTATGAAATTACACCCAGCACAATGTGTCCTAAGGAAATAGTGGAGGCTGTGCACTACGGTGGCAGTATTGCTTATTTCAGATAAAAATTGGAATCAAAAGTCCAACAAAAGGAGATTCTTTGAATCATTTATGCTGTGTCTATAACATGGAATGCTACAAGGCTATTGAAAAGGCATCATAGATAAATATTTGTCCACATCAGAAGATGGATGTGATTTATTAAGAAAGAAAAATAGATTGTAAAGCATATGTCTATATGTGGGTTTTTAAGTTGTTATATATTTGTTTTAATCAGTAGCTTTAATTAAAATATATACATATAATTCAAAATAAGATATACATGAAAATATTAACATTGATTGGCCCTGGGTAGTGGGATCACGGTTGGTTTTCATTTTCTTTTTGCTGACTGAGTTCATTTCTTTCTCTTGCAGACTTTGGGCCTTTCCTCTGGGTGGGGGCCTGCTAATCAGAGTTGGGAATCATCTTTCTTTTTTAAACCAAACCCATCAAGCATTTTCTTCATTTTCTACTTTTGGGTCCTTTAAAGTAGAACGAGGATGTTAAGTATCCTTTTTTTAAGACTTTTACAACATTTTTAAACAGTTGTTTAGCCTACCCCTAATTCCACAGAAACTACTTAAAGCAACTCATTTGACTGTATCATCTCAATGCAATTTAGTTTTCATAGAAACAACACTGTTTTGGTTCTCCTATTTCATCATTTTTATGCATCAAGCAAATTGCATACTTATAATAGCAGGTACACTTGGCATAGACAATTCGGGCCCTTTGTGAGTAAAACTGGTAGAAGTGGAGGTGCTCAGGAATGATAAGAGCAGCCTACTAGCTATAGGCATTCAGTGTGTCCTGGCATTCATCTGTAGTTTTCAGAGAGGGAATGGGGAGCATTTATTGACCTAATGAGTTGGTTAAATGACAGTCAGTTGAGAGAATTTCTACCACATATATTTTCTCTTTTTTTAATTATTATTATACTTAAAGTTCTAGGGTACATGTGCACAATGTGCAGGTTTGTTACATATGTATACATGTGCCATGTTGGTGTGCTGCACCCATTAACTTGTCATTTATATTAGGTATATCTCCTAATGCTATCCCTCCCTCCTCCCCCCACCCCATGACAGGCCCTGGTGTGTGATGTTCCCCTTCCTGTGTCCAAGTGTTCTCATTGTTCAATTCCCACCTATGAGTGAGAACATGCGGTGTTTGGTTTTTTGTCCTTGTGATAGTTTGCTGAGAATGGTGGTTTCCAGCTTCATCCATGTCCCTACAAAGGACATGAACTTATCCTTTTTTATGGCTGCAAACTCATCCTTTTTTATGGCTGCATAGTATTCCATGGTGTATATGTGCCACATTTTCTTAATCCAGTCTATCATTGATGGACATTTGGGTTGGTTCCAAGTCTTTGCTATTGTGAATAGTGCCACAATAAACATATGTGTGCATGTGTCTTTATAGCAGCATGATTTATAATCCTTTGGGTATATACCGAGTAATGGGATGGCTGGGTCAAATGGTATTTCTAGTTCTAGATCCTTGAGGAATCGCCACACTGTCTTCCACAATGGTTGAACTAGTTTACAGTCCCACCAACGGTGTAAAAGTGTTCCTATTTCTCCACATCCTCTCTAGCACCTGTTATTTTCTGACTTTTTAGTGATCACCATTCTAACTGGTATGAGATGGTATCTCATTGTCTACCACATATATTTTCTACCACATTGCCTTCATCATATCCTCCACTTCTGCTCAGATCTGCCACCCTCCCTAGGTGACCTGACTCTGCAGTTTGGGGAACTGATACCCTCAGGCTCATTTCTAATGCACGAGGGTCTCCTCTCCCAGTATGTAGAGGATCTCATGGCAGCCATACTCCTGAAGCTAAAATAAGGAGTACGACAAAGGATGAGCTTGTTTGGATAGACTCAGACTTTGGGTTTTTAAGGCCTATCACTCTTGATCCTACTGACTTTTTCCCAGCAGCCAATGTTAAGGACCCTGCATTTAGGTGCTGGATGCAGCCATTCCTGCCTGATCCCTGCTGCTATCTCATGGCCTCATGCAGCCTTGTTTTGCCTGGGTTTGCCTTTGAGTCTGGGTTTTCTACATAGGATACTACATAATAGGCCTTCAATAAATACTGACAGACTATGGTATGTCTGGGGTATTTCCAGAGTGACCTGCAGTTCCACTGATGATCGTGGAATAAAATCCCTTTCTTAATGTTTTAATTAGTTGTTTATGCATTATTATTATTATTATTTATTCCAGACTTCTTGGCACTTTATATCTTTCTGCCAGCTGGGTTGTTGACCTCTTCAAAACCAGCACTGTGATTACATTTTGTGGACCAGTTTATGAGTCAGTTGGCAGCTGATCAGTTCCTCACTGCCAAATTCACACATTTTCTTTGTTATCACTTGGATGACCCACTGAATTGGATCACATGGGGCTTCATAAACAGAATCTTACTAGGAATTCTAAGAGGAGTGGCTCTTGCATGAGAGAAAATATCTTGGGTTTGATCAGTGGAAACTGTGAATATAAATTCCAAAAATGCCAACACCTGTGTAAGGTTTAGGTGTTGCACTATAAAAGGTCTTCAGTGTCCAGCTGGAATTCAGGGAATCAACCGAACAACTCCAGAGTTACTGATTATTTAGAGTTATATTATTTGTACTTACTCGTCTCCTTATAACTGCATATTGTTTCTTTTTCAGATTGCTGAGTTGAGTAAATATTTCCTTCCATAAAGGTAAATAAGCATCTCAAGAGCAAGTTTCTACATTTTGTATTTCCCTGTTTTATTTCTGTAAAATTGTGCAACCAAGAATTATGACCTACTGATATTAGAATAAAATTTGCAGAAGTTTGACTACATGAGCCAGATGGGTACTTACACCAGTGATTACTGAGCGTTCACCAGTTAACCAGGGCCTTGCTTGCTGCTTCTTAAGAGACAGGAACATTTGTGTTAAAATAATGTATTGCTAGGTGTGATTCCAAGATATCCTAATTTGTATCATCAGAGGTGTGACTTAGGAGTTTTTATTTGAAAGATGCCCTTCATGTGATTCTGAAGTGTTCTGTACTTGCTTGTTTTGGTGAAAATTGTTTAATTCATGTTGTAGTATGTTCTTGCATTGCTGTGAAGAAATACCTGAGGCTGGGTAATTTATATAAAAAAAGAGGTTTAATTGACTCACACTTCTGCAGGCTGTACAGGAACTGTAACAGCTTCTGCTTCTGGGGAGGCCTCAGGAAGCTTCCAATCATGGCAGAAGACAAAGGGGGAATGAAGTGTCCCACCTAAGGGGAGCAAGAGAGAAGCAGGAGGTGCTACACACTTCTAAACAACCAGATCTTGAGAGGGCTCTATCACGAAAACAGCACCAAGGGAGTGGTGCTTGATATGGTTTTGCTGTGTCCCCACCCAAAATTTCATCCTGAATTGTAATCCAAATTGTAATCCCTACATGTTGGGGGAAGGACCCTGTGGGAGGTGATTAGATCATGGGGACGATTCCCATGCACTTCTCTTTTTTGCTGCCATGTGAAGAAGGATGTGTTTGCTTCCCCTTCTACCATGAGTGTAAGTTTCCTGAGGCCTCCCCAGCCATGTGGAACTGTGAGTCAATTAAACCTCTTTCCTTTATAAATTACCCAGTCTCAGGCAGTTCTTTATAGCAGCATGAGAACATACTAATACAGTACTAAACCATTCATGAAGGATCCGCCCCCATGATCCAGTCATCTCCCATCAGGCCCCACTTCCAACACTGAGGATTACAATTTGACAGGAGATTTGATGGGGACACAGATATAAACCGTATCATTCTGCCCCTGGCCCCTGAAATCTCTTGTCCTTCTCACATTGCAAAATACAGTCATGCCTTCCCCACAGTCCCCTGAAGTCATAACTCATTTAGAGCATTAACTCAAAAGTCCTAAATGTCTAAGTCTCATCTGAGACAAGGTTAGTTCCTTCCACCTATGAGCCTGTAAAATCAGAACCAAGTTAGTTAGTTCTAAGATACAATGGGGGCATAAACATTGGATAAATATTCCCCTCCCAAAAGGGAGAAATTAGCCAAAAGAAAGGGGCGACAGGCCCCACAAAAGGGGGGCTGCCAACCCCACAGCAGGGCTATTATGAAATCTAAAGCTTCAAAATAGTTTCTTTCTTTCTTACTTTTTTTTTTTTTTTGAGATGGGGTCTTGCTCTGTCACCCAGGCTGGAGTGCACTGGTGTGATCTTGGCTCACTGCAACCTCCGCCTCCCAGGTTCAAGAGATTTTCTTGCCTCAGCCTCTTGAGTAGCTGGGATTACAGGCACCCACCACCATGCCTGATTAATTTTTCTATTTTTTTTGTAGAGACAGGGTTTCTCCATTTTGGCTAGGCTGGTCTCAAACTCCTGACCTCAAGTAATCCACCTGCCTTGGCCTCCCAAAGTGCAGGGATTACAGGTATAAGCCACTGTGCACAGCCCAAAATAGTTTCTTTTGACTCTATGTCTTACATCCAGGGCACACTGGTGCAAGGAGTGAGCTCCCAAAGCCTTGGGCAGCTCCGCCCCTGTGGGCTTTTCAGGGTTCAGCCCCTATGGCTGCTCTCATTGGCTATTGTTGAGTGCCTGTGGCTTTTCCAGGCTGAAGGTACAAGCTGGTGATGGATCTATTATTCCAGGATCTGGAGGACAGTGGCCCTCTTCTCAAGTTCTACTAGGCTGTGCCCCAGTGGGGACTCTGTGTGGGGGCTCCAACCCCATATTACCCCTGCACACTGCCCTAGTAGATGTCCTCCATGAGGGCTCCACCCCTGCCACAGGCTTCTGCCTAGACACCCAGGCTTTTCTATACAACTTCTGAAATCTAGGTGGAAGCTTCCAAGCCTCAACTCTTATACTCTGTGCACCTGCAGATGTAACATCATGTGGAAGCTGCCAAGGCTTATGGCTTGGACTCTCTGAAACAGCAGCCTGAACTGTATTTGGGTCCCTTTGAGCCATGGCTGGAGCTGGAGCAGCTGGGATGCAGGGACCAGTGTCCCAAGGCTATGCAAGGCAGCAGGGCCTTGGGCCTGGCCCATGAAATCAATCAGTCCTCCTAAGCTTCTGGGCCTGTGGTGAAAGGGGCTGTTGAAAATTTTTCTGAAATGCCTTTTCCTCACTGTCTTGGCTATTAGCACCTGGCTGTTTTTTACTTATGCAAATTTCTGCAGTCTGCTTGAATTTCTCCCCTGAAATTGGCCTTTTCTTTTTTACCACATGGCCAGGCTGCAAATATTCCAAACTTTTATGCTCTGCTTCCTCTTTAAATATAAGTTCCAACTTTAGGTCATTTCCTCACTCATGCATATGAGCCTAGGTTGTTAGAAGCAGTCAGGCTATGTCTTGAATGCTTTGCTGCTTAGAAATCTCTTTTGCCAGCTACCCTAAATCATCACTCTCAAGTTCAAAGTTCCACAAATCCAGAGGGCAGGGGCGCAGTGCTGCCAAGTTCTTTGCTAAGGCATAACAAAAGTGACCTTTGCTTCAGTTCCCAATAAGTTTCTCATCTCCATCTGTGACCTCATCAGACTGGCCTTTTCTGTCCATATCACTATCAGCATTTTGGTCACAATCACTTAACCAGTCTGTAGGAAATTCCAAACTCTCCCTTATCTTCCTGTCTTCTTCTGAGTCCTCCAGACTCTTCCAACCTCCACCTGTTACCCATTTCCAAAGTCGCTTCCACATTTTCAGGTATGTTTATGGCAATGCCCCACTCCTTGGTACCAATTTTCTGTATTATTCCATTCTTGCATTGCTATTAAGAAATACCTAAGACTCAGTATTGTATAAGAAAGGTGGTTTAATTGGCTCACGGTTCCACAGGCTGTACCAGACACATAATGTTGGCATCTGCTTGGCTTCTGAGGAGCCCTCCAGAAACTTACAATCATGGTGGAAGGCAAAGGAGGAGAAAGGCATTTCATATTGGGGAGCGGGAGCAAGAGAGAGCAAGGGGAAGGTGTTACACACTTTTAAACAACCAGATCTTGTGAAAACGCTATCACAAGAACAGCATCAAGGGGACAGTACTAAACCGTTCATTGAGGATCCACCCCATGGTCCAATCATCTCGCACCAGGCCTCACCTGCAATATCGGGGATTGCAATTTGACATGAGATTTGGTGGGGACACAGATCCAAATCATATCAATTCATATACATTTTTACTTTTTCTTCATTATCAAAATGTTCTAGTTTCCTTTTTGAGATCATTTTTTACTATATACAAATTTATTTAAAGTTATAGAGTTACTATGTAGTTGAAGACTAGAAACTATAAAATAAATTGAAATGGGCATGCTAAAGTGTCAGCTAGGTTTCCTTATTAGCTAAATAAGTTCTATTCACTACTGGTCTTTTAATACCCAAAATTCAAATTCATGAACAGCATCCTTGAGAATTACCAAATAGGTTGATAAGGAATAGTTGAAACTAAGATTGTTAAATCCACAAATGCCAAATATTTGTATCATTATTTAGTTATATGTTCTGCCAGTTTCTTTTTTTTAAAAATATGAATCTATTGAGTTGTATAGAGATGACAATATGATTACAGAGTAGAACAAGTAGATGAGAATAATACTAGGTACTACACTGAGCCAACAGCTTCTTGAGGCATTAACTGATTTCCAATCTGTAAATGATATTCTTGTGAAAAAAACTGGAGAAATTGGAAGTGTGGGATTGTTCAGCTAGGCAGATGTATAGAAGGTAGAAGAATCTGAAAGATAGATGGCAGATCGATCAATACAATAAATGAAGCCTCCAGAGGCATACTGCAGAAATTTGACCAGACCTTCCCATGTTTTTGTATGAATTCCATATTTGAGCATGAAACAAAACTAGAAAGACTAGCAAATATTTAAGATGATAGAATCTGGGACAAATGCTCTTAACAGGCTGGATCCAGGAGTTGAATGTTAAAAAAAATCACACTGATAGTAATAAAGGGAAAGTCCTACATTTACATTATCAAAGCCAACCAACCAACCAGCCAACCAACCGATCAACAAATGATATGAGCATGGAGTGTGGAGGAGTGGCTTAACAGAATTTCTTTTGGAAAGGATTTAGAAAGGAAAGGATTTAATTCACTCATTCATTCAGCCAATACTTATTCACCACTTCCTATGTGTCAGACACTATTCTAGAGGTGCATTCTCCAATAAGGGAGTCACTGTCGAACATTTGAAATGCTATAGAACATTTAAAATGTGGCTAGTTCAAATTGTAGGTGCTATAAGTATAAAATACATATTGCATTTCTGAGGCTTGATATGAAGAGAACATAGAATATATCATTTTTTAATAATTACATGTTGAATATATTGGCTATAATAAAATAGTGAAATATATTTAATGTTTCTCTTTTTCTTTAATGTGCCTACTAGGAAATTTAAAATTGCATATGTAACTCACATTCTATTTCTATTGAGCAGTGCTCCTCTAGACTCTGAGTACACGTAATTGAATAAAACAGACAAGATTTCTGTCTTCTTTCATTCATTCAGCTAATATTTACTGAGCACCTATTATGTGCCAGGCACCATTCTTTTAGGGTGATATATTCCAACAGGAGGAAGATAAATCATAAAAAGTAGCCAAATAAATAAAAAAGATCTTTTCATTTAGTATGCAGTGAAGTGATAAAAATACAACAGAGTGGTTGTGGGGAGGGACAGTCATTTATATTGTGAGGTTGGGGAAAGCCTCACTGTTAAAGGTGCCATTTCAGCCGAGACCTGAGTCACCAAGGAGCCACACATTAAGAAAACTGGGGTGAGAGCCTTACACTCACAGGAAACACCAAGTACAAAGGTCCTAAGGTAGGAACAGTGACAGGGCCAGTAGTATGGGGGCATTACAAGCTGTATCAAGGAGTTTGGCTTTTATTTTAAGGCAATGTGAAGTCACTGGAGGCTATAAATCAGGTGAGTGACAGGATCAAATGTAAATTTTTATAAGATTATTCTGTTTAAAGCGGAAAAAGTAAAAGCAAGGGTGCCAGTAATTTAGGCAAGAAGTGATGGTGACCTGGAGTAGGATGACATTAATGAAGTTGGAAAGAACCCAGGGACTCAGTGTTTTGGGAGATAGGGGCACTGAGCTTTATTGAAGGTTTGATTTGGTGTGCGGGGAATGAAGGAATCAGGTGCAAATGCAGCATTCCTCAGAGTGTGGTGTCATTGCCAGAAACAAAGAAAAGCCACCCAACTCCAAAGGCCAATGTGATCTGATGCTGTTCTGGTAGGGTTACCCTTCCCCAGGGTTGGGGACTTCATATCACACATAGGAGCAATAGCTAAAGAAGACATATTAACCAAGGGAGTGCATACCAAAGGATGCATGTGGGGCTCTGCATTTCATTTTTGGTGAGAACCCAAAGGAAGAAGGAGTAGGAAGGCAGATTTGGTCTTTTTCCCTATTGTTCAAATATGATTGGGCTGACTCCTGGGTTGAGCTCTATGTCACAGGAGGCATTCAAACAAGAACCAGATTAGAGGCCACCAACTGGAGGTCTGTGAGCTACATCTGGCTCATCAATTGTTTTCTTTGACTTTCACATTTCCCCCCCTCCTTAATTATTCAACAAACTGTCAGCCTTTCAACAACTTAGCTTAAGAATTCCAGGATTCTTTTTTCTGTTGAGCAGGAGGGAAGGTCTGATGGCTTCAGACCACCTTTCTGCACTGTACCCGTTGGTCAGGTGTGAGAAGCGTCCGTGCCCTGTCGGGGAGAAAAACCTTCTTCGGTTTTCCTCTGTTCTTGCCTGGTCCCATTCATTCTCTTGACCCTGTAGGCATTGAGTTTATGACTCCTAGACTTTTTAGGAATGTCACAGAGGATATTCTAATTGTCTCTGGGAACTGGACAAGAAAGTCAGGATTTTTATTGCTAAAATTGAGATTTCTTATTTTCTTGACCGATACTACCAGAACGGAAGCTTTCATTTACTCTAGGATCTTTCCTCTACCAGCCTGTTCTGGGGTCATGCATGCTATGGTATGGATGGTGGCTTTGAATGCAGTCTTTGAAGTTAGCTTTATCTTAGTTCCAATCCCAACACCAGACAGTTACTATATGACCTCTGTGGGCCTTGTTATTACCATCTGTAAAATTGATTTAAACATTTTAGTGCCTCCCCCAGAGAGTTGCTGTGATTATTAAATGAAATAATGTATTTAAAAAACCTAGCTCATAGGCAGGGTAGTGGGGATGAGGGTGTGGGGATGGTTAATGGGTACAAAAAAATAGAATGAACAAGACCTAGTATTTGCTAGCACAACAGGGTGACTATAGTCAAATAATTTTTATATTTTATCTTCAAAATAATTTTATAGTCAAAAATAATTTAATTATACATTTAAAAGTAACTAAAGGAGTACATAATTGGATTGTTTATAACACAATGGATGAATGCTTGAGGGGATGAATGCCCCATTTACCCTGATGTGATTATTACACATTGCATGCCTGTATCAAAATATCTCATGTAACCCATAAATATATACACTTACTAGGTACCCACAGAAATTAAACATTTTTAAAAATCAAAAAATAAAAGACATAGCCCAAAGCAAGGCTCATAATGGGTACCCAGCAAACTCTATTATTAAATACTTCTTGAGCATCTACTAGCTTCAGGCTTTTTGCAAAATTCTTAGAGTTGTCAGACTGTGAGGTGATCATTACAATTCTAGTTTAATCCTCTCATTTTACAGCTGAGGAAACTGAGGCCCCAAATGGTGAAATGTTTTGCTCAAGGCTACCAAGTTAGGATCTGATTGACAGAGACTTGGAATTTGAGCTTCTCTGTCGACAGTTGGATTCACTCTATTGTTTGCCCATTCATTTCCTGGTCAACTTCTCCTTCAACCTCTCTTCCCACTGGATTCAACAAGTTTTTATTGAGTATCTAATACATTATTGGAGTCAGATATAGAACAGTGGTTCTCAGTTGGAGGGTGAGTTATCCAGGAGACAGTTGGAAATGTCTAATGACGTATTTGTCACAACTGGGTGGGTACTACCAGTATCTAATGGGTAGGTGCCAGGGATACTGCTAAACATCCTATAATGCTCAAGACAGCCCCCAGCAATTATCTGGCCCTAAAAGTCAATAGTGCTGAGGCTGAGAAACCCTGATATAGAGGATGTACAGATAAGTGAAACTTTTTTTTTTTTTGCTTGCAAAGAGTTCCCATTCCAGGGCAGCGGGGGAGGAGGTGGTGGAGGATTACTCTTGATACATTGTGATAAGTGCCCCCCAAGAACATCAGTACCCCTGATGAATGCTCTCTGAATTTTTGGACCTAACTACTTTCCTTTAGACAACACTTACAACAAATCCACGTGGGCAGAGTAATTATTAAATAAAGTGGAGGGGGCCACAGAGCCAAATGAAGATACAGAGCCCTGTATTGAGCCTCCTTTCCTGGAGGCTCAAACTGGGAAGAAAACCTCTTTATTCATTTTAAAAACAAAGCCTTCACTCCATTATTATTATTATAATGTTCATTATGGGAAATTTGGAAAAATATATAAAAGTTGAAGGCATAAATAATTCTTAATATTTTGCTTTATTTCCTTTCAACTTTTTTTTTCTTCCTATGCTTGGTTTTTTACTTTGCATAGTTGTGATCATATAGAATGGATAAACTTGCAGACTGCCTATAAATTGGCATTCTTTCATTGTGTATGTGTTACTGCCATGGACATCTTTGTGCATAAAACTCCTCTTTATTTAGGGTTAAAAAAATAAATTCTCGGAAGTGAAATAATTAGTTTTAAACTATAAGTAATTTAAAGCTTTTGATATATACTGAAAATTGCTTTCGCAAGAGATTATTTCAATTACATTCTCACTGACAATGTATGAAATTGCCCTCAAAAGTTAATCTTAAAAATCATGAGCTGGGTAATATGATTTTAAGATAGTCAATGGTGAGATCAAGTTATGTATTTCTTGGAATAGATGAGATATATAAAAAGAGAACATAGTAATTTTTTAATAAGCTCTTGCTAATTTAACTTTCAATATTGTTCCTTATTGAATTCAGTGTTCACAGTTCACATTTGTTACAGAAAGTTTAAATATCTGTTTTATAATGTTGAAAATACACTCTTCTGCGTTTATAGTATAAAATCCTTACTGTATTTTAAATTTAGTTTTTTTGTGGCTGTGGCATTTCATACATATATACAGTGGTATTAATGTTTGTGATATCTCTGGTTTTGTGTGGCTATTTTATTCTTGTGTGGAGAACTGTGGATGAGAGTTTTATCTCTATTTCTTTTTCTTTCCTTTATTCCTTTTTTTTTAAAAAAAATTTGGAAACTGCCAAGCAAACAACCATCCCTCAATGAATGAGATAAATTAATTTGCCTTTTCCTGTTACAAGTTGAAACACAAAAATGTTATAGCAAAGAAAAAGTATCCGGTTCCAATTTTATGGTTAAATCTCTTTGTCTGAAGGACCAGAAAAAGCTCTTCCTTGAAGTCAGTATAGAAATATGTTTTCACAACTTAGCAATACACTGAAATTCTTTAAGGGAGCTTTTATTTTTCCCTCCTACTTCAATTATAAAATTGGAGATGTAGCCTCATAAAGAGAGGAAAAAATCAATGATAGACTGAGTTGAAAACATTTGACAAGGAAATAATTTAAGACTGGTTCAACAAAGGGCACAGATTGCAGAAGAAGAAATGTAAATGACTAATATAATATAAAAAGGTCAGCTTCACTAATAATGACATGCAGATTGAAATGAAGTACAATTTCCACCTACCAAATTGGCAAAAATAAAGATATTCTTCAATGTTGATAAGGATACAGTGAAACACATTTGCAGACATCGCTGTTTGGGATGTAAATTCACATCAGCATTATAAAAATCAATCTAGCAATATGTATTAAGAACTTAAAAAGAGTTCACATCCTTTTTTACTCAATAATTTTTCTTTTATGGGGCTACTGTAAATTATTCAAAAATCTCTACAAATAGGTATATCCAAAGATGTTCATTGCATTGTTATTTATAATAGCAAACTATTGCAAAGAACCTAAATATCCAACAATAGGAAATTGGTTGAGTACACTATGGTATAGATACCTTGCTACCTGGAGTGTGGTTCAAAGACCAGCCGCATTGCCCCATCCGAGACATAATGAATAAGAACCTGCATTTTAACAAGTCTCCCTGGTGATTGCTGTGCACATTGAAGTTTGAGAAGACTTGTTCAGGTATAGGAGAAAGCAGTTCCCACCTGATATTCATTATAGGGGATTTTTTCTTTTTTTTTTTTTAAACAGAAAACATTCTCAGCTGGGGCACACAGACTCTCTGATGGTAGAGGCAGATTATCTGTAGTTTTAGGAAGCTCACAGGCAATTCTGATTTACAGCCAAACATGAGAACAACAGATATATAATGTGATGCTACTGTTAAATCTGCTAACCTCTCTTTCTACTGCCTTCCACAGCACAAGTTAATTTAATGAATTACCTGATGTCTTACATTGAACAATCATACCAAAGACCACATATAGCATTTGCAATACGGAGGCCACTGAGGGTACTTTGTAGATATTGCCTAAGAGCCAGAATAGCATTACTTCCTCTGAGAGCAATACCTGGCACGTGAAGCTTGTTGAATATTGTTGAAGGAATGAGAAAGTAGGCAGGAACTCCTATGGCTTGCACACCTACACTCTGACATTCTGTTTCTATACTGTTTGTTGTTAGGTAAGAAATATTTTTTAGGTTCCCTAAATCCAGGCTTTACTGGCTTAGAAATTTGTTGTCAGGTATGATTTTGATTGTATTGATGAGGATGCTGGCAGAAAATAAATGGCAAAGTTAAATTAGGAATTCAAGTTGAGTTTAATAAAGGCACTATTTACAAAGGTGCCAGGCAGAGTTAAAGGAAACCAACCACAGGGAAGAAACAGTGGGGGTGGCTGCCACCCTGAGGTCGAGGTAAGGGGTAAAAGCAGGGTGGGGAGATGGGTAATGTCCCTTGGAGAGGGCTGTCTCATATAAGCTGAAGCCTAGTAAAGAAATGCAATGCATTAAGCAGGCATTTATTTTCTGTATTCTGATGCATTGACAGCATGAGGCCTTGTTGACCCTCGAGAGATTCCCTCTCCCAGGGCTAGCAATTCCTGGAGTTGGCAAGCAATTCAACAGGGAGTACATCTTCTCTATGCAAACCAACCCATCCAGAGCCCAAACTCCAACCACCCCCTTTACTGGGCTTTTACACTCCAGGCCACCATCCCCCTCACATGATTACTCTAGGGCCAGGTACCAGACAACTAGGAATGGCTCCTATGCCCCAGAGCCCACTGAAATTATTCAAATGAGCCCATTCTAAACTTGCTCACCTTGCCTCTCCTGAGCCTTCCAGTGGAAACCACAATGAAAACTCTTGCCCATGTGTCCCCAGCTCTCTCTGGCTCCTCAGTGACCCTGGTGCTTTCTCATATAACTCTCCTTTATGGCCTGCCACATCTGTGGTTTCTAGGGAGCTGTGAGTATAAACACTTCTGTCACAACAATTATTTCCGTGCCTGCATGCCTTAACCACACCTGATTAAAATAAATCCCGGGTACCTGATTAGAACACACAGCCAATCCAGAGGCACGTGGCAGGAAGAAGTGGAAGAGAATAACCACTTTGCTTTCCCTCTCCACCTCCTGTTAGTGTCTCTGCAAGCCAAGCCAATCAGAAGCTAGTGGGGCAGGGAGCCCCAAGTGTAGCCCATGTACGTCAGGCTCTTGTGGCACAGAGGAGGGAGGGGAAAGGTGGCGAGTGCATCTGGAGCCATAAGAGACAAAACCCAGCGTAGCAGCAATGGACCCATGACAGCGAGAATAACATGGAAGCAGCTCTTGCTTTCTGGTCTTCCTAGTCTCAACACATTGGCTAAATGTATGAATCCAGTTTCTGGTAACATCTTTATCTTTGTCTTTGACTCACAACACAGACAAGGAGAAGAGAGCAAGCAGCATTTTTCCCCCCATGAGTTTCTTGTCAAAGCATTAAGGTTTTAGGTGGATAATATCTATAAAAGACAAGAATTACAAACCACTTTATCAAAGGAAAACCACATATGGAGTTTTCACTTGCCAATGGATATGTTCTGCTGAAAGCTCCAATTGGATGTGGTTGTCTTTTTTTGGTCTTTTATACCCAGAGACACAGGCAACAGACACTAAGAATGTAGAACCTCATTTTCCTCCTTCATGAGCGTATTGCCTTTAGAAATATCATAGACTCATTCTTGAACTTCTATCTCTTGCTCTTTGAACATAACTCTCAAGTGTTTTGATGATGGGTAGGTCCCTTCATCTCCAGCGTCTACCTCTTTCAATTTGCAGCAATAGTAGAAAGAAGTTCTGAGTGGAAGAAAGCCACAAGAAGAATAAAACGGTTTTTACACAAATGACAGAAGCTGAAATGGAATTGTCATTTCATGCGGGGACTAGATTTACCCAGGGTAATCAGAACTACTTGGGGAAAACTCAAGTCCTTTTTGGGGGGTGGGGTGGGGTGGGGTCTCACTCTGTTGCCCAGGCTGGAGTACAGTGGTATGATCATGGCTCACTGCAGCTTCAACCTCCCTGAACTCAGTGATCCTCCCACCTCAGCCTCCTGGGTAGCTGGGACCACAGGTGCACACCACCACTCCTGGCTAGTGTTTTTGTATTTTTTATGCAGATGGGGTTTTGCCATGTTGCCCAGGCTGGTCTTAAACTCCTAGTCTTAAGGAATCTGCCTGCCTCGGCCTTCCAAAGTGCTGAGATTACAGGCATGAGTCCCCGCATGAAGCCTAAGGTCCTTTAAAGATCACAGTGTGATGCAATAGTGTTTTCAAGCAAGTGGGGGCCATCACTGCAGCTAACAGTAATCTGGATCTTGACTTAGCCTCTGCATCTCAGGTGACCAACTTAATTCCTGGGCTGTGTATAGTGGCTTGGAATGCAGATACACAAAACTACAAGAAGTTTCTAATGAAGTGGTGCTTGAACTCTGCCTTACAGGCACGTGGGGAGTAGTCCATTGGCATGAAGGTGAGAACGCAGAAATAAAAAGCGGGATGGAGGCCATTTTTATGTATTTTAACTTCCAGTGCATCTTGTGCTTTAGATGACTAATGCCCTCTGTGAACTTCTGCGAGTGGAACCAAAACTGTTTAATGAATAAGTGACTTTTAGTGCTTTATTTTTACCTAGAGCTTCATTTGAAATAGATCATCATTAGCTTTATGGTTTTAATTGTATTGGAATTTCTTATTGTAACCTATTGCTTTATTGCATTAGTCCATTAACCTGGGTGCTACGGAGCATAGTTTTAGAGCCTGTATTTATATCTGGACTAATTGCATGGATGCTTCCTTATAGGGTGAGATATTTTTCAGATAATCACAGGAAAAATCATCTGAACCCCTTTCCAAACTTCAGGGTCTAGGAAATAACCAAACCAAATCCAAAAGACCCTGAAGATTATTCTGAACTTTTCTTACTTTGAAATACCTACCACTCTATCAACAAGGAATTGCAAAATAGTAATTCTCACAATATGTGTTGCTCCCACATGTTTTTCATTTGGCAGTGCTGTGGGACGCTTTGGTTGGCTGGCTCCCCAATCAAATCCAGGTGGTTAATGGTCACAAACTGGGGGACCATGAGGGGAACTGTACCTTGTTCATTAGGGCAAATGGAGATGGAGTGTCCAGGCCACTGGCTGAGGGCCTAGAATCTCAGACAAACTAAGAATGACCAAGGCCCAGCTCTCTCTTCCTTTGCTAATAACCTGGAAGGTGGCACAGCTGTTAACACCAAGTTGACCCAAAGCATTTCTTCCCAGGGTGGGAAAGTGACTGATGGAGACTCCAGCATGTTCAGATCACACAGGGTGTTTTTTACTTCTCCTGGAGGAAGAAACACTGAAGTTAGAATTGGGCCCTTTGTAACCTCGCATATGCTCAACAGCAGGAGTGTTTATAATGCCCATCAACCAGGCTTTCCGCTGCACCTGTTGGTGGACCAGCTGCAGAAAGCAGGTGTATCTGGGGACAGAGAGGACGGGTGACTGTGGAGAATGCTGAGGGCTGCCAGATGTGGTCCACATAAACACTGGGCCAACAGCTGGGAGACAGGAAAGATGTGGATTTAATTAAAAATGACGTGCAAATTTGATTATTAATTTCAAGCCACTGTGTGAATGTAACATACATACATACATACATATATACACATATATAATATGTATTTCAAATGACTGAATAGAATGTGTTAATGGAAGCATGAGTTTCACTTTTCACTAATTCCATGCACTTTATATTTTGTTCATTGGTCCACATGATTGTTCATCATATTTCCATGTCCATTAAAAAAACTTTCCCAGGCAGGAAGCTAAAATTCTAGTTTAATTGGAAATGCCTTGCAATCCCAGGAATACAACCTTGTCAACTGAAACAGATAAACTGAATCAGGTGACCTCTGACACTTGCATTTATAACTGGACTAACATGAATACATTCATTGTAGCATGGGAGACTTTGACCACAACTGTGTGCTGTGGACTCTTATGAGATTGAGCTAACTCCTTAGTTTTCATTTGCCATCTTCACCAGAGCTGAGACATAGCAGTGCCTCATGAGAAGGGTGGAACTCACGGGGCTATTGACACGGCCTTGCTAGACTCCGTAGATGGCCCATAGGATATGTAGGAAGCCTGGGGAGAATTTGCTGTGGTTGGCTTTGGAAGACCAGGTGTGTTGTAGGTCTTACCAGTGATGAGTCTGGAGGCATGAGGCATCCATCATTCATTACTTAAAAGAGCTGAGAGTGAGGATAATCTCTACCTTGGAAACAACACCTGATTGGACAGTGTTCCGTGGTATTTAAACTTAAAACTGGTACTGGCCAAGGAAGACAGTCAAAACGTTTTGGCATCAGAGAGGAGGGCAAAATCAGAGGTCTGAAACATACTGTCTCTTGAGGTTTTCAGGGGGTTCTCCCTCCTACCTTAATGTGTCACATTCTCCATATTCTTTTAGGACATTGGTTCTCATCTGAGCGCCCCTTGAAACTGTAGGCAAAATGTTGTGTACACACACACACACACACACACACGTATATATATATATCTACACACACACATTGAATTGCACATTTTTCTCAATGGTGGTTAGTACGTAATTTTCTTTGGATTCTCAAAGTTCTCAAAAGCTTAAGACCTAAGGAGAGCAGTGTTTCTTTTTTTTTATTTATTATACTTTAAGTTCTGGGATACATGTGCAGAATGTACAGGTTTGTTACATATGTATACATGTGCCTATGTGTATACTATGTGTATTGTTGCTGCACCCATCAACCCATCATCTACATTAGATATTTCTCCTAATGCTATCCCTCCCCCAGCCCCCCAGCCCCTGACAGGCCCTGTTGTGTGATGTTCCCCTCCCTGTGCCCATATGTTCTCATTGTTCAACTCCCACTTATGAATGAGAACATGCAGTGTTTGGTTTTCTGTTCCTGTGTTACTTTGCTGAGAATGATGGTTTCCAGCTTCATCCATGTCCCTGCAAAGGACGTGAACTTATCCTTTTTTATGACTGCATAGTATTCCATGGTGTATATGTACCACATTTTCTTTAGTCTATCATTGATGGGCATTTGGGTTGGTTCCAAGTCTTTGCTGTTGTGAACAGTGCTGCAATAAACGTATGTGTGCATGTGTCTTTCTAGTAGAATGATTTATAATCCTTTGGGTATATACCCAGTAATGGGATTGCTGGGTCAAATGGTATTTCTAGTTCTAGATCTTTGAGGAATCGCCACTCTGTCTTCCACAATGGTTGAACTAATTTACACTCCCGCCAACGGTGTAAAAGCATTCCTATTTCTCCACATCCTAGGAGAGTGGTGTTTCTAAGGAGAGCAACTTATTTCTCTTGAGGAAATGTCTTCATGGCAAGAAATAATGATAACAGCAGTAACAACAATAGTAAGTTAATACTTATGGCATTCATGATGTTCCAGGCATCATCTGAGCACTTTACAGATGTTAGCTTGTTTAATAAGGCATCTGTAGTTGTCAAAAAGAAAACAGAGTATTGTGCCATACTTTATAACTACTCTTCCTTGAAGGAATTCCATTTCTCTAGCATGATTCCAATGCCTTCTCTGCTCTGATTTTGAATGTCAACCCTTTTCAATGTTTATTTACCCAATGTATTAGTTTTCTATGCAGCATAAAACATTACCATGAATTTAGTGGCTTGAAAAAACACCCCTTTATTATGTCACAGTTTCTGCGGGCTGGGAGTGCAGGCAAGGCTTATCTGGGTTTTGTGTTAGGGGCTCACCAGACGTTAATACAGGTGTTGGCTGGGGCCATGGTCTCATCCAAGGTTTTGTTGGGGAAATAACTGCTTACGTGCTCCATTTAAGATTGTGGGCAGAATTCATCTTCTTTTCTTGTTGTGGGCAGAATTCATCTTCTTTTCTTCTTTTCTGTTGCCTGGAGGCAGTTCCTTGTGCTACAGCCCTTTTATAACATGGCAGCTTACTTCTTCAAAGCCAGCAAAGGAACCTCTGTCTCCTGTCTGATAATCATAGGCATCAGATGATCATAGGCATATAGGATGATCATAGGTATAATAGCCTATGATAGCCTATCATAGGCATAATAGCCTATGATAGCCTATCATAGGCATAATAGCCTAAGGCATAGGCTTATAGGATGATCATAGGCATAATAGCCTGAGACTTATAATGTAACCTAATAAAGGGAGTGACATCCTGTCACCTGTAGCATATTCTGTGGATCAGAAACAAGTCACAGGTTCCACTCAAACACAAGGAGAGAGAATTTTGCGGGGGTGTGACTCATTGGAGGTCACCTTGGGTGTGTTGCCCACTATTGAGTGCACACTATATGCTCAAAAACTGTTGATTGGGTGCCCACTATGTGCCAGCATAGCTTTAGTTGCTTGCTTGAAATATACATCAGGGAGCATCATTTTCCTTTTTCACTTTTCCTTCTAGTCCAGAGGGAGCATTATCTGCTTCCCAGATGTGCTGTGTCCACCTGCATTGCTGAGTCTTTGCTTCCAGCTGTGCTCCCAGCTTGGGGTGCCCTTCTATGTCCTCTTTCTCAGTTATAATCCTTGTCAGACTAAAAGGCTCAGCTCAATTTCTGTGGCTTTCCCGAAACCTTTCCTGATCCCTAAATCATTGTGGGTGGCATGGGAGCACTTGGTTGTACCTCTCTTGTAGCAAGCATTTAATTCTGAGTTGTATTGTAGTTACTTGTGTAAATATCTATTTACTTCAACAAAGGGATCATGTTCTACACGTTGTTGTCAATTTTTTGGCCTCATTTTCACATGGGAAGTACTAAATAAATGTTTGTTGAATGAACTTCCCCCAGACAGTTGACCCTACTTTTAATTTTTTTCCTTTTTCCAGGAATAAAAATAATCAACAATCCATCTTTAGCATAGGTTTGAGTTTCTGTCTGTAAAATGGGGACAGAAAGGTTGCCTCTAGCTCTTTTCTTTTCTCTTCCCGTTAGCCCCAGTGAACTATAGCAATGGCCCCTGCAGGGCCCACCTAGGACCTGTTAGCTTAGCTTGAAAAGATCCAAAGGTGAAGGCTATGGAACCTCCCAATTTCGCAGTGTTCTAGTTCTTAGTGAGGTCTTATGCCCCTCTTGCCCTGCATTTCCTTCCTGTCATTTTGATGCCTATAGCAGAACTTACTGCTGAACAATCAGTGCTGGTCCTGCTGAAAACGCATCGAGACTGGGTGGCAGACTGGCTTTCCAGCCACTGAAACGAGTTTCTGGTGGGGCCTGTCATCCCAGCAGCAGTTTAGGTGCTTTTGCTCAATGTGAAGTTGCATTTTATTTTCCCTAATTACTGACTGGATGTTAGAAATGGTTTGGCATTCAATTCTTTAGCTCCGTGTAAGGCAATAAACCGCTTCATCATACAATCCATTTAATTAATTACCTTTCATTTTGCGGGTGCTGTTAGTATGACGTCGATAAAATATAATCCAAATGTTTTCTGATGCAGTGTTGCCTTTCTGTCTCCTTACCCTGGGGCTTATTACCTCCTGGAGCAAGATTTAAAAAAAATTAAAAAGCAGAGGAAAGGGAAATTCAGGTAAAGCAGCAAGAAATATTCCTGACATTGGACTCTGCAAAGGCAAAGGGTCTAGCATTGATTTCTTACATTTAATATGATACTAAAGTGAACCAGATATTGCAAAGCTGGAAAAGAAAATAATCTGCGTTGGCAGAATGGTCCTTTATGGATAATGTGGATGTGATGTAGTTACTGTCCACTGCAGGCAGGATTACTGGCTGTCCTTGCAGTTGCTTTCGCTCTCCACCTTCCCCAGGTCATCCATGTCCCTTTCTGAATCTCCCACAAATGAAAGAAACACATATCAAAACAGCTGTTCCTATAAGGCAACATCAGGAAGACTTGGGATTTGCAGTTCATCCAGTGAATAATTCTTTATTGAGGTGGCTCTACAGAGACGGGCCATGCTCCAAGAGAGCCGAAGAAAGAACTGGTCCATATCTGAGCTTGACTCTTTGGCCATTCAAAAGGGTGTCTAGGGATGGGAAAGGCCGATGGGTCATTTGGAAAGCTCTCGGCATAAGTGGGACCATGAACAAGTTCCAAGCTGGGTCTGTGGTAAACCATTTGTTCAATATTAAGAGAGTGATGATGGAAGACCAAAGGAACATGTAGTCTGTGAAGTTAAGGACTGTTCAGTGTCAGGGAACAGATGATGATGGAGATTTCCTCTAGATATCTTGCTTGCATGTCCCTGCGACACATTAATTTTTTCTTCTTTTTTGAGACAGGGTCTTGCTCTATTGCTCAGGCTAGAGTGCAGTGGCATGATCATGACTCACTGCAGCCCTGACCTGCTGGGTTCAAGTGATCCTCCTCCCTCAGCATCCTGAGTAGCTGGGACTATAGGCATTTGCCACCACATCTGGCTAATTAAAAATTTTTTTTTTTGTAGAGATGGGGTCTTACCATGTTGTACAGGCTGGTCTCGTAACTGCTGGGCTCAAGCAGTCCTCTCATCTTGGCCTCCCGAAGTGTTGGGATTACAGGTGTGAGCCACTGCCCTCAGCCATGACACAATTTTTAAAAGCTCCTGGGGCTGATCCAGGGATAACAGTAACATGGGTTTAGTGGGGGAGAAGGGAATAACCTTGACTTTAAGGAATCATCATGAGTTTTCATAGTTAATTCTCATTTAAAGAATTTCCCAAGGTCTCTCTGTGTGTGTTTTTGTTAGAATACCCAGTTAAATAGGGAGAGTCTTAGTATTTGAATAGACTGAGACAAACAGCTGCTTTCTGACATTTGTGTGTGTGGGTCTCATCACTCTCCCATCAACCTCCAAATATTTATAGAACATTCAGTACACACAGGGGCGAGGTGGACCTCCTTTCCTAGAATGACCACTCCATCTTTTCTGACCCTAGATAGCAAGATCACCCCATCTCCACCTCTGAAGTAAAGGCTATAGTAACTTGCAAACGACTAGAATGTCTCAGCACCCCTGAGTTATGGTTCACAATGGGGATATTAATAGTTTTGGAGATTAAATGAAGTAATAGATATTAAGCCCTTAGTTATTTTTATTAAAGTTATTATTTTTATCATTATTGGTAATGGGCCAACTGCCTACTTGGAGCTGACCTTAACCATGTATCTTTCACACCTTCTCTCTTGCCTTCCTGTAGAGCAAGGCTCATTTTTTCTAGTGTAATCATGAATGATATAATATTTTTTCTGTTTAACTATTTCTTTAATATTTTTCAAAATATAAATAACTTTTTTTGCACTATATTTGAATATTAAAATGATTTGACCCAAAAGTTTGAGGTTGAGTATGTATTTATGTCCTAATGGTTAGAAGAGAATATAATCCTGAAAATAAATAAGGCTGGTAGTCGTAGGGAGTGGTTCTCTGGGGGTGATTGCCCCTGTAAACCCCACCTCCCAGGGGGCACTTGGCAATGTCTGGGACATTTTTTTGATTGTCATAACCAGGGGGAGGGTGCTACTGGCATCTAGCAAGTAGAGTCTATGGATGCTTCTAAACACTCTACAATGCACAGGAGAGCCCCGATTCATTTTTAAACACAAGGATGTCTTTAATGATTGCTGCCATAACAAATTACCACACACTTAGTGGCTTACAACAAAACAGGTTTGTTATCTTCTACTTCTATTGGTCAGAAGTCTGACATGGGGCTCACCAGGCTAAAATCAAGGTGTCAGCAAGACTCCCTTTTTTTGGAGGCTCTAGGGGAGGATTCATTCCCTTGCCATTTCCAGCTTCTAGAGACTGCCCGCGTTCCTTGCCTTGGGGCCCCCGCCCCCATATTCAAAACCAGCAATCCTGAGTCCAGTCCCTTTCGTGCTTCAAATCTCTCCTGCCTCTTCCATGATCACATTTCTCTGACCATCTGTTATGCCTCCTTCTTGCATGTCTAAGGGCCACTGTGATTACATTGGGCCAACCCAGGTAATCCAGGATAACTTCCCTATTTTAAGGATTAGCCTCCTTAGTTCCATCTGCAAACTTGAATTTCTTTCGCCATGTGATGTGACATTCACAGATTCCAGGGACAAATTTGTGGGGGCTACTATTCTGTCTAAACAGCCCAAGATAAAAAAATCATTCAGCCCCAAATACCAAGAGTGCCGAGGTTGAGAAACCCTGTCTTAAGAGAAAGCTTTCTAGTCCTTAGAGAAAGCTGGGTCCTTTATTCAATGTGGATAAAAGAAAAAAGCTACCTTTAAACTGACTCACTTTTGAAGTGTTAACATCACAGCACATTTAATAATTTGGACAATTTGCATTAAAAGCCACTGCTGGCCAAGATATGATGATAACTTAGTCTACACAGTGAGGAAGTGAAAAATCTCCTATTAAATAAATGAAGCAGCAGCTTCTGGTAACAAACATATAACAAACAAACATATGAAACAGAATATTCATCTTTTCTTCAATGGGAATAACACATGACAAAAGTGAGGCTTTCTTCACATTGTTTGTTTATAGAAAATTCATCTCCACCGAGGCCTTATGTTAAATTTGCTCTCTGATGTTAGCATTTCCAGGATGCACAGGGCCACTGGAGTATGTTCTTATGATCTTACCATTTATTTACCTTGATACAAAACTCCAATTACTGTCAGAGATGCTTCTTGTTAAATATGGTAAGATCTCCAGCTTCTGAGAGTGTGAATATGTATTTGATTCTCTGGGGCCAGGCTCAGATGGAAGTTAAGGAATGAGTTCTGGGGACGTGGGTGCAAATTAATTAAATATCTGAAGATAACCATGGAGGAAGCTTGGGCTTTAGAGAAAAGGCTGAAACTCAGGGAGAGAAGATTGTATATCAAGAGACTGTGAGGTTGGTTTTTTTCTTCCACTGACGCTTTCTTTCCTGGTCTTGCATGGTGTGTGTGTGTGTTTGTGTGTGTGTGTGTGCGCACACATGCGCGTGCATGTGCTGGTGTCTGTGTGCATGCTCATGCACACATGCTTGCTCATTTACTCTAAGTGTTACTGTGCTTTTGTGTTGCTTTCTTGTATCTTTCAATGCCTAAAGCAACTCTTGGATTATCCAAAATCGGGAATCAGAATATAACATATAATTTCCAAAGACATCAGGGGAGACTGTTCTCCAGATAAAATGTTAGAATTCTCCTGATATATTCAAACTGTCATATTTAGTTACTGGCTTTCTTTGGCAATCCAACTCTATTTTATTCATGGGCTATTCTAAAAATGTAATCAAAGGACACCTACTGGCTACAAGCAACTTTGCTCATGTCTAGTAGGGCTGTGAAGAATGGTTTGAATTTAGTGCAGATGCAGGAAAATATGTGCTGTCATCAAGAGCCTATCACACTTTCAACTTATAAAATATCTTGACTGGAGTCTGGCCAGAGTGAGTATGGGGTGGAGGCTTTAGTGAGGATGAATGTATTGGGTCAGATAAAGTAAGGACCGAAGCGAGTCTTAAGTAGACTATAAATTGAACAGAATGGGATACTATTATTTTTGGCTCAATAAGTAGAAAAATGGTACTATGCTTATCTTTTCTTCCATTTTTTGACTTGCATTTAGTCTCTATTTTAGGGTTATATATATTTTTTATTTCTGGCAGCCACAGAGACCTGCTTTGGGGAAGCACTGGAGTTCTGTGGTTCTGAATGTGAAAAAGAAATGATGCATCATTGTTGTTGCCATGCTGGGGAATTTTCTGGGGAAACATTTCCATTCCTTCATAGAAATCTGTTCTGTGCTTAGGCCTAGGAGAATGATCGTTTCCTAGGTATAAAGCACATGCCTGCAGCAGCTCAGTTATACTTTATAACCCCATAGCATATAAACAATTTGATTTGGAAAGCCAGTTAAGTTCTTCCTTTGCATTCCATCTTATCGGCGGCATCAGTTGTTTTGCTATCCTCCTCTGGTATGGAGAAGATAAAAGCAATGCATTTTTAGTTATAGGGATAATATGTTTTCAGCCTTATCTGAAGAAACGACCTTTTGCTTGATTGTTATTAGCACACAGGGGTTGTAATACGTCAAAACCCCAAAGACATACCAAGACTCAAATGCAAAGTGATAGGGAAGATTTCAAAAACCAGCAGAACCACGGCATGGTGTAGGTAGTTTCAAATCGAAGCATGCATCGGACTCTCCTAGCATGCTTGTTAAAGCACAGATTGCGGGACCTCATCCCCAGAGTTTCCGATTCAGTAGATCTAGGGTGTGGCCCTAGAATGTGCATTTCTAACAAGTTCTCAGGGAATGCTGCTGCTGCTGGCCCAGGACTGCGCTTTGAGAACCAGTGGCATAGTTGGTACACATAGGCTTAATGATTTTGCATCTGGCTTCCACCATTTCCAGCTGTTTAACCTTTGGCAAGTTCCTTAATCCCTTGCTGCTTAATTCCTTGGACCAATATTACCTGGGACCTTGAAGTCCTGGGTTGGTGTCCCATTCATACCTACTGAATCAAAATTTGCATTTTCTTTTTTTAGACAGAGTCTCGCTCTGTCCCTGAGGCTGGAGTGCAGTGGCACGATCTCTGCTCACTGCAACCTCCATCTCCCAGGTTCAAGAGATTCTCATGCCTCAGCCTCCTGAATAGCTGGGATTACAGGCGTGTGCTACCACCTGGCTAATTTTTGTAATTTTAGTAGAGATGGGGTTTCATCATGTTGGCCAGGTTGGTCTGAACTCCTAACTCAAGCAATCTGCTGGCCTAGGCCTCCAAAAGTGCTGGGATTACAGGTGTGAGCCACTATGCCCGACTTCAAAATTTGCATTTTATCAAGATCCTCAGATCATTCATTTACACATTACATTTGATAAGCACGACTTAGTTTCACTTCTTATTTTTATTTTCTGTAAAATGGGAACAATACTTATTTCTTCCCAGGGTGTTGTCAAGTGAAATGCATGTCAAGGGCTTAGCAGTAGTGCCTGGCACAAAACGTGCCCTCAATGAATGTTACCACTTAAAATTATTAAGCTGATTTGGGATGGAAGAGCCAGCAAGTTCTCTCCTATAGTAATGTGTTTGTTAAAGGTAAAATGTGTGTGTTTCTACTTTATTTTCACTTTCTTCCTCCCCCTTTTGCCCTTAAGCTCATCTTTTATGGGTTTCTAGTTTCTTCGGGCCCACAAATGTTGAGTGACTGTTTTGGGTTTGAGGGCAATAGGTTTCCTATTTTACCCACTTTATCATATAAGCCTTCTACTAAAGCATCTTCAATTATCTTGAGGCAGTGTGGGGAAATTCTGAAAGCAAAATTAGTAATAAATTGAAAGATGTGTCTCAGTCTGTTGTGCTCCCATAAAGGAATGCCCGAGGCTGGGTAATTTATAAAGAAAAAAGGTTGATTTGACTCACAATTCTGCTGGCTGGAAGGTTCAAGATTGGGCATCTGGTGAGGCCCTCAGGCTGCTTCCACTCCTGCAGGAAGACAAAGGGGAGCCTGTGTGTGCAGAGACCACAGGGAAAGAGAGGAAGCAGGCAGGGGCCAGTGGCAGGCTCTCTCAACAACCAGTTCTCATGGAAGCGGTGAGTGATAACTCACTCACTCCTGAGAGAAGGGCACTGCAACATTCATGGGGAATCCACCCCCAGTCCCAAACACCTCCTACCAGGCTCCACCTCCAACACTGAGATCGGATTTCACCATGAGACTTGGTGGAGCCAAACAAACCCTATTCAAACCATAGCAGCACATCTGTCCAGCACTTTGGAAAGCACTATGGGAGAAGGTCTTAAAGCCAGGCAGACTTCAATAGGGTGTAGACACCAAAAAAAGTTGGGAATTGCCATTAGACTCTCTCCCCTTCCCCTTTCCCATTCTTTCCCATTCAATTCTAAAATTGTTTTCAGAATTATGTTAAATTATTTTGCCCAACTATGACCTAGAAAAGATTGATGTGCCTTAAGAAGTTTTCTTTGCGATGAAGCATTTCAAGGTTTCTTGGGGAGGCTCAGTACTCTAACTTCTGAAGACCTGGTCTGGCTCAGGGTGGGCCTCCGAATCCTCTTTGTTTGCTCCTGGGATCTGGCTCTAAACAGCAGATGCTCTAGCTTAGAGTGAAGGGTGTCACCTCTGGCACTGTAATTAGTGGGCCTGGTGTCTGGTCTGGGACTAACATACCTTGGGCAGATTCCTCATCTATGCTGAATCCCAGTTTCCTCATCTTTAAAGGGGAATCCTCATATTTTTCCTACCTCTATTCCAAGGTTGTAGTAAATACAATATGGAGAGATGCCTTGAATATCAGCAACATTGTTTTATCATTGTCAGTTTTATCATTGTCCGTTGGGCAGACCCCTGGGATACAAGAGTAGAGCTGGCTTCAGAGAACATTGGAGTGTACTGGTGTCAGAGGTCTGCTCCCTAAACTCAGATTGGTGAGGTTTTATTGAGAATGGTTGTGAAAACATTGGCTCATAAAGGCTGGGAGTACACACACGAAGAAGGTCTGGGCTGTTTCCAATTTCTGCAGTTTGGGGACTGGCAACCTCCTTTCAATGTCCAGCAGGTGAGACACTGCTGAGAGAAGCCTGAGGAAGTGACAGCTGCAGCTGACATTGCAGAGAGCAGAAGCCAACTTTTTCACTGGATGAGCAAGCCACTTTGTCCTCAGTTTCCCTTTGATGGAACCTCTGCCACCTGCCAAGCCCTGTCTGTTTCCTGAATGCCATAGCAGGTTGTCCCATAGGGAGGGCAGGTTGTAAAGGGTTAAAGAAGATGCCATGACTTGAATTAACAAGTCTATGGCTAGGGGTTCAGTTAAGACCACCTCTTGTTTGACCACCAACCAACGTTCCCTGCTTCAGCTTTGGCTCCTTAAAGGATGTGAGGGATCAAACTAGGAAGCTTTTATATGCCCATTTAGATTAACAAACAAACAAACACATGATATTTGACTGCTAGTAAGCCTTTCCTCTTAGGGAGAAATTACAGTTGTTGACTCTATCACATACCCTCCATGCCTGATTCCTGGCTTCTTATGAAAATTCCCATCCTTGATTTTCCCCCCTTGGGCTAGCCCACCTTCTTGGATAAGAACAGGTTTTCTTCTTTCTTGCATATTATCCTTGTTCCTGACTCTCCCTTGCTGTGTTGCTGATTCAGATTTCCAGTATTGACTCCAACCTTCCCATCTGTGATCTCATCATTCTAACCTCTTGTGCTACAGATGCTGGAAAACAAAAAGCTACTTGAAAAAACTCCCTTAGAGTTCAGTTTCTGTGTACTATGTTGGTCCTACCTATGTACAAGACTAGGTTTCAGAGCTGAGCAGGATGGAGTGAGAGGCAGAGTATGAGGCATTCACTTTTTGGTGTAAATCAGGGGTACCATGTTCTACACTCACACCTTCCTGCTGGCTGCAGTGGTGATATTTTCCTCCATTGTGGCAGGACATTGGGAATTATTCCTGGAAGCTCTGCATGGGTGTTTGAAGCTACCTAATGCCTAGTAATGAATCACTTTGTGCTGAAATTAGCTAGAGTGGTTTCTGTTGGCTGAGGCTGAATCTAACTGATATACTGACTGGATACTTGCCATTTTCCCCAATATAATTCACCAGCTTTCACACCTGTATTCTTGGGCCAGCGAGCCAATCTTACCACTAGAACCACAGCACCTGTTATTTTGGTCTGACAGGGGTCTTCCCCCCTTACTTCCAGGTACATTTCCTGGCATGAACTTTGCTGCTACCACTGCCAATCAAGCCATGTCCTGGGGCTTGAACCATCAAAAAGTGGTACTGAACAGAAGTTGCTTAAATTCAGGATGTGAACGGATGAGTTATCTGTGAGTTTACTTAGTTTCCTGGCCTAATCCTGTTCTGATGTTTCAAATGCATTGGTGTGGTGGAAGCTGATCAGAAATTCTCCACCTTTCTTTCTTATTAGATATCCCAAACTTTCAAGACATCTGCAATTATTTACTCATTCATTTATCATATTTTAAAAACATTATCTTTTTAAACAAATGAGAAGGGCACTATGTTAGTCTGTTCTCACGCTGCTAATAAAGACATACTGAGACTGTGTAATTTATGAAGAAAAGAGGTTTAATTGACTCACAGTTCCACGTGGTTGGGGAGGCCTCATAATCATGGCAGAAAGAGAATGAGGAGGAAAGTCACATCTTACATGGTGGCAAGTAAGAGAGCTTGTGTAGGGGAACTCCCATTTATAAAACCATCAGATCTTATGAGACTTATTCACTACCACAAGAACAGTATGCAGGAAACTGCCCCCATGGTTCAATTATCTCCACCTGGCCCCACCCTTGACATGTGGGGATTATTACAATTCAAGGTGAGATTTGGGTGGGGACACAGCCAAACCATATCAGGCACTTTTCATTTCAAAAATGGCTGCATATGCAATTTTCTAGGTATATTAAATAGTATCCCCAAGAGAATCTTTTCTGAAGAATGGAACATATGTGTACAGGAGTAAATAAAGTAAAATTTGAGGAATCAGGCATATCAAGGAACATCCAGAGTCACACTGAAGACTCTGACTTGAACTTTGGAGTTGTGGATTTTTCAGGTGAGCTCTGTTCCACTGGTGCAAACAAAAAATCTCAAAAAAGTTCAGAGCCTGTCCATCAAAGCCTGTTGGAAGAGGGTGCCTGGTGATATGTTTTGATTAGAGAGGGGTTCTACATACGCAAAACACACACACACACACGTGCACATACACACTTGAGTTGTTCCTTTCAAGGGCACAATTAATCTTTGCCTTTCATCACAATCCATTCCTGGAAATTGTGTTGTAAAGCAGTCACATTTTCCCATAAGAACAATATAATAATTGGGCATTGCAATCCTGACCAAAGACTTGCCATTAAATAAACCATAGATGTGGTAAAAATATGTCGTAAAAGCAAAGATGTGACAGCTGTAAACCTTTGTAATAATTTTAGAGAATAAAATTAAGCTCTGTCATATAAATGGGCTCAAATATACTATACACATTGATTATATAAGAAATTTCGATGAACTATAAAGTCTATATAACATAAAAAGTACAAATCTAGTGCATCATAAATTTGACCTAAAACTATTATTCTAGCTATAATAAACATTAAACATTTAATTAAGAATCATTTTTCTTTCCTTCTTGGAAGTGAGGAAGACATTTACTACTGTATGATTCAAATGGCCTAGGTTTCTCAACAAGAGCCAACCATATGCCTTCTTATCTCAGTGAACTTCCCTTAACAAGTAGAGACATTACAGAAAGCCTCCCAATGACCTTTACACCATAGCCCATGGAAACATTTATTGCCACTAGACAGCAGGTTTCAAACTACTGAATGGGGGAAATGTGGGTGTTATAAAGGATGGTATAGTTTTGTTCTAAGGAGTACTGAATGAATGGATAGTTACATTGGAAAAAGTGAGGTCTGAGGGCTGCATTGGTATAGTTTTGAGACTTGAGCTTGCTATAAACTCTAGAGTTTTCCGTTAACAACACATTTCATGTTTATTCAATGCTTTAGTGCTTAATGACTTAGAAAGAACATCTACACCTTCAGTAGCCATATGGTGCTCTTCAGCTTCTCTTTAGAAGAGCAAGTTCAAGAGATGTCAACAGCTCTGCCACTATTTTCTTAATAAAGCAAAATTGAAAAATCACTAAAAATAACACATTAGCTCATTTCTGTTAAATATAACCTTTGAGTATGTGTTGTAATGCCGTGCTTTCTGGTTCATAGCTTCTAGTACCTGGAATAGTGCCTGGCTTGTGATTGGTGCTCAATAGATATTTGTTGAAACAAAGAAAAAAAGACAGAAAGAGAAAGAGAGAGAGAGGGAATGAGGAATAAAAAATTTCTCAAATATGAGCTTTAACTACTACAGGGCTCCCAGGACAAACCTTAGAGTATGCTTACAGAGAGGATGCCTTGAGGAAGTCAGAAAAACTGGACTCCCAGGAGTGGTTCAGGGTGGTCCAACCAGCAGAAGAATAACCAGCCAATTCAAATTCAAATTCAGCAAGGTGAATATACAGGAAATCAGTTGAGTAGAATCCAGGGTCAGGCAGTTTAAGAACCAATATGATTCAAGAAATTAGGTGAGATATACATCATCTGCCCCGTCTTTCTCATTTAGTCTCCCCAGATCTTCTTGTCCAATCCACTTCTTCTCATCCACTTCAACTTGCACCTATAATCCAATAATCCTTAAACCCATCTTTCGAGCCCAACATCTCATCTCAGCCCTAGAGCCTTATATATGAATATCTACTGGATATATCTGTTTGACTCTCCTGAAGATACCTCAAATTCACCTTATTCAGTACTAAATTTGTTTTATCTTTTCTCACTCCAAATATGAATATCTTTCTACTTTTACTTTCTTGGTGACAGGCTAAAACCTTCCTTCATCGGACTTTCTTGAGTTAAAGAGGGGTGTGTCTGAACAAGTTTGAATTCTTTTCACTGCTGTCATCCTGTCTTAGTTTTCAGGTGAAAGGCACTCAGTATCCAGGGTCTTGGCTAGCAGGTTCTGTTGTGTTGATCTGTGTGCTGGAAACAATTTCTTCAGAGCTGTACATATTGGGAATCATACCATTTTGGAAAAAGCCTCTTGCAATGTGTATCAATGTTGCTTTCAACACATTTTAAGAATAGACTTATGGTATTAAAATGGATTAACTCTGGGGAGAGTGGCTGAAGGAAGATTTAGGAAAAGCCTGGGACGGAGGCGTTTCCTGCGATACAGAATGTTCAGTGTTAAAACCAGGACAGGCTTGGGCAAGCTGGGGTGGCTGGTCATCCTATGAAGGAATGTTTTCCTTACTTTAAGAATAGGAAGACAGTCAATAAAAGTGATGTGTAGAAAATCGTTGGTTGATATAAAGTCTTTTTGGCCATATCAACACATAAGAATGACAAAACTATTTTTATATTAACTTGTTTAGATAATGAGACTCAATAGATTTGTAATGCTGTACCATTTAATAGAATTTTCACTGATAGAAGATATAGATTTGTGATAGTATTTACTGTTGAATTAATGAGCTGCTTGCCTATATCCAGATAATTAATACAGAGAATAAAAAGGAATATTTGAAAATATTAACATTCCAAAAATATATTCAGGCAAATATTCCATTCACTACAATGGGCATTTTGAATTACTTAAAAATAGTTGGCTTTTATGGTCAATTGGCTATAGCTATGTTACTGGTAATAAACCATAAATCTTAATGCATCACCTTTTGAGACCAACAGGGATGATATTTTAAGGTAAAGAGAATATGGAAGAATTTATACAGCATGCCAATTTCATTGTAATTCTTATTAATAAATTAGCAAGGAAGAGGTAGCAAAACGATGAATTGCTGGAATTCATTAATTTGAGAATAACTCTCTTTGTGCTTGAGCCAATTATTTCTAAGATAGAGTGCTTGGAGGAGGCAGTAATATCCAGAGCTAAGATATCATAAAAATGGGGGAGAAATCACTAGTGGGATATCATAGCAGTGACTGTTGTCTAGGAATTATAATCCTAGTTAAAGGCTAACTGAAAATGAACTTGACCAATTTCCCAGAAAGCTCACTTTGTATTTTAGTGGTTAAGTGTGAAGATTGCCTGGGTTCTCATTATTTGTGAAACCTTGTGCATTTTAGCTGTACTCTTCAAGCCTTGATTCTTCCATCTGTAAAATTAGAGTAGTTACCTCTTGAGCTGTTGGGTTGAGACAATGAATATAAAATTGTTAACAGAGTGCCTGAAAGAGTGTTAGTTGATTTTATTTCGCATTATACATTATTATATATTAAGTATAATACAATGTATAACATAACTGTTATGTAATATATTTATAATGTATTTGAGCTGCTATAACAGAATACTATAGACAGGGTGGCTTAAACAACAGGCATTTATTTCTCCAGTTCTGGAGGCTTGGAAGTCCAAGATCAAGGTGCCAGCAGTTTTGGTTCTTGGTGAAGGCTCTCTTCCTGGCTGTATTCTCACATAGCAGAAAGAGAGAAGGCTCTGGTGTCTCTTTCTCTTTCTATAAGGGCATAATCCTACCATGGGGCCCCTACCTTCATGATCTCATCTAAATCTACCTCCCAAGGTCCCCATATCCTAATATTATCACACTGGGGATTAGGGCTTCAACATGAATTTTAGAAGGGATAAAAATTAGTCCTGGTTGTATGAAATATATTTACATAACAAAAAATAACAAAACTAATTTATGTTCGTTATTATTATTAAATAAATTTTGGGATTATCAGTGCTGAGATCTGCAATTGAATGAAATGACATCTTGTGTTACATTAGGATAGTTGGCAATGTCTTCTTTTTTTTAAACCGTTATTTTTCCTTTACTTTAAGCATGCCCTGAATTTGGTGGTTTGAAGGATCACACATTACCAAAAATGGGTTAAATGTATACGTAGTGATTAGAAAGACAAAACTTAGACAAACATCTTTTGGGGGAAAATAAAATCTCATAGTAAATGCATTCATTGAGTTCTGGACAGTAAGCCTTGTGAAAGTTTACCGTTCCTTAGCTTAAAAGATTTTATGTCGTCTTTGAGAGCTATCAAATGGGAAACTCTGGGGTAGCCTTGCACTGTGTTTGAAAATGCAAGATCTTTGCAATTTGCATCCTCTTGGTGAAATGTCAGCAGTTCTTCAAAAGATTTAATGACAGGAATAAATTAAAGAGACCTCATTTCAAATCAGTAGCTGATTGCCATTAACAATGGATGCCTAAACATGACTCTGGGCCACTAATTTACCAGTGGTCTCTTTACAGGGGCACACAAGCATTAGTCAAAGATTAAGAGTGGATTGTAAGAAGTGATAAGCTGAATGACTGATAAATATAGGCAATCCTTATGCCAGAAGGGCTTGGTTATATATTTCACAACAGAGAAGAAGAATGAATACATTTGATGAAGTTTGACCCAGGTTGGTGAGATGATCTGTTTCAAGAATTGAAGAAAGGAAAGGAGTCATGTCTGCTCTCAATGGTGGGTGTTTGTTGAATGAATGCATGAATGGTGACCGGTGCAATGGGGGTTCTCCCAGGGGAATACCTAGATTTACACGGATGCTCTTTCTCAGTAGTAGCCTTTGGATGAGGAAAGGAAATTGAGTTGGGAGACACCCCAAATCGAGGTGTTTTAGCCTGAAAGGGTGGAGGGAGCAAGGGAGCACATGAAGCACGTGAACTTGGCCTCTTCACAAGGGTCTTCACAATAGTCGGTAATCACAAGCTCCATTTCCTGATTGGTGGTTCCTGTGGGAGGGCGAGAGGGGGCTTCATTCCCTGCTGATAAAGTTTAATGTCAAGTGTAGACTGATTTGCTTCACCTCCAGGCCCTTTTTTCTCAACTTAGGGATGGCGGCTGTTTTTCTGTCAGACACAAGCTTCACTTAATGACTGTGTAGTTTATTACCCAGTAGGTCATATCCTGTATATTTTAAGAACAAACACCTCGGAGACTGTGACTTGGTAGAAGGAGATGACATGTGTCACTGCTGTTATTTTCACTAGAGCCTGGTGGAAAAACTAATTACCTTTGCATCTGGGCAAATTCAGAGGTCAGTTTACCACTACTATATCACTACATGACAGGGAACATGGGTAATTAGGTGGGATGTGTAACCTGGATATTCCATGGATCTCATTACATCTTATTTAGAAAGGCTATAATTTGATTGGTGGAAAATTAAGGCATCTTCTCATGGGTCATTTTATCTTTCTGCAATAATAATTCTTGGCTTGATTAAAAATTGATCCAGTGTCTTCAAGTGAATTTATTATTGCTGCAATCTATCAATCACCCCCAGACAGATAATCTAGTTCCCATCTTTATCTGATTTGAAAAATCTGTCACTTATTATGTGTTGTTTTTTTCAATCATTTAAATTGATAGCATTCTAGGAAGGCATTTGCAACCACAGGTTTCTTGGAGAAGAGCTTGCAGACAGTGTGGGTACATCCTTTTATGGTAAAGGATTGGATAACCTGTCAATTTTAATAAATCGATTTTGAATTGGTCTATGGCAACATTTTCGTTATTAAAAATGATCAAACCCCATTTTGGGGAGTGTGAACAATTGAAGGATAGTGGAAAGGCAGATTTGCTTCCCCCTTCCTCCATGTCTCTCATAGCTTCTTTTGTTGAATCAGAAGACTTTAGTTCATTTATAGATTCTGAGACTGTAAAACTTACACTGAACTCTGGAGAGTCAACCAAAATATGTTTAATGAGCCTTGAGAAATTGCACAATATCAGTCCATATGCAAGAAAAACATTTTGAGTTGATTCAGGCATTCAAAGAGACGTGATAAATTTAATTATTCACATTTTTATAGGTTCTTTCAGCTCATAGTACAACTCCAAATAAAAGATACAAAACTCTCAAACATCAAATGTATTTTTAAACCTTACCTTAATAATAATAGCATCTTTTATTAAGTGTTTACTGCATGTTGGTAAGAATATAAGTACTTTATGTGGGTTAGTTTATTTAGGTATCATAGCAACTCTATGGGTGGGGTTTAGGCATACAGAGGTTAAGTAATTTCCTGAGGTCACACAGGTGGTAAGTAAGCAGTGACACCAAGATTTGAAACTTGGTAGTCTGATTCCAGAGTGTGTTGAGTTTCATTACTTTGCTGTCTCCTGCCTTAGAATTCTCTCTCTGAGGCCAGATAGAAGGAAGGGTAAAGCCAACAATTTCAATAGACCAATTAATAGATATTTATTGAAGGTTGCTATAAATGGGGCACCATTCCTGGGTACTTGAGAGATACAAGATTTTCACTGATATAAATAATACAAATAAGAAAAGATAACCATGCGACAATCTCCTATAAGTGACATTTATCCCAAACTGACAACAGGATTGGAGCTATAGAGATTCAGAGAATCAACAATTGTATGTCCAGCAATTCTGGAATGCTTCACCGAGGAGGAGGGGTTTGCATTGTGTCTTGACAAAAATTCTTTGCTTGACCAAACATTAGTGAGGCTCTTAAATCTTCTTTCCCTAAGTCCATCTGTACACTTCCTTGTAAAATCAAGTTGAACAAAAACTCTGCTAAATTGGTTTAGCCAAAACCCCCCACCCTCCATATCTAATCCCCTTCCATATCTGATTGGGTTCCTTTACCATCCCCAGGTAATGTCTGATCACCCTGGCATCTATCTTCAGCAAGAGTCTTGTTTAGCCAGAGTCTCCCTTACCCTTGATGTCTCCTCTTAGTCATTTTCCATCCACCAACCCCCACCCTGCTCCTCGGCTATAAATTCTGAGTTGCCCACACTGTGTTCAGAATTGAGCCCAGCTCTATACTGAGCTATCTTTTCCCTATAGTAATAGTCTTGAATGAATTCTTTTAATCACTTTAACTCTGATTTTTCTTTGACAGTCTTGAGGAACACATGGAATCTAGTGAGGCATAGAGAAGGTAAATGGCTTTCCAGACGGGAGGGATGGTGTAAACAAGCATGGGAATGGGAAGGGGTCAGATGATTTGGAGGATGGATGCCTGGAGCAGAAGACATGGTACTCCGTAGGATGAAATGCCGATAGGTCATCAGGGGCCAGATGTGTAAACCCCGAGCACTCAGGTGAGGGGAATGGAATTTGTATAAGAGGCTGGGGCAAGACATTGGAAGCTTTGGCACAAAAGTGGAATGTAAGCAAAGTAGACCCTAAGAGGGTGAGTTGAACATAGAACAGACTGTAGGGCAGACCCATGATGTCGGAGGGCTGCTGGCTGACCACCTGCAAAAGGCAGACAATTTTTAGCCTTGGGGAAAGGTGGAGCGAAGGTCTTCAAAAGCGTCAGACTGAGGCTGATACAATTTGGCCTTACACCATGGCCTGGGAAACTGGTACCCTCTGTTCTGCCTCAGTTCCCCACAACTGCTCAACCCCACCTTCTGTCCATCACCTCCCATTCTGATTTCTCCCTCAGCTCGGATGTGCCTGGTTATCTCCTCACCCAGCCTGATCTCAGCCTCATGACTTGGCATTCCTTTCCTCGGCCACTTCCTTGGCTGGCTTCAGCCTCGACCAGAACCTGCCTCCATCTGTTACTCAGGTTTATTGAGACTCATGGCTCACAAGCCTGGCTGCCTCCCCTGGCTGCGTGCCTCATCAAGCCCAGCAGGAGCCAGGGAGACCAGCGAGGAGGTAATGGCCTTAAAAATAAATCATGAGAGTGTTGTGAGGGGCCTTCAATAGATCTTGATAGTGGGGCTTTAGAGGAAGGAACAGTTGCCATAAGTATGTAAGAAGTTATTTATTAAAAAATTTAAGGCCAGGCACAGTGGCTCATGGCTGTTATCCTAGCACTTTGGGAGGCTGAGGTGGGTGGATCACTTGAGCTCAGGAGTTTGAGACCAGCCTGGGTAACATGGTGAAACCCCATCTCTACAAAACATACACAAATTAGCTGGACGTGGTGGTGTGTGCCTATAATTCCAGCTACTTGGCAGGTTGAGGCAGGAGGATTGCTTGAGCCCAGGAGGTTGAGACTGCTGTGAGCCCAGATTGCGCCACTGCACTCCAGCCTGGGTGACAAAATGAGACCCTGTCTCAAACAAACAAACAAATGTACATCACTATTAGGATCCTAGGTAGATAGAGCTCTCTCTGATTAATGTATACTTTCATCTGATTTATAGTTTTTTTTTTTTTTTTTTTTGAGACAGAGTCTCGCTCTGTAGCCCAGGCTGGAGTGTAGTGGTGCAATCTCAGCTCACTGCAACCTCCGCCTCCCGGGTTCAAGCGATTCTCCTGCCTCAGCCTCCTGAGTAGCTGGGACTACAGGTGTGTGCCACCATGCCTGGCTAACTTTTTGTATTTTTAATATAGACGGTGTTTCACCGTGTTAGCCAGGATGGTCTCGATCTCCTGACCTCATGATCTGCCCACCTTGGCCTCCCAAAGTGCTGGGATTACAGGCGTGAGCCACCATGCACAGCCTATAGCTTTTATTTAAGAAAAAAAGGAAATAAAAGTTACATGCATTCACACGATTATTTAACAAATTATTATTGAGAGCCTAGATTCCAATAATAGGAATTCTACATCTTTACTTCTGGACGACTGAAAAAACAAAACCTTAAGTTTTATAGCATCTTGTACTTTACATAGCGTTTTCAAATATATTCACTCGACGCTGAGGACATCTCTGTTGGTAGGTGCTGTTATTTCATTTTTTTCAAGGGAAGAAAATAAAATTTGAAACAGTTTCCACTCAGAATGCCACCCACTAACGAACGGTGGGGTCTGAAACCTGGGCTTCCGACTTGCTGAGCAGCGCTCTCCACCGTAATACGGCTGCCTGCGGAACCGGCTGACCGGAAGTGTGGCTGTGGGTGGTTTACCGCCAGACTGTGATGGTGGCGGGGCACGGCTGCGTGACTGGTGAGTTGGTGAGGACGGGGCAGTGGACTGGGAGCAAGGCAGGCCCTGCCAGGGGGACTGACAGGCTCCAAGGTGATCTTCCTAGGAATGTCCACAGAGTGTGGGACCTGGCCTTGGCTGGGTTGGGTCCATTGTGTGGCTGCAATATAATCAAGTGGAGGACAGCTGTGATGAGACTGGGGGATGCTGCTGTTGGGGGAGTGTGCCCAGACCCCAGGGCAGCAAGGCCAGCTCTAGTCACACGGATTAATCAGGCAAGGCCCCTCATCTGCTGTTGAACATGGGCGCGTGGAAGCACCGGCTTAGGAACAGGCTGGCGCCGAGACGGATGCTTGAACGCTTCTATGGAGGCTGGAGGGCTGGGCTGGGGACGGCAAGGGCCCGGGTGCTGAGCTGAGCACTGACAGGCTTTGCTTCCCTTTGTGTTTTCTCACTTCTGTGCGCGTTAGGCGGGGTCCGGGCATTTACCTTGTTTTGGTTTGGTGATAATTCCCTCTCACAATCTGCAGCGACTGTTTTCTGTTTCATGGGCTTCCGGGTAAGTTGCTTGGTGGATGACCTGGTGTATTTAATTTACTGGGCTCTGACTCTGCAGAGGGCGCTAAATGCTATGGGCTACGGTGTTCAGAACTGGGTTCTGGAGCCCCCAGGAATCCCAGCAAGTGTGTTGCTACCAGAATTCCTTCTCTTCCTGTTCTTTTTGTTTCTGATTCCTAAGCCCCTTCAAGTCACATAGAGGAGGCTATTTGCCAAATTGTGTGAGCCCATTAGTATGTCAATCATGATACCTTCCAAGTGCTTGCCGCTTTGTACATTCCAAAACACTTTCATGCAAAGCAACCCTTGGAATGGTTTTAGAATTCCTGTTATATAGATTGGAAGATATTTTTATTTCCATTTCATACATTGGGAAACTGAGGCTCAAAGGCCATAACACAGGAGAGGCATAGAAAAAGTCTCGCTCCAGGCCTCTTGACATGTGAGCAAGTGCCCTGCCGGACATATGTGCTTCCTCCCTGGATTTTCATTAATTTTTTTGGAAACTTGGTATTGTCATTGAGTGAGCTGAGGTGGTGAGGGAGGCTTACTCTTGTCCTTTAACATTAGCTTTTCAATAATGCTGAAGATGATGATGATAATGACAAATCGCCTATAAGATATGCCCATTCAGAAGTCTCTTGTGTAGTTCCCAGCATTTCAAGGAATTCATTAAAAACTGACATGAACCCCAGGTGACCTCAGGTCTCCTAATGTGCCAATCATTCATCTAAGGAAACAGAACTAAATTACTTGTACCTGAAAGAAAGCCTTTTGCAAAACAAGAGTATATACGCACTCTCACCGGAGCCCAGCAGTTACATTCAACGGTGGCAGTTATTATAAATGGCTATATTCCTACGGCAACCCTGGAGAAAGAAAGAAAATTGTGCAACCAATTTAATGAGGTGTGTGTGTAAGAGGGATGGTTAGCAATTTGTCTTTAACAATCTTGTTATACAGCAAGAGGCTCTAAGGGGAAAGAGAGAAAGAGAGAGACCGGGAGTCAATGCTCTATTTTCTAACAATTCTCAAGAGAGAGGAGATAAAGACCAAGAGAATTCACTGAGCAAATGTTTTCTTTGTGGCAACAAATGCAGGCTTCGTGCTTGCAGAACCACTAGGCACTATGTAACGAGAAGGGTTATAAATCTGGATGTAACGAAGGTTTCACCCCAGTGGTAATAGAGTTAGAGGGTGAAAGGTTGCATCTTGTTCAACCTTCTCTGGAATCGTTTTCTATAATGCTGGCAAGTAATTTTGTGGCATTTCTGGATGCTTAACTGAATAAAAAGAAATACTTATTTGGTACTGGAACCACTATTAGCAAGGTGGGCAGTTGAGAATCTACCTAAGTATCCAGTAATGTTAAAATGAAATGGCAGAAAACCATTTTAATTGCATCATCTAGTGCCTCTAGACATGTGGGCACTTGTGTTCCCGGTGGTGACACACAATATGGAGAGATATTTAATTGGGCACTTTTGAAAAGAGAGCCCCTCTCAACAGGGACTACATCTTGGGCTTGTGCTTAGAAGACATTCAGCTCAAGAGCTGCCCTGGTGCACATTTCCTCTGCCCCTTTGGTTGCCTTTAGGTTCATCAAGTTCTAATTAGTTATTCTTTAGTTAATTCAGAAATGAAACCTTTATTGAGCAATTACTATGTTTCTGGCCTTATTCTAGATTCAATGATGTTTAGAAAGATTTTTACAACACAGTTTGCTGTTAGTCTAGACTTTTTGCTCCCTAGTGAAAGGGAACTTTTGGCAGCATCAAGAGGTAATTCAGTAGGATTCTATCTCTTCAACTTCATAATCTCCATTGTTTCCCAAAACCAATTCTAATATTAAAAACAATACAATGTTTTATCAACGTTAAGATGCCCTCTATTGTTAAAAAAAACTGTTATTTTATGTACCACTTGCATAAAGAAAAAATATCTAAGATGGGAGGTCTAATAGGAGACCTCTTCATAGGCAGGACACCAAAGAGCTACGCACTCGGTGAAAGGGGTAAGGAAAATTCTCCAGCAGGGCCAGCAAGGAAACTTGCATGTCTCAGCCTTGGGCCTCTGCAGAGGGAAGAAAATACAAGTCTCTGTGAGAATCTGAGCCATAATCTAATACAGATGGAGCATCCTTAATCTGAAAATTCAAAATCCTAAATTCTCCAAAATCCAAAACTTCTTGAGCTCCAACATGATACCACACGAGGCAAATTCTACACCGGACGTCACACAATAGGCTCCAGTCAAAATGTTATCAAAACTGTTTTGTGTACAAAACTATTAAAAATAATGCAGAAAATTACCTTCACACTGTGTGTCTAAGGTGTATAGGAAATGAATTTTATGTTTAGATTTGAGTCCCACTCCCAAGAGATCTCATTATGTATGTACAAATATTCCAGAATCTGAAAAAATCTGCAAAGCAAAACACTCCTGGTCCCAAGCATTTTGGAAAAGGGACACTCAACCTGCCAACCTGTAGTCACACAGGTCTAAAGTCTGAATTTACACCATTGGTGGGGTCCAATAATTCTCAAGCAGAGAAATCAATTTCCAGTGGGCTTAAGTAAGTTTGGCAGAAACAAATGCAGAATCCTTTCTGGAAGAATTCGACTTCATTTCAAGCCCACAGATTATAAAAACGTATTGATTACGTGATACACTCTGATTTTAGGGATTATGAAAATGTGAGAATAATGTGCATCTAAGAATTGATGAACAGTGATAGTAATAATAATGCTTTTCATGACTAGTATATTAATATAATTTTATGTAATTATTATTCTTTCCATTTGCTATGGACAGTGAAATTTTTCTGAATCTTCTGTAAACTGTGAATAAAAGCATTTTAAGAATTTTCTTGGCTGGGTATGGTGGCTCACACCTGTTATCCCAGCATTTTGGGAGGCTGAGGTGGGAGGATTGCTTGAGCTCAGGAGTTCAAGACCAGCCTGGGCAACATAGCAAGACCTCCTCTCTACAAAAAACAAAACACAATAAAACAAAGCCCCCCAATCCCCCAAACTTTCCTATGTTTATTGATCTGTAATCAACAAGCTTGCTATTCATATTCAGTTCTAAGAAAGTCCCATAGTCTCTCCCCAAATTAGATTGCCCTCCAAAGACCTTCCTATAAAGAAATGAGGGTACCCCAGCTGAAACCCAGTTCTAACCGACTTAAACAAAAAAAGGAAATATATGGTTCATGTATCCACATAAGTCCAGGGGTTAGATATGGCTGGATCCAGACACTCAAGTGTTCTCATCCAGACCTTGTAATTGCTCATCTCTTTTTTCTGCTTTCTCCGGTGCTGTGCTGGATTCAGAGCTTGGCTCTACATGAGGCTTTCAGCACCCTTGGGCCTAAATCTTCATCCCTGTTTGCAGTCTCAGGAGAAAGCAAGGTTCTCTTTTCCACTTCCATCAAAGACCTCAGAATTGAGTCTCATTGTTTGGTTGGATCATGTGTCCATCTCTGGTACAGGAAGATCATGAGTTGGATCCTGTGTCCATTTCTGGCATATGAAGAAGGTTTTGGGTACCCCCAAGTCATAGGGACTGAGAGTGGAGAGGAGTGATCCTCACCAGGGGTGCAATAATCAGAACAAGGGGACTTGGATGCTAATCAAGATGGAAGTCATGAGTTGTATGCTGGAAACAGTGGATGTCCTCTACATGTCCTCCTTGTCCTGGAGGAGGTACAGTTCACTTGTGGGCATACCCACAATGAGGTAAAATGACAACTCAAGATGTCAACTGAAATTAAAGATATCTCTGTGAGAGATGTGACAAGGTTCTATGTAACAGATGCCACAAGAAGTACCACTGTAAGAGCTAAAAGAGGAAGAAGTGCCTGGACTAGGGTAACTGGGAACACCTTGTGGAAGAATTTGACAGGAGGAGAGGATGTGGTGAAGGATGAGGGAGAACCAGAAGGAAAAGAGTAAGAACAATGGTGTGCGGAGGGATAAGCAAGATCATGGTATCCTAACTCTGGAAAATTGGTTGACTTTGTGTGTGCCTAGTGTTCTGTGGACTCCTCAGCTTGTGCTCAACCCCTGCTTCTATTCCTGGACAGAGGACATACTCTCCAGTGAACAGAAGAACTCCCTCAGTCTGGAGAAGTCCACTGGGATGAAAAGATTCCTAGATCTAATTCTGATCCTGTCTCAAACTAGCCGTGTGACTGGAGCAAGGCATTTAATTTCTTTTGGCTTCTGCTACCTTATTGGAAAATAGTAATGATTTACCTGTCACATTTGTCTCACAGGGTTGTTGTGAGAACCCAGAGTAGTGTTTGTGAAGGTGATTTGAAACATAAAGTTCTGACGCAAATGTAAAGCATTGTCTATGGCACACAGACTAGTGTTGGTCTAATTGAAAGCTTGTACTCTGCTTGTTTCACCTTTTATTTTTGTTAGGGACTTTCTATAGATTGTGAAAATAAGCAATAAATTTATGTGGGTTACTAGAATTATGAAAATGGAATTTCTGATCCTGAATTAACCAGCTTTCCCCTGAGCCAGTTTATCTACGGCAGGTAGGGTATCTCTATGCTGTAATAAAATTTCCTTCCTTCCTTCCTTCCTTCCTTCCTTCCTTCCTTCCTTCCTTCCTTCCTTCCTTCCATTCATCCAATATTTGTTGAGTTGGGCACATTACTTAGCATATACGTAGAATGGAATTAAGACAATTAACTTAGAATCGCTTTGCATATTATTGCTTTATTTGTTTTCAAAGTCTGAGAACAATCAAAAGCACAGTACATTATCTTATTGTTACAACTAAAAAGAGTCTTGTAGGGCTTGAAGATCACCATCATGGGCAGTAATTATTGTTGCACTACCAGTGCACTACCAATGTAGTGCAATAATAATATGCTAGTTATCAGAGAGTTGTGATTGGTGAACTGCAAGAAAATTACCTTTCCTTGTTAAAAAAAAAACCCAAAACCAAACCCTCGTATCAGAAAATTGGTTTTCCTGAATCTAAGAATCTTGCTTTGGGCTCCCCATTTGATTGGGCACAAGCTTTCAGAGATTTAGTTTCTCCTCCTTCTTCCTTAAGACATAGTCTTTGAAGAAAGGATAAATTTTTAAAATGCCTATTTAGAAAGATCATCCATGCCTAGAACCTTGATGGCATAATAGCAAGGTAATTTTTTTTTTTTTTTTTTTTTGAGACGGAGTCTCGCTCTGTCACCCAGGCTGGAGTGCAGTGGTGCGATCTCGGCTCACTGCAAGCTCACCTCCCAGGTTCATGCCATTCTCCTGCCTCAGCCTCCCAGCTGGGACTACAGGCACCCACCACCACGCCCGGCTAATGTTTTGTATTTTTTAGTAGAGATGGAGTTTCACTGTGTTAGCAAGGTCATATTTACCAAGCTTGTCATGACTGAGGAAATTCTTGGCAGAACAAGTCTCCATAGAAATTGTCTAAATATGGCAAACTCCTAAGGAAATGTCTCCCGTTGGGGAAAAGGAGTGTCTAACTGGTCCCACATGTTTTCCAGGGGATCTCTTTCCCCCTCTGTCACTTTCTCCAGGCAGTTCTTATCTTTTGCGATGTAAAGGAAAGAAACATGATTTTAGGGAGGGCCTAAATATTAAGCATCCTTTCCCCTGATTCATTCTAATGCAATTGTATGCAGATATGAGGGGATTTTTTTGGGTTATATCTGTCACTTGGAATTTCTCCATTAATGGAGTCTCTGAAGACATTTTAGGAATGAATAATATCTTTTATCTCATTGGAATATGCATGGGATTCCCATCAAGTCTGTCCTTGTGTGACTCTGAGTAGACAGCCAGTAAGATTTCCTCTTTCAAGTCTCTGTCAGGAATAAATACTCAGTTCTTCAGTAGTGCCCAGATGAAAACCTGATAGTGGAGGCTTTGCTCTGAAAGCAGACTGTGGCCCAGCTGTTCTGTGGTTTATGAATTTTTTAGCAAGGCTGAGGCTGGTCGCTGAACAAGCATTGGCTGAGTTCAGGCATACGCTGGGGGTCTGATGACTTCAAGTAGGGGTTAGAAAAATCTGGCTGTGTATTCTGGGTTTCCCCTCTGAGGTTCGGAGGTTTGTTCAACTTTGGTTCAAAGTCAAGCTCAGAAAATGGGGAATGGGGGAAGCCACTGGCCCAGCAACTTGCAGTGACTCTCCTGCAAGCAGTGTGGAAAAGGAGCCACACTGAGGTCAGGTCAATGCCCATTTGGAGAGGGATGCTGCTGACTGGGCCACTCTGAAAATCCTCTCTCCAGTGGAAAAACAAGTACCTGGGGCTCTGCCTCCAGCAAAGGCTGGCTTTCTGTGTCAAATCTCACTTCAGCTGTGCTAAAGGAAGGAGTGGGGAGAATCAGAGTTTGGGCCAATGGGGAGAGAATAAGGACCTAACCGTTAAGAGAAGGTGGCACTTCGAAGACCCAAACTTACCCAGAAATTGAATAACTTTTCTTCTCTGTATTTTACCTTCTTGACAAGGCATCTGAGGGTTGAAGGTCATATTTTTTATACCTTGCCTCAATTTCTTTAAGCAGTTGTAACATCATTGGGCCAAAGGGAAATACTCATTGGCTAGATGTCATTACCATTTAGTGGCCATTGGGAAGACAGGCTGGGAGCCAGGAATTAAGATACATTCTTCCTACCAGCGAGTTCTGACATTTGAGTCTGTGGAAAACAAAGTGAAGTGAGAATAACCTCTTCCAATGAGAACACATGGACACAGGGAGGGGAACAACACACACTGGGGCCTGTCGGGGGTCGGGGAAGGAAGGAGAGCATCAGGATAAATAGCTAATGCATGCTGGGCTTAATACCTAGGTGATGGGTTGATAGGTGCAGCAAACCACTATGGCACACGTTTACCTGTGTAACAAACCTGCACGTCCTGCACAGGTTTCCCAGAACTTAAAATGAAATTTTAAAAAATAACGTATTCCTCAATCTAGTGATGATTGGGGAAATAATTGACCTATCTGATTATGTGGATACTCAAAATAAACCATCCCTATCAAATGACCCCTCAGGCCTGGCTGAGTCTGTTTGACTCACAGCATTCAAGCTTCTCCCCTCTGATCTCGGGGAGATTTAATATGCTCATGCTAGCAGCCTAATTCAAGCAGACCAGGTGAATTAGGATCTCAGTGGGTGGGGCCTAGACAGTGACGTCAAAGCTCCCCAGGTGAATCCAGTGAGCAGCCAGTGCTAATAATCATTCATCTACTGTATCCCAATCAGCAAGGTATTGTGGCTGCCACATCATCATTTTGTGTAGGGAGGCCAGGGTGCTGATGCAGGGATGAAAGTTGCTCTTTTTTCTTGGATTGTCAGGAAAGGCCTGGCTGCTCAAGTAACATTTGAACACGGACATGAAGGAAGTGAGCAAGGGGTGGAGGAAAGGGGTGGAGGAAAGGGGTGGAGGAGGAGGGAAGAGGATTCCAGGCAGCGTTACACCCACCCCACAACAGAAGGCTAGTTTCTGAAGGTGTGTGGGTGGGAGACAGGGGAGGCATAATGGTATTTATCTTGCTACCATCACACTGGTTCAGATAGAATCAGACAGGCGCCTTGAATGCCTCATCAATGTGGAAAAAATCTGATGGTTAGAAATAACCCTTCGGTTAAAAATAACCTGAATCCTATGGTAATTATTAAATAATATGAAAGCACAACTACAGTTCCGTTTAGTTTAAACAGAGTGAGGTTTCACAGAATCTAGCATCATAGGTGCATTTAAAAAGACAAGGAAAGAAAATACGTGAGTGTACAAAAAACAGGGTTGCTAGTAGGGAAAGAATAACGTACTCGCTTATTTGTTTGGCTTTGATCTGCGTATGGTAGAAGCCTGGGGAAGGAGCCCATGGGCAGGTCACGGTTATGCTTTTGAAGGTGACCAGTGGTACTGACATGACCCAAGTGTGACTGCTTCATCGTCCTGGGCCTAATTAGGTAAGCAAGGGGTTCACAGTGCAGATTATTTCATTTATTAGGTTCGAATGAAACCTGTGGGAATTGGTAAGATGTGATCTTAAATTAACATACTTCCTGCAGCACCTGCGATGTGGTATTATCAGAATTAATTAAACAGTCTGAAATCGCAGGCGCGGTGTCAGGCTGGGATAACCAGATGCCTGAGAGCCTGCATGTCTGGGCTGGGTCTCCAAACGCTTGAGCAGTGTCTTTCTCTCCCTCTCCCCACATCCTGACGGGTCTCGCTGTGGAGCCTTTGAAGCTTCTGTAGACGTGGTGGGGGATTCTATGGGGATGCATATAAACAAGTAAACCAGTGTTGCTCAAATTTTAATACTTTTCTCGGTATTGCCCGGGATGCCAATGATTTTCTGAAGGGGTAGATGGAAAGCCTCAGAGAGCTGGCTTTGTTTTTCTCTCCTCTGAGGCTTCGATCAGTTTTATTTGGTGGAACAATAGGAATCCATCTTTTAAAGTCTCTTTCTCCCCCATCTGCTTGCAAAAGGCGCTGTTACCCAGATGAAATGCATGTGTAGAAGCATACAGTAAAATGCTGTGTCTCTGTGTGTGTGTGTATGAGCTTGTGTGCTGTTCTTTTCTGGTGGTTGTGCCAATTAGTAACATGTAGATTTCAATAGACCAACAGAATTTGTCACTAGAGTTCTTTTGATCTGTAAGCCAGTTTCCATGGAACATGGACAGTGGCCCAGTTGTGGCCTGGCTTAGTGGCTAAAATGCAACTTACATTGTGTGTAGGCATTTGCCATGAAAAAAGTCCCCTCTATACTTAATTAATGAATCCGATGCATTTCAGCAGCAAGGAAAGGGCTGGGTCAAGGATCAAATGCCTTCAGACAATAGTGTGCAGAGAGGGGCTGGTTTAGAGGCCCCAGTGCGGTTAGTTTTCTCAAGGCATCCAGGAGCAGAGGGAAGTCTGTTGCACCCAGTCAGTTGTAGAAGCATCATAGGCAGAAGGGTGAGGTCTAGAAGGCAACTAAAATAACGATGACTCATACCATATTGACATATTCACCTGTACCTTCATTGAAAAGTTGCTAATTTTTCAAGACCCAAAATTTTAAACAGTCTCTCTCCAGGTAAGTTCACTTGTTTCCCCTTCTCTGCCCTTGAACACAATCCACACTGCTACAACAGCTGTCTTCTCTTTGCATTGCGATTAGTTTCCTCTTCATTGGATTATAATCTCCTTGGACACAGTGTCTTATTCAAGTTTGTAATTCTAGCATTGAATCTGGGACAGTCTTTTGAACATGTGCTTACTGATGGTTAAGTTGTGTTTTTCAAAAAGAAAGTAGTTGAAGGAGGGATGAGAGGGCAGGAATGAAAAAGGCAACTTATACAAGGTTACTACCTAGCCAGGAGTGGGACAGAGAGGCACACCAAGGTCATTAGGCTCTTTTCACTCCATCACATTGCCAAGAAATAATTAGAACCTTAGCATACTGAAAACTTTTTATTTATTTATTTTTTTTAGACAAGATCTTGCTGTGTCACTTGACCACGGCTTGTAATGGTTAATATTGGGTGTCAACTTGACTGGATTGAAGGATACAAAGTGTTGTTCCTGGGTGTGTCTATGAGGGTGTTGCCAAAGGAGATTAACATTTGAGTCAGTGGACTGGGAAAGGCAGATCCACCTTCAATCTTGGTGGGCGCCATCTAATCAGCTGCCAGCATGGCCAGAATAAAAGCAGGCAGAAGAACGTGGAAAGACTAGACTGGCTAAGCCTCCTGGTCTGCATCTTTCTCCCATGCTGGATGCTTCCTGCCCTTGAACATGGGACTCCAAGTTCTACTCTTGGTCCTTCAACTACAGACTGAAGGCTGCACTGTAGGCTTCCCTACTTTTGAGATTTTGGGACTCTGACCGGCTTCTGTGCCCCTCAGCTTGCAGATGGCCTATTGTGGGACCTCACCTTGTGATCATGTGAGTCAACACTCCTTAATAAACTCCCCTTTATATATACATCTATCCTATTAGTTCTGTCACACTAGAGATCCCTGGCTAATACACAGCTTCTTGCAACTTTGAACTCCTGGGCTTAAGTGATCCTCCCACCTCAGCCTCTCCAGTAGCTGCCATGCCCAGCTGATTTTGAATTTTTTGTAGAGATAGTGTCTATGTTGCCCAGGCTGGTCTCATACAACTACCTCAAGTGATCCTCTGGCCCTGGTCTCCTATAAAAACTTTTATGGGAGTGCTATCTTCCTATTCAGTTGGCTCGTACACTTTACAAGTCACTTTACTTGTGAAAGATTGAGCAAAAAATGATTTTGCTTACATTAATGATGAAAAAGGCATTGATTTTTTTTCTATGTAGTTTTGTCTGCTGAAGGAAATGGAGATTATACATTTGCCTATTGTATTTTCTTTTTTATGTTGTTCTTCATAGAGCCACTCATCAGAGACCCCATACACTTAGCTAGTATCTCTAGGCAAGGCCTTATGCCTTATATAATTCCTCCTTTTCCCTTTCCTTCAAAATGGATGAGTCCTGGGTGCCCGTCTCTGAGCACCCTGCCCTCTGCTGGTGAACCTTCCATGCCTTCTTGTTCCACAGATGCATGTTTATGTTCTCAGGCTGCTCTCTTGAGTGTTATGGGGTTGGATGGGGGACCTCAGGCTCCAGAACTCTTTTGGAACTTTCTGAGTACAATTTTTAGGTCCAGTAATTACTAGCAGAGACTCTGAGCTGTCAGTGGTTAGAGTCCAATCATTTTGACAGAAGAAATTGTAAGTCAGAGTCGTTCTGTGAGATTATAATAGAATTGTAGAGCTAGAAGGTAGCTTAGAAATGGTCCAATCTTTTCTTTCATGGTTATAGAAATTGACGCTATAGAAAGTTACACAACACGGGACAGAGACAGGTCTAGAATCGGGCTTTCTGATTGCTAGCTCATTACTTTCTCTACTACATGCACCAAAGGCAAGTTTTCACTCCTTTGTTGCTATTTTCTGTCTTAGTTCCTGATGGGGTCCCTTAACTCCTCACTTCTTTGGGAAAGAAATTCACCCCCCAATTAAAAAAAAGACAACATATAAAAGTAAATATTCATTTTATAAATATGCATATCAATTAAATATACATTTATTTTAAATACATGTGTTAATTATGTTACATCAGATCACAATTAACAGCAAGTGATGATTTGCATATAATCAAGCTTGTATATTAATCAGTTGTCAATCTCAAATGCCATTTTTCTTCATAGAGCACCTTCCATGGAGGCATATCAGGGCCAGGGATTTGAAGCAAGTGATCCCCCTACATATTTGAGAGTGTGCTGCTCTGTAGCTCTGTGCTACTTATCTTCTGTCTTTGGCCCCCTGGAATCCCATTTTTAGTCCTTCAGTTAGGTCTGGTTGTTCTCAGCCTTCCCTCCTAGAATCTTTTTGAAGGAGGAGAGAAGTTTCTGTTTGTCTGGTTGCTCTTGCTCTGTTCTAAAGGATTTTCTAGACCATGGAGGCTGTTTACTAGGTTACAGGTGTCCCACTGAGAGGGACAGGAAAGAAGAGAACTAGTAAGTGTTTCAACTGGAAAGAAACTTATAAATACTAACACAAATCCTTCACTTAGTAGATAAGTAAGCTAAGGCCCACAGATGTTAAGTATCTTCCATAGGAAGTCTAACCAAAGTCTTTTGAATCTCTAACCTCTTCCTGAAGTCATCAGCATCCATTTTGCTCCTGCAGACCTCCGCCTCCCTTACTTGCCTGTAGCACTTATTAAGATGCAACTTACGTGGCATGCTTGTCACGTGTAACTTGCTCCTCTCAAGAGATGGTTTTCTAACTCTTCTGTAACCACCAAAGTATACAGTAAGTGCACCTGGTATGCAGTAAGTGCTCAATACATATAGCCATAAAGAGTTTGTTGATTGGAAGGGTGTGAATTCATTTGGGAAATAAATGGAAATGTCTCTTCTTTATGGATATCATGGTTTAAAGCACCTAAGTGCATTTTTCTTTCAGAAAACCAGTGAATCGTTTCTTGGGAGGGCAGAGGGGACAAAGAGTGGACCTGTCGCTTTATCACTAGGCTCTCCTCTTTCCTTATGCTGGGCCTGGTTCCAAAAGTAATTAATCAACAAGGACAACTTCTTTGTCCCCCTTGCCCTTTGGTCTGCGGTATGAAAAATGTTATTTCAGCTAGAGGAATTGTGATCACTTAGCATTTCCTCTACATTTGGTCCCTGATCTCATTGTAAGACAGCAGGAAAAGGTTTTTCATTTGATTTCTTGACTAATTACAGTTAGACATTTCCCACTTTTACATTATTCTAGTGAAAATATTCCACTTCAGCATGCCCATCTCTGCTCTCAGACGAAACATTTTTCCTTAAGAAGCATTCATTTAAAAAAATAGTTTATAAGGAAGAACCAACATGTTATAAAACAACGGAGAAGATGGTGATATTAATCCTTTAGAGCAACACTGCATATACCTGGGGTGTCACTACCTTTTGCCATATGAAAAATCCACAGGAGAAACGTGTGGCCCTTTGAATATTTATGGCCTATTTACCATTTGCAGGGTAATAAACTAGGCAATGTGATAGATTAGACATAGTTTTTGTCCCTAAGAGTTTGTAGTATACTAGAAAAACTGAAACATGGTGCCTGAAGGCATTTCTGTCTTTTTAGGAAAATGATTTGTATTCATTTATATATTCAGCACACTTTTATTTGGCACCTATTATGAAAGATACAGTACTGGAATTAGCCAGCTAGGGGCCCTGCCCTTGTGATGTATACTTTGTGGTAAGTTGTAAACGTGAGGGTGGGTCCACAGGCCAAGACTTCAGAGGAAGTCTATGCTTTGACCTACCTTCATAACAATTATGTGTATACACATAATAACTGTATATAAACTATAAAGGACAAAACCGAAAAGACATAGCGAATCCCAGAAACAAGACAAGTAATAGAGCAGCTACCTAAGGTGGTGAGCAGAGCTAAATGAAACCCAGGCCTGGTTAGCCCCAGGTTGAGGAGCAAATAGTGTTGGCTGAGAATTAGGCTCCAACCGGGACTAAAAACACTTACTGGGAGGAAGGGAGGTTGGATCTAGGCTTACTGCTTGAAACCAAAGGCAAGGCTGTGGGTCTCTCTACTCCAACACCTAGTTGTAAAAGAAGAATAGAAAAAAACATACCACTTGCTGCTGTTAGGGCTATAGCTTAAAAGGATCTGCAAACTTAGGGAAGATTGGGGTCTAAGACAGAGCCTTGTGATCCTGAACCAAATCAAGCTGCTCTTTGGGTGATTTGGGGGTATCTGTCATCATCAAGGGGCAATGACCTCAAACTGCTTTGATCAAACCAGGTTCTGGACAGTGGCTATAGGAGGCCAGATGCAGGAAAACACAGAGATGGGTAAAGTCAGAGAAGGGGCGTGAAGACAAAGCAATCACAAAAATTCTCTCACTTAAATAAGCCTCAAAAGCTAAATTTCAAACCATATGAAGAAACTAAAGGCTAAGGAAGATAGCCAACAAAACCAACAATCAGAAAATTAACTAATTCAAATAAAATTAACTTTTTATTATAGCTGGTACTGTTTATATAAGTATTTTGGGAAGGCTTACACGTTAATTAGGGGGAAAATAATAGCCATCAAAATTTAAGATATTTTACAAGAAGAATAGGCAGAAACAAAACCATTTGAATATGAAAAAGAATCAGTTCCAAAATTAGAAATAAATCTTAAAAGTAAAAATATTATCATCAGAATAAGACACTCACTAGTTGAGATAAACTCTAGATAAAACAGGTGATGGAATGCTTAGTGTATTGAAAGTCAACACAGAGCTGGTCACCTAGAATGTAGCAAAGAGAAATAAAAAGTTAGTATTAAAATAAAGCAAAAATGGCAAACAGGCATATGGAAAGATGCTCAACATCATTAATTATCAGAGAAATGCAAATCAAAATACAATGAGATATTGTCTCACCCCAGTTACAATGGCTTATATCCAAAAGACAGGCAATAACAAATGCTGGCAAGGATGTGGAGAAAAGGGAGCCCTCATACAATGTTGGTGAGAATGTAAATTAGTACAACCACTATGGTGAACAGTTTGGAGGTTCCTCAAAAAACTAAAAATAGGTATGATCCAGCAATCTCAATGTTGGGTAGATACCCCAAAGAAAGGAAATCACTATATGGAAGAGATAGCTGCACTGCCATGTTTGTTGCAGCACTGTTCACAATAGGTAAGATTTGGAAGCAACCTAAGTGTTCATCGACAGATGAATGGATAAAGAAAATGTGGTACATATACACAATGGAATACTATTCAGCCATAAAAAAGAATGAGGTCCTGTCATTTGCAACAACATGGATGGAAATGAAGATCATTATGTTAAGTGAAATAACCCAGGCACAGAAAGACAAACACTGTATGTTCTTATTTGCGGGATCTAAAAATCAAAACAATCAAACTCATGGAGATAGAGAGTTGAAGGATGGTTACCAGAGGATGGGAAGGGTAGCAGAGGTCTGCGGGGAGGAAGTGGGGATGGCTAATGAGTACAAAAATTACTTAGAATGAATGAATAAGACCTATCACTTGATAGCACAACAGGGTGATTAATAACTTAATTGTACATTTAAAAGTAACTGAAAGAGTATAATTGATTGTTTGTAACACGATGGATAAGTGCTTGAGGAGATAGATACCCCATTCTCTATGGTGTGCTTATTTCACATTGCATACCTGTGTCAAAACAGCTCATGTACTCCATAAATATATACACCTACTATATACCCACAAAAATTAAAAATAAAAAATTAAATAAAGCAGTGAAGAGACAGCCATGAAAAATGGCTGGAGATGTATTAGTTAATACATCTAATAAGACTTCCCAAAGAAGAGAATGGAAGGAATAGCGGAGAAGCAACATTTGAATAGATAATAGCTGATAATTTCCAGTATTGAAAAAAGACAAAAATTCTCAGATCAAAATATACTCTGAGAATGAAACTATATAAATAAATATAAACCCACATCTAGACACATCCTGTTCAATCTGCAGAACATTAAGGATTTAAAGAAGGTTTTAGAACTGAAAACATTATTAAATTTAATGGAAGTATAATCAAGCTAAAGGAACATTTCTCAACAGAAAAATTAGGTGCCGGAATACACATTATATCCAAAGTGCTTGGTGAAAATATCTGTCCTTCTATAATTTTATATACAGCTAAAATATCACTCAAAGTGAAAACAAAACAAAACATTTTCAGATATACAAAGGCTCAGGAAATTTGATACATGGAGACCTACTCAAGGTTGTACTTTAGTATAGTCAAAAGCAAACAAAAACTGAACCAGAGGAAAGACATAGCTTGGAAGACACAGTAATTGTGTTAGACATAGGATGAAAGAAACATTGATATAATATACTGGTAAATTTACTTATCTGTTGGTTAAAATACTCATTTTATGCACATGTGTTTAAAACAAGTCAAAGTAGAATAACAGACAGTAATTAAATATGAGGGTGTTTCAATGGGTAGTTCAGCAAGCTAAGGTCCGTGTGTTTGCGAAGCAGTTAAAAATTGGTTAGAAAGTAATAGATGAGCTTGGAATAAAAACCAACTGAAACAAAACCAATATCCAGATGTTAGAAACCCAAAGTAAAAGCCAAACAGAAATGTTGAAAACAGAGAGATGGGAAAAAGTATATATTAAGCAAATACTAACTAAAAGAAATCTTATATAGCAATATTAATAACAGACAATGTAGAATTTCAGGATACATTAATAAGTGTAATCATGGACACTGAATAATAATAGAAGAAACAATCTACCAAGAAGTCATGATCATCATAAATCCGTATTGCCTAACAATATAGTCTCAAAATATATGAAGCAAAGTCTTTTTTAAAGAACATCAAAGAACTCTTTTATTTTTAAAGAGTCAACCTAAAGAAAGTAGAGTAAATAATATAATAAGGATAAGAGCATAAGTTGATAAAATTGGAAATAAGATCATCAGCAAAATAAAATTATTTGGAGGGTGAACCCAAGCTCAATGGTACCTATAACCTTCTTTGAAGACACCTCTAAAAAAAGAAAGATTAAAAAGTATAAATACATAGTAAAAAGAATTGTTACTACAGATAGAGTAGAAGTTTAAATAAGAGAATACTGTGAATAACTTTATGGTAGTGAATTACAGACTTAGACAAACAATTTTCTAGAAAAATGTAAATAATATTTTATTTAAAAAGTGATAATAAGCCCCAATAAACCAATAACCATTATGAGTATCTCTTCTTCTTTTTTAAAAACAAAGATGCATTTTATTGCTTTTCTGAGCAACTGGGAACTTTCTCATAGAGAGACATCACTGTGTAGTGATGTACCACTTTGTGAATAAAATGAGACCTGCAGGTAAAAGAAGGTAACTTTTATGCACATTGGACTAAATGTAGCTGGGATTAATAGCCCAGATAAAGCAAAACCAAAAGGGAACAATGCAGTTTGATAAAAAATTGCTGGGCATATGTCTCAGGAATACTGTGTAGCATTTTGACTCCCGTCTTCTTTAGAGATAAGATGTCCACTTTTATAAGAAATACCTGGATTTTTCTCCACTCCACCAAACACATTTTGTTAATATGAGTTGAATTTTGAGGCAATGGGTTTGGGTCTTAATGAGATCAAGAATACATCACGGGGTTAAGAAAGCATAGCAAACTGCCTGTTGTTACTAAAATATTTATATAGATGTCATGTGTCCACTCTAAAATATTATAAGGAAATTTTCTATTCCTCTCCCCTTTTACCCATTTCCTCTTTTGGCTCCTTCCTTCTCCTCTCCTAGATTTTGAGTATCTCTTCTTAATAAGTACAAGGCGTAAACAGTTCCAGAGGTGGATATTTACATGCACTTAAGGACTGGATAATCTTTACCTTACACATAGATTTCAGAGGATAATAAATGAAGGAATGCTGTTGAATGCATTTGGAGCTCATTGTTAGCAGCAATGGACAAGGGCATAACAAGGGAAATAATTGTGGAATTTTAGAGCATTTTAGAATAGGAATATAGAAGCATTTCTCCAAATGGAACTTAAGAGTCTTTAAAAAATGATGATTATGATTAGGTAAGGTTTATATTTGATATGAAAATGAGTTAATCATCAGAATATTAATGTAATATATTCTAAGACAAAAGGATAAAGGCATTTAATCTGCTCCATGGATACAGAAAAATTATTCAGTTAATTCAATGCTCATTTATGGTAAGAATTCTAAGATAATTAGCAAAAGAGGGATCCTCCTTAACCTCATAAAGACTATGTTTATAAAACTCACAGCACACCTAATATATAATGGAAAAACTTTAGAAGTAGCTTTATCAACAACGTTAACAAGAAGTCAATGATATCCACTCTCTTGCTTCTATCAACATTGTACTTAAGTCATAGCCAATGCAATAAAGCAAGAAAATTTAAAAAAGATAAAAGAACTGTAAAGGAAGAAATAAAACTAGCTTGTTTCCAGGCAACATGACCGCCTACATCAAAAACTCAAGAAATATGCAGACAATTTTCAGAAATAATACTAGAGTTAAGCAAAGTTGTTGAATCACAGATCGATACACAAAATCAGTAGAATGGAATTTCAGAAGTACACACACGTATGTACAGATATACATGTATACATACATATATAATGTTATATATGTATTAAATTAATAAGTACTTATTCATGATATGTGCTTTCTATTTATAATATGTGCTTTTCCTAAATTCCATTCTTTCCTTATCTTAGAGCTAAGATATTATGGCTTCATTTAAAGGCAATGCAGAAGAAATGTAAGTGCTATAAAACTAAACAAGTACTATGATAGACAGTTCTGGAGTGAAGATCAAAAGTCAAACTATTAGAAGAGGCCATTGCAGAGATCATTACACAGTAGTTTTGTGATCACTAATCACAAAATATAATAGGAAAAAGCTCCCAGTTACAAAAGCAGCATGAATGAGTTAGGAACGTATATAACAACAAAAAAAGACTTCTATGAAGAATTTTACTAAACATTATTTAAGGACATAAGAGACCTGAATAAATGTAGAATTATACCATGTTCCTGAATGAGAAGGTTAAGTACCATAGAGATAGTACTTTACTCCAAGTTAATCTATAAATTCAATGCTAGTACAATAAAAATTTCGTCTGGATTTTGTATGGAACTTGACAATCTGATTTCAAAATTTATAAGGAATAGTGAATTGGCAAAGACAACTGGCAAAGAAAATTTAAAAAGAATAAAGTGGGAAGTCATGGCCTATTGGATGTCAAGAACAAATAGATCAGTGGAATAGAATGAGGAACTCAGAACAGATTCACATGTATAGTTACTTGATGTTTAATAGACATGGTATTTTAAATCACTGGGGAAAGATACTCAGATAATGATGCAAAGGCAAGTGGTCATCCATATTGTAAAAAGTAAAATTAAATCTCTATATCATATATTTAAAAATGTGAAAGACGAATCTGCAAATATTTTAAAAGAAAATACTTGACAATATATTTTTGGCTTTGAGGTTTGGAAGTGTCACTTATACTGGACAGAAAGCACATATCATAAATAAGTACTTACTAATTTAATACATGTATAACATTATGTGTGTATACATGTAAATATTTACGTGTGTGTATTCTTTTAAATAAGGACATATACAATGAATATATTGATAAGGTAAGTTGCAGACTGGAAGAATATATTTGCAATGCATAAGCTTTGAAGAATTTGCATCCTTTGAAACAGATGCAGAAAACTATGATACTCTGGATCTGGATTCCTGGGTCTGAATCTTGGCTCTATCACTTATTAACAGTGTGTGACCTTAGGCATGTTATTTAACCTCTCTTAACCTCAATTTATTTTCACTTTAAAAAATGTGGATAACAACCTTGACTGTGTTGTAGGGTTGTTTTGAGGATTAAATCAGTTAATGTGCATGAAACTGGAGGGTAGTGTCTTGCATTTAGTGAACACCTCCAAAATCTTAGCCATTATTAATAATATTATCCAGAATATATAAAAATTACTTAAATTGGCCAGGCGCGGTGGCTTACGCCTGTAATCCCAGTACTTTGGGAGGCCGAGGTGGGCGGATCACGAGGTCAGGAGATCGAGACCATCATGGCTGACATGGTGAAACCCCATCTCTACTAAAAATACAAAAAATTAGCCGGGCATGGTGGTGGGCGCCTGTAGTCCCAGCTACTTGGGAGGCTGAGGCAGGATAATGGTGTGAACCCGGGAGGCGGAGGTTGCATTGAGCCGAGATTGGGCCACTGCACTCCAGCCCGGGTGACAGAGCAAGACTCCGTCTCAAAAAAAAAAAAAAAAATTACTTAAATTAATAAGACTAACAGTCCAATAGAAAAGGAGTAATAGGTATGAATTAATAATAGAGGAATTTGATATGGCTAATAAACATATAAAAGATGCCCAATGTCCCTGGTAATTACACAAATGCAAACTAAAACAATGGTAAAGTGTAAATTTATACCCATGAGGTGAAAAAATCTAGAAGTGTGACCTTGCAAAGGTGTGGGACCACGTGAACTCTCACACACTATTGGTCTGAGTGTAAATTTTCAAAATGGGTGCCACTAATTAAGAGAGTAATTTGGTGATGTCTAGTAAATCTGAAAATACACATACCTTACAACTCAGAGCTTCCATTGCTGAGAATGTACTATAGAGAATTTCTTGTAAATATACATAAGGATATGTGTAAGAATACTTACTGAAGTTTTGTGTGTAACAGCGAAGAACTCGAAGCAACTTAAATGCCCATCAAGAGGGGACTAGATAAATAAATTGTGTATTCATGAAATAAAACACAGAATTCTTCACTAAAATGAAGTAGTGCTACATTTGTCTCATGAATAAATCTCAAAACTTTAAGATAGATTTTTTAAAAAAGTAAATTAAGCTGGGCTTGGTGGCTCATTCCTGTAATCCCAGCACTTTGGGTGAGCAAGGTGAGAAGATCACTTGAGTCCAGGAGTCTGAGACCAGTCTGAGCAACAGTGAGACCTCATTTCTACAGAAAATAAAAAAACTTACCTGGGCATGGTGGTGTCCATTTGTAGTTCCAGTTACTAGGGAAGTTGAGGTGGGAGGATCGCTTGAGGCCAGGAGGTTGAGGCTGAAGTGAACCATGATCACACCCATGCACTCCAGCCAGGGAAAGAGAGTGAGACCCTGTCTCTGAAAACAAACAAACAAACAAACAAACAAAAAACGAGAAAAACCAAGATAAAGAAAGACATAGACAGTTTTGATACATTTGTATATAATTTTAAAGCATGCAAAACAATATTATATAGTATTTATGGATACATAAATAAGCAGTAAAAGTAAGGAAGAATTTGTGAGAATGATAAACATCAAATTCAAGATACTGGTTTTCTCTTAGGAGGGCAGGAAAGGAATGTGTGGATATGGGTACCCAGGTGGTTTGAAATACATCTATAATTTTTTATTCATTTGAAATAAAATGAAAAATTCTGAAACAAATATGGCAGAGTACAAATGTTTATTCAAGCTGTGGGGAGGGAGTGAGAACTGTGCCATTGTTCTCTACATTTTCCTGTGTGTTTAAAATATTTCATAAAATGAAAATAAAGGAAAAAATATTGGAAATTCACACAAATATATATGTATACATGCACATTTGTTTTTAAAGATTCTTCTCCTTTAAAACTTATAGCATACTCACTAAAGGCTAAATGGTACAAACAGATATGTTTGAGTTTGGTATCTTTACACTCACATAATGTTAAGCTCATATAGAATTTCAGTTGATTAAGAATAAAACTAACAGCTGTTTAAGCATTTTTTTCTTACTTTGAGTCATTATTCCTTTAAAAATAATTAGCCAATCTCACTAATCAGGTTGATCACAAACGAAAAGAAAATGTATTTATTTTGTGATGGTCTTCAGGACCCAGGAACTGAGCCATGAGCTCATGATGTTGTCTTTCAAGGCGATCAAATTGAATGAAGAATAATACATCTTCAGCATTTAATATTTCCATGTTGAAACAGGGAAAGAATTATGAAGAGAGCTGGGGTAAGAGAGAAGGGGCCCCAGTAACCTGGGATGGGGTGAAATGACAAGAACACTGTCCCGGCACCAGTAGGTACCAGGTCCCAAATCTGTTCTTCCCAGTGTGTCCCACTTCTCTTTTCCAAATGGAGGGTTAGCTGTGTGATCTCAGTAGTCCCTCAAGGCTCTCGAATTCTGTGATTTTGCCAACCTAACGTGTTCTTTTCTGTGCCATTTTCAAAGGGAGACATAATTTGATACAATTATATGCCTACCTTTAGTTGTATGTTTAATTTCAGTGTATTTACCTTACTGCTTAAGGTTCTCCTCACTCCTCACTTCTGTCTGCTGTTCATTTTGAACTCAGCCCGGGACACATATGTGACACATTAAACTAAATACATATGTGATTTGTCCTTGGCTAACCTTGGTGTTCTCATAACCCTCCATTTTCCTATGGAGTGAATAAGAGTTGGTGTGATCTTAAAAAAATGGCTGCCAAGTGCACCTGCATTAGCTCTCTAACTACTTGGTTCTTAGTGAGTTAGGATGTAAATTATGTGCATTTTTGAGAACTTAGCTCTATAAATAGACCCCAACCTATTTTACAACCAAAGGTATTTTAGGATAAATGAAGTACATCTCTGAAATTGTTAAAGAGGCTCCTCCTCTATAATAAAAACTAAAAATAAAATCCATCTAATCTAATATTAGGGTTACATTAGAAATGGGCCAACATGCCTAAAATTATATATATAAATGCATATTGATGATGGTGATGATGACCCTTTTGTTCTGAGCTATTAGAAGTAAATGGCATATAAAGTAATTAAAATAACAGAATTCTGGGAAGTGGTGGAATGAGAAATTAAAAACTGATATAATTTTACATCCTTGTGGAAATCCATTGATCATAATTAGCACATAAGCTAAATCAGAATAAATGGGTAGATTCTAAAGTACGAGCATAATATCATAGGTTATGGATAATGTATTTTCTTTTTATTTAATGGATATATGATTGGTTCTCAAATGCTGTTCAACTGGTAATGGAAATGGGTTTCCCTTAAAAGCCTTTTTTCTAAGCTTTCATAGCACCAAGACATTATGGTTTTCTTCAAATGTGATGTAGACCCCATGTACATGCTGTCAACTTAAACAGGTACTAGAATAGACAGCTCTGGGGTGAAGGGCAAGGGTCAAACAATCAGAGGTGGCCATCTATTGCAGAGATCATCAAACAGGCATGGCATCAATGGATTCAGGCAAGAATGTTAGAAATTAATCAGCTCAGCTCTCAGTGTTTAGCCAGGCTGATTATATATGCCCTGGAATGTGAGCATGCGATGACAGGCCTGAGAAACTAAAGTAATAAGAGTCCATTCCCAACAAAGGCCGGGAAGACGGATCAATTTGCAATATTCTTTTCTGCACCCATGCAACAAAGCAGAAACATGAAAGCAGAACACTAAGGGATGCTCCCTATGAACTGGACAAATCAATAAACATCAGTGGTAAAGAAAAAAAGTTTCTCATTCTCTTGGGTACCCTGAGGGCTTTTCCATCTCAGGAAAGTGATGAGTGGTGGTGGCCTCTGTCATGTTCCCTTCACCTACACGGTGTCGTCTCCTGCCGTCTCAAGGTGAACACTGCTAAGCATCGGCAGAAGGAGGATTTTGTGGGAGTGTTTAAGGAAATGACTGCCTCTTGTTAGAGATGCGCTATGCTGGCCAGGAGGTGGATGGACAACTCTGTCTGTGGCCTCGGGGGGATACATTGAAGGGAGGGTCAAATGAAGTAAGATAGTGGGTCTCCCTAGCCCCCCAACCATACTAAATGAACCAGGTGAGTCTTTTCTACTGTCAGTGTTTGAAAGGCTGCATAATATTGAGGGTCCTCTTTATTTTCCTGGACTTAAGTCATCAATGGAGAGCAAGAAAAATAGTCAGCAGACAAAGAATAGCCAGGAAGCAATTTAGAGATAGAAGAATATGCTTAGGTCTAAGACAGACTATTAACAGCTTGATTCCAATTCTGGCATAATGTGGCAGAGACCCAGATCTCAATGCATGTGTGAGCATGCGCAAGTACTTGTGTACATCTGTGCAAGAATGTGTGTGTGTGCATGTACATATATAGGGATGAGAAGAAAGGGGCTGTCAGGGTAAGCACTCTCTGAAACTTATGAGACTGTCAGACTGATTCTTTTCTCTTCTAAATCATTTCCCATAAAACAAGGAGATGATTATCTGACTGCTAGAGGAAAGCGGGGTATTATATTTCATTTGGGGGGAATGTAGATTTATGGCAGATGGAATGGTTTTTCTTTTTTTAAAACCAACAGCCCAGCAATGGCAGAGTTTGTAGCATGAGTTAAAGCACTCACCTATGTTTTGCATTTTAAGCTGATGGGATTTACAGACATTTGTGGTGGTTTTGGGGGCTGTGCCATTGAAGGGACTCTCAAGGAGTGTAAGGAAGGAGAAAGAGGCCATCTTGTACCTATTCAACAAAGACAGTGTTTTTCCAATACTTGCCCACGGTATTCTACAATTAGAGACATCTGTGTGTCAGGACAATGGTTAAAAGGGGTTTTGCAAAGGTGGAGGAAATGAATTTATTGACTAGTAGTGACAAAGCATCTACCTTCAGGCAACTTACAGTCAGTGGTGAAGGTGGGTAAGGACCAAACTCGTCCACTATAAGGTGGTATTTCCCAGTAGAGGTCCATACCAGGCCCCATAACAGCACAGAGGAGGAAGGGCTAAGCCCCCCTGGATGGCCAGCGTGAGACAGTGTGGAAAGAGCAGGAGGCCGAGGAGGGTGATGTGCATCTGAGGATCTGTGAGTGGCTTAGATAGATTGACTGGTGGGTGTACATTGATGAAGGGTGGAGTATGGAAAACAGATAAGTCCCACAGCAAGGGAGGGGAAGAATTCAGTTTTTGAAATTTGGAATTTTAATGGAGTTGGAAATGTGCCACAAGAGAGGGGAGACAGAGAGAGAGAGAGAGAGAGAGAGAGAGAGAGAGAGAGAGAGAGAGAGAGAATTACTTTGGTTGGGGAAATTAAGCTTTCTGACTAAAAGAAAAGGTATCCATCCCCCATCTTTTTTTTAAACTAGAGGAAAAAAGTGCCTTTTAATGACAACTCAGTCCCCGAGATGAGCATCATAAAAACGTGATGCCTGCTGCAGGTGAGTAGCCCTTCTTTCCTCAACAGTTCTTCATAATGAAAGAGCGAGGTTTCAGCCTTCCCCCCGTCTTAGCCTATGCCCTGTGGCACTGACCTGGTTTATCAGAGTTCTGCTGTAGGTGCCACACAGAGCACCAGCACATTCCCAACGTGTGGTGTGATTGTCCCAGGATGCAGGGGACACACATGCTACTTTACTTGCACACTCTGGATTACTCGCCTGTTAATAGTCACATTGCACTGCTTGCTGATCTTAAACCTGCAGGAATTCAAACCTCCTGGCCTTTTACATGTCAATGGCAAGAAGCCATTTTTCTGTCTTTCTCTACAATAGACATATTTGTTTATTTATTTTTAAATTTTAGATTCTGGGGGTACAAGTACAGGTTTGTTACATGGATATGTTTTGTAATGATGAAGTTTGGGCTTCTAGTGAACCCGTCACCTAAATAGTGAACATTTAGGTAATTTTTAACACTCCCCTCCTACCTTCCTGCATTTTGGAGTCTCCAGTGTCTATCATTTCCAGCTTTCTGTGTCCCTAAAACTGACATTTTGGACTTGACAGATAAGAGGTTACCTTTTATGTCTTTATCACTTTTTTGGTCTTTTTGTATACTAATTATGGCTACCACAACTATGAGAAGCCATATTGCATTTAAAAGTGTTTATAACAAAATACTTTCATTTTAATAAGATTGGAAGTAACAATTTAAAAAATAAAAAATACAACTTTCTGGCTGGGCGTGGTAGCTCATGCCTTTAATCCTAGCACTTTGGGAGGCCAAAGTGGGCAGATCACTTGATGTCAGGAGTTCAAGACCAGCCTGGCCAACATGACAAAACCTTGTCTCTATTAAAAGTATAAAAATTAGTCGGGTGTTGTGGTGGGCACCTGTAATCCCAGCTACTCAAGAAGCTGAGACAGGAGAATTGCTTCAACACAGGAGGCAGAGGTTGCAGTGAGCCGAGATCGTGCCACTGCACTCCAGCCTGGGCAACAGAATAAGACTCCGTTTCAGAAAAAAAAACAAAAACCAACCAAACAAACAAACAATAAAAACAAAAACAAAAAACAAAAACAACACACACAAAAAACAACTTTCCTAACAATCTTAATGTTACTGTTATTTCATTTGTCTTGTTCACATACAGAAAAAATCTGTACAGCTTTGCAATCCTAAAATAGACAAAATCTTGCTTTCTGGTTTTGAAGTAACATGCCTTAAACCTTTTTCAGGTTACAACAATCTTCAAAATGAAAATGTAAAATGGTTGCATAATATTCTGTAATGTGTCTATGCCATATTATATGGACATATTCCACTGTTGGACAATCAGGCTGTTTTCTATACATTAACCATATAGAAAGAGCAACAACCTTTTTTACATATTTTCCATTTTTTCTTTTATATTATTTTCCTGGGGTAAATTATAGGGGCCAAATTATGAGGTCAAAGATAAGCAGTGTTTTTATGGTTGTTGAAATGCAATGCCAATTGCTTTCTAAAACCCAGTGCCACCTCTTCCAGAAATGTGACAAACTTTCTAGGATTTCATCCTCATTAGTGATGGCAGAGCCAAGACTAGTTATTGGTTATTGACCAACAATTACAAATTCAACTCAATGGGATGCCATTCTGCCTTCATTTTTTCCGTTTGGTGCTACAAATAGGAGAGCATCTGTGAGATATTTAAAGGCCAGAATCTTGCTTGCTGCCGTATTTCCAGCTTCTCATGCACAGCAAAGGCTCAACAAATATAGTTGAATGAATAAAATGCCTTCTGAATTCTATAACTTTTTTTTTTCTGACATAACATTCATTAACCTCATGAGAAACTGGCTTTGAAGGGAGGATGCTGTCATTCTGTAAGATCAGCTTCTGGCCAACATCTCATGACCTATCCTAGGCTGTGAAGATTTTTTAAGCACTCAGCTCTATTGTGGGTCCTGGGTCCAGTGTTCCAAGTGATATAGTTCTACTGTTGGACCCTGGAAGAAGATTGCAGCTGCAGAGTTCAGGAGCAGGGAGGTGTGTGGGAGGCCAAAGTGTGGGGAATCTGCTTTCCCTGGTTCTCCAGAGACATCCCCCATTTGCTCAGGATGGATCCATATTTACCATCATGCTTGGCCGGCCTCTCTACAGAGATCGCCCTGGAAGGCAACTACTTTGTTGAAATCTTTTTCCTGAAGTCCTTCTCCTTTCTCTTTTTGGATGTATTTATTCACATACATGCTTTGATTGACATGGCTGGCTCCTGCTAGATCTGAGTACCTTGGTAGTACCAGAAGCCAAGTGCTTCACTGTTAGTTGAGTAACAACTGGTTATGAACTAGAGGATCTGTTTATATCTTAATATATCAGTTTATACTAACAAATGAAACAACTGCTATTTTTCCCCTCCATCCCGCTATCAGTTGAGTGTTTATAATGTGCCAGACACAGTGCTAGATGCCTTACATATATTTTCTCTAATCTTTACAACAACCCTGTGAGGTAGGTATCCATATTACTGTCATCTACTGTATCAGTAGGCTCCCAGCAGAAAACAGATGGCCCACTCAAATTAGGATAATTTGCAAAAAGTTCAGTAAAGGGACTCTTTACAAAAGTGTGCTTAGGATGCAGAAAATCTCAAACATAGTGTGCTTGGGGCTAGTACTAGTGGTAGAGCCCCTTTGTTATAAGCCTAAGATTGAAAAGGGCAGAAAGGGAGTGGGTATGGGGTCTGGGGAGGCTGTTTGGGGATGCTGCCAATAGGAGTTGAATCTTTCTGCTGAGGGATAATGTTGGTCCACAGCAATCTTGCAACCCAGTGGAGCAAGGGGAATAAATATCCCAAGGTTATCCTTCTACCTGTCTCCACTCATCCATTGGGAAGCCAGAGGGCCAGGGAGCTTGCTCAGGTGTTCCATACTGTGCAAGGTGGAAAATGGTAATGGCGGGGTGGGGGGAATGAAAAGTATCCAGTACGATCACCAAGCTCAGTGATGGCTCTAGTATTTATCTCATTGTTGTCCTTTTCCTCTCCTAGTCCTATCTCAATTCTTGGTGATGGTGAATTCAATATTCAGGTATTTGATCCATGAACACTGAGGCCTTTCAGTTATTTTACCTCTTCACATCCAAAATCTTTACCTCCTCCAATATCTTTGCCCACTCACATGGTCACACTCATGACTTTGTCATCACCACTAACCTACATTCATTGAGACCTCCAGACCAGGGGTAATTCCTTCTTTTCACTATCTGTTTCTGTCTTCGTGTTCTCACTTTCTGCCTTTCCCAGGTAGGATTCCCAGGTTAATCATTAGTGTCACCTCCCCTGCAGGCTGGGTTACACCCCTGACTCCTTTGCTCCTCTCTGACTCTGTGGTCCTTTTGATAAAACCCAGCTCTGGTTAACACCATCACCTGTCTCCTTCATGTATTCACTTGAGTCAACCCTGTTGGAGAAAATGTACGATTGGGCTAACTGATCTCATTAAAGTTAGGACCAAAATCTCAAACAAGCTCTCATTCAACCAGCCCACCTACTGCATTTCCCTAGAGGAACTGCTCTCTCTCCCTTCAAGTTATTATTTAACATTCCTCTCCTCAAATCTTGTATGCTTTCTCCTCCTGGCTCACTCCCAGATGAGCTTTTCTTTATTACCTAACCCCTACTCCCCACCACCCAAATCCACCAAGCTATCTGTATCTATTAATATGCTGATACCTTACCTCTTCCCTCCTGTCAGGGACATGTTCTGTGCATATTTAAATCCAACCTATCCACTTGTGTTCTAGGTCCTGTCTGCATCCTTTCTCAAGGACTTTGTGCTGCAGATTTCTCCTTTTCTGTATCACCCTTCCTGTAAACTGGATGATTCCCATGGGCATCTAAACATGTTCTAATAGTTTCCATCATAGCATAAACTCACTTGTTCCGCATTCCATTTGTGTTTCTGGCTCATTTCTCTGCTCATCTTCACAGCAGATTGTCTTGATGTTGTTGTCTGTAGATACTCTCCCTGCTTCTTGACCTCACATTCTCTCCTAGTTGACTCCTGATTCTACTTTTCCACCAAAATGGTCCTTGTCAAGGTCACCAATGACTTTTGGGTTTTCAAATCTAATGGTCAGTATTTTGTCTTCATCTTCCTGGCCCTCTCAGCAGTGTTGGATATGGCTGACCACCCTCCTTCTTGAAACAATTTTTCTTATCTTTTCCATGGCAGCTGCTTTCTGGTTTTGCTCCGACCTCACTGGCAGCCCAGACTTAGTTTCCTTTGCTGGCTCCTTATCCTCTGCTTGACCTCTGAATGAGGGCATGAGTCAGGCCTTTCCTTTCTCCCGCTCTACACTACTGCTAGGTAATCTCATCATCTATGCAGTGACTGTGCTGAAATTTTTATCTCTAGTTCAGACCACTCCCTTGCATATTCAAATGCTGCTTGACTTCTCCATTGGATGACTAATAGGTATCTGTAGGAGACACTGCTGGGAGGTCCTGCAAACTCAAATCCTCTTCCTGAATGGGTACCTAGGCTGCATACTTCAGCCTCTCATACCAATAAGTGTGGCCTTGTGACAGATTTCTAGCCATGGTATGAGAACAGAAGTATGTGCACCACTTCTAGGTTTAGCCCATCAAAACCCCCCACAAGAGATCTCCCTTATTCCTTGTCTTTCGTAGACTGATGCATATGAGCTCAGTGACTTTTAAAGCCAAATGTTGAAGATGGAGGGGCCACCACATGGAAGAAACCCGGGTCCCTGCATTGCTATTTGGAGGAGAGCTGCCCACTAAGGAAGGAACCTGGGTCCCTGCATTGCCATTTGGAGGAGAGCTGCCCACTAATCAGGAATAACTGACTTGGATTTCACCAGAGCAAGAAATAAAATCTTATTGTATTAAGCTATTGGATTTTGTTTTTGTCTGTAAGAGCAACTGAAATTACCTAAATTAATACAGCATCTTAACCTTAACCAGCATCTGTCCCTGCAGCTCTTTTGAGTCTCTTTATCCCAAAACTGCCTGTGTCCTGGTCTTGCTCGTATCAGCAAATGGTGCCATCATTCATTGGCTTCTCAGCAGTAGAAGAGTGCCTAGCACACATTAGGTGCTCATCAATGCTTGCTGAATCACTACATCTGACCCTTGATTCATTTATTCCTCTCTCAGTCATCTGATCCATCAGTAAGTCCTGTAAGGTCTATTTCACAATATCCACCTGCTTCTCTCCACCTCTACTAAAACCATCTTAGCTCACATTTCTGCTGCCTGTAACTGGCATTATTGCAGTGACCTTTAACTAGACTCCCCCCTGTGCTCTTTCACCCTTCAATCCAATCTCCTCATAGCAGCTAGACTGATCTTTTGAAAATATAAGTCAGCTCCTATCATTCTCATGGTTCAAGTCCTCCAGTGGTTTCCCATTACATTTTGAATAAATTCTCAGTCCTAATGATGGTCTAAAGGGCTCTCTGTGGCCTGGCTGCTGCTTCCCTCTCTGAGCTCATACTGTTCCACTCACTCTTTGCTCATAAAGCTCTGGCCACACTGGCCTTTTTTCCGCCCAGGAACACCTCAGGCTTACTCCTGCCATTGGACTTTTACTGTAGCTGTTCCTTCTGTCTGAAATGCTCTTCCGTGCTTTCCCCACGGCCAGCTTCTTCTCGTCATTTCAGTTATCAGCTTAGTGCTATCTGCAGAGAGGTCTTCTCTGGTCTAAAGAAGCCCTACACTCACTCCCTTTCACAGTACCTTGTTTTATCTTTATCACCACACTTACAACTATTTGACATTTTCCTAAGAGTGTATTTTATGGTCTTCCCTCTGCCCCGACAAGGGACTTTGCTTACCTTGTTCGACACTGTGTTGCCATCACTAGTAACAGTATCTGGCTTTTAGTGTATGCCTAATACGTGGCTCAGGAAAATTAAGAAATTTACTTAAGCTTCTACAAGTTCAAACACAATGGTGCTTCTTTGATTTATTCAGGGCTCATACATGACTTGGTCAGGCTTGTTGCCAAGATGAGTACTGTGAATTATTGTTATTATTTTTTTAAAGTTTTTAAATTTTACAAAAGTAATGTTTTTATTGAAGAAAATTTAGAAAATGTAAACAAGCAAAAAAAATAAATAATTAAAAGGTAGCTGTAATACAGCATCCCTGTGCTAACCACCATCAATATTTTGGTATGTTTGTTTGTTTATTTCCTTCCTTCCTTCCTTCTTTCCTTTCTTTCTTTCCTTTGTTTCTTCTCTTTTCTAATTCTTTGTACACATGTTAAACAAAAGTGGCATCATTTTCTCACAGTGGAATATTGGACAAATCTCTTCATATAATATTAGTTTTGCTCAATAAGCATCTTCTTAGAGAGCACTTTAACTCAATGCCAAGTTTAGTGGTAGGTGTGTCTGTGAAAAGTTTTATTGGGTCTGCCACATGGATGCAGCCTCTGGTCATGGTATTGTACCTCTGCAGGCATTGGATGATGCCTATTTATCACTGCCGCTGTCCTGCGGGTGGTGGTGAAAGTCAAGTAATGCTATGCTCTCTGTGGTTAATTTTTTTGTTCTTAAAGCTAAAAAGTGAGAGACCTATTGCAGAATTCTGTGACCCAGCTGGTTCAGTGGTGACAGGCTAACGTCTCCCAGAGTGACTGTAGCAGCTTGCAGATTGGCAGTAATGAAGCTGACCTCTATTACATGTAATAAAAATAGGACTCTTAATATAAACCTAAACAAGAGAGGGGCACAGTAAGGGCTGCATTCTTTTTGCCTTAGGTCCTGGCAAATTATCATGTAGTTACTGAAGTCCTAAAAGGCAAGACATTCAGTGATAGTTTAGTTACAATTTACTTTTAAAATGCTGTACATTAATAGAATAATTATACTAATATAAGACATACTAATATAACAGACAAAGGGCAAATGATGTCAAACTTAATATCTTGGAGGTACAAAAAAATTTGGCTTTTTAATGGTGTATTTGGTGGATTGGTCTAGAGCTATATTTTGACACTGATTTTGGTCAAAGGATAACCATTGTGTGTGAATAATTGAAGTGAATCAGTCTCTCAGCTCATGTTGCTATGTACTCAGATGCTATAGATAAATCTTAACAATAGACCTCTTCTGTAGTTCTACAAGGGGATTTTCTATAAGATGTGGTGTGGCAGGCTGAGTTATGTCCCTCCAAAGATATTCACATCCTAATCCCTGGAACCTGTGAATATGTTATCTTACAGGGGAAGAAAGACTACAGATATGATTAAATTAAGGATCTTGCAGTAGGGAGATTATGCTGGATGATTAGGATAAGCCCAATATAATCGCCAAGGTCCTTATGAAAGGAAGGCAGTAAGATCAGTGTCTGAGAGAGAAGATACAAGGATAAAAGTAGAAATCAGAGAGGAGTGAAGATGTTATTCTCCACCCGGTTTTGAAGAGAAAGAAGAGGCCACAAGCCAAGGAATGCAGGTGGCCTCTAGAAGGTGAAGTTAAGCAAACAATTTCTTTCCTAATGCCTCCAGATGGAATGAAGCCCTGTGGACCCATTTTAGATTCTTCACCTCCAGAACTGAGAGATAATAAATTTCTATTGTTTTAAGCCACAAAGATCATGGTAATTTGCTACAGCAGCCATGGGAAATTAATACATATGGTCAATTTATAATTCATGAGAGACTCTAGGCCAGAATGCATGTCAACTCTGATCAATAGGTATGTGATGCCTAGGGCTCTGGGTTAAGAATGATTCTGAGGCTGAGTCTGTTCAGTGAGAGCATTACCACAATCAATCAGCAATGACTGCTAAGGGTTCAGGATGCACTTCTCTGCCTCAGACCTAAGTGTTTTTGGGGTGGGTAGGAGAGCATAACCTGCAGAGCCTAACAACAGGCCATTGCATGCAGCGCTGAAAGATGAGCTCTACACTGGGCCCTGATAGAAACGGAGATTGCCTAGGTATGTGGGTTTCAGTGAATGATGCAGCTGAGCTTTCTTGAAAGGGGAAAGTTGTTGGCTTTACCCAAATATCTGGATATCCTAGAGGCCTTGGTTCCACTTATGTCTGGTGATCCCACTAACTTATAATTTTGGGTCATTTGATATCCTGTTATTCCAGTTTACTAAAAACAAACTAAGCAAAATCTATTTTGGGGTAAAGTATGAAAAATTACCCATTTTAAAAATCACGGAAGTTAGTACATCTTGCTTGTAAAAATCGAGCCACAGAATGGTTAATAAAACCTGGGATATATTATTTTTTTTAAAACTCTCTTTTCATTTGCTTTTAACTTTACCCGCTTTTCCCTATACCTCCCTTTTGGGACATGAATACACAACACCCACGTTCATGGAATCAGAGTCTTCTGGGAACAGTTGTACAAACTTGAAGATGAATCATGACTTGAGTTTTGAGGACTGTCTTGGTGAGTTAGAACCAAGACCTGCTGTTTGTTATTAACAGCCTGGATGCTATTATCTATCCTCTTCTTTCTATGGTACAACTACAATCTGTGAACTCACAGAGGACCCCCTTGGCAGCTGCAGGACATAATTACCACATTCCAGAATACCTTTTAGGCGTTTGGATCTATGGCTACCTCTTTGGATTGCTCCCCTGCTAACTAATATGTTACTGGCTTGACACAATTGACAGCCGGCTGTGCCGGTGGCAAAAGGACTGCCTCTGGGGTTGTCTCAAAATGAGGTTAATGATGGGCTAGATGAGCTCTCTGGGTTTTTTAGACATCATCTACCTGGGAGTGGAATGTGTGTGAGGCTCTGGTATGATGACAGCGGGGGCTCTCACCACACAGTGAGATGTACCAAATGGGCCAATTATTCTTCTAGGTGGATCATGGAAATTGTTTTGCTAATTTTGAATGTAATTAAAACAAAGCAAAGCAAAACAAAGCTAGACCATTCTTGCATCCACAAAAGGCCAGGAGTGATGAGTTGCAGAAGCCAGTGAAGTTGCATTTTCTCCTGGGTGATGGGGGGATGGGTTTCTTCAGCTTGTTCTTCCGTGTTCCCGCATATGACTGGGACAAGCCACAGGGTAATGAGGTTTGGGCTGAAGTTTCAGTCTCTGACTGAAAGGAGACTTTGTCATTATTCTGATCAATTCACACATATTACAGATATGGAAGCAAAGGCCTGTATGGGGAAAATGCTTTCTCAGGGATACTTAGTTTGTTAGCAGAGGAGTCAAAACCAGAATTTATTTCTCCCAAATTCTAGCTGGGGAGGGAGAAATCCTGAGGTTCTGCTGACTACCCATTGGATTGAAAGATTCTCATCCAAATATTGAACATCTTCTGGGCAGGAATTATGATTGCTCATGTCTATACCCCTAACACCTGCTACCTGGACAGTAGGAGGTGCTCAGTGAATGTTTGTTGAATGAATGAATAAATGTATGTACCACAGATAGTTCAGGGAGGTGGGAGAGTTGAAAGTTTCATCCACTCTTAGAAACCAGAATAGGCCTTCTGAAGCAGGGGATTGGCTTTATCTTTATTGTCTTGTTTTTTTCTTAACTTTCATTAATCTTGCAATTATATTAAAGATATCTCATGGAGTCCAAATGTCTAAAAATCTAATTACCTCTATAGAGCTGTGCCATCCAATGTAGTTGCCAATAGCCATTAAGCATTTGAAATGTGGCTAGTTTGAATTGAGATTTGCTATAAGTATGGAATACACACTCAATTTCAAAAACTACAAAAAGGGAATATAAAATATTTCAGTAATTTAAAAAATATTGATTATATGTTGGAAGGATAATGTTTTGGATATATTGAGTTAAACATCTTATTAAAACTAGTTTCTCTATTACTTTTTTTTCCAATTTGGCTACTGGAAAATGTACAATTACACAGGTGGCTCACATTTGTGGTTTGCATTGTTTTCTATTGGAGAGCATTGCCATAGAGCACTCGTTTTTGTGTTTGCTGGCCAAGTGGGTTGGATGGATTAAGAAGTTATTTATTTGATGAAGTATCAATTAGTTAGTGACTTTTATGTAAATATCCAGAGGATTACTACTACGTACCATTTGGTGAAGACATGCCTTCTTAGATCAGTTCCATTAGTAGATCTCACCATGTGTGAGTGAGAGACCAAATCTCAGAGAGGTTAAGTGCCGTGGAGCAGGATTAGAAGATGGACTTGTAGGACTTCAGATTTGTGCTCTGAGCCTCAGCTTTTTCAAACATGGTCCCTAGATGATGGCGTGGTATGTTCAGGACTGAGGGATGCCACTAACACTTTATTACTCATATTAGTTAAAGGATCAAAGTTTGTGATTGCTTTTACTTATAAATTAGAGCAAATTCAAGGCTATCTCTGTGCATTCCTTTCTTACTTATTCCTCTTACTTACTTGAATTCTGACATATTTCCTTCTAAAGGGGGAGCAGGCAGGGAATTGGGTACACTCATAATAGGTTAATGGACACAGTCTCACCCTATACCACTCTCTCTCGATGACTATGTACTAGGCAACAAGTCAAGTGTCTTTTGATATCTGACCCCACCAAATTCTTCCCAACCTCAGGGCTTTTGCACTTGCTCTTTCCTCTCCTTGAATGTAAGTGGAAGTTAATGCCCCCAATTTTAGCACTGTGAGTCTTTTCTCATCCTTTTGGTCTCAGCTTAAATGTTATCTCCTTGGAGAGGCCTTCACTGGGTTCCGAGTCATTCCTACCTGGTAGAAGCTATTTTTGACCTTCTTTGTCTTTTCATGTCACTTTTCCTAATCTGCAATTATTTTTATTCACTTTTGTATGAATATCAGCTTCACAGGAGGAGAGACAGGTTGCTCTTGTTTACCTCTGTATCCCAGTCACCTACCTGCTTTTCCCTATACCTCCCTTGTGTAGGACCTGGTAGAGACCTGGTAGAGAATAGAGGGTCCATACCTATTCGTTGAATAAATGCATGAATGAATGAAACAATTGGCATACCTAGGAACATAGCAGCTGAAATTATATTTCATCTCCAGAATTGGCCACTGTTTCACACAGGCAGTGGTCACCCCTGGGGAGTGAATCTGTTTCTAGATTGCATTCATGTAAGGCATGTTTGGAGAAGGAATACAGAAGGCAATGGTGTAAGTCCTTGAAGGTCTGAGGTCACATCTGGAAAAGAATGGCTGGACTGGGCTGGGTGAGAAAATGTGGTTGGATGCAGCAAAATTTTTTTCTACATACAAAGCAGAATCATCACTTTAAAACCCCTGGGTCTACTACTTCTTTAAAGCTAAGCAGGTCCTTAGTAAATCAGGTGGCCTCAATATTTTTGTCCTATATCCAATATATTAATAGTATCACTTACTATTTTGAAGGACACACTATTAGTAATCCTTTGTTTAATCTTAGCATAATTTACTCTCCATTTTCTCCTAAATTTGGTGCAGAAAACTTTCAAAAATGATGAGAAATGGAATGAGTTTTGTCTTGAGAATTTTATCTAAAAACTTTCAATATACTTCAGATAAGGGAAGCCACCTTGCAGCTTTGCAAATTCGAGATTGGGAAACAGCAGAGTAAGGCAGGGAATGTTTCTGGGTAACCTGGGGTTGGTGTGGGGACATCCCACATAGGCTTTTTTTTTTTTTTTTTTTTGCAAGTGATGACTTTTACAAAGAAACAGATGGGCCCTTTGAGGTTGCTGTTCCTGCCTGAGTTCAGGGAGGTTCCAGGGTAGGATTTAGTAGCAGAGGGCATGGAGCCATCTCAATGTGTTCAGCTCTAGGTTGCTTGACTGGCTGCCATCACTTTTTGCCTCCTGCTGACGTCACACACACATATCTTCCCTGTTGCTCCTGGCTGGCAGGAGAGCTAAGGGCAGCTGCTTCCAGGTGTGACCACTGTTGAGCCAAGCTCCTGTCACAGCCCTTATTGCCATGTAGAAGCAGCTTCTACTGAAGTTAAGCCCAAGGTAACACAGATCAGCCCTCTGTATTACTTCTCCAGGGTTGCCAGCTCATTTTAACCCAGACTGGTCAAAAATTAATATCCCATCATTTCAGCTTGCAAAGCCATTCAACACTAGGTCAATGTGAATTCAATAGAATTTCATATCACTTACAATAAAGACTCTGGCTTTTTTGAAAGTGCATACAGAAAAAAAAAAAGATGAAGAGAGATGAAGCTGCAGATCCCTGGGCCAGTTGTCAAAGGGAAAAAGCCTTTATGCCAGCGACAGGAGCTAAGCCCATCCTTTTTGGTTCTTTTAAAGTGAAGGTGGGTTTGAGCAGAGAAAATCCTATTGTGTTGAATGATTCTGTCGGGAGAGAGGTAGAGACTTTGGAATATAAATGAGTGCTAGCGAGTTGGAGAATTAAAACTCTCCGTCATCCGTGTATTATGGGCTTCATGTGTGATAAACATGCGTGTTTCCAGATTAACCCCAGCCTGCCAGGGCCTGTTTAATGGTATTATTGTTAATAGCATCTTTGATCCCAGTGTGTGTTTACCATACTTGTCTGGGAGACATCTGTGCTGAGTGATGGTGGGGCCTGGCTTGAGCACATGTAGGATCTTGGGAGGGAAGTAGGTGACTTTCAGTCCACAGAGACTTAGGATACCTTATCATGGGGGTGGGGTGGGAGATGAGGTAGGGAAACTTGGGGTGTGAAGAAGGAGAAAGTCTACAGAGGAATTCGCAATTCTTAAGATTACTCTAGGTCCAGGTTCAGTGCTTGGTTTAGAAAAAGCAACTAATTTTGGAAATTGGGTATGAAGGGAAGTAAATGTGGGGAGAGGAAAGAGGGTAGTAGACACAAGAAGAAATATTTGAGAGAGTGAGAGAGAGAGAGCGTGCGAGAAAGAAAGGTTTGGTAGGGGGAACACTGGTTGGTAGAAGGGAAGGTCGTGTGGTGAAAGGAGGGTAGCTATCAACTCTTCTGCCCATGGTCTCCCCCAGGCCCTGTCCCTGCCTATGTTCTCAGTGGCTTATGCAGAAAAAAAGGGGGACAGGAACGGGAAAAGTCTGTAAGGCACTGAGAAGCATTCTTCTCCCTTTATCTTCTCCTCTCCTTTATCTTTCTTTCTCTTTTTGTATCTTTTCTTCCTTCCTTTACTTGCAAGTTCAAACATTTTGGTGAAGTTTAGCCTGAGTGTTGGAACTACCTGTTCATCTTTGGGCAAGTCTTTTAATGCCCCTCGTTCTGAGATTCTCCATCTGCATGGTAGAAATGAATTGCTTGTACATCAGAGACTTTGTTCTTCACAATGTGCACACCAGTCAGAGGTAACTGAAGGTACACATTATTTATGTTGTTAAATAATGTATGTGTGTGTGTGAATAATATTTGAAAAATGGAGCTACAAGAAGTGAAATGTATCTTAAAATGTGCAATACAATAGCAAATGTCCCATGACAGTTTTTCTTCTTTCCTGGTCACTTTGTGAGGATTATTCAACTAATGTCTTGGAAGTGCGGTGTTCTGGGCATGCAGGAAAAGAGGTCTAACCCCCTTGCATCATGCAGGGCTCAAGGAGGATTTTATTTTTCCCAAGAAAAGATGCCAATTGCAGTTATTCTGAGTAACAAACAAAACATTACATCTTACGACTCAACATTGCTTTACGTCTGAAATAATAAATCCTGATATACCATTCTTTGAGGAATCATCTATTCTTGTGGCTTTTTCCCATGGAAGGCCTTGACATCTGGTTACAAGGATGGAAAAGAAGGTGAGTTTAATTGACCAATTGACCAACCAACCAAACATCAACCAAAATAAAGGAATATGGAGATTTCAAATGCACTTTGAAGTATATCTAGTGTTAGGTCAATTGTGAAGGGTTCCAGTTGTTACATTTTCACTCCTTTCATGGCTGGGACATAGGCATATGATCAACCCAGGCACTACAGAAGTTCCAGGTGGTGGAGAAGTTGACAAGATTTCCCCATGCACTTAGACAAGGGCAAGGTGTCCCTTTGCTTACTGGAGCAGATGGCTTTGTACAAGCTCTTTAGGATAGCCCATGTCCTGGTTTCAGCTCAGATCATTGAACTGGAAACATGCGTGTCCATAGAGACACTCACCTTGGACAGTAGTCATCTGTCTTTTTTGCCTTTTACATCTCTCCCCTTTTCTGATGTTTTGCCCTTGAATGAAGCTTCTGAGTGGCCTGGTTGTTGAAGCAGATGGTCTGGTCATTGCCTGGACTCTCCAAACAGTAGGCCTTCTGCTTTAAAACAATTTTTTTAAATAACCAGCTTTAGCTGTAAAATGACTGTCAACTTGTAACCTTACTGTTTACACCACAATGTGCAATAAAGATGGCAGAGGCTGTGAGAATACCTGCCTGGCAATTGTACTTTTGTGTGTCAGGCCAAGAAGTGCTAAAAGCTTTCAGAAATTTCAACATTTCTGACTGTGGGAACCATTTTTACAAGAATCTTTTTACAACGGAGAAGACGTTATTTCAGAGAGAAGTCAGGGATAAGGAAGCAATGCTCATTTTGAGCATGAAGATGCCTCATGTACATGAAAAAGCAGTTGAAATTCTTGCTTCTTTTCCTCCCTCCCTCCTTCCTACCTGCAGTCCCTGACTGCAAATCCCCTTGTAATTATCCTCATCACTAAAGTCTGGAAGGCTCACCTTCCACAACAGGGGATATTAGAAGGGCTAAATGTCTCCCACCGCACAGGGAGAAATATTCCTTTGTTTGAAGAGGAAGTTTTCTCATCCAAAGATTATGTCCCCCTGTGACTGTGCCATGATCGGAAGAGAGAGAGATTTTCACGTCCCCTGTGACTGACTGTTGTGGAAAACACAGTAATATCAGGGTTTAAGGTGGGGAGGTGGGAGTTTCAGAAGATTTTGAGGGGGTCTCTTTGCCATTGAAAGGTAGTATAACCATTTTCCGGGATTAGTGAAGATAGGGGGAGGAAGACACGCTGCCTAGGGGATGCTGCTGTGTTAGGTGCCATCATTCTCGTGTTTGGAAATCCTTCTCTGTCTGTTTTGGACATGTGTTCTGTGAAAGCCAGTCCCTGGGGGAGAAAAATGGTACTAGTACCATAGTTCGTTCCAAATCGGTGTCCAGTTTTGACATTCAGCTGATAAAGTGATGTTTTTCAGGCCTATCCGTTAGGGACATCAGAGTTAGGGTAGAAAACACCTATTGGTTCTGCTTCATTAGGTATTTATATAACCTGAAAGAAGTTCTTTTAACTTGAGGCTTTTAAAAATACAATGAAATGATTGGTGGAAAATGACTAAATATACACTTTGATGCAGATTAAAAACGGTTTACATGTAAGTAATTTAATAGTAAATAAATCATTGGTAAATTACAAATATGTTATTACCACAGTGTAGTTTTGTTGTCAACTACTAAACTCGCCTCACTGGGGTTTTGATAAAGTGTTAGCCAAGAGTGATTTGGGGCTGGATCCAACCTGTAGGCAGTCCAGGGCCTGTGGGTTTACCTTGGGTCCTCTGAGGGTCTTGGGTCTTTGTACACCCTCCTGTATGCCAGGGCAGACAGATCTCATTGACTTTGACTCACACTGAACCAAGTGTGATTTTGGGATGGATCCATTTCTTAGGCAGTACAGGATCCAGGGATTTGCTCCTAAGTCCATGATGGTCTTGAGTCAGACCTAGGGGTGATAGATTAATAGTAAGAGTGTCCCTTCTCCTTGTCCCCAGCCATGGCAGACAGATCTAATTGATTAAGGCCTAGTTAGCCTTGAGTCTAGATGCAGCTTCACCATTCCCAGGCAGCCTCAAGAGTTGAGCTGGGAGATGCAGCCCATTGGTTATCCATAATGCACCACGCCCTGATGTTTGAATTGATGTCCTCATCTCAGGGCTTCTTAGAAATCCTATTTTCAATGGCTTGAAGTTCAGTCCTTAAAGTAAAGACCCTTACTGGTCCACACAGGGTTGGTGTAGTTTTTATTCCTTATTGCTATTCAACAAATCCATGTGATATAAACATGAACATCACATGGTAGAGAAGAGAGAATTGTGTTGTCTTATCTGAGCTTGGATCCTGGTTGTTCCACCTACTAGTGGTGTGATGTTAGGCAATTATCTCTTTGAGCATTGGGCATTTATCCCAATGCTCAAAGATATAATTGTGTAAGATTTGCCTCGCACGGTCATCGTAAGAGTAAGAGATGATATAAATAACCTCGCCTATTTCCTGATACGCTTTAAGCACAAATAAATGGTGGCCATTATTAGCACTACCACAGGAAAAAGAGACTAGTGCAGTGTGTTGTGGACATTCACGAAATGCTACTCTCTCTTTATCCTGTTTATTTCCTTTGTAGGCGTTATCACAGACTATATTTATTTGTGTATGTGTGTTTATTTATTTTTCAGGTCATCTCCACTAGCAAGTTAGCTCCATGAGGAGCTTATTGATTTCTTTCCACAACATAGCTCAATGCTTGATGTGTAGTCGTCACTCAATAGATATTTGCTAAAACACCAAATTTGCTTTATTTTTCTTAATAAAATAATAATCTGCAAGAATGCATAATGCAGCTCTCCTCTATGATCCCCCCTCCCCACCCCACAGAGGCTTGCAGGAGATTGTATGAAAGTGCTGTCTTCTTGGCATTGTAGGGAGTGGAGGGGTTAATAGGCTTCTGGGGCTTTATATCAGGAATGGGAGTCTCTGCAGGGCTGGAGGCTGCCTGGAAACCTTTCTCTCACTTCCAATAGCTGTGGTGTGGATCTCACTGCAACAGTCCTGACTGCAAAGGAGCTGTCTGCCCCAAGGTTGGACTTGGCAGGGCTTTCCTGTTGAAATATTTCAGGCAGACACTGTAAGGCTGTGCTGTCAATAAGTAGCCACATGTGGCTGTGGAGCCCTTGAAATGGGATAGTCCAAACTGAGATGGGCTGAAAGCGTGAAATACACAAGGGATTTTGAAGACTATGTAGGAAAAAAATGTAAAATATTTCATTAATAATTCTTAATATCGATTACATGTTGAAATGATGATATTTTGGATATATTAGGTTAAATAATATCTATGATTAAAACCAGGTTTATTTTTTTCTTCTTGCTTTTTAAAATGTGGCCACTAGAAAATTTAAAGTGACATATGTGGCTCACATTTGTGCTGACCTTATATTTCTCTCTGCCAGCCCTAGAATGGGACACACTCTCAGGGCAAAATAGAGGAAAGAGCTGTGGGCCAAGTGTCCAGAGCTAGTCTCAGTCCTGCTTCTACAAGAATTCGATATGTGATCTTGAATAAGCCACCCAAACATTCTGCACCTTAGGTCTTTCTGGAAAAGTCTATTCAGAGGCTTTGATACTTAAGAAAGAAACAATAGCGTTAAACTACACTACAGTTACAAGATGCTATTGTCTTATTTCCATTATTAAAGCCACTTCGGAAAATGTCTGTGGTGCAGGCAGCCAAACTTTCCTGATTCTGGGAAGAATGTATGGAGGCCTTGTTCCATCTGCACCAGGCAGACTCTTTGAGGGAAGAACCCAAGGCAGGAATCTCTACCTTTTGGAGCTGACTGAATGATAACTGAGACTTTCCAATCATGTGGAAATTCCCTACAAAACCCCAACTTTTATGAAACAGATTGATAAACTGTAAAAGTCTCATCCTTAACACCTTTGCTCCCCTTATGAAGTCAATGTTATTTGTAACTACTGGAGACTCATTCAGGATAAAACCCAGGTCAGTACCTGGACATAGTTGGTGCCCAGTAAAATGTAACAAAATGACCTATTGACCTGGGAAATGAGGACCTTTCCATGTATTAGAATCTCTTGAAAAGCTTCCTCTTCCACAATCCCTGCTGAGAAGGAATCAGAACTCTGTTGATATTGTTTATCTAATTTAGACTGTGTCTATTTAATTTAGCTTGTGTCTTTCTAATTTATATTGTGAGCCCTCTCGACTGAAATTGAGTCTCTCTTAATGTTCTGTATGGTGTCTACTGTGTTTTCTATGCTCAGATAATATGAACAATAAGAAACATTTTAGGTTCTTGATGTGCTTTTTTGTTAATGTCAAATTCTTTGGAGGAGAACCTCCTTCAGAAGTTTGGGATTTTTAGATTGTGTCTGTATGTCTCTCAAACATATGGGAAAAAAGTGGAAAATTCCCAGACCTAGTATTTATAAATATTCGAATATAATTTATAAATAGATGGAGGAATCTTCTTATTTTAAAAATCCAGTTATTTGACATTATGTAGACATAGTCTTGTGCTCTGATATTTCTTTCACCTACCTATATAATTACAAAGTAGTATACATTGAGTGTATCTGTCTTCTGGTAGATAAAACTCAGGTCCCTACTGTCAGTTGCTTGCAATTCCATTCCCTGTGGGTGCACAGAAGAACCTGCATGTTGCATTTCAATGTATCATTTAACTCCCCTTTATTCCTTCCTCCAGTGTGGAGTGAGAGAGCAGGAATGGGCTCTGGAATCTACCTGTACTAGAATCTGTGCTTTCTCAACTTGGTGGCCTTGGGCAAATTATTTATCTATTTAAGCCTTAGTTTCTGTAAGTCGCTTTAGGGTAAATTATATCGAGCTAGCTTAGTTGTTTGAGGATAAAATTTGATCACCTCTATATAATGTGTGGAACTCAGTGATAGGCTTTCTCATAAAAAGCTAGGTCAAAAGGACACATTTGACTTTTTAAAAATTCATAGATATGCAAGACTGCATCTACTCAGTACTTCTCCCCCACCCAAAGGATACCTGTTTTGCAATGAATTAATATCTCTGCAAAATATTACTCACATGTTTATAATTTTCCATGCCTACTTTGCAAATGGAGAAATGGAGTTACTTGAAGATAGAGCCCAATTGCTCTCAGTTTAGGCTGTCATGTTCTTTTGTCAGAGTAACTCAAGTATGAAAATACTGACCTCTCCTCCACAGTGAAGAACCCACTCAACACCATCTACTTTACTTTAATATCCTCCAGGAGAATGGGAAGTCCCAATGCACAGGTCAACCCCTGAACAATTAATGAGCACCAGTGTATGCCAGGCATTGGGAAGGTTTCAAAGAAAACCAAGAGGGTCCCTGTCCTCAAAAAACTTGACATCTGACGGGTGAGTCAGAGCACATAAATGCACATGAAAACAGTAACAAGGCAAGGCAAAGCAAGTCAACATATTTGTTGAATCCCCACTATATGTGAAGGCATATATTAATGTCTTGTTCCTGGCACAGCAATAAGGGGTATAGGCTTCCGGCAAGGGAGGGTTTGCTGAGTGGGGGAGGAGTCAGGGAAGGTTTCTGGGGGCTAATCTAAGGCTGTGGTTCTGAACCTTACTGAGCATCAGGTTACCTGAGCCCTGCCTCCCGAGATCAGCAATCAGCGGGTCTGGGGCAGGGGCTGGGATTCTGCGTTTCTAACAAGCTTTCGGGTGATGCTGCTGCTGCTGTTCCTCGGACCACATTTGAGTTGTGAGGCTAAAGGATGAGTTGTGCCTAGCTCTGGGAGCAGAATTGTGGGGGCACCCCCATTGTGCATTTCTGGCCTTTTCCTTCCTTATGTCCTTTACAGGGGTATGCCTTTGTTGCGCTTGGCCCGTGCCACGAGGTTTCACCCAATGACGGAGCAATGGGCTGCATCTGCTCTTTATTCACAAAGAGGAAATTCCTACTTTGCTGCCATGGCCTTGTTGCTCTGCCTTCTCTTTCTCAAAATATTTGTATTTGAACACGAACTCTGCCTCTCATCTCACCCCGTCCCACCTCCACTCAACCTCAACTCTTATTTTGGCAGCAGTGAAGTTGCTGCGCTTCCCATTTGAAATAACTTTAAAGAGGAATAATCCCACAAATTACAATTACTGGTATTTATCCAAGTAAAACCCAGTATCCTGTTGCTTTGTTGACAGCAGGGCCCAGCCAACTGTTGGGTTAGCGGGGGCTGAGGAAGTTAAAAGGAGGGCCTGGTTGAGTTGCCTCACCATGGGAGGAGAGAGGCATGTACAATCAGATATTTAACACTCCTCAGCAATTATGGGAGTTTTTATTCTCTCCCTGGCAAAGAACATAGCCCTTTACTGCAGTGTTTCAAGTTTGCCTACAAGGCTGTCTGATAGAAGTGCTTTTATCCCCTGAAGATACAGTATAAAATACAAATCATCATTGGTTTTATCTCAGCTGGAGCTGCTGCTTCTCCAAATACATTTACTCTGTTCAACTGCCCATCAGACCCATTTTCATCCTTCACCCCACTCCTTGACGATAGCTGGGTTTAAGGCCTTTCTTCTGTTCTTTGTTCCTTTAGCTCAGCGAAGTAAACAGCAGGATTGATCTTACACTGCATTTTGGTATTGTTCCAAGTACTCATCTATAGACACGGCTGGGAATGCACTGACTGGAAAGGAAGGGCAGATGGAAATGCACTTCTTGTTCTTTGTGCCTTTTAGTGTGCAGCGGAATGTCCCTAATCTGAGGGCTGCTACACTGGCTGCCGATCGACATGCAAATTCATCATCAAATGATGAGTCCCATATTAGTTCTAAGGGAAGTCTTTAAAGATACCAGGGAGGAAGAGGGAGAGAGGGAGGGAGGGAGAGAGAAAGGAAGAGAGAGAGAGAGAAAGGGAGAGAGAGAGAGAGAGAGAGAGAGAGAGAGAGAGAGATATTTAGAGAAAGGGGGCTTTTCTTCATTGCCTCTTACATCCAGGTCATTACAGTGTCTTGGGAAAGAAGAAGGGGGATAAATAGCTGTTACGTTGTTGTGTTTCTCTTTGCATTGCAACTGTTCACAGGTGCACGAAGACGTAAAATGCTGTGCTTGGAAAGTGTTTATTTTAAAAGCAAGGTATTTTAAGTTAGAGATGACTTAAAATCAGAGATGGTGGCCTAAATGAGAAAAAGTATTGCAAAGGATGGTTGTTTTCTTTTTGCTTTGTCATTTTTCTCCTCAGTTATTTGGAAAGCATATCTTAACTGGGCTATTTTCTGTATTATTTTTTAATTAAAAGAAACCAACAGTATTTTGACTTGTAGCTTTAAAAAAGAAACCAATGTGTGGCTTAGTTAAATTGGAGGCTTAAAGATGCTGCTTTTATGGGTAACACATTAGTCAGTTATATTGGAAGATGATAAAAGTGAATTGGCTAAATGAACCTTTGGATTTGTTTTGTTGAAGTTCCACCAGTTATTATAATGCCTTTAGGTATTTTTGAGAGGTAACAGGCTGGAGGAAGAGTTTATAGAATTATCTTGTCTTGTATACTCCTTAACAGCAGGACACATTCCACTGCCTATCAGATGATGGGTGTGGAGATAGCCTGAGCTTACATTGATTATGTGGAAAACATCTCTGCTTTGCAAGAGGTCTGCAATTTTAAGGGGCAATTAGGCAATCTTATACCCTCCCTACCTCAGCTTTAAGAAAGTATAGTTTCTGTTTCATTTCCATTAATAGTCATATCATGACAGTTACTTCTGTGAAGTTTTCCCTCAACACCCACCTTTCCCTACAGTATCCTACCTAATTCTACCTTCCTGTGACACTGGTCATTCCCTCCTTCGTTCTGGAAATATACTTAGTACATGTTTTATCATACACATGTAGTCTGTTTTTGGTTATCTAGGTTTGCATTGACCAGTTTGTGGATTGTGTTTTTTAATATACTTATAAAAATGTTATAGTTACCAAGACTGTGTAGACTTCTCTTGTTTAGAACTATAAGGTAGTAAGGTATTCACTGTAACATAGCCATAGCCCCCACCCCAAATCTTTCCAATTAAAAGTGCAAGTACATCATTGGCAGTCATTTGTATAAAATTTAATAGTGCGGTGTTAGTGAATAGTTATATGTTTAAATACAATGAGGTTACCCAATAACTAAGACATAGAAATGGAAAAAAAAACCCTACACAATACTTTACACACTACAAAAACTTTGAAAAATGTGTAAAAGGGTAGAATATAAAACCAAAACCAAACAAATTAAATTATACATATACAAATGTAAGTGGTTTAAGGTAAAAACAAAGAGATGAATTAATTTATTTTGCATTCTCAGTGAATTGGTGAAGCTGACTGATAAAAAAAGGCAAAACCAGTAAATAGATCCTCTTATAACAACCTTGATAAGGCAGTGCTAGTTTAGTGCCATTGGCAATGGGCAAACAAAACCGTGTCTGGATTGATCTGTGGTGGACAAGGAAAATATTTCTTTGGCACTGTTGGAACAGATGGTATCTTTGATTCATATTTTGGAGATTAAACAATATCAAACGGGGCAGGGGATTCAGAAACTGGCATTTGAGACCCTTAGCAATGGTGACATAGTGGGTGGTATGGGAGATACCTTCTGCCATGAGGAGGGGCTAGCTAAAAAGCAAGATCACACTGGCACATTCGGATCGACTGTTGGCTAACCTCCTTAAGAGATGTGCAAGGGTTTTTCTGCAAATAAGTTTGCTTATGTAAATGAGTTCACATTTAGTTTAAACATCAGTTTACATTAAAACCATTTTAAACTATATTTCAACTAGTTATTTTTAAATTCACATTTTGAGCTTGATGTGACCTTCCTCCCCTGATTTTCTTAAATATTGAAGGTCTCTGGGAAGTAACTGTTTATGAGTTTGCCTGTGAGCATCTGAAGGAAAAAGATCCTTTTATTAATTCAACTCTGTTTTCCTAGTCCATAGCCCAGAGTAAGTGCTCATAAATGTTTATTAAATGAATGTTTGAATGAATAAATAAATAGATGAATTAAGATGTCTTAGCTTAGATGACCTTGGTCAAAGGTATTTATTATAGAACGAGAAAAGAGCTCAAGAATCCAGCCCTTTGCCTCTAACTTGTCCTGAAAATTTCAGGCATCTGTATTGTCCTCCAAACACTGGGACAGTGTGCTTGTTTTGGGATTCCTGGTTCACCCTTAGCCTGCTTTCCCAGGGAACTGCTTGTGCTCCTAATTTTTGTTAAAAGGAACTGAGAATTGGGGTATTGAGAGGCCAAGTTCATTGACAGATGGACAAAACCCAATGGCATTCCTGTAGGAGTCACCTAGTTAGGTAAATAGTGAACAGTAGAATGAAGGTCCAGGTGTATCTGCTAATGAGGGCCCCAGAACCACCCTGAATCTAGAAGCACTCACTGAGCCCAGTTCCTACTGGGTGTACCACCCACAGCTACTCCATGTTCTGCCCTCAGATTTCAGGAGATCTCATTTTCAAATATCTGCTCCCTAGCCACCAAAGCCTACAACTTTAGTTGAGTTAATTTAAATGTTTCTTGCCATAAAATTGTATTTCCATTTATAAAGAAAACTTCTGGGCCATCTCAAAAACCTAATCTGAAAATCCTGCTTTGTAAGGGGGTTCCCCCATAGAGATGCTGTGTTCAAGTGAAAGAAATCTGTGTTCTCCTGAGTTGCTCTCTTCTACTTTCCTCTTTGTCTAAGGAGAAATAGTTTTTGTGAAGCTACAGCCTAGAAAAGAACTTTTCTTCTGTAGTAGGAAACAAGATGTGAGCAGAGTATCAGCTAAGAAACTCAAGAAGCATTAAATTTTAGAGTTGAAAAGCAATAGACAGACAGGTTTCCACTTATTAGGGTCTCTAAGGCCTCATGTTCTGGCTCCTGGAATGTCAGCTCCTCTCATTCAGTGCCACTAACTGGCTTGGTTCCTCTGGTCAGAAGGGTCTGTTGTTAGTGGCCATGTAGCATGAGCAACGTCAAGTCATGTGGAAACTGTGAATATGTGGCAGTGGCCAAGGGAGAATATAGGTAGGTTGTTAACTCAAAGTCCAGACTTGGGCAAATCTTTCTTCCACTGATAGCACTACTTCCACAAACCTGGCCAAGAGCATGCTCATTTAGGCCAGTTAATTTTGCTGGTTTTAAAGGCGACAGTATTATTATCCCTCCTGTATTGCTTAGGGTGCAGACTAAGCTGCTGTATCAAACAGACTCCAACGGATTAACCATGATAGAAGTTTATTTCTCTGTAACACAACAATTAGAGGCCCAGGACTTGGTAGGGTGCCACTGCCACCCTCAACATGTATCTTCCATGTCTGGATTCAAAGTGCATGTTCTAGCTCATGCCATGTCCAGTCCGTGAGAGGTGGGGAGAGTGGAGCAGGAAGGGCCAGAAGAGTGCATGCCCATGATCTACCCTGGAATAAGATGTATCATTTCCACTCAACTTTCATTAGGAGAACATAGTCACATGGCCACACTCAGTTGCAAGAATGTCCAGCTGAATGCAAGTTTAGCTGGAGAGCCATGGACCCAGCAAAAACTTCAGTTTTATTATTCAATAAAAACCCGGAGATGGATGTTGATGGATAATTAGCAGTGTCTGCCACATTCCTCAAACTCATGCCTTTTCCTCACCCTACACACCCCAAATCCACTCAGCAGGAAAATGTGAACCCTTTCTTAGAAGGGTGCAGGAGAAATGAGCTATAGATCTGGCCAGTCAGTAGAAAGCTATAGAAATCCCAAGAAATAATTTGAAATGTGCTTGTGAAAAATTATTTGTGTGTCAATCTACCAGCCACAGACTGGGGTGAGCAGCCAGGGCTCTCACTAGCTGATATGTGAACATTCTCTAGGACTTCTCAGAAAAGCTATCACCGCACCTGTGCTCGAATCCCTATTCTAAGGTTTAGTCTGTGCTTCTAAGCATAAAAAGATTTACACTGTAAAAATAATTGTGAAAACAAAGGTAAGACAATCCTTTTTTACAAGGCTATTTGCCACTCCCATCATACTCCAGAAACAAGAAGAGAGAACGAGAACATGGAAATCGTTTACTCTCTTTTGTATATCATAAGAATTGGAACATAACATATAGAACATTGGATTATACATAAAATTGTTGTACAAGGCATATGCTGAGATGTAAAGCCTTTAAAAATATCTGGAAGTTTGAGTGGAAAAATCTTCACTCAAAATGGATTTTATCCATTTTTAATAAAACTGTCTTAGATTCTTTAGAAAACTCTTGTGTATTTAAAATTTACAATTTTAGGCCAGGCGCAGTGGCTCACGCCTGTAATCCTAGCACTTTGGGAGGCCAAGGCGGGTGGATCACTTGATATCAGGAGTTCGAGACCAGCTGGCCAACATGGTGAAACCCCGTCTCTACTAAAAGTACAAAAATTAGCCTGGCATGGTGGCAGGCGCCACCTGTAATCCTAGCTACTCCAGAGGCTGAGGCAGGAGAATTGCTTGAAATCTAGAGGCAGAGGTTGCAGTGAGCCATCGTTTCATTGCACTCCAGCCTGGGTGACAGAGCTAGACTCTGTCTCAAAATAAATAAAATAAAATTTACAATTTTAAAAGGACCTATGAGTTTCTCATATTGTGATTTCTTATACTTCCTGGTTTCCCTTGTATTTTACCTATGCAGCACAAGTGATTTTTTATTTTAAGGTATAGTGTAGTTTTCTTGAAATGTATATCTTATTTCTTCTATTTGATTACATCTCCTTGAGGAGAATATCCACTTATGCTTCTTCTGTGTGCCCCTCAGCAACCAAACACCATCTCTTCAGTACGACAGGCACATAATAAATACTTTTTTGGATGGAGGAATGAAGTAAACAGGCAGAGATTTAGGCTCAATTCAGGTTGCTACTCAAACATCACCTCCTCAGGGAGGCCTCCCCTGCCCACCCTAGCTAGAATAGTATGTGGATCCCCTCAACCTACATTAATTTTCTTCATAGTACTTTCTTTTTAAAAATTGAATAAAAATTGTATATATTTATCATTTACAATATGTTGTTTTGAAATATGTATACATTGTGGAATGGCTACATTGAGCTATTTAACATATGGATTACCCTATATACTTATTTTTTGTGGTAAGAACACTGAAAATCTTTTCTCTTAGCAATTTTCAGGAATAAAATACATAGTTATTAACTATAGTCACCACATCATACAATAGATCTCTTGAACATATTTCTTCTATTTAATTGAAACGTTGTATTCTTTGACCAACGTCTCCATCCCACCCCACCCCCAACCTCCTGGTGACCGCCCCTCTACTCTCTGCTTCTTCTTCATAGTACTTCCCACTGCTCAGTGTGACCTCATCTACGGGTTTATTGTCAATGTCTGTCTCCCTCCCTAGAGACTACACTCCATGAGGTCAAAGAGTTTCTCTTTTATTCACTGCTGGACCCTAGCCTTTAGAACAGTGACTGGCTCAACGCATACTTACTGAAAAAAAAGTGAACGAATGCTTATAAATCAAACAAAGTGATTTATATGAAATGTCCACACACACACACCCACACACACCCACACACACACCCCAAAGATTTTTTTTTTTTTTTTTTTTTTTTTTTTTGAGACGGAGTCTCGCTCTGTCGCCCAGGCTGGAGTGCAGTGGCGCGATCTCGGCTCACTGCAAGCTCCGCCTCCCGGGTTCACGCCATTCTCCTGCCTCAGCCTCCCAAGTAGCTGGGACTACAGGCGCCTGCCACCACGCCTGGCTAATTTTTTGTATTTTTAGTAGAGACGGGGTTTCACCGTTTTAGCCGGGATGGTCTCGATCTTCTGACCTCGTGATCCGCCCGCCTCGGCCTCCCAAAGTGCTGGGATTACAGGCGTGAGCCACCGCGCCCGGCCACCCCAAAGATTTTTTAAAAAGACATTTATCAGTCACTGGGATGGACTTGAGACACTGAAGAACCTTCTCAAATAGTTGAGCTGCCTTCTAAAGAAGCAATTCTATTTGCTGAAGGGTTCAGTATTTGCCAATAGGGTGAGTAATGCAAGTTCGAGGTTATGAGGTGGTCATAGGTGGCTTTTTCTGAATAGCAAGAAGGGGAGGAACTTGAAACTCTTGAAAGTAATCTGAAAGGAAAAGGGACTAATGGGGTGCTGGCTACTGAGTCAGAGACGAGGAGAAAGAGAGAAGCCCTCTTAGGATGTAACTAAGGAGGGATTTGAGGAGAATAAATGGCCTAATGTAGAGTTTAATAGAATGCCATGTGCAAACCTCTGTAGTACTCCCAGTGAAGTCTTCCTGACCTTCAGAAAAAATAAAACCTACAAAAATCTCCCAATTACAGTTATTGCATTTTTCTTGGAAACTGGTAAGGGAACTGAGTCCTGCATCTGGATATGTGTGGAGCTGAGACAGTTAGTACTCCTGGATAAGGGGATGGGGAGACATCTGGCAGTAGTCTGGATTACAGGGAACATATTCTAAAGGGAGATAGCTCATCAGGTAGGTGTCCTGCTTTCCCTATTATACTGTGAATTTCTAGAGTCAGAGCATGCCTCTTCAACTTTTTTTGAAGCCCCTCCCACCAAAGGGAGTAACATACAGTGTTCTGGAAATAATGAATACTTAGTGATACTAACTGTATGAGTCAGCTACTGCTGCATAACAAACAACCACCAAATCTCAGGGGCATTCGCAGTATGCATTCATTTCTTACACATCTGCAGATTGTCTTGAAAGGCAATAATCTAGGCTGAGCTTGTATGGGTAACTCTGCTTCCAGTTGTAGGTTCATTTGGGCTGAGCATTGTAGCAGGGGCTCTGGTCTGCTCCATGTGTATTTATTTTGGGGTTCACTCTGAAGGGGCAGCATCTGCTTGAGTGGAAGCTTTTAAAATTGTGATAACAGAATTAAAAGAGAACAAACAGAGCATAAGATGCCTCTATAAGATTAGGCTGGGAACTGGGAACTGTAGACATTTTTGTCCACATTCTGATGGCTAAAGTATCAAAAGTCAAGTCTGAAGTCTAGGGATGGCCTCTGCCTTGTGTAGGAGGCACAGCAGAGGTTGTGGATATGGGAGGGGTAAAGAATTAGGACCGATACTTCAATCCATCACATTAACTGACCAACTGACTAGTTGACTGAGATGATTCTGAGAAGCTGGGCCAGAGAGTGAGTTCATTCCCGCAGGTGTTAGTGTGGCTGTGGTTTGAAGGCCTTTGAGAGAGTTCTTTTATTTTTCTTCTTTGTGAAAGTGGCCATTAAAGTTAAAAACCTCATTTTTGTAATAGAATGCACACAACAGTACACATATTGACTTATGTTTTTAGTCAATATCAAGATTTATTGTCTCCAGAGTTAAATAAATCGTGATATTGACCCCATCATAAGCCAATATCTGCCTAATGCGTTTTTTAAAAGTATTTTGTATTCATTTATATTAATAGGACACAAGCAATCACTCAGTGTTACTTTGTTTTCCCTTTTTGCTCTTTCTCCTTTGTTATTTTCTCATCAGTCATAGTAATTAGCCCAGGGTTAATGTAAGAGTTATTGAAATAGGATGCAGTGCAGGAAAGACAGCCATAGTGGGCCCTTCCCCATTGTAGAGAGGGGTATTTGTTTCCATAGAGAACGATGCCTTTCTGATTCCAGATGGTGCCAGTGAATTTTGTTTTCTTCAGAAGTTGTTTTTCCCTGAACTTCCTCTCCTCTGTGATGTTCCTGTATACAATTCCTTTGGGCCAGTAGGGAAATGGGAGGAGGTGGGGGTGGGCAAGCAGGAAGGGACAATAAGGTAGGGGAATCGTCAATTGTCCAGGAATTGTTTTTTTCTGACTTTTTTTTTTTTTTTTTTTTTTGCTGTTCTAGTCTTGATTTCATTGTCCTTTTTCTTTCTTTCCATTTTGTAGCTGGCATTTACATTTTCTGGAGGAGTGGAAAAAATATATTTCTTTAATACTGAATTTCATTTATCTCCATAAATTGGTTAGGGTATATGATCTAAAGGACTCAGCTGTTTTTAAAATAGGTTTATTCCTTTCCTTGAAGATTATTTCCACACAGTATAGACGAGTTAGAAGGAGACTCATTTTGTAGACCTTGGTGAGAGCTCCGCATTTGCAGGGCATCATTTCAGATGTGGAGTTTTTGAACAAAGAAATTAAATTTATATGTATCACCTAAATTATTTCAAATTCATGGTTCAGCAAAGAGTTCAGACTCTAATCAAATATGTAGTTTGCATGGGAGCTACCCGCCTTCTCAATAATAACGTGGCAGTTCTATTTACAGTGTTGACTAGACCAGGGGGTGGTGCAGGGGAGATGGCTTTTGTGGGAATTTACCTTGGTTGTTTGCAGTTGGGCCTGTGTTAAACGTGCAGTTTTACCACATTAAAAATTTTCCAGAAAGGTAGTTGAGAGAAGAGCTTTTCAAACTGTTCTCACTCCTTATAAACAACAGAAGGACTCCCCTACCAATAATCTTTAAAAGCAAATAACCTCTACAAGCTCCTTGTTGTCTTTCTTTTTATCTATCAAAATGCCACCATTGTGCAAGGCCCCCACAGACGCCCCCTCCAACCCCAGGAACCTCCTCCAGCTCTCCTGCCGGCCCCTCCTAGTTTGGACCCCTATAGAACATATGATCTCTATCACATCATCAGCCTCTGACTTGGAGTTGGCTTCATTTTCGTGTTGTTTTTGGTGTCAACCTTGTCTTTACAGCAGATTGTGAACTATAGGACACCAAGAACAGTTTTTCACTTTTTTGAAAATAGAATATGGGCAACGATGATGATGATTGCCTCTAACATTTCTTACGGCTCACTAGGTGCCAGGGATTTTTCTAAATCCTTTAAATAGATTAACTCATTGAATCCCTACAACAACTCTAGCAGTTATTATCCCTGCCTTACATATGAAGAAACTAGGCACAGAGAAGTGAAGCCACTTGCCGAAGGTAAGAGGTAGATCAGCATTCAATAATGGGTTATCAGGTTCTGAAGGTCATGCTCCTAACCACAATGACAGTCTTGTTGATGGTTATTGGAATAAGCCTTGAATGTCTTGCTTGAACATGAAGGAGACTAAGATTGAGCCTGCATTTTTGGTCGATTTTGGAAGTGGGCTGGGTTGCAGAATAAAAGTCTTGACCTGAGGGTATTTAATGAAATTTCTTCTAGTGCCATCCTTTCCAGACTTACGTATAATGCTCAGAAGTGACAGCTCAGGATTTTATAAGTGGTAAAGCTTGAGAGGTATGAACAGTTTTTAACTCCAGACAGCTGCCCCTGTGCAGGAATGCTGCATCCCCATTTCTGTTGTGGAACTTCCTAGCTCACAAGGCAGAATGCTTTGCTAATAAAGAAAACGCACCCTTTTTCAGCCTGGTGCCTACCCATGTGGCATTGGCTCTGTATTCGAGACGGTGGAGAATATACTCTAACCTGTGCCATTGTGAACCTTGTCTGTGCTGGGGGTGGCCGCTCTCCAGACAGAAGAATGGGGAGCTCTGGGGACCACCACTCAGTGCACACGTTTTCAACCTATGTCACATTTCCACACAGATTTATGCCACAACTGGTTCATTTCTTTTCTTTCTTTCACAAAATTAAGATAATACCCTTTGGTCATGTCGTCATTTGGGCTGGACACACACCTCCTATTTGGTTTTCTCATGGCTAAAAACCTGGAATGTATCCATTTTATAGGTTAACTTATGAGAATAGGGGCATGGAGTGGGGAAGAGGAAAAAAGAGGTAGAAATATCCACAGGCCATAATGAGCCCTTAAAGAAACTTTCCTGACTCCACGTTCCAGTAAGTGCTCCTCTCCCTTCTTTCTCTTCCTCCCCCTTTTGGAAAGTGCTCCTCTCTCCTTCCCTTCCCTCCTCACCTGTCTACTCCCCTTCCCACCCATCTACTCCCCTTCCCACCTCTCCCCTACTTCCTGCTCCAGTAGTTCGGGCAGTTGGGCTTCTGATGTCTGTAGATAAATCATCTGGTTCATGGTCACAGCTGGCAAGCAGATGTTTCCCTGTCTATGAGTTCTATAACCAGCAGGCTAGAAAGATTGACTTAGGGACACTCTCCACTCCCCTCACCCCAAATGGCAAATTATTCCTCATTTGAAACATACCAGATCGAGACTGTCACCATTGTTTTCTATGATACTAAGCTACAATTATTAAAGTGGGTAGTGGGAGGCATGGAAATGTGCTCTGTTGTTCGGCCATTGGTCTTTGGTTTAAGTTTAGCATCTGGGTGAAATGAAACCTCTTGATTCAGGCATGTTCTGGTTTTCTTTAGTTTTGTTTCTTGGTTGGGGTGTGAGAGTGTAAAGACCTTGGTAAGAAGGGGCTGGGCAAAGCACTCTCTCAGTCCCTCTGGCAATGGTTTAAAATGGAGCAACTTCCCATCTCCTCATTGGAATGGCTTCATCTGCTTTTAATTCACATTTAGTCTAAATTTCTTGGGTTTCAGTTGGGGCTTTTGAGCCGTTTACCCCCCCAGCTGCTTTAGGAATGAAATTGTTTTCTTAAGTCACTTATTTCTAATGATCTCTTTTCACCCCCTAAAAAATGATGTACATTTTACTAATTCAGATACATAATGATTCTAGAATTCAATTTTTAAGGTTAACCTCAGGACCAAATTTAGTTCTCCTGGGCTGCTGCTCTGCTGTTATTTAACCATAAAATGCCTTTAATGGTGACTTTTGGGAGAGGAAAAAGCAGGTTGCCTGAAAAGAGAGGGGGGGACAGCGGAAATTAGAGAGGGCTGGCAATGTCCCATAGCTCCCTGCCGTTATGCTGGGCTGAGGCACATGGGCATGTTTTGCTGTTTTACTACATGAGCTTTGGGGAGGTGGAGGCACATGGGCACTGTGAGGCGTTTCAGAGGAAACCTGCAACAGAGATGAGTGCAACAGAGATGAATGCAACAGAGTTGGCTGGATTGACTCTTGCTTGAAATATTGCCATCTTTTTCCCCCTCTCAGAGGCTGTTTCTACAAAAAAACTTGATAAATGGAATAAAAGTTTACTGAACTCTACTGTGTGTGTTTATCATAAGCATTGTGCTGGGTCCAGGGAGAGACAGAACAAATATTAGATTGAACTGCATGGAATTGCTGCTATTGGACTGTTTTAATCTACAACAATGTCAGATTCATATAATTCATCCTAATATAAAGAAGCTCCACTTATTCAATGAGTATTTGTTAAAGAAAATAGGGCATGCAAATTGCCTACTGCCCTGCCTGGTACATAATTATGACTCAATAAATGGTAGCTATGTTTATCAATGTGTACTTACCATGGGCAGTGGCTGTGGGTTGGACAGAGTCTGATGACAATTCAGTCAGTTTTCATCAAGGCCTAAAGGTGATCTTTCTATTTTAATTGGTAGATCAAGTGATTTAAGAACTCATTTTTATTCACTGCCTTGCCTGAGATCGTCCCATGACGTGATGGAGGGAAGCAAGTCCTCAGGCTGGCTTGGCAGTGGGGATCGTGTCTGTCTCACTGCTCCACCACATTTCAGTGGAACAGCCAGTACTGCGTGTCAACATCTGGGATAAACTCCAGTGTTTTCTCAGGTCTGCTTGCAATCGAACCTTTTGAGGAATATTAACCTTGTCCGTAATTTGTGAAATCTTCATTTCACTCTGAGTTTTAATTCATAAATGTTTTCATATAAACTGCAACATCGAGAATTATAAGCCAAATTTGATGGAGATGACAAATCACAGTTTTGGATGATTATATCTGATATAACAGCTGGAAAAAGAAAGCTAGAAAGACGAGAGAGGCCAATAAAAAGCTTTCTTTGGCATGAAGTAGCATATTGTCGTAATGTTCCCCCCAAATTGAATTGCCTTAAAAAAACTGTAGGAATATTTGAAGAAACACAAATATTTTTTAAAAAGTTAAAATAAGCCCTTTTTTTCTAAGAGAATGTTTTCAGTACTGTCAGTTTTCAGCCTTCAGAAATTTTCAGAGAGTAGTTCATTCACTAAGGGGGCAAAAAAACTTTCAGGGTTCTAAGAAGCAATTTGCAAAAATACACCATAGACTTCCCACTCCTTTCCTAGGCATTTTTCTGTTCAGAATCAAATTCAGAAGCAAGGGGATTTATGAACTACCTGATATAAATGATAAATCATAGCACTTTGAGTCAATATCCTCCCTGTGTTTTGAAGTCCCCAGGATTTTCAAGCAAAAAGAATAAGAGGTTCTCAAGGAATTCTGAGCTTGTGAGATGGTGGTGGTTATAATGGCAGTGGTAAAAACACACACATCCATTCTACCCATCAGTGTGGTCAACGGTGGTTTCTCCAAGATAGTTACCTTTGAGCAGAATTGGACAGAGTCTTTGAACCTGAGAAAGAAATGAGCTGTGTTATGTTTGAGAACAGAAAAAGGCCGAGTGGTTAGAGCTTAGGGAGCAAGGGAAGGAGAGTGTTATGAGGCGACATGAGAAGGCAGACAGGGTAGAGCTAGGTCTTTTAGAGGGTAGAGCTAGGTCTTGGAGCTCTTAGGAAAGGAAATGGTTTGGGCTTCATCTTGGCTGCTGCACTACTAATAGTGTGACCTTATTATGGAAAAAAGTGGGGATATAATCATACCTACTTTGGAGAGCTGTTTTAGATTAAATAATTTGGTATGTGCAAAGTGCTTAGACCTGTGCCTTCTACTTAATTAAGTGCTCAATAAATTAGAAATATTATTATTATTAATAATGTTATTGGAAGGTATGGGAAAATTTTAGCAGGAGAGTGATATGATTTGCACTTCAGAAAAGGTCACTCTGGTTGTTGTGTGGACACTGTAGGGATAAGGGGATAGGAGAGGGGAGGCAGGGAGACCAGTTAGGAGGCTGTTTAGCTAGAGTCGTGCTGAGAGATGATGACATGGACAGGGTAGGAATAGGAGGAAAGAGATGGTCAGAGTTAAGATATTTATAAGGGGTGTAATCAACAGATCTTACTGATAGATTGAACAGTGGGTGTAAGGAGACAGAAGGCTCAAGATAGTGCTTTGCTTTTAGCAGGAGCAACTGGGTGGACATTGGTACAATTTACCCAGCCAGAGAACACTTTGGGCAAGAAGTGGTGAAATTATCCTATTTGATGCCAAAATAACTGACTACTTTTCCCAAGCACAATTGGTTAAATGAAAAGCAAGTGAACAAATACGTCTGGAGCATCTGGTCTGTTTCTGATGCTGCTCTTGGTGCCCTGAACTGGGTGCTTCATTTGCTCCTCACAAGATCCTGTACATGAAGGTCCTACTTGTCCAGAGGAAGAACTTGAGTAAGGGATGGAAATTGATGGCCTAGGTCCCCTGGCAAATAAGTGGCCGAGCCAGGAGAAGAGCCCAATGCCCATCCACCATGCCACAAGTCCTCTTAGATCAAGTCATTCAGAGGGTGAGTGCATGAATGGGAAGGGGGCAACAAATGTGCTTGTAACAGAAAATAAGTAAATAAATAATCATTGGCCTAGTTTCTCACTTTTTAGGCACAGTTACACAACCTTGGTTAGACTAGGGCATGATATCTAATGAAGTTGGATTTTTTTTTTTTTTGAGAAGGAGTCTCACTCTGTTGCCCAGGCTAGAGTGCAGTGGTGTGATCTCAGCTCACTGCAGCCTCCGTGGTTCAAGTGATTCTCCTGCCTCAGCCTCCCGAGTAGCTGGGAGTACAGGCACGTGCCACCACGCCCAGCTAGTTTTTGTATTTTTAGTAGAGATGGGGTTTCACCATGTTGGCCAGGCTGGTCTTGAACTCCTGACCTCAAGTGATCTGCCCGCCTCAGCCTTCCAAATTGCTGGGAGTACAGGCATGAGCCACTGTGCCTGGCCAGGTGCTTTTTTTTTTTTTTTTTTTTGATAGAGCCTTGCTTTGTTGCTCAGGCAGGAGTGCAGTGGTGCGATTTCAGCTCACTGCAGCCTCCACCTCCCTGGTTCTAGCGATTCTCCTGCCTCAGCCTCCTGAGAAGCTGGGACCACAGGAATGTACCACCATGCCCGGCTAATTTTTGTATTTTCAGTAGAGATGGGTTTTACCATGTTGGCCAGGTTGGTCTCGAACTCCTCACTTCAAGTGATCCACCCACCCTGGCCTCCCAAAGTGCTGGGATTACAGGTGTGAGCCACTGTGCCCAGCCATTGGATGCTTTTTGACTTGCCTGCAAGGCTGTCTGCTCAATATTTCATAGGATTGCATCTATATCTTTGAGCATTTAAAAAAAATGGTATAAAACTATATGAACATTTGAATGCTTTTCAGAAGGTCAGGCAGTTTCCTCTTTGAGGAAAGTATTAGGCATCTCTGGTTTGGGGATGACTTCAGGGCAGACCCACATGGAGACAGAGTGATGTCTATGATGACCTGTCATGAGAATCTCCTTTTGGTTATGATGTATATAGTGAAACAGTTTGAAAATTAAAGGTGAATTAGTGTGATGTGATTTGGGACTCATTGGTACTGCATCCAAATCATAGAGCTACAGTGTAAAGTCCTGACATAAGTAGTTTCTGCAAATGGATTTGAATTACAGACCTTGGAGATTCTAGGCCTGGTAGTGGCTCCTTGAATAACATCTTCTTGTTCAACGTCATTTCCTTCTAACACTGATGAGAAACAATTGACTCCTAGCTGAGGTCACTGTGTGGAGTTTGCACATTCCCTCCCATGTCTGCATGGGTTTTCTCTGGGAACTCCAGTTTCCTCCCACATCCCAGAACTGTTCCCTTTTAGGTGACTCTGTGTGTCTACATGATCCCAGTGTGAGTGAGGGTGAGTACACCCGACAGTGGCATGCCATCTTGTCCAGGACTGGTTCCTGACTTGCACCTTGAGCTGCTGAGACAGGCTTTATCTACCCCCAACCCTGAACTGGAAAAATCTTACTTGTTTTTATTAATGATGTTTCTTAATGTATATATAACTCACGTTCATTTCAATGTTTACTACTAGAAGTGTTTTGGTCTTTATAGAGAAGTTTGGTGATGTTTTTATGACCAGAAATATGCTGTAGGAGCTTATCTCTTGTTTATATCAATGAGTCTATTATAAAACTGGTTTCATTATACCTTGTTTCCCTTACAACTGCAGTTTCCAAGAACCTATTGAGGACATTAAATGAGGACTTACTGTACCTGTCAGTCTAGTCTCTGGTCCTCTGTGGTTTAGGTCTTTGCAAAATCACTTTCCCTGAGTCATGTTTTAATGTTAAGCTCTTAGCATTTAGCAATGGTATATAATCTGAACTGCTTAGGTGGTATTTGTAATACAACTCAAATTAGCCTGAGCACAAAGGTGACTGAATCAGCTCAGGTAACTGGAAATTCAGGGATAACTCTTTCAGATATGGCTGTACCTAGATGCTTTGCAGCACATCAGAAATCTGACCTTTTCTATCTTTCTTCCTCCTGGTTGACTTCAATCTTAGGAATACTCCCCATTCTCCCTGACCAATGCAGCAGCAAAGTGACCACCAGCAACCCAGGATTTCATTCTATTAATTTTGTAACCCCAGTGACAAAAGAAGGCCTCTTTTAAAGTAATTTCTCAATAGGTCACATCAGCCTAGAGGAAGCATCTTTATCTAACTTGTCCGCTCAGAGAGGTGCTTTTTTCTAATTCTTATGAAGCTACTTCTGGCCCTGATGAGGTTGGAAAAGGGTAAAAATAGAAGCAGTCAGATCATTTGCAGTCACCAGGTAAGAGAGGATGGTGGTACATGGATTCATGGGTAGTGAAGATGGAGAGAAGTGGGTAAACTTAGGATATGTCTTCAATTGAATTAAGGGGATTTATTCAACAGACCCAATAAGTGCCTACTCTGAGCCAGTCCCATGTGCTAAGGCAAGAGATACAGTGATGGATAAGACATGCCCCCACTCTAGAATTTTTCATGGTCTATGGGTTAGGTAGATGTGTGAATGGGAGAGTTCCATGCCACAAAGTAAGTGGTTTAATAGAAATGTGAACAAAGTGCTATAAGAGTCCAGAGGAGAGAGCAGTTAAGTCTCTAAAGAAGAGACAGGAAACTTAAGGCAGGTAGCAGTGTTTGGGTTGGACCTTGAAGTACAGGTAGGAATATTCCAGGTGAAGAAAAATGCAAAGTGAACTTCAATGGAAACAGCATGTGCAAGAGCATGAAGACAATGAGATGTGTTGAGGCAAGTGGGTAGATGGGGTTAGATTAAGAAGTACCTTTAATGCCTCTTTAGGGAGTAGGTTTCAATGTAGGAATTCTGAATCTGAGCTGTGGTATATTAATCCGCGGGTACAAATACATCAAATGGAATAAGTTTAAGTGTTTCTTGGCACATTTGAATTTCAAATGTTAGTGTGCAAAAGAATTACTGTACTACGTTTACTGCATAGTATCTTTTGTTTTTTTTCTCATAGTAAATTTTGCTCTTTGTGATTTTTCTCATGTCATGACGTTAAACTGTAAATTATCTTGACTTAAGATGCAACACTATTTACTGAGTGGACACTAGTGACTTAGTGCTAGATGTTGCCTACTACATTCTTCAAGTGCTCTAGAAAATTCAGGGTGCCAGTTAGAATTCTTTTACTTTCAAGAAAAAGAAAACTCAGCTTAAGTGGGCCTAAACAATACAGAGATAAATTGCTGCACATTCTTAGAAGTACAGCTTCAGTATATGGCTCAGGCAGGGCTCTGACTTTCTTTGTCTAAGGTTTCCTCCACTCTCTTTTTTTGTGTGAGGATTGGGTATCATTCTCAGTTCATTTTCAGGTGGTTCCTATCTTGACAGCAAAAGAGTAGAGAGCCATGACTGGAGCCACCTGCTTCCTTGTCTAAATCTGGGAAAGGGGAAAGTCCCCTCCTAGGAGACTCAAACAGGATTCCTGAGCTTCACCTTGATTAGTCTCTGAGCCCCAGGCTGGCTGGTTTAGTCTTAGGTTGACTGAATTTCAAGAGAAATAAGCTTACCATGCCAGCCTGAAACAAATTCCTGGAGCTGGAGGTCTGGTCAGTCCACCCAACCTTCATGGGGAGTATGGAACAGATGTTATGGAGGTGATCACAGGGTCCCTCATGGTCATATGAAAAAATGAAACCCAAAACAACAAAATACAAAGCCTTGAATTATTTAGGTAATTGGAGAAAATGTCATGGCATGTATTATGTAATGAAAATTTTAGTGAACAGTTGAGTATGTGGATGGTGTTGGGAGAAAAGTGCATTAAGCATTTTTGTCTGAATTGAATAGGGGTTGAAATGAAGATAACTTTTGAACTAGTTATGAGGAAAAGGTTTCCTAAATTAATAAATAAGAATACAGAAAGGGTTGAGTTTATGAGAGCAAATTCTTTGCAAATGATCTTAAAAGATGTATTTATACGTAAGTGTCATATGTTGTACACAAAGTACAATGAGAACACTTGGACACAGGGTGGGGAACATCACACACCGGGGCCTGTTGTGGGGTTGGGGGAGGGGGGAGGGATAGCATTAGGAGATACACCCAATGTAAATGACGAGTTAATGGGTGCAGCACACCAACATGGCACATGTATACATATGTAACAAACCTACACGTTGTGCACATGTGCACTAGAACTTAAAAGTATAATAATAAAAAAAACCAGAAAAAAAGTACCATTAACCGTGCATTATGGCACCAACGTCTTCTACTTGACAACATGTGGTTAACCTAGTTCCAAATATAGTCTTACCAGAAAAATATTAAGAACTGAATTTTACTTCAAATGCTGTGTTAAGTAGAACTTTTGTCCATTCAGAGGTCCTCTCTTCAGTAGCTGAAATCAGTAAACTTCCTATGGAAAACTTGGGCTGTGGTCTATTCCTGCTTACCAGATGCCGAGGAATGACGGTAGTGATGTTGCAGTCATCCACACTTGGGTTCAGTTTCCTGCTCTGCCTCTTGCTAGCTGTGTGACCCTGGGCAATTTATTTGGCCTCGCTGCAGTTCAGCTTCCTCATTTGGAAGGTGATGATAACGATCACCTACAATAGATGTAGTTGTGAGGATGAAATGTGGCAGTGCTTGTAAAATGCTAGCACAAAAGGGTGCTCAATAAAAAGTTAGCAAATATTAATATTGAAAACTCATTTATGAGAGTCTTCAGCCCAGATTCTCTTCTCTTGGTTGTTCCAGGCACAATTTATCCATCTGCCATGAGCAATGAAATGAACAAAGAGCTCACTCCTGATTTGCCAATTCTAGAGCTGAATTTTTGGTCGAAAGATGGGTGTTAGATAAAATGGTGTTGTGGGTGGGTAGGTGATGGTGGAGCTCCCATCTGTGGATTCAGGTCTCATGCTTTTGCCTCCCTAGCTATGGAGAATGAAGGGAGCAAATGGATATACATGTTTTGTTCTCTCTCACTCTCCCTCAAATGTCATTTTTCTGTGTTCCTTTGGTTTTTGAAAGGAAACCTGAGACCTTTTGGGGTTGTTATAGGTCTGATGCCCAGATGCTCAGATTCTGGGTTTCCTAGTCTGATGGTGGAGGCAGAGTTCCCCATATTTGAGCCCTACCCCTCCACACCAAAGCCTGCCTCAGCCAAAAGCGGTGGGTGGTCTTACCATTCTCTCAGTGTTTTGGGAACCGCCCCACCTAGGCACACGGAGAGAGTCAGAGACGCTGTTAAATTCTCCCCTTCCCTGGGTATATGTGCTTAAGCTGTTGCCAGAAACTTAATGTTGTTTTAACACATTTTTGTGTGTATGTGAGAATCCATTTTCCAGGACTGCTGATGGAGGGCATGTACCCCTCTATGACTGAAAGCCAGCTGAAGACTCAAATACAAGGTTTATTCTGGAATATGCAATGGTGGTTTCTTCTCTCTCATCCTCCTTCACTTGGGCATCAGTTCTTTTATCTTTGGCTTGAGAAAAGAAAACTAATATACTCTAGATGTTTTTCAAAACTAGGGACACTTCAAAACAAGTTTAAATATAAATGAAATCAGTTTCCAAATGTCTTGTTAAAAAAAAAACACAGATGTTTTATATTTATTTTATCATTTTTGTTTTATCACCTTGCAAAATTTTACAGCATGGAATTTTATTCAATGCAGTGGCATTTTGAACAGCAATATTAGACAGATGTATTTGCACCATATTTGGGGACTTTTTTTTCTCTTTGGCAGGATATTAAAAGTGAAACTAATGTAACCTGGTGTTTTGGGAAATGTGGACGAGGCATTTTGCTTATTGGTAATTGAAAACAACAACCTTCTCCTCTCCAAATGTACCCCTCAAAAAAATAAGCTTTATTGCTTGGATAAGTGATTAAACGTTTTTAGAATGCCAGAAGTTCAAATGAAGCCACTTTAAGGAAGACTTGGCTCCTCAAATGCAGGGACTGTGTCTTTTGACTTTTGCTGGATGGTGCCAGACAGGACCTAACCAATCATCCTGTTGATTTGTTGCTTTTGTTGTTTTAGGATTTTGTAAGGACATATGGCACAGATACAGATCACAATACAGCTAAGAAATGGAATTATTTTCAGGCATAGTATAAATAAGCCAAATCTCACTTTTTTCCTTCTACTTTGTACCCCTTAGCTCCACCCCCACCTCCTTTTAATTTGCTTTTTCAGGATAATCCATTAGTAGCCTTAATGAGGGAATGGGCTGGATATTCACAACTGAATAAAATGCCAGCTTTTTTTTTTTTCCCCACAAAATTTTCCTTCTACAGGCACAGACAGGTTTCTAGCTCTTTCCTAACCAAGCCACAGACTCTCTGTTGGTTCGCCCACCCTCCAGGTCACAACAAAATCCCCTATTAATTAAACTAAAATTATGTCTGAAATAAATCACTCAGTAAAAGAAACCCACTATGGCATTTTTTTTTCCTGAAGATGTTTGCAATAATTAATGAAACATTTGGTGGCTGGTGACATTTTTGATAACTCTTAAAGTGCCAGAAAATGTTGACATATATGTAATCTCCATGGACTCGAGACCAAGAAATCAGATGATTAAACAAGGGCTGAATAATAATTTTTATTTTTTTCTAAAGATCATGTTGCTTTTGGGGGAGATGTAGAGGAAAGGGTGGTGGAAGATATCTTTTGAAGAGAAATCCAATTTTTCATCTCCATGGTATAGTCTTTCTCCTATCTAAAGTATTTCCAGTCCATCCAAAGTTATAAGCTTAGATACTAATAGGTTCACCCAGTGAGTCTCAGCCTGGTGGGAGGTTGTGTGGTACAGAGTTACTGCAATGGTTTGTGAATCTATAACGGCCCCAGGCATTGCAGAGATGCAAAAAATAAATATACTTCCCATACATTCTTTCATTCAATACATGTATCTTGAGGCTCAGCCCACTATATGCCAAGCTCTGTCCTCAGCACTGAGGATTCAGTGGGGGAATAAAACATGCCAAGTTCCTGTCCTTCATGGGGCAAAAAAGCTAGTGTAGGGACAAACAATAGAAACAAAAATACAGAATATAATGTCGGGCAGTGTTGAGAGCCACAAAAAAACCACTGCCAGGCGAAGGGATAGAGAGGTTGCAGACATGTAGAAGGGTCAAGGAAGACCTTTCTCAGAGGTGACATTCGAGCAGAGACCCAGGTGAAGTGAGGAAGAGAATTTTGCCAACAGTGAGGGAAGAGCATTTCTAGCAGAGGGATTGGCCACAACAGAGGCCAAACGTGGGCCAGTCAAGTGTTGGGTGCATCCAGGAATGCCAGGGCTATGTGCCTGGCTGCCCCAGGGAAAGGTTACGAAGATGACAGGTATTCAAATTGGGTGCCATGAGGTGGAGCATGGCTGCTGAAAGTCCCTTCCCACATCCAAGCCCTTAGCATCTAACTGGAGAAGGCAGGACCACTTTGCACATCTTACAGAGGGGAGACTGCAGTAAGCCACTCTAAGCAACTGAGTGACAGATGTGGCCTAGGTCATACAGCTGAGACTGGAGCCCAAAGCCCTGGCTTCCACAAGGTGCTTTTTTTCAAAATGGATTTCTACTTCCTGTTAAGGAGTCAGTCCAAAGGCAGAATGTGATAAAAATGCTCCACTCCCCCTTGAGTACTGGCTGGACTTAGTGTCTTGCTTTGAAAGAATAGAGGGAAAAATCATAAGTTTGCACAGGAGGAAAGTGGTAGAAACTGCCTTAACCAAGTGATGGGGGGAACATCTTCAGTGATGCTGTGTGGATCTCTATCATGTACCTCCTGAGGCAATGGGAGGAGAGGGCACACACCTCTGTGATATTCTTCCCCCAAACCCCAGTCTAATCACAAGGAAACCTAAAGTGAGGGCCATTCTATAAAACACCTGACCAGTACTCAAAAGTAACAAGATCATGGAAAGCCAGGAAACTCAGATAACTTATGCAAGAGGAGACAAAGGAGACAACTCAGTGCAGTCAATTATCCTGGATTGGATCTTGGAACAGAAAAAGGACATTAGGCTGGGTGCGGTGACTCATGCTTGTAATCCCAGCATTTTGGGAGGCCAAGGAAGGTGACTCGCTTGAGTCCAGGTGTTTGAGACCAGCCTGGGCAATGTGGTGAAATCCTGTCTCTACAAATTATACAAAAAAAAAAAATTAGCCGGGTGTGGTGGTTCATTTTGTAGGCCCAACTATTCTGGAGGCTGAGGATCACCTGAGCCTGAGAGGAAGAGGTTGCAGTGAGCCAAGATTATGCCAGTGCATGCCAGCCTGGGTGACAGAGTGAGACCCTGTGTCAAAAAAAAAAAAAAAGATGTTAATGAAGAACTAGTGAAATCCAAATAAGCAATAGTAAAAAAAAAAAAAAAATGGATCACGTTATTTAACACTTTTTTTTTTTTTTTGAGACAGGCTCTCACACTGTCACCCAGGCTGGAGTGCAGTGACAGGATCTTGGCTCACTGCAGCCTCGACCTCCTGGGCTCAAGCAATCCTCCCATCTCAACCTCCCAAGTAGCTAAAACTGCAGGCCCGCACCACCACACCTGGCTAATTTTTTGTTTATTTTTTGTAGAGATGAGGTCTCACTATGTTGCCTAGGCTGGTCTCAAACTCCTGAGCTCAAGTGAAGCACTAACCTCAGCCTCCCAAAGTGTTGAGATTATAGGCGTGAGCCACTGCACTTGGCCCAAAATAATGAATCATGTTATTTAATAAATGTTTCTTCTGTTCAATAGTGGGGAAAAAAAATCCACCAGCCATGGTGGTTTGGAGGTTACCTTAGAACCACAGATAAACTTGTGGTATCCCTTTAGACTGCTGTGGGCTCCAATCCATCTCTGTTGCCATGGTCTGATCCCCAAGAGAGGGGCCTTCGAAGGTGGGTGAGGTGCTGGGCACCTTGAAGGTGCTTTTTAAAATCCTGATGGATTGATTTCAATGTCTGTCGTGTAGCATACAATAGGACTTCTCTTCTTCTTGCCCAGCAGTCTTCTGCTTCCAGAACAATTGGAGAGTGCAGGTAAAAAGGGCCTAATTAATGTACAGGGACTGAGGGAATTAAATATCCTTAAGACTTTTTAGCAGAAATGATTGACAGAAGCAACCCTAAATTACGCCCATCCATCTTGCTAGTCTGCTATGCCTCACACAGTGGACCCAGGTTTCCAAGGGAGGCTGGTGGAGATGTGAGGGGGCAAGAGGCACTGCTGGGAGAGGGGCTTCCCAAGCCTGGACCCCAGCAACCAGGGTTTAGAAACAGATTTTCCCTACCCTACTTCACCATAAAGGCTGGTGTTTGTTGTAGATGTTTGAAAATCACAGTGAGTAGTAGGAAGCAGGCTTTTTATGGGAACAAAAGAAGGGTTTTTCTTTTCTTTCTGAGACAGGGTCTTGCTCTGTTACCCAGTCTGGAGTGCAGTGGTGTGATTATAGCTCACTGCAGCCTCAAACTCCTGGGCTCAAGCGATCCTCCTGCCTCTGTCTCCCAGGTAGCTGGGACTACGAGGGTAAGCCATCACGCCAGGCTGATTTTCAGTTTTTTTGTAGTGACAGGGTCTTGCTATGTTGCCCAGGCTGGTCTTGAACTCCTGGGCCCAAGCAATCCTCCTGCTTTGGCCTCCCTAAATGTTGAGATTACAGGCTTGAGCCACTGTGCTCAGCCAGAGTTATTGTTATTATTTTTTTTAAACCATCAGTGTCTTGTGTGTGATTCTGCTGGGTGAACAGTTTGCTCTTCAAAGGGACTGAATGAAGGCAGTTAGCTGATGGACAGGTGGCTTTCCCCCAAGGGGAAACTCAGGGACCATTCCCGGTCACTCTCCTCCCATCCATCTTCATTTCCTGAAAGAAAGGATCTAAGAGGGCCATTCAGCAGGTAGAGGCTACCCCAGGAGACCAGAAACTTGGCCTGTAGTTTCTGTGTGTGCAGCTCTGCAGCCCTAATTGTCAGCTTTCTAAGGAGCTTCTCTGGGGACAGAGAACTGTGTCTTTTCCAGATGGCCCCTGAAGCTAGAGTGTTGTGGAGACACATAGTCCTACTGGTCAACCTCACTCTGTCTACCCCATTGGAGTGGGAAGTTCCAAACAGCAGTGATGGAAAGATAGTACATCTTGCCTGATCATGTGGCCTGGAGCATCAGGAATGATACCCAGAGGAAGTCTCAGGTTTCCCTCCAGTGCAATCTGCCCTTCTTCTTCTGGCTTTCCCACCTCAGAGCAGTGAGCTGACTATATTCATTCTCTGCTCATTCTCCCACCCTCCCTCCTTCTAGAATCAGCAGTGGGGCTTTGGACCCAGATACTTGAGATCCAATCCTGGCTTTTCTACTTTCCTACTAGGTCACTGAAGAAATTACTTAATCTTTTCAACCTTTATCTGCAAAATGAGGATGAGAAAACCTATTTCATAACTTCTGTGAAGTTTTCAATGGTATAAGGCAGGTTTCTCAGCACTATTTACATTTTTGGTCAAGTAATTCTTTGTTGTGTAGGGGGCTGTCCTGTGCCCCGTGGAATGTTCAGCAGCATCCCTGGCCTCTTCCCATTAAGTGCCAGCGGTAACCCTATCCTCATTTATGACAACCACAAATGGATCCAGGCATTGCCAAATGTTCTGGTGGAGGATGAGGGGGCAAATTGTCCCACAATGAGAAACACTGGCCTAAAAAATTGAATGCAGGTTGCATGGCTTGTAGCACTTAGAGGTTGGTTGAGGCTAACTGCTTACCTTCTCCTAGATGCCATGGGGCTTGGGGAGGAGGTGCATTGCAGAGTTTCTGCTTTCTTGACATTTTAGAGTCAAAGTGGGAAAAGGGACAATGTCAGATGAATAGATACAGAATGCAGATTACGGTTAGGATACTGGTTCCTTGAAACCATGGCATTGAATGCCAAGATTGTTGGATGGTAGGAGGAGAATTTAGAAATAACCTAACAATGGGAGAGATACTTCAAGAAAATTGGAAGTAAAGACCAGGGGGAAAATAGAGCCACAGGAAGAGTGATTCTGCTGTGGTAATAACTTGGCTGTTCATGATCCTGAACATATCTGGCTCCTGATTTAAGGGACAGGCTCAGCCACAAATTCAAGGGCAGGCCTAGATTCAATGACTTCTAACCAGATATTCTATGCTCCTGAAAAAAAGATCACTTTCATTAGAGAAAAATATCTTTTGATAAAAGACTAAAACATTGAAAAATAACATTGCATTTGCATATTATGGGTTCCCCACCTGCAGATTTGACAATGAAGAGTTATTTTTATTGAATCTTTCCCAACTCTTTCCTCTTTATAACCAATAGGGAAAATAATACTGATGTTTGCCTCTAATGACTACTGTGGCTTTTCTATAAAAATATTTCCATGGATACCAAGGTAGAATTAAAAAATGATGCAGAAGAAAGAAAATATATAACTGTGGACTTTAGAATTGGTGTGGACTTAGTGATCATCTTTAACTCTTTTGTTTTAATGATGAAGAAACCAAGCTTTAAGAGGTGTTGTAACTTGGCCAAGGTCACTCAGCTTAGTAGGGTCAGAATCTTCAGTGACTCAGTCTATCTCTCATGCTTCAAATCTTTCTTTTCTGATCTGCTTTCAGTATTTTAAGGAAGAGCTTTAGGCTCTTGATTTAAAAAATTTTTTGTATTGCTTTTAAAAAAAATCCCTGAAGCAAAACCCCATGAAATACTAAATAAACTCTGTTCCCATTCAATAACTCATCACTACCCCTTCCCCAGTCCCCACTTTCTGTCTCCAGGAATCTGACAGTTCTTGGTACCTCCTGTAAGTGGGATCTTAATACTTGTCCTTTTCAGTTTTTGATTTTAAGTTCTTTGGTGTGTTGGTTCTGACTTTTAAGTTTCCGTTCTAAACTTCGTGGTTGTAAAGGAGTCTTCGAGTATTTCCAACTGTGACTGTTGATAATTTTTTCCTCATTGTTACTCTTGTCTCTCTCACAGGATCCTTTTGCAGGGTAAAAGAGTAGCCAGCAGCAAGCAAAAGCAAAGAAGGGGACTTGCTGTCTCTGAATGGGAGGGCAAGGGACCCTCCCTCTGCTTTCCGGATCCCTGAGAGGACCCACGGGGTGACTGTGCTCACCTAGACACTGTAGAATGAACCAGGCCCTTTTTGGTTTTCCAGTAACCACCACAGTCTAAGTAAATCCCTTCCTGCCAGAAGAAAATATGAGTTAAATTGAATGATGAGTTTAGATACTGCTTAGTGTTCTTAATTTTTTTTTAAATTGTGGTTTTCTATCATTTCATGTACACTCTCAGAGGCCGCTCTATGACGGAAGTGTCTTAAATATTAAAAGCAAATAAATAAATAGAGGATTATCTTTTGAGCACCTGGCAGTTTTGTTTAGATTTAAGGAATCTAAGTAGTTAAAATTTCTAGTTTTCCTAGATCCTGTAAATGCAAATGTCAAACAGCTGCCAAAGTCATCAAGCTAGCTAAGGATTTAACCAGTTAGGTTTGTCACATTCATTCAGGGTTAGCCTGAATCTAACTTTGTACATTCTGACAGGTTAATCTTTACTCTCAGAGACCTGAATGGCAAGCATTTCCTCCCTCTGGCCTTCCCAGGATCCCTCTGGGCAGGTTTTGCATGGGCTGCCTTCACTAAACCATGGGGGAAGGCAGTCCTTGTGCTGGTGCTCATGGTTGACCTTGTGCCTTGTGGCATATGCATGTCCTGGCACCAGACAGGAGTGTTTGCCAGTCACTGGTGGTCATCCTGTGGGAACATCTGGCTGCATGCAGTATATTCTGTATCTTGGAAATGGACTACTTTGCCAGCTGGAAAAGCCACCAGGCACATTGTTTCAGCCAAAGCTGTGTCTGCTCATCTATGGGCCATAAATGCTCCAAACTCTCACATCTCAAAGTGGAGCTTCCAGATTCCCATTGCTCTCCGGGTGACCCATATGAAGGCTTTGCCATGTGTCAAGATGCAGGCCTTGTAGCTGGCCATTTATTGTTTCAAATATCATGCATTAGCCTCGAGACTCAACATCAGTGAGTCTCAACCCTGGTAGCACACTGGAATCATGTAAAGAGCTTTAAACAATACCACCTGGGAGATTCTGATCTAATTGGTCCAGGGTTGGGGAATCTGGGGCAGCTGATTTTAATATGTAGCCAGGTTTGAAAACCACTGTTTGAAATTCTTGCAACCTATTTTCAGAGCAAGGCATGCCTGCTTCTTGTCTGTGCTGGTGATTACAATGATGACAATGATGAAGTTGATCAGAGCTAACATTTATTGAAACTTACTATGTGCCAGATCCTATTATGAACACTTTTACATGCCTCATTTCAGATTACCTTTGCCACAATATTATAAAGTGGATGCTATTATTGTCCTTATTCCAGGCATGTGGAAACTGAGGCACAGAGGAGGTAAGTCACTCTCCTAAGGTCACCCTGCTAGTATGTGGCTCAGCCTAGGAAGATCTTATGCTTATAGCCACTGTACCCATGAAGGATGATTAGGCTGTTATCTGGGTACCTCTCTCTGAAAACCCTCAAAGGTTCAGGAACCCCCAGTCTCCTTGGTTACAGCATTGTATGCTATTGTCTCTTTTCCATTGTGGAACTGGATGTGGACATTGCCAGACACAGAGAATGGGCACATCAGAGTGCAGGGCATAGCTCCAAAGGTCTAGAGCTTTACCAGGGGCCTATAGTGTGTCTGTGTTGGTAGCTCCTGCCAGATGGAAATACCTGCAGTGACTTCTGAACTTAAATGAAATGCTGTTAGAAGGAAACATTAGGGAGTGATTGAAGGCAAGGACAATAATGCTGAGGTCTTTTCCTGGCATTGCATTAATAAGAGAATGTGTAAACTCAGCTGGTTCCCTTTAACTCTTCCTTGGCTCTCCTGTGGCTGCTTCTAAGGGTATCAGGCTGGACTTTGCAAACCCGTTCTCTTTGGGGATCACTGCACATCTCATGTTGTTTTGCAAGCTGTTGGGCTGTCCAAAATGCCAAGCATTTTTCCTATGGAAATGTGCTCTGTATGGTTCTGATTAGTGCCCTCTCTTCTGCTTAATGCCTTCTTGGGCTGCTTTTCATTTCCTGCTGCTTCCTACAGCTCTGGTTATTGGTCCAGGCCTACCTCCTCTTGTCCACTTAGTATTATTCTCCAGGTGGGGCCCCCGTTTTCCTGCTCTGTCCCATGATGCTCCCGGTCCCACTGACTCTTACTTACACACTCCTCCTGCACACCCACTTTGCCTGTGAAATCTGTGAAATACAACACAACTTGCCACTACTTTCCTCCAAACCTTAGTCATGCCAGGAGAAACAAAGAAATCACTAACGATACAGTCAGTTCTTCACCATCCTCAGGCTAATTCTTATCTGGTGGTTTTGTGGAGAGTTTTCATTGATTAATTTATTCAGTCATTTGCTTATCTATTTAGGGACCTCACTTGGGTGGGGAGAATGTATTCTTCTTTATGCTGCCTCAAGAACCGTGACACCCCATGCTAAATCCTAATCAGTGTGAAGCCAGTGATCTTTAAGTAGGGGATCTCTACATTCATGACATAGAAATCAGATGCTAAGGTCTTTAAAAACTTGGCATTCTCTTATATCAGAGCCAACCCTTCCTCCTGTGGCTTATGGATTTTTCCAAGCCATTCTTTTCTTCTATCAATTTCATTTATCAAACTGCTTGGTGTCCATAAGGCAGATGACTGGGGGAAGTGCAGCCCTGATTAATCAAATCAGCTGTTTCACAACTCTTGCTATGAGAGGTGATGTCAGACAGGAAGTTCAGCTCTAGGCACACTTGGGTTTGGAGGTCAAATGGGGGTGTCATTTATCTATGCCAACCCCACTGCCCTCTGCCCTCCCACAAGTGCTCTTTGCCCTCACCCAGTAACCTAATTTGCATTTGAAAAAGAGCAGCAGTTGCAACAGTACCTTGAGTTCCAGCCTTCAGCCAGCCTGGAGAGTGCATCAAGAATTTGGGTGGGCATCTGCTGGGATTCAGCAGTGTGCAGAAGATGGCAGGAGGTCAGATCTCCTTCCCAAGCCACCGAAAGTGTTTCTCAGGAGGTCAGAAGCAAGAATGTTGGTGAGAAGGGAAGGCAAGGAAAGGGTGAAAGGAAACAGAGTAGAAGAAAGCAGACTTTCACAAAGGAAAGTTGCTGATTCTGTCTGTGATCAATCACGCTTAACAAAGGGGCCAGTGACACAGCCTTGTTCCCCCCAGAACATCGCCATTCTACCATCCAAAGCCTATCAGAAGATGCTGACATTAATTTCAATGAATGTCCCTGTTCTTGCTGGCAGCTTTTCCCAACATGGATGGTGCTGATGAGCTGACGGCAGTGATTTTTTTTTTTTATTTCCTTGATGTGGTCTTGGGTGGTAGGAACCACCTTTGCAAGAGGCCACCCATTTTCCTACATACATCCCCAAAAATGTCAGCCTCAACTATAAAGCTGAAAAAGACATTTCACATACATAAAATATGTAATTAAAATGATGAATTATTGTAAGATAGAATATTAGCCTTGTGACATTTTAATCTGAACGCAAGAGCGAGGGAGAAAGAGAGCACAATCTGAAGCGCTCAATTAAATTTAGAATTTCCCCCCTCCATTGTTATGAATAAATAGAAAAGATTCTGTAGCAGCCGGTGGAATTATTAATTGCAACTAGTGTAGAAGGTGCATGCACCATATCATGAAATGGAATATCATTGTTAGTGACTATATTTCTTGGTAATTAAGGCCCAGACTAATGATGCAAGTTTTCTCCAGCATGATTTTCATCTGATTATGAGGCTGCTTCATTAAGAGCACTCAGCCTAACGAGCTGTAGCTGTAATAAAGTAATTTTCTGTCTTGTGCTCTGATTGATAAAGAGTTTCTATAGCTAAAAGGAATTGAAAATATAATTATAATTAGAAATGGTTGAATAAAGTTATTACAGGATTGCTGAAGGGTAGTGCAATTGACACCATAATGTTTTTTTTGGAAGTGCGCATCTTAAAATTAGACTTTATAAAGCAACAAAACTCCTTTGCTAATAACTGGGCCGAATGTTGCTGCTTCCATAAAATGAACATTTAGATTAAAGGAAAATGAGACTTTCCCACATTGTTCTCGACAAGAAAAACATATGCAAGAAGAATGCCGTCGCCTTTCTTCCCAGCATTCTTCCCTCGTGAAGTAAAGCTTATGAACATACTTTTTACTCCATTTATAATAATTTTCCTTCTGCCATATGTTGGAAAAAGATCTTTTTGATTAAACTGATGTCTTTTTAAGCATACAGTATAATTTTGGAGTTTCTCCTTGCCAATGTGCAAAGAGTTATGCTGTCTTTTTATATATTTATATTTATGAAGCAGTTGGATTTCATATAATTTTTCAAATTGTGTAGAGGGTTTTTTTTTCTGTCTTTGCCATTCATTGGTTGAAATCAAAATGTAACTGGGGAGGATACAAGATTCTGACCCCCTCCCATGGGAAATGCTAATCAACTTTTTATCCTAGAAACCTTATTTCTTTTTATGATGTTCACATTTATAAACCATGAAAACTCCGTTAGAGCAGTCCTTGGTGTGTATGTCATTAGATATGTCTGCAATATTGACATATAAGTCTATGGCAGTGGTTTTATTTAGAATTAGCTGATAAACTTTGTGCTTCAAATTAGTTTCACATATTTAATTTAGTCTCTTTTGCCTTATTTTAGCTCCCTGCACTGCATGAAAAACATGCATATACTTTAAAGCTATATGGTTATGTAAATCTATTTTATGCAAACTTACCCAGACATTATTAGGTCTGGGCTAAAAGGAGGAGTGGATATTCCTCGATCCACACTTTTGATGGATTATTTCAAAGCTCCATTTTTACACTGATTCTGACAATTGGAAAGACTTTGAGAATTTTTGAGAATCATTTCCAACATATCATAGGGTAATAAAAGCATGTTATTGGAATACCATTAGTAAGATTAGAAAGGAAAAAAAGAGCAGAATTTTATTGGTTGTTCATTGAAAATGTTAGCTGTGATTAGTTACATAATCCTACATTAACCTGTAAATTAAAATTCCTTGGTGCAATTTGATGGCTGATTTAATTTTGTCTTTCTTTGTTTGCCGCAGGCTAATTCCATTATGAATTCTTTATACAGCCTTTTCCCTCAATGATTAGCAGCTTCTACTCAAGTTCTGATTACTATTGTACACTTAGCACTACATAAAGCCGGGGATTAATATTCCCCTGAAGAATTGTTGCTATGGATCTGCTCTATTCCTTCTAAGAGATGTTTCTGCAGCTTCAATTGTCCATAAATTATGATCTCTAGTGAATTATCAGTGGGAGTGAACTGAGCTTAACAAGCTGAAGAGTGCACTCTAGTTCGGAGAGAAAAAAGGCAAGGGAGAAAGAGAAAAAGAGATGCTCAATTATTAATTGTGAGGTTGGATCATTCAGAAGAAGTGATATTTTTTCCCATCTCTATCCTTGCAGACATGTACAAATTAGAATGAGGTTGTGGGTTAAAATAGATGCTTTAAAATCTTTCAATATGTAGTGATTATAACATGCCAGAAGGTCTTAATTACCTGTAAACAGGAAGAGAAAATGCTGGTTCTGCTACCCAGTAACATAGCAGGGTTATAGGGTGGGTTTTATTTTGAGAAGTGGCATAGTCTTAATTTGCAAAGTGTGATTTCTCCATCTATCAGTTTAGGAATATGTATTTGGGTACCATTGTTTTAAAACATCACTGGGAATAGCAGAATGCTCAAATGGAGTCGATACAAGGATTTTTCAAAATGAGAAAAGTTTTTCTCAAGAAGGTGGTATTTCCAGATAAAGTTGATCTGTAGCTTGGGAAGGGTCCCAATTTTGCTGGGACTAAAAATCAGGGTTTAGATCATTCTTGGGTATGCTTCTCCTTGGGAAGGACATCACAGGGGGGCGTGTGCAGTGTGTGTTTTGAACCTCAGCTTGGATAAACCCAGCTATCCGTTGCTTCCACTCTATAGCACTGTTTGCTGGATGGTGCAACATGGGGCAGAAGCCCTTACTGGCTCAGACACTGGGACTGAGTTTAGCCAGAGAAACCCACTGGAATCCGGTGGAGACCACCAAGCTTGCCGAATTGCTTGCTTTTACCCACACGTGTCCCGAGCCAAGAGAAATAAACATTTGAATAATATATCATGTAAAATGATTCTCTTTTCTTTCTTCTCTCTTTTCCTCTCAATTAATTTCCTTCTTCCTTTTTACTTCCTTTCTCTTCTAATTTTCTCTTTCTTCCTTCTATTCCCCATCCTTTCTCTACTTTAGTCTTCAATGTTCTTTTTTGGGTTTCTCTTTTTCTTTTTTTATTCCTCCCCCAGCCACTCTTCCCCAAAGAGCTCCAATACTGAAAATATGCTGGCATTTTAAAGTTAGAGCAAAAAGGTGAATTATATTACTACTTGGAAGCCAGCTAAGGGCAGATTCCTGAGGGAAGTGAGATAAAATAACGGAGTCTGAGAAATGCACTTAACAGAACAGACACAGTGGAAAGAATCTTTTCCAGGAATTATCACTTCCCGGTTTTCCAACTGCAAAGCAACAAATCATATACCAAGTCAAGGCAATGCTGTTATTACGGAAGTGGTTCCTTCGAATCATTCTGAAGTCAGAGTCTCAGATTGTACTGAGTAGTTCCTGGAAGAGGAGGTAATGCCCACTTTATCAGGAGCCTGGTTTCTGCAGCACAATTTGTGACAGTTTGGGTACATTCACACAAAAGTACAGGTATGCACACACTCACACACATATGCATACACACATGCAAATCCATGCAACACTTCTGAGCGTGAAAAGATGTTATTAGTATTTAAGCCAGGACAATAGCCATAGACAAGACCATGCTTGGCAAACAGGTCAATGGTCACCTTAGCTTTAGTGAAGGATTGCAGTCAAGGTCCCTGAAGATGAAGACTCTCCCACAGTCCTGTGTTCCCATGTTTGCCTTTCCTTTTGGCCACTGGGAATCTGAGCTTCCCTTTCATGTTTGAGGAATTCGGCACCTGATGGATCTTGTTAGGAGTCAGGGACTGTTCCCCACTTTTTACTGAAACCCGTTTGCTTCTAGGGTGCAAATATGTGACCGTGGTTTGCCCAGAAGATACATCTCCGTGGGACTTGGGCTTGGGGACTAGTGATGCCAAGAAGGGGTCTCTGAGGAGCTGCCTATAGTTTCTGGGCTCAGCAGGGATGGCAGTCCCACAGCAGGCTCCCGATCCCAGGGTTGGGGTGTGTGGTCCAGGTGGACCAGGACTGTGTGAGATCTTGAATGCAGTTCCTAGGCACATAGTATCCCGGTCTTCTCTTCTCCTACTAGAGATTCTGTGAACATTACTCTCTTATCATCAAGGAGTTGCCATGAGAATTACATATGAGACCATGTGGGAGTCAGTTACAGCATACTGGTCAAAGTACACTTCTGCATTCCACAAACCAGGTACCTGGGGACTTGTATTCCAGGTGCAGGGACCTGGGAGCCAGTGAAGAGTGGCCAGAGAGTGGAGGAGACCACATCTTCTTTATTACATAAAAATTCAGCTACTTTACTCAGTACTGGAGGTAGGAGTGGGGGACCAGGGGCTAGCTAGACTGCCCTCCTCAGAAGGTACAAGATCTCTGGGAGCACTTAATGGTATGTTTCTCAGCAAGACATCCAATGGCATTTTAGACAGAAAATTTCTATTTTGTGCATTCTTGTTCCTGGCCCCACCCATTACATGCTAAATGCCATTTTTGATCTCCCAATAGTTGTGACTACCCAAATCCTTCTCTCCACCCAATTCCAGACATCTCTGGAGAGCATCAAACCCCAGATAGAATCATTGAATTACTACTGTATTCTTCTGATCACATACAATAGTCTTTCCAAAAAGTGTTTTGACAAGCACATTTTTAGCCATTTCATAACATTTTTAGCAACATTCTGTGTTCTGGTGATACTTTAATACACTTTACAAATCAGTCCCTGCAGTCTACCTTCTCTTAATCCACCTCTACTTAAAATGGGTTTGGAGTAGGGTACCAAAGGAGGCTGAGTGATCACAGAGTTCATCTCTACTTGATTTGACAAACAACCCATCTTGAAGCCAAATTTCAAGGAAAAAACCCCACTCAATGCTTATTTTATTTCATGTAGTAGCATTTGCACTTAGTGGAAGTAAGTGCTATTTTGGGAGTGACTCCTCCTCCTAGAACCTTTTTCCCCAGGGACTTGGGCGCAGTCCCCAGGCAGGAATCTGGTCCACTGGAAACCCCCAAGGCAATATCTGCTGAGTGAGGACAACTCTGGCCACCGGAAAGGGTTTGTTTCGTATTAAATGACACCTAGGGTCTCAACTTACAGCATGCTGGAAATCCAGAGCCTTCTCACCCACGTGCTCATGTGACTGTTTTCCCAAGTTATATGGCAAATTATTCATACTTGGTAGGCAGAGTGATAGAAGCTTAAAGATAGAATTACCCGGTTTAGCTGCTTTTCTTTTCCTTAATAAGGGAAAGAAGTCAGAAGTGTTGAAATGACTTATCAGATCATCATCATAATAGCAGCTCACATAATATTCTACTCTACTCATCATTATTTCATTTATATTTGGATAAGGCTGGTTTCCATGCTGGTTTTCTTGTAGTCTGCCTAACACGTTTTTATAACTAATGTATTTTCTAGTTAAAGCATAGCTCACAAATTAAAATTCTTCTAGCTTTTCACCTTGGGGGAAAGAAATGGCCAGGTGTGGTGGCTTATGCCTGCAATCTCAGCACTTTGGGAGGCTGAAGCTTGAGGACTGCTCGAGGCCAGGAGTTTGAGAACAGTGTGGGCGACATAGTGAGACCCCCACTGCTACAAAAGATGAAATGACACTGCTCTAACATTAACCATTCTAAGTATTAGCTCATTTGAGCCTCATGACAGTTTTATCAGGTAGTTATTATCATCATCACTGTTTTACAGATGAGGAAACGGAGGTACAAAGAGATTAAGAAATTAACCAATATAAATCATAGAAATCGCAAGTGGAAGAATCAGGATGTGAACTGTGGACCTTCAGCTCCAGTGCCTCCATGGCTCTCGGCCATTATGCCATTCATCTCGGGAGGTGGAAACAGCATCTGAATCTGAAGTTTGTTTGCTGTGAGGTGTAATAGACTCCTCTGCCTTTCTCTCTCTCCCTCTTTCCTTCCTTCCCCATCAATTACTTATCTCTCTGTAACTGAAGCTCCTCGCCACTGAGACAGCTCCGCGGTGCTTCCTGTCCCTGCTTCCTTCACATCCTCACTTTGACGTTTACATATCCACTGCCTCTCAGTTTTTACTGCTGCCTTTCTTGCCAAATACAAATAATGACTGTTCTTTTTACTGCTCCTTGTTTCTGGTGCGGCGGGACAATGAGGGGAGCATAGATCAATGTTTCTCAGAGCATGGCTATGGCGAACCTTGAAAAGAGGGAGCCCTGGTAACAGGCCCAGAGGTAGAGGCAATTTCCTTGCTCCATTGATGTCTCTCCCAGGGGCGAGATTCTCAGTAGAGGAGCCAGCTCTGGATTCAGAAGAAACAGTGATGGTTTAAATGGTGTGTGTGTGTGTGTGTGTGTGTGTGTGTGTGTGTGTGAATAATACTCATTCAGTGAGGACACAGAGGTCTCAAGCTAGGTGATTTCCTGAATAGCAAGCGCAGGGGCACCAATGAAGGCATAATTTTAAGACATGAGTTAAATATTTTCCTGCTCTCATATTGGCCAGTGTGAGGGAGTGAATGAAAACCCCAAATGAAAGGGACCCACATTCTATGGATGCCTTCTCTGGCCTTTTATTTCCTCTCTATTCTAGCTACAGCTCAAATTTGCGTTTGAGCCAAGGAGGCTGAATAATTTTCCTTTGCCGAAAGACTAGCTGTCAAATTCCATGCAAGTTGATTCTGCTGATTTGCATGAGAGGAAATATAATCTGATGAAGATGTAAATGTACACAATTGTTTTCTTATCTGTAGGCTTTCTGTTTCTTATTTGGAGTCTGATTTAAATAGTCCCATTTCAAGTAACTTAGAAAGGCTTAATGCAGTGCCAAATGATTACATTTTCAGAGACTTGTTGTTGGTTAATTCTGGCTTTCCTTCTCCTATATCAATTCATTTTGTCATGCTTAAAACAAGAACTTTTGAGCATTTATATTAAAAATATTATGGGAGATAGGATGCAAAGGTAAATAAGAAATGGGCCCAACCTTCTAGAGCTTACAGTGAAACACATTTTAAAATGCATTTTGAAGTCATTTGAAATTTGGTATGAATTTGCCATATAAGCAAGGTTCTAACACATTGCAATTGTATAACACTTTATTGTTTACAAAATACTATCATAATCCTAGGCAAGACAACAAAAACTTCTTTAACCCCTTATGTAGTTGAAACAATACAAGTGAAGACCATTTTAAGTATTATTTCTCAGTTCTGTGAAAACCCAGAACTACCATGTGTGAGATCTTGAGCTGCTTCCACTTCGTTCTGCAGTGGAATTACCGAGGCATCAGGACATGAGCCTGAATGTTGGGCGAACAGCATCAGTGAGTCCCAGCTTTTGCAATCTCTCACTTCTGCACATTGTAGTTGATACCCCTAAACTATCTTTTGTGGGTCAAATTTGGGCTTTCTTACAAGAGCCAATAGGAACTTTCAAAATTTTGATGTTGCCTGCCAGCATCTTAACAGTTTCAATCTCTAGCTGTAAATATGTTTGTCTATGCAATTATTTAGATATTTTATCTAATGTTCCCCCTGATTAGTTAAAACAAATGTCAAAAACAGGAGAATGCAAATGTGTGGCTTTTATCGAGTGAATATAAATGAGATGGGTTGAAGCACTTTTGCCATGTTGTAAGTGGAGACCCTACTCTCTCATTCGGCCTATTACATCAGGTAAATGAGCGTGTTCACCTGTGAAAGAAAAGAAGAAAATGGTAAGACACATGGTGTGATAGAATTAGATTGTTAAAGATTGTATATGCAAGACAAAGTAGAGTTAGGATCTTTGTAAGATTATTTTTAGCTTCCTGAGAACAGAACCTGTAGCCAAGTTTACGGTTTTGTTTGCTTACCTTTGACTCTGAGACATATTTCAAAGTCAGTGTGGATGGAATTAAAGATTTCTATGACTGCATGGGTAGAAGGTATTCACTATTTGAAGACGGCAGATGGTGATAGTGGTGGCTGGAGTATTTGGCTACAGAGAAATAGCAGAGTAAGGAAGGGGACAAAGAGGAAGGAGGGCAGTGTGGCCTAGGTCAGCAGCAGTAGTGTACGGGGAGCTTGAGAGGAAGGGGACAGGGAGTGTCCAGCTAAGGGAGGCACTTCTATAAGCGGGAGACATTAGGAAGTCATACAGAATGCTTTACATCCTATTAGTGACAAGGAAGCGATGAGATCATGTTTGATGGTGGATCAGGAAGGCTTCAGGGTATGTATGACATTTAAGCTGAGCCTAGAAGAGTGCATAAGATATTTTTTTCCAGCCAGAAATCTGGGGGAATGATATGATGAGGGCAAATGGGATGAGATGAATGATGAGAACAAAAGTGGAGAGGTGGCTGGGCGTGGTGGCTCACGCCTGTAATCCCAGCACTTTGGGAGGCTGAGGCAGGTGGATTACCTGAGGTCGGGAGTTCGAGACGAGCCTGGTCAACATGGTGAAACCCCATCTCTACTAAAAATGCAAAAATTAGCCAGGCGTGGTGGCAGGCGCCTCTAACCGCAGCTACTCAGGAGGCTGAGGCAGGAGAATTGCTTGAACCCAGGAGGCGGAGGTTGCAGTAAGCCAAGATCATGCCACTGCACTCCAGCCTGGGCAACAGAGCAAAACTCTGTCTTAAAAAAAAAAAAGTAGGGAGGCAGGAAATGTAAGCACCTGTTTGGGGAACAGTGAACTGGTGGGCAGCAGTTATAGGTCGGTTCCAGGTTCACTGAGGAAAGAAGAGAATGATTAAGCTAGAAGGCTAAGTTTTGGCCAGGTCAAGGAGGTTCTGGAATTCCAAGCTAAACTGTGATTTAGATTTAATTTGTTAGCTGCATAATTTGGTGGTGGAATCCCTGAGACTTAGGAGGAAGGGGAAGCAGTGATAAAGCTCTTGTAATCGTTCAAGCAGAAGTTTCTAAGGACCTGATTCACTGAAGTAAAAAGAAGAATAGGATGCAGTGATGGATTCAAGAGTTAGAATAGGTGTGATTTGGCAAGGACAGGAGAAGGGGAAGGAGTCAAGAATGATTGAGTGAATGGGAGATTGGCAGTATTTTAATAGACACAGTTAAGAGAAAGGGTGAGAGGGAGGAACGAGATAAATTTTAAAAGTGTTGAGTTTGAGGTGGCTATGGAATATCCTGATGGAATCCTCTGGAGTATTTGGTGGAATTGTAGGCACGGAATATGGAAACAACTTCTTTGGAAGCAATGGCAAAAGTAATGGGGATAGATGAGGTTTTTCGATGAGGACACAGAGAGCAGAGGTTCAAGGACTGTGGTTCAGAATTGTGGGAATTTACGCTTTTAGGATTTGAAGGAGGAAGGTGAACCAATGAAGAGAGAAACAGGAGAATTAAGTGCAGTGTAAAGGATGACAAGGAAAGAGCAAGCTTCAAGAAGGAAGTGGTAAGCAACAGGACACAGTGCTGAGAAGCTGTTGAAGTGGCTATTAAAAGTCACCAGAGACCCTTAAGTGAGTGGGTCCATTTAGAGCGATGCTGCGATTGATGCTTTCATATTAACTTGAACGCCTCTGCAGTACAGGGGGCAATGCCACTGCTTGGAGTTAGGTTAGGGGGTTAAAAATGGGGCTGTACATGCAAGTTCAGAAGAGCCAAGTGGGGAGATTCATCAGCAGTGAGGGGCCAGTATTGGGAAACATCGTTGAAACTGAATTCAATTAGCATGGTTTGAGAACTTTTTTCTAAAAATGTTTGTTAGATTAAAGTAAATGGTGAGTGTTTCAAGGGTCTGGAGAGTGGCAAGGCAGTTTCAGTGGGCGGTCAAAGAGTCGAGGGACTCTAGGGTGCTTGCAAGGGAGGAGGCTTCAATGCCTGGCATTGGGCCCCGCTGGGCAGTAGGGCAAATGAAACTGGGAAGTGTGTGAGGCCCTTGTCCAGAAGAAATTAAGATCCAGGAGAAAGGATGAATGGTTGGCTGTCATGATAAGGGCAAGGATATATTTAGCAGGAGTGAGCATGCACACAAGCAAGGACTATCCAAAGGAGGGAATTTCAGGGTTTTGGACTTTTTAGCTGGGGTTAGTTTACAGTATTGATTTCCCAGGTACTAAAGTAGAATAGGGATGAAATTTCTGGGGTTCCACAGGTCTGGGAGGTTTTAAGTCAGTGCTGAAAGGATCATCAATATGTATTTCTTTTGACAAAAATATTATTTAAGTCCACTCAGTGTGAAATATTATGCAAAATGGGTAATAATATACCAATTTACAAATGTGGAATTAGTTCCTAGAAGTATTTAATCAACTTGTGTGGAATCATCCATGTAGTGCATGGTGAACACAAACTTGGGAATCTGTCGTTTTTGAAGCCTCTGTTTTTTCCTACCAAATTACATTTCCTCAATAAGTTGATGAATTTTCCAAATTTCTAAAATTTTTCCATTAGACCTGCTATAGAAAATAAGTAACTACTTTCCACAATGGATTTTAAGTTACAATATAAACACCATATACTCTAATTGACCTAGGATCAATGATCAATGTACTTTATTTATGGACATTTTCTTTCCTGAAAATACAATTAAGATACTTAATATTTGTGATAAAGCAGCTATCTGATAATAATCAATATGGATTCTGAACTCCTCAGAGTTAAATGCAAGGGGCAGAAAAGGAAGGAAAGAAACTACTATTTACTGAGGGCCTACTATATGCCAGGCAGTGTGCCACATTTTTTTCATATCTACTCTAGCATTTAATCCTCATAACATTCCTATATTGGTAGGTAATACTGCACCCACTTTATATATGAAGAAGCTGAAGGCTTGTAAAGTGGCCCAAGGTCTTCCAGTGATGACCTGCCAGAAGCAAGCTATGAATCCACGTCTCACCCCAAAGCTGCCTGTGTTCTTTTGTGAGAAGAACAACAAGCTAACAGTTCATGTGATCTTTTGGGTCTCCTAGGGGTCAGTACACAATGGTGACCAGAATAGAGATAGTTTGCTATAAGTAGGGAGAGAAAATATGTTGTTAAGTGGGTGCATTGGGAGAGAGATCTGAAAATGGAAACGTGGAATCAGAGGTATACTGACATCTCACACAAAGATATTGGGATGTGTGAAGGGGTGAGTTTTGAGGGGCTATCATGGGAAATTAGAATCCAATTAAAGGGAAATAGACATATTGGAATGGTTTAGGCTGGTCTCAAGAGGAGGTTTCAACTTCCTTATTGCCTTCCACCCAATACAAATATGACACTTGTTTTCATCCTCTCCATTTCTGCTCTCATGTTTGCCAGGATCAATACCCAAGGATGGGCACTTCTCTAAGAGCTGTGATTGAGCTTGGTAAGTATTTCAGGAGCAATTCAAACAGATTCTTTTGAATCCTGAAATGTGAAGTGATAGCTCTTGCATCTCTCAGTGGAAGGCAAGGGTTTAGAGTTTTGTAGAAAACTGACCTAACACTTAATTCTCCATTTCACATTGGCAGGCCAGGTACAAGGTAACTTTTTTTCTTTCTTTTTTTTTTCAACTTTTATTTTAGATTCAGGGGGTACACGTACAGATTTGTTACCTGGGTATATCGTGTGATACTGACATTTGGGATATGAATGATCCCATCACCCAGGTACTGAGCATAGTATTCAATAGTTTGTTTTTCAACTCTTACCCCTCTTCCTCCCTCCCCTTCTAGAAGTCCCTAGTTTCTATTGTTGGCCTTGTTGACACAGTGGGGGCTGAAGATAACTGCCCTTTGTTATTATTTGTACTATTTTACCTTTTAGATTTCCTAACTAAGAACCACTTGTCCCCCAAGCTGGGCATATTTATTTATGAACCCTTAAAGGGGCTGATGTGAAATTCTGAAGATTTTCTGTTAGTCTTGACACTATGAATGGGGTTATTTCCTGGGCATGAATAAGAAGTGGTTGACATCAGTGAGTGATTAACCGGATCCTTGATGTTATGTTTTCTGGTTTCCAAAGGGCTGTTTCTATGAGGCTGACATCTATAGGGACCAGTTAAGGCCAGCTTCGGTCAAACATTATGAAAAGGGGTTTGGCTATTATTCAGATAGCACTGGATCTGTGTTAGATCTTTTGTTCTTAGTGAATTTTTCCTTATGCAACAAATGTATAAACAGTGGATTCTACTTTAAAAAAAATTGTCCTCTTTCCTCCTAGGGAGAAATTCCTTCGATTTTATAGTTGTTGAACTTAGAACTTCTGGACACATTAAAATCAATTCCACACACTAAGATGCATTTTAAGAGTTATTAAGTAGAATTTTTGATCATGTTTCTTTTCTACAGATACATTAGTGTTAAAGGGAAACATCATTTCTGGCTTTGAGTGGGTGTCCTACTTTGTTTCTGGTGATTCGCTGGGAGATAGGCCACCAAGAAGCATTACTTTGTCCTCTCAGCTAGATGGTAAAGATCAGCCAGGTGTGGAAAGATCCATTCATCTATTCAGGAAACAGGTACTGAGCGGTTGCTACTTGCCAGGTGTGTTCTGGAGCCTGGAATTACAGTAGGCAACAAGCCAGACAGAAGTCCTTGCCCATGAATTTCTGGTGGATGAGGCAGACAATAAAATAACCAACTAAGTATATAAATTATCATGAAGTGTTGGGGAGTTGTAAGCAGTATGAAGAAAAGCAGGTAAAGGTGATAGAGAGGGAGAAGAGCCATAATTTTCACAGAGTGGTCAGGGAAGACCTTTTTGAGGAGATGCCATTTGAACTGAGATCACAGTGATAGAAGGCTGGAGAAATTTGGCATGGGATGCTTTGCATTTGCTTTTTGACACACAGAGTGCTTTGTTGTGGCATTCAGTCCTCCCACAAACCCTGTGAAGAAGATATTAATATCTCTATTTTCAGATGATAGAACTGAAATGGAGGCAGTTAAATGACTAGGAAGAATGTGTAGGGCCGGATCTCTCACTGGACTTAGCCCACATGGAGTATCTGGCCCCACACCTCCAATCTAACCTTCCAGTAAACATGCACCAACGCATTCAAGACAGTCACCGGGGCGGGTGTAAATTCACACAGCAGAGTAGCTAAGCGTTCAGGAGCGGGGTGGGAGCCAGAAAGAATGGGCCCTCAGAGGTGCCTGCCTTGGGGAAAAGTGAGTGCAGCTAGGCACTCATGGTCCTTTCTGGTCCAGCATGCTCAGACAATGAGTAAAGGCCTTGGACACTGTCCTTGAAGTGTCCCAAATAACCTTATTTGAAGCCATTTAAAAAAAATCTGAAAACTTCCTTTAAAATGATATCCACCAATCCCTCCCCACCAACTCACACCCCAGGTATTTAAGAAATGCTGTGAAGTAACTGACAATAAGCAAAATGCACAACGTGCCTTTTTGTTCTTTCTTTTCCATTTCAGTCAGAGAATTCAGGCTTTCTGTAGCTCCCTCTGGTAACAAGACATCTAAACATGTTCAAAACAGTGTTGTTATCTTTCACTTTACCCTTGAGCAATGCAAAGAAAACACTGTGAACTGGCAGACATCATTTTGCTAACACTCTCACATACATGCTAGCTGTGCTTCTCCTAGGAAACCTCCCCTTCTTTCTCTGGAAGAAGATTTTCTGCTTCATACTTTGGGGTCTGTTTCCAGGAAGCATGTGGCTCGACTTGCTCTTTTAATTTCATCCCAGCCCTATTCATTGCATCTTTAAATGAGCATTGTTTAGCAAATCCAGAAGCAGAACTTGTTTCTGGCTTCCTGGAAGGGATTTTACTTGGAATGTAAAGAGGTTGGAGAGCTGGGCTTTTGTTTCTGGCTTTGCAGAGGGAGATATGTGGCACACATACCATCGCTGTACATTCCGCGATCCATGGCAGACATCAATAATCACTCCTGGCATTTTCTCTTGTTACATTTGGACATGGTCCCCAGAGTTCTTCACAATCCATGGCAGTCCTTGCTGACTGCCAGAGCTGACTTATGGATATAACTTCCTTGTCATCTTATCAGAACAGCTTCCTGGTGACAGCTGACTTTACTGTATCCACTATAAACTTACAAATAATTTTAAATGCTCTTATTTTACTCTTAGTATTCTCAGGACAAATATAACAGAAATGTAATAGAATATCTATGGTTTCTGGCATGAAAGGAGGGTTTATTGAAATCTTTGAAGGGGATATGTTTAGGCAGTCAGTCTAGACATGCACATTTTTAATAAGTTTCTTAGGTTTTGCTAATATTTCCACCTCTGTGTTGAGAAACATTACAGCACACATTTCTAGTTTTTGGCACAGGCTTTTAGCTGCCTTCTTAATAGAGCAGGCACTCCTGGGCGAGCCTGGGGAAGGGAGATCTGGAAAGCACCTTTAGTTGTGCAAAACTCTGAGGGCCAATCTGACTGTGGCAAAATCACGTCCTCATCCCAGGGAACTGTAATGGTGGCTGAGTTTCTTGAGAATAGTGAGGCAAGTCTCTCTCTTACCACACAAAGTGTTGGCTGCTGGCTTTGCCCTTTGGAGAAATAACTTCAGGCCTGGAAAGAAGATGGTCTCCCTGGTGGAAAGGAGCCAGCTTCTCCCTTGCTTGCCTGCCGCAGAGTGGCCAGCGTTCCTGTCAGCATGAAGCTGGACTGGCCCACCTGGTCAGGGCAAGAGGCGGCTTTTCTTACAAAGACTCCATTTGTAGTTTCTAAGAAAGAACTTCTTAGAATGTTCAAAACCAAGTCGTGAAAATATTTTTTTGGAGTCACCTCATTAGTTTTAACAATAAATGCTCATAACTGGAAGTAATGATTTGGCAATTATAAGTCAAACTTCAAGTAGGGGTAGGAGACCTATTTCTAGAGAAACAAATAGGGCTGCCTCCCATTGAGCTAAATTGTGCTTTGAACTTTCCTAGAGTTTATTTTCCCCCAGGACCTTTAAGAACTGAGCAAATATCAGTTCATCAATAAAACCTGTGTTTGTAGATGGTTTATGCTGAAGTATTTTCGACTCGGCGTCTGTATTTGAATGTGGGAACTGAGTCAGAGAGACTTGCCCAGATCATCTCTGTCTAACTCTTTGAGTGGTACGCAGGGTGGGTGCAATGAGGCAGGGTGGGGTAGACAGCACTGTGACTTCTGGTCCCCACAGGTGATCTAATGACCTAGGAGTCTGCCTGGTATGTGTTGTTATAGCATGCATATCAGTCTCCTGTTCTGTGCTATAATTCATGCGCTTGCTTATTCATTGAATTATTCAACAAATGCTAATAATTGCCTATGATATCCCAAGCCCTAGGCTTTGTGCTTGGAAACTAAGATAAGTAAAATATTGTCCTGCCCTCATATAACTCTAAGTCTAGTGAAGAAAACAGATCCATGCATAGATGTTTTGAAGCAGTGCAGCAGGCCGTGATAGAGAAATGCCCTGAGCTTTCTGGTGTGTAAGGAAAGTTCTCTAATCCTGATGGGGGAGTGAAGAAGGATGTGTGTGGGAAGCTTCCTTGTGAAGGTGACAACCTGAATTTTAATGGAAATGCAATAGGAGGCAGTTTTCTTTTATTCATTTTTCTTCTTTCCCTAGGTGGGGCCTGACATGTTCCAAAGTTAGACAAACAGAAGGAGCGTTTGATGGTGAAACATAAGGCAGAACAGGGATTCCTTGGGCACAGAAATGTGCAGGTGGTATGCTGAGAGGGGGTCAGTGGTGGTCTCATGAATTGCTCAGTTGGCTTGTTCCTAAAGCCAGTGGCTCTACTCTCAGGTTGGAACAGGGTCTGATTCTGTTTCTCGCTTTCTTTCTCTACCCAATAATTGCAGTTCCTCTGAAAGCTCTGTGCCAAATCTTCCATTCTGTGAGCAGCATCCCTAACCTTTCAGCTCTCCATCCTCATCTAGACCGCTAATTTATTTGTTCCTACCACTTTTTCACTTTTCACCCACTCCCTTTCTCTTAATTACTTCCTTTTTTAGCGCAGATTCCAAGATTCAACATGAAAAACACTCCCTTGTAAAGCCCTTGACCTCTTGGTCTCTCTCTTACTCTGTAACATTCATCTGGCAAAACCCCAACCATGCTTAACACCGTCTATCTGTCTACTCAATACTTGCACCCAAGCAACTGAGCAAGCGAGAGAACAACACACAGCCATGCCTTAGATGTACAAGGACACGCCTGGAATGGGTACTCGACACCGCCCTGCAATCTGCCACACTCCCCTAGTTGTATATACGGGCTCACACTCGCCAACCAGTTATTTCACACATTCATTCATGATCCATCTGGTGGGCATTTCCTTTATGTCTGGCACAGTGACAAGCCCTGGGGACAGAGCGGGAAACATGACACACAAGCACCATCATACTGCTTACTGAGAGCTATGCAGGGAATGTTGGGTGAATTGACGGACGGCCTGGCTGACTGCTTTACATAGATTGCTTTGGGAAAACCTCACTGAGGACATATTCAAGCAAGTATCTCAATACCAAGAAGGAGCCAGCCCATGAAGATCAGAGGAAGGAGCATTCTAAGCATTTGGAACAAATGGAGCAAAGCCCCTGAGATGGGCTTGTCTTGTTCAAGGAACAGGAAGGCCAGTGTGGCCAGACCATAGTGGTCAAAGAAGAGAGTATCATGGAATTAAGAGTAGACATGCAAGAATGTAGAATTGCAGGTGTAGGCAGGTTGGAGATTCAGGAAGTTGCACTGGATGGCTCTGGTTTCCTTGCCCAAGGAGCAGCTAGTCTCCCTTAGAACTCAGGGTGTGTGGTAAGTGTTGTGCAGGTGGCTCAGGAGAGTGGGGGACTTTGTCACAGTCACTTTGGTAAATGGGACAGGGAGCTGACCAAGAATTGGAGTAAGAATTGGAGGTTGGAGATGTGGCATCTCTGTAACTGGGGTCAGAGTTTATAGTGGCTGTGATCATCCTGGCTGTAAATGGGAGCAGGGGAGGTAGATTCTTGCATTGATCTGGGGATGGTGTTTTTCAGAATGGATTTGGGAAAAAAGGATAAGGTGTTAAAGAAATGAGACTGCAGGTGGGCAATAGTTTGAAGATCAAGTACAGGGTTCAAGCTGTTAGAGGAAAGATGCCAAGATAGCTGTTAGAGCCCGGGACTAAACCGAGATCAAGAATCCTTTATGAGATTGAAAAGCAGCTGTAGAATGAGTTTTAAATAGTGTTTAATTATTTATTTATTTTGCAGCCCAGCAATAGCAGCCTGAGTTCTAGCTCAGAGCCTGCTTTTGATAGCAGATTGAGACATCAGCTTTGCACCTGGCAGGCCAGGAGATATTAAGGAGTTCTGTTTGAATGAGTTTGCCTTGTCTAGGCTAAGGTATTTGTTAGGAGGGCCAGAAGCAAGGATCTTGGAGAAAAGAGAGAAGCAAGAAAAGGAGTGAGGGGAAATGGGCCAGAAGAAAGCAAGCTTTCACAAAGGAAAGTTGCTGATTCTGTGTGTGATCAATCATGCTAACAAAGAGGCCAGTGACACAGCCTTGTCCTCCCAGAACATCGTCATTCTACCAACTGAAGCCCCTTTGGGAGATGCCAGTGGTGATTTATAGGAGGTACTCCTGCATGCTGTAGGAGCTTACTCTACTATGCACAGGGTTCTTTGCTGATAGAACACTTCCTTTTAAAATTCCCTTTTGTGGGCAAGCAAATCTCACATCTTAATACAAAGCAAACCTTTGGAAGATAAACACTTTTAAATCTTACATTTTAAAATAAAAAGTTTCCCTAGCCTTGCCTGAGGATTGATAGGCATAAAAACATTCCCCAGCAAGTGTCATTTTACCAAATCTAAATTCTCAAGGCGATCTTGTGTCTTTCACTAGAATCTTTCTTAGACACTCTTGAAAGAACTTAAAGTTTGCATTGATTTTATTAATTTTACTTTATTGGGTGAAGAATACTGCTAATATAATACATGTTCTATTCATTTGCAGTCTTATTTCTAATTAGGCATTTGATGAGGACTTGTTGATGGATTAGTTGCCTGGCCTTTTACTTTTCTGCCCGGGGCAACTGAGGCAATGTACTTTAAGGCCAGTACTACAGGATGTTAATTAGCAAAAAGCCAAAAAGAAAAAAAAATTCAGCAGTCAAAAAGGTTAGAGATACTCTGGAAAAAATAATGTGAAACACATTTTTTTTGTAACTGCTGACTTTCTGGGAGGTTTTAATATGCTAAGGAACATTGAGAGTTTCCAAGAGGGGGATAAAGTATGCGGTATGTCTACATCCTTTTGAGCATAGGGTCTTCTTTTGTTGGAGTGGTTTATGGGACTGATATTCTACAGAAAACCCTTTGAAACCTATAACATTAAGATTTCCAATAGAGGATGCTGGGGGCAGAAAAGGAATGAAACTCAGAATAATACTCTTTATATACGAGAAACCAAATTCTATATTTTCTTTTAGTTTTACTTTAGTAATTGTTTTATTCATTTCCATGTTCCATCTACATGCTATCTGTCTGTCTATCTATCTATCTATCTATCTATCTATCTATCTATCTATCATCTATGTATGTATCTATCTAATCTCTCTCTCTTTCTTTCTATCATCTATCTATCTTCTTACAATAAAACCAGTATTCCTCCAACCAAGAAGGGCTTGTAACTGCGCCAACTAAAAGTTTGGGATGAAAGTGATATGTGTGACTTCCAGACTTCTAATATTAGGTCACAAAAAGGTTATAGCTTCTCTCTTTCTTTTCTTTTTCTTTTCTTTTTTTTTTTTTTTTTGAGATGGAGTCTCGCTCTGTCGCCCAGGCTGGAGTACAGTGGCTCAATCTTGGCTCACTGCAAGCTCCGCCTCCCGGGTTCACGCCATTCTCCTGCCTCAGCCTCCTGAGTAGCTGGGACTACAAGCGCCCACCACCACGCTTGGCGAACTTTTTGTATTTTTAGTAGAGACGGGGTTTCATCATGTTAGCCAGGATGGTCTTGATCTCCTGACCTTGTGATCTGCCCGCCTCAGTCTCCCAAAGTGCTGGGATTACAGGCGTGAGCTACCGTGCCTGGCCGATATAGCTTCTCTCTCTCTCTCTCTCGATATAGATAGATAGATATAGATATATGGTTATCCCTATGTCTTTTAATGCTTTCTATTGGAACTCAGCCACTATACTATAAAGGAGTCTGAGCTAGACCATTTGGAGAGGCCCTTGTGGCGAGCAACTGAGACCCGCAGCCAACAATGAGAATCAGCCTGAAGCATATCAGTGACTGGGACTTCAGATGATTCCAGATCTTAGCTCTCAAACTTCAAGGTCAGCCCCAGACACTGTGGAGCAGAGACAAGCTGTGCCTGCTGTGCCTTGTCTGAATTCCTACCCACAGAAACCGTGAGCACAATAAATGGTTGCCTTATGGTAATAAATTTTGGAGTTATTTGTAACACAGACATCGTCGTTTGAAAAAAAGGGTAAAGCTCCAGATTATTAACCTGACATTAATGGCCTCTCTCCAATGTGGTCCCAAACTATTCTTCCAACTATTCATCTCCAATTATTCCATTATGAATTCACTGCTGAAAATCCAGCTGCTTTTTGTGCCCACAACAAAATCACACTTTCCTTCCTCCACATCTTTGCCTATTAAATTGTGAGTTCCTTGAATAGTTCTTTCAAAAATATTTTCTCAGGACTTAACAAAGTGCTTAGAATGTAATTGATTCTAAGCTATTGATAGATATTGGAATAAAAATCAATGCATAAACAAAGGAGGTCATCCTCCTAGATAGACATATGTTTTCTATTCTTTTCCACATGTTTAAGTCCTGTTCATCCTAAAATATCAAGTTCAAATATCATTGCTTGTTGAAGTGTTCTCTAGTTGTCCCCAAATTAAGCAACTTTCCTACCTTGAGTGCCAATATAAAGCATTGCTTATACTAATTACATAGCCCTTGATATTTACAACCATAATGCTTTGGCGTCTTTCCATGATCTTATATATAATTTCTCCAACTAGTTCTTAAGGTATTTGAGGGCAGTACTGTACCTTATTATTATTTTGCTTCTTATCTTCCTCCTTCTTCTCATTTTTAAATTCTCCTTAAGACCTATACAGTGTGTGTTAGGTACACACTGTGTATTCATAATCTATTTGTTGGTTATTATGAGCCAAAAATAAAATGATAGCTCTCAAAACCAAAAAAAATGCAAAATCTTATCTTAGGCGGTGTGACATCTGTAGTGCATTCAGATCCAGGGTGATCACTCTGAACTCCGCACCATTTATGTTGTAAGCATTGTGCACTATTCCAGGAGGATGTGGTCATGAGAGGATAGAGCTCAGTTTCCCACCCCAACTCTTCAAGAGCAGTTCTACCATATCAGAAGGCTATTATATACAATTTCATTTGGATAAAGTTCTTTAGCTAGGACAAAATTAAAAGGAACATGGACAAAGAAATGAGGAATTCAGAAATTATAACGAGCTTTTAGAGGCACTGGGGGTGTTCAGGGATATCTGAGAAGACATGATGCCCGTCTTCAGTTAATTGAAGTCAGGTATACACAGGATTCATGCTAAATAGCACCTGATAATTGACCTAAAGTGAATTGATGGTTAGATTTTGAGTTAGTCTCAGGAAGACTTTAATAGTAGAGAGTACCGTCAATGGACTGGGCTTTCCTATTAAGTATCATGCTCTGTATCATTGGAATTTTCCAAAGGGAGTCAAACAGGTAGACTTCTGTTATGAAGAATGACTTAATGGCAACAGGTTGAATTTAGTGAATTTGTTCCAATACTTAATTTCTGGGCTGCTTTTAGTCTAAGTTTAGTCAGACAGAAGGAAAGCATTCTAGGTATTCAAACAGAAGGAGTTAAATGCAAGGAATTGGTTATACATTTGTAGGAAGGGCTGGAAGAGCAAAAGGGAGGTAGACAGAGCATGGAAGAGGTAAGAGGAAGAAGGGGTAAAACTGAGATACAAGAGGCTGCCAGTGTCCTAGGGTGAAGCCCATAAAGCTGCCTCTTCTGCTGCTTTGTTGGAGACACTTTTCAGTTATATCTGGATGCAGTGAGGAAGAGCTGCATGAACCAGGCCTACAACTGTGCAGGCTGCTGCAGTTCAGAATCATCTCATCCTGCTGCAACAGCAGCAACCACCTGGGACTGTTGGCAATTGACACTGTCAGAGCCAGAAGCAGGAATATTTTCTAAGTGCTTCCTATTGGCAGAACCTAACAGGAAGCTAGTAGACAAGGGAACCTGGGAACTGTAGTTCACAGACTCACAGTCCAGCAAAAATAGAGCACAGTATACAAAGGCAGGTGGGGTGCTGACAGACAAGAAGTCAGTCGTTGACATTTGGGCCCCTAGGCCCACTCTGGTACAAGCATCCATCTCTCATAGGAACAATCGCAGTGGCTCCAATTAGTCTCCTTCAATCCCCTTGGCCTTTCTTCTATCTGCTGTTTATGATAAAGCTGGAGGGGTCTCTTTAAAACAAACATCTAATTATGTCTCTCCTTTGCTGAAAACCTCCCAGTAGCTTCCCATTACCATTAAGGCAAGAGTCTACTCTTTTGTATACATGTCTAGAAGGCCTTGTGTAGTCTGTTCCTTCTTCATCTTTATAGCTTTCTCTGACATTAGATTTCTTCTTGGTCTTTGTAATGCAGTTATCATGGTTTCTTTCAGTTTCTTGAATGTGCTGTTCTCCTTTTCTGCCATGTGTCTTTTGTACATGCTTCTCCCTCTCTATAGGATATGTTTTGGATTTGTGTCCCCACCCAAATCTCATGTTCAATGGTAATCCCCAGTGTTGGAGGTGGGGCCTTCTGGGAGGTGATAGATCATGGGGATGGATCCTTCATGAATGGTTTAGCACTGCCCCTTTGGTGCTGCTCTCATGATAGAGTTCTCATGAGATCTGGTTGTTTAAACGTGTGGCACCTCCCAGCCTCACTTTCTTGCTGCTCCAGCCATGAGATGTGCCGGCTCCCACTTTACCTTCCTCCATGATTGTAAATTTCTTGAGGCCTCCCCAGAAGCCGAGCAGATGCCAGAATCATGCTTCCTGTACAGCCTGTAGAACTGTGAGCCAATTAAACCTCTTTTCTTTATAAATTACCAAGTCTCAGGTATGTCTTTATAGCAATGTGAGAACAGACTAATACAATATGGTATGTTCTCCCTCCACATAACCCAGACATTCATTCGTTCTTCAGAATTCAACTCAATCAGCCTTCTTTCATAGACACTTTCCTTAGTCTTTCTGACTGGGTCAATTGTACTATTTTAGTATAAATGTTTCCATCTATTACTTACTTACTTCTATGTCTCTCTCTCCTCCCCTGACACACACACACACATTTAATTTCTTTCTTTCTTTCTTTCTTTTTTGAGACAGAGTCTTGCTCTGTCGCCTAGGCTAGAGTGCAGTGGCGTGATCGCGGCTCACTGTAATCTCTGCCTCCCGGGTTCAAGAGATTCTCATGCCTCAGCCTCCCAAGTAGCTGGGATTATGAGCACTCACCACTATGCCCAGCTACTTTTTGTATTTTTAGTAGAGACGGGGTTTCATCATGTTAGCCAGGCTGGTCTGGAACCTCAGGTGATTCGCCTGCCTTGGCCTCCCAAAATGCTGGGATGACAAGCGTGAGCCACCTCACCTGGCCCACACATTTAATTTCTATCTCTTCCTCTCAACTGTAAACTTTTGTGAATTCAGGAATTATGTCTTTTTCTTTGCTCAACAATGCTCACTCAACACCTAGCACAGTGCCTTGTATATAAAGGATGCTTAAAAAGTGAATAAATATACAAAGGCATGGGTATATGATCTGATGATTCATTCTTGCTGAGTGAAAGTTAAAATATCCTGGGAACCAGTGTCAGTTGTCTACTTTTTATTGCACACTTGAAATGCTGGATTCACTGTTGGGCTTATCTTAGGGATCATGTAAATATTAGAAAAATGACAATCATTTTTTTCTCTGACTCTTGTTTGAGAGGTAAGTCTATCTCTATAAAAATATAACATGCTTTTGGAGATATTTTGCCTTTTCTTTGTACTCCTGAGATCCCCTGCTCTCCTTAATGGCTTCAATCTTTATCAAGATCTCTCTCATGGGAGAAGCCCTCTAAGAATGCTGACTTTGTTTGCTGGGTGATTTTGAAGCCTAGTCTATTCTGGGAACAAAAACCCAAGCTGAAATGGTTTGCATTTGCCATTGGGAATTTAAACCACTTGTCTCTAAGACTGTAGCGACAGGAACACAGGGAAAAATAGATGAGGATCTGAGTTGCAAAAATTCCCCAGGACTCATTGGAAAACTACCTAAGGAAGGAGGGGGGGAAAAGGCACCAAACAATCTCTAAAAAGAGCCATATTGGGGTCAGCATCTAGCTAGTTTATTAATTTCTTTGACTGTTGTTTTTTCCTTTAATTTCTGTCCCTGAACCTGGCAAAGAATTGTGGCAGTTAGTCCCCAAGTCAGTTTGCGGGGAGGCCATGTTTAGTAGTGCAGGTGCCATCTGGATTTTGAATTTGCCATGAGAACACCCTCTGCTAGGCTTGAGGTGTTTAGATGATGGTGAGACGGGCAATAAGGGAGAAATATGACATTGCTCATGAGTGATTATTCTTCTTGTTATTTATTCCCTATTCCTTAAACCATAGGTGAAATGTCCTAGTCAAAGACTTTAGCTGACAGGGGACTCCCAGTCTCTTCCAGATGGAGAAAATGTGAACCTGAAGGGATTATTTTTGCAGTGTTTACAGTGCATAGAAGTTTCCTTAAATATATAATCAGAGGTAATTAGACTGTGTGGTGTAAGAAGGGGTATAAACACTATTGACATGCTAGTCTCGAAATAGGCACCATCTGAGTTGATTTGCCTTTGACAGTTCCTGATTTTCAATATTTTTGATATTTTGGGAAGCAGATGTGATGAGGGTGAAGAAGTTTAAGCCCAAGAATAACATCTCTTGGCTCCAAGATAATATTGCTTGTTTGCATCTTCTTATCTTCTTAATCTATGGAGAGACACCAGCACACGGAGGGATATTGTCAATCTAGGGCTTAGTAAATTGGATGATTCAAGATGGCAAGGTTTTACCTGCTGCCAGATGAATAAGCTTCCGTTAAATCTATGGAAATTCTCTGCCACAGGGGTTGACATCTTTTACTCTGGGTCGAATTTTTTAAAGTTACCCCTTCCAGTCTTGAAACAGACTTAATATCAGTATTTTGTTGTGCCTGTCAGAAGTTTTTAAGTCATTCTTTCAGTATTGTGTGAAAATATAAAACACTACAGCAATTCACAATATGATTATTAACAATTCCACTTAGGAATAACTGGTGTTTCCTTGATTTAAGACACATTTGATAATGCCAAATGTGTTTCCCCTTGCATACATAATAAATGTGTCCCAGGGCCATGGCAGCCTGGAGTTAGAATCTTGGTACTAAAAGCTAGCATTGCATTTATTCTAAGGCTCAGTGCCTTCCTACAGAGCCCCATATAAATGCTTCCACATTTCACTGCTTGTGTTGCTGCATAGCAAATTACCTAAAAATTTAGTGGCTAAAAGCAATAAACCCTTAGTATCTCAGAAAATGCAGTTTTTTATGGCTTAGAAATTTGGCAGTGGCTTAGCTGGCTGACTCTCGGTGTCTCCTGAGATTATGATCCACGTGTAAGTTGTGGTGTAGTCATCTGAGAGCTGGACTGGGGCTAGAGAATTAGCTTCTACAATGGCTCACTCACATGGCTGTTGGCAGGAGGCCTCAGTTGCTTGTCGCATTGGGCCCCTCCACATGGCTGCTTGAGTGTACTTATAACATGGCAGCTGGATTTTTCCAGAGCAAGTGATCTTAGAGAGAGCAAGGAGGAGCCTGTAGCCCTTGTGCCCTCATCCCGAGGGTCACATTACTTTACTTCCACCATGTTGTACTCATCAGGTCACCAAGGAAAACTCACACTCAAGGGTACAGGAATTAGTCTCCACCCTTTGAAGCTAAGAGTATCAAAAAACTTGTGGACATACTTGAAAACCACCCTATTGCTGATTGATTGTGACCTGCTCTACTTTGAAATGCTTATTTCTTCTTTGTACCCCAAGATCTTGTCACTTTGGCTGGACCTGATTCACCTGTCCAGGAGCTGCACTTAATTTTATATGTTTTGCCCTTCCCCTCCTGAGCAGAACACCACCAGGCACAACTCTCAGGGAACTTGCCTTAGCTAAACCTAAACCTAAAGACTTCAAAACAAAATTAGTTACTCAAAAGTCAAGTTTCCCTCCTGCTGTGGAACTGGGAGAAGGTGGAACATTTCCTTTTCAAGGATCCTATTATCTTTTTCTCTCAAGTGGCCTTTGTCAGGCCATGTAAATCAATTAAAATTTGTATTCTGGATTCGTGGGCAAGATAGCTGAATAGGAACAGCTCCGGTCTGCCCCTCCCAGTGAGACCAACGCAGAAGGTGGGTGATTTCTGCATTTCCAACTGAGGTGCCTGGCTCATCTCATTGGGACTGGTTACACAGTGGGTGCAGCCCATGGAGGGAGAGCAGAAGCAGGGTGAGATGTCGCCTCACCCGGGAAGTGCAAGGGCTCAGGGAACTCCCTCCCCTTGCCAAGGGAAGCCTTGACGGACTGTGCCATGAGGAACGGTGCATTTGGCCCAGATACTACACTTTTCCCATGGTCTTTGTAGTCCGCAGACCAGGAGATTCCCGCAGGTGCCTGGGTTTCAAGCACAAAGCTGGGCGGCTGTTTGGATAGACAACAAGCTAGCTGCAGGAGTATTTTTTGTGCCCCAGTGGCACCTGGAATGCCAGTGAGACAGAGTCATTCACTCCCCTGGAAAGGGGGCTGGTGCCAGGGGCCTGAGTGGTCTTGCTTAGTGGATCCCAGCAAGCTAAGATCCACTGGCTTGAAATTCTCGCTGCCAGCACAGCAGTCGGAAGTTGACCTGGGATGCTCGAGCTTGGTTGGGGGAGGGGCATCCGCCATTACTGAGGCTTGAGTAGGCAGTTTTCCCCTCACAGTGTAAACAAAGCCGCCAGGAAGTTCAGACTGGGTGGAGCCCACCACAGTCCCACAAAGCCACTGTAGCCAGACTGCCTCTCTAAATTCCTCCTCTCTGGGCAGAGTGTCTCTGAAAGAAAGGCAGCAGCCCCAGTCAGGGGCTTAAAGATAAAACTCCCATCTCTCTGGGACAGAACGCCTGGGGGAAGGGGAAGCTGTGGGTGCAGCTTCAGCAGACTTAAACATTCCTGCCTGCTGGTTCTGAAGAGAGCAGCAGACCTCCCAGCACAGTGCTCAAGCTCTGCTAAGGTACAGACTGCCTTCTCAAGTGGGTCCCTGAACCCCATCCCTCCTGATGGGGAGACGTCTCCCAGCAGGGGTCGACAGACCCCTCATACAGGAGAGCTTCAGCTGGCATCTGGCAGGTGCCCCTTTGGGATGAAGCTTACAGAGGAAGCAGCAGGCAGCAATCTTTGCTGTTCTGCAGCCTCTGCTGGTGATACCCAGGCAAACAGGGTCTGGAGTGGACCTCAAGCAAATGCCAGCAGACCTGCAGAAGACGGACCTGACTGTTAGAAGGAAAACTAACAAACAGGAAGCAATAGCATCAACAGCAACAAAAAGAATGACCACTCAAAAACCCTATCTGAAGGTCACCAACATCAAAGACCAAAGGTAGACAAATCCACGAAGACGGGGAGAAACCAGTGCAAAAAGGCTGAAAATTCCAAAAACCAGAATGCCTCTTCTCCTCCAAAGGATCACAACACCTCGCCAGCAAGGGAACAAAACTGGATGGAGAATGAGTTTGATGAATTCACAGAAGTAGGCTTCAGAAGGTGGGTAATAACAAACTCCTCCGAGCTAAAGGAGCATTTTCTAACCCAATGCAAGGAAGCTAAGAAACTTGATAAAAGATTACAGGAGTGGCTAACTATAATACCCAGTTTAGAGAAGAACATAAATGACCTGATGGAGCTGAAAAACACAGCACGAGAACTTCGTGAAGCGTACACAAGTATCAATAGCCGAATTGATCAAGAAGAAGAAAGGATAGCAGAGATTGAAGATCAAAGTAATGAAATAAAGTGTGAAGACAAGATTCGAGAAAAAAGAATGAAAAGGAACAAACAAAGCCTCCAAGAAATATGGGACTATGTGAAGAGACCAAACCTACATTTGACTGGTGTACCTGAAAGTGATGGGGAGAATGGAACCAAGTTGGAAAACACACTTTAGTTTATTACCCAGGAGAACTTCCCCAACCTAGCAAGACAGGCCAACATTCAAATTCAGGAAATACAGAGAACACCACAAAAATACTCCTGGAGAAGAGCAACCCCAAGACACATTATCATCAGATTTACCAAGGTTGAAATGAAGGAAAAAATGTTAAGGGCAGCCAGAGAGAAAGGTTGGGTTACCCACAAAGGGAAGCCCATCAGACTAACAGCAGATCTCTCTGCAGAAACCCTACAAGTCAGAAGAGAGTGGCAGCCAACATTCAACATTCTTAAAGAAAAGAATTTTCAACCCAGAATTTCATGTCCAGCCAAACTAAGCTTCATAAGTGAGGGAGAAATAAAATCCTTTACAGACAAGCAAATGCTGAGGGTTTTGTCACCACCAGGCCTGCCTTACAAGAGCTCCTGAAGGAAGCACTAAATATGGAAAGGAAAAACCAGTACCAGCCACTGCAAAAACATACAAGAATGTAAAGACCAACAACATTGAAGAAATTGCACTAACTAATGGGCAAAATAACCAGCTAGCATCATAATGACAGGATCAGATTCACACATAACAATATTAACCTTAAATGTAAATGGGCTAAATGCCCCAATTAAAAGACACAGACTGGCATGTTGGATAGAGAGTCAAGACCCGGCTGGGCACAGTGGCTCACACCTGTAATCCCAGAACTTTGGGAGGCCAAGGCAGGTGGATCACGAGGTCTGGAGATTGAGACCATCCTGGCTAACATGGTGAAACCCCGTCTCTACTAAAAATACAAGAAATTAGCCTGGCGTGGTGGCGGGTGCCTGTAGTCCCAGCTACTCGGGACGCTGAGGCAGGAGAATGGCATGAACTGAACGCAGGAGGTGGAGCTTGCAGTGAGCCGAGATCATGCCATTGCACTTCAGCCTGGGAGACAGCGAGACTCCGTCTCAAAAAAAAGAGCCAAGACCCATCGGTGTGCTGTATTCGGGAGACCCATCTCACATGCAAAGACACACATAGGCTCAGAATAAAGGGATGGAGGAAGATTTACCAAGAAAATGGAAAGCAAAAAAAAAAAAAAAAAAAAAAAAGCAGGGGCTGCAATCCTAGTCTCTGATAAAACAGACTTCTTTAAACCAACAAAGATCAAAAAAGATAAAGAAGGGCATTATATAATGGTAAAGGGATTAATGCAACAAGAAGAGCTAACTATCCTAAGTATATATGCACCCAATACAGGAGCACCCAGATTCATAAAGCAAGTTCTTAGAGACCTACAAAGAGACTTAGACTCCCACACAATAATAGTGGGAGACTTTAACACCCCACTGTTAATATTAGACAGAATGATGAGACAGAAAATTAACAAGGATATTCAGGACTTGAACTCAGCTCTGGACCAAGCAGACCTAATAGACATCTACAGAACTCTCCACTCCAAATCAAGAGAATATACATTCTTCTCAGCACCGCATCACACTTATTCTAAAACTGACCACGTAATTGGAAGTAAAACACTACTCAGCAAATGCAAAAGAATGGAAATCTTAATAGTCTCTCAGACCACAGTGCAATCAAATTAGAATGCAGGATTAAGAAGCTCACTAAAAACTGTACAACTACATGGAAACTGGACAACTTGCTCCTGAATGACTACTGGGTAAATAACGAAATTCAGGTAGAAATATATAAGTTCTTTGAAACTAGTGAGAACAAAGACAATGTACCAGAATCTCTGAGACACAGCTAAAGCAGTGTTTAGAGGGAAATTTATAGCACTAAATGCCCATAGGAGAAAGCGGGAAAGATCTAAAGTTGACACCCTAACATCACAATTAAAACTAGAGAAGCAAGAGCAAGCAAATTCAAAAGCTAGCAGAAGACAAGAAATAACTAAGATCAGAGCAGAACTGAAGGAGATAGAGACACGAAAAACCCTTCAAAAAATCAGTGAGTCCAGGAGATGGTTTTTTGAAAAGATTAACAAAATAGATAGACTGCTAGCGAAACTAATAAAGAAGAAAAGAGAGAAGAATCAAATAGACACAATAGAAAATGATAAAGGGGACATCATTACCGATCCCATAGAAATATAAACTACCATCAGAGAAAACTATAAACACCTCTGTGCAAATAAACTAGAAAATCTAGAAGAAATGGATAAATTCCTGGACACAAACACCCTCCCGAGACTAAACCAGGAAGTTGAATCCCTGGATAGACCAATAACAAGTTCTGAAATTGAGGCAGTAATTAATAGCCTACCAACCAAAAAAAAGACCAGCACCAGATGGATTCACAGCTGATTTCTACCAGAAGTACAAAGAGGAGCTGGTATCATTCCTTCTAAAATTATTCCAATCAATAGAAAAAGAGGGACTCCTCCCTAACTCTTTTTATGAGGCCAGCATCATCCTGATACCAATATCTGGCAGAGACACAACAAAAAAAGAAAATTTCAGGCCAATACCTCTGAAGAACATCAATTTGAAAATCCTCAATACAATACTGGCAAACTGAATCCAGCGGCACATCAAAAAGCTTATCCACTACAATCAAGTCGGCTTCATCCGTGGGATGCAAGGCTGGTTCAACATATGCAAATCAACAAATGGAATCCATCACATAAACAGAACCAATGACAAAAACCACATGATTATCTCAATAGATGCAGCAAAGGCCTTTGATAAAATTCAACACCACTTCATGCAAAAAACACTCAATAAACTAAGTATTGATGGAATGTCCCTCAAAATAATAAGAGCTATTCATGACAAACCCACAGCTAATATTATACTGAATGGGCAAAAGCTGGAAGCATTCCCTTTGAAACCTGGCACAAGACAAGGATCTCCCCTCTCACCACTCCAATTCAACATAGTATTGGAAGTTCTGGACAGGGCAATCAGGCAAGAGAAAGGAATGAAGTGTATTCAAATAGGAAGAGAAGAAGTCATATTATCTCTGTTTGCAGATGACATGATTGTGTATTTAGAAAACCCTACCGTCTCAGCTCAAAAACTCCTTAAGCTGATAAGCAACTTCAGCAAAGTCTCAGGATACAAAGTCAATGTGCAAAAATCACAAGCATTCCTAAACAGCAATAACAGACAAACAGAGAGCCAAATCATGAGTGAACCGAGAATAAAATACCTAGGAATCCAACTTACAAGGAATGTGAAAGACCTCTTCAAGGAGAACTACAAACCACTGCTCAAGGAAATAAGAGAGGACACAAATAAATGGAAAAATATTCCATGCTCATGGATAGGAAGAATCAATATCATGACAATGGCCATACTGCCCAAAATAATTTATAGATTCAATGCTATTCCCATCAAGCTACCACTGACTTTCTTCACAGAATTAGAAAAAAAACCACTTTAAATTTCATATGGAACCAAGAAAGAGCCCATATAGCCAAGACAATCCTCAGCAAAAAGAACAAAGCTGGAGGCATCACGCTACCTGACTTCAAACTATACTTCAAGGCTACAGTAACCAAAACAGCTTGGTACTGGTACCAAAACAGATACATAGACCAATGGATAAGAACAGAGGCCTCAGAAATAACCCCACACATGTACAACTGTCTGATCTTTGGCAAACCTGACAAAAAGCAATGGGGAAAGGATTCCCTATTTAATAAATGGTGTTGGGAAAACTGGCTAGCCATATGCAGAAAACTGAAACTGGTTCCCTACCTTACACCTTATACAAAAAGTGACTCAAGATGGACGAAAGATTAAAATGTAAGACCTAAAACCATAAAAACCCTAGAGGAAAACCTAGGCAATACCATTCAGGACATAGGCATGGGCAAATCTTCATGACTAAAACACCAAAAGCAATGGCAACAAAAGCCAAAATTGACAAATGGGATCTAATTAAACTAAAGAGCTTCTGCATAGCAAAAGAAACTATCGTAAGAGTGAACAGGCAACCTACAGAATAGGAGTAAATTTTTGCAATCTATCCACCTGACAAAGGGCTAATATCCAGAATGTGCAAGGAACTTAAACAAATTTACAAGAAAAACCTTATCAAAAAGTGGGCAAAGGATATGAACAGACACTTTTCAAAAGAAGACATTTTTGCAGCCAACTAACATATAAAAAAAGTTCATCATCCTTGGTCATTAGAGAAATGCAGATCAAAACCACAGTGAGATACTATCTCATGCCAGTTAGAATGGCGATCATTAAAAAGTCAGGAAACAACAGATGCTGGAGAGGATGTGGAGAAACAGGAATGCTTTTACACTGTTGGTAGGAGTGTAAATTAGTTTAACCATTGTGGAAGACAGTATGGTGATTCCTCAAAGATCTAGAACTAGAAATACCATTTGACCCAGCAATCCCATTACTGGGTATATACCCAAAGGATTATAAATCATGCTACTGTAAAGACACATGCACATGTATGTTTATTGTGGCACTATTCACAATAGCAAAGACTTGGAAACAACCCAAATGTCCATCAATGATAGACTGGATAAAGAAAATATGTCACATATACACCACGGAATACTATGCAGCCACAAAAAACGGTGAGTTCATGTCCTTTGCAGAGACACGGATGAAGCTGGAAACCATAATTCTCAGCAAGCTAACAAAGGAACAGAAAAACCAAACACTGCGTATTCTCACTCATAACTGGGAATTGAACAATGTGAACATATTGGCACAGGGAGGAGAACATCAACCACTGGGGCCTGTCGAGGGCTGGGGGTCAAGGGGAGGGATAGCATTAGGAGAAGTACCTAATGTAGATGACAGGTTGATGGGTGCAGCAAACCACCATGGCACATGTATACCTATGTAACAAACCTGCATGTTCTGAACATGTATCCCAGAACTTAAGTATAATAAAAAATAAAATAAAATTTGTGTTCTAACGGGAATAGGTCAGAGACTTTTTCTCGGGCGTGGGATGTCTGCAGGAATCTGGAGCCCTGATACAGAATTACCACACCAGGTTGTCCTTAGGAAGGGCTGGCTCTGGACACAACCTGTGAGCAAGGTTTGAGCCCCTCCTGACCCTAACACCCTTGTAAGATCAGCCAAGCCCATTCCTTCTCAGGGCCTTTACACTCGCACTTCCGGGCATAAGCCTCAAATGTTCACACCCACATTGCTGCATGACTGATTCCTTTTTGTTATCTCAGCCCAAAGACCACCTTCTCAGAGAGCTTTTTCAGACTACTCAATCTAATTTCTTTCCTGCTGGTAGGCCGTCTTTAAGAGTCCATCTGACTTTACTTCTTCAAGGCTGCATTACTCTGTGAACTTATTTAGTCTATTTTTTTGTTTCTTTGTCTACCTCACCCCATTAAAACATAAGGAACATGAGAGTAAGGGACCTCACTTTCCTTTTCTCTGCTGTATCCTCAGCATTTACAGCAGAACCTGATGCACAGCAGGTGCTCAAAAATGTTAACTGGCTGAACGAATGAATGAGTGAGTGATGAATACAGATTCTGTTGTGAAATAAAAAAAAAAAAAAAACGCTGAAGACTAACATTATAGACCAAGCAGGCTGTGTGTTCTTAGGCATATCTGGGAAAGAGAAGCACAGCTAATCTGGGCAGGTAGAGCCTCGGCGTCATTACAACTTGAATATCAAAGGAATGTGACTTTCTTGGTATCCCAGTTTATTGAAGCAGGTCATACCTGCTTTACATGGGTTTTCTGTATGTATATTAGGAACCCCAGCCTCATGAGTCTCCCAGTTCATTGGGCAAACATCTGCCGCTGATGGTGAGACTTTGTTAATCCATATCCAACATGAGCTGCACCTCTCTGTCTTCTCTCCTTTGATCCCACCCATGTTTTTCTCCCTTGACCATCTTCCCCTTAGCTCATATGCAGCTCATGAGCCCCATTGCCCCACTCCTGTCCCTTCTAACTGCCTTATATATTTTTCCACTTTTGGAGTTTTTTGTTACACATAATTAAAAATCCAAAGGTGATGAAAAATGGCAAATGATTCAAACCTGGGTAAATCTATTCATGTCAGAAGTCTGTAGTTACTGGTATTTATTTCTTTTGTGTTCCAGTGGTATTTTCATTGTTGCTGGCCCCATCCCTCCTCTTTTTCTCTAGGGAGAAATCTTGGCTGCTGGCTTCTTTAAAGTGTTTCACAGATGAAGGGAATATCAAGGACAGACTTAAAAGAGGGAAGAAGACTATTGTTTGAAGCCAGGTGAGGCCACTTAGGAAATGTGGGTACAATCCTTTCCAAGTCCACCTGTGTTGAAAGCATACAGAAGCCTCTGTACTTTGCTAGCCTGAGCTGTTTGGCAAATGATGTCCCTTTTATTTACTCTCTGTCCCTTTCTTCATCCTGTTCCCAGCCTTCGGAAGGCCTCCCTGTGTGGGCTGGTAGAAGTGGGCTCCTGTGTGCTCTGTTGCTAGTTGGATTTGGCCAGTGGGAGGCACCAGCAGTGAATCAGAGGATGAGAGAAGAGTGGGGTCAGGGTATCTACTCCCGTGCCCTGGCTTGCTCCAGTGGATGCTATACAGGCAGTTTCCTAGATGTAGGGAACGCTCCAGTTTTCAGTAACTTCTACCTCCCTTTGTCCCTTAATTGTAGGGGTAGTAACAGCTCTTCACAGTGGACAGCCTGAGGTGCTGCACTATTGCTTTCTGGTTTTTGTAAATCTTACCCATCTCTTGGAAAGCAGCCCCTTTATTAAATTCTCCTCCAGTAGCAGAGATGCTGCACACATATCCCCTTTCCTCTCGGGGCCCGAGGACCAGCTTGCTCAGCATCCTTGTCCTCAGCAAGTCCTTGTCACTCAGCAAATCCTTGTCACAGCCTCCACAAACGACTATAGCCTAGGCAACTGAGGCATTTGCAGACACTGCTGGCATTGATTACTTCGAAATAAATCATATGGAGACTACATTACTGTGCCCACCAAGAACCAAACCACCCCACCCAACTGACACTACAGGATGCATCTACATATATATATGTTTTTGTTTTTTTTCTTTTGAGATGGCGTGTTGCACTGTCACCCAGGCTGGAGTGCAGTGGCTCGATTTCTGCTCACTGCAAGCTCTGCCTCCTGGGTTCATACCATTCTTCTGCCTCAGCCTCCTGAGTAGCTGGGACTACAGGTGCCTGCCACCATGCCTGGCTAATTTTTTGTATTTTTTGTAGAGACGGGTTTCACTGTGTTAGCCAGGATGGTCTCGATCTCCTGACCTCGTGATCCGCCTGCCTCAGCCTCCCAAAGTGCTGGAATTACAGGCGTGAGCCACATGCCCAGCCAAAAATGTTGTTCCCTACAAAAGCTACTCCATAAAATTGGAACTATTCTACCAGATGCACAGCTATCAATGGAGAGACACACACACACTTAAAACTATGAAAAAGCAGGGAAGTATGACACCTCCAAAGGAACACAACAATTCTCCAATAACATACCCCAAAGAAAAGGAAATCTATGATATACCTCTGTAACTCAACCTCAATCTTTCCTTCTAAGCCTAAAGGCAGAACTCTTCCCTTCTTCTGTCAAAACTTGATACCTGCTAGTAGTTTGATCTTCGGTATTCTAAGAAAGGGAGGTGAGCACATAAACTTGTAGTACAAATTATTTACATTGAAAAAGTGTATATATACAGATGCAAATGAGTTACAAATATTTTGGTCTCATTTCTAGGTGAAGCCTTGATGACTGTGGTTTGAATTCACTGGGAAAAGTGGAATCGTCAAGAGACCCGGGCTAACTAAATCCCTCTGGGAGCCTCAGCAGCTGAGGCCATCACTCAAAATTAAGGGTGGTAGATTCTCCTTTGGACCTGTAGGCCCAATTCAAGAACTAATGGCTGCCCTGATTATTCTGTAGTCTGTGTTGTCTGATGGATCCATATCTTCCTCTTTGGAAAGCTGGGAACTAGAAAGAAGTGTTCTATTTGCTATTACCCAAGGGATAATACTACCAGAATAGCCAGTGGAATTTGCCTATTACTTTTCTTAAAAACAATCTTTGTGTTCTGGAGTAATTTTAGATTTATAGAAAAGTTACCAAGGGAGTAAAAAAAGTTCCTACGTACCCTTCACTCAGCTTCCTCTACCATTAATGTCTCATATAAAGATAATTTGTCAAAGCTAAGAAATTAACATTGGCATATTAATATTAACTAAACTCTGGGTTTCATTTGGATTTCACCAGTTTTCCCACTAGTAACTTTTTTGTGGTGCAGGATTCAATCCAGGATACTATGTTGCATTTGGTCATTGTCTTAGTCCATTTGGGCTGCTATAACAAAATACCTTACACTGGGTAATTTATAAACAACAGAAATTTGTTGCTCACAGTTCTAGAGGTCAGGAAGTACAAGATCAAGGCACCAGCAGATTTGGTGTTTGATGAGGGCTTGTTCTCTGCTTCAAAGAACACCTTCTTGCTATAGTAGAAGGGGAAAAAATAAGTCCTTGGAGCCCATCTTACAAGGGCACTAATCCTATTCATGAGGGTGGAGCCCTTATGGATTAATCACTTTCAAAGGTTCCACCTCTTAATATTATCACATTGAGTATTAGGTTCTAATGTATGACTTTTGGGGGGATACCAACATTCAGATCATAGCAGTTATCATATCTCCTTAATTTCTCCAATCTGTAATACTTCCTCGGATTTTCATTACTTTTCGTGACCTTGATGTTCAGGCGTAACTTTTTAAATTAGTTGAAAGTTCATGAATGCAATTAGGACATGATTAATCTTATTAATCATGAAAAACTATTTTCACATAGCTGTTGCCATCCTATGGATCCCACCCTTTGAGGACAGGTCAGGGCCTTCCCTCTATTTTGCACATCTCTCTCAGCGGCCATGCTGAGTGTGTTATGATTTATGGTGATTATAGCATGATATTGAGGATTTTTTGATCAGTGTCTGCTTATCATAGTAGCCAGCAGCTTTCATCAGGTCCCTGTATGAAGGAAATGAAAAGATCTCTTTTAGGAAACAGGTCCATTTATTTTCCCCTTGGTGTTCCCTTTGAAGCCAATCTATAAACTCCCTTAGATGACAGTCACCTATAATAATTTCGAATAATGCTCCTGAACCTATGCTCCCTAAAAGTCTGTCCCTCTGGTTGGACTTTCTTGTGCTTTAATTGTTGCGTGTTATCACTTTAAGGGTAGTATTCTTTCTCACAAAGCTTTTAAGCATTACTTTGTGAAAGGTGTTAGAAAGGTGAAAATGGTAATTAAATCTTATCTCCAGCGTAATTTTATGATTACATTGTACTATTCCCCAGAACTATGCTTTCAAAATTGTTGTGGGCCCACAAATGCCTCTTGTGTATCACTGTAGAGAAAGTGCTAACACAGGGCTTTGTTGTCCAATTATTTTTATTTCAGCATCTGAATGGATTCTCGATCTAGGCGCCGTTGTTCATGCTCATCCTTCTCACTCATGTTACTAAATGAAAAAGCAGGACTCCACAATCTTGTACTTGGATGATTGTAATGCTGGGGCACCAAAGTTAAGACACTAGAAATAAAGGGATAAACTCCTCCTGATGACATGGACCTGTGAACTGGTGCATCTTACAATCTTCAGAGACTCAGGGACAGATTAGCAGTCTCAATTTTGAATACCTCAACTATCTGGTGGAAGGAGATCTTCAGTTATATCCATTCACTCCTTCAAGCAGTTGTAGAGCACGGACAGTGTGTCAGACATTGTGTCAGTTTCAAGATGGCTGAGAGTTTGTTCCCATCAGTCTGCGAGGGGAGACCTGCAACAAATAATTGCTGCTCAATGTGGCACGTGCCGTGAGGGGAGGAAGCTGAAGGAGCTCTGGAAGCTCGGGATCGTGGGGAGCGACGAGGGAATGAGGGCCACCAGATGTTTTGCTGAGGGGTCCTGAGGACAGTCCCCTAAGAGCTTAGGACTTCCAAAGCGAATACTGCTTTAAATAACACTTTGTGGGAAATTCAGTCATGTGTAGTGAGAATAGAGGAGACAAGGGGATGAGACAGAAAGTGGGAAAATCAGTTAGGAAGCAGTTATTGTAGTCCAGGCAAGGAGATACAGTTTCCCTCCCCCTCTCTTATTTTATTGTAAGAGGAGATCACAGTCTGTAGAAAAAAATGTATAGAACTGGTTTGTAGTTAAAGAAATCCTAGCTCTACCATTTATTGACCATGCAATCCTGAGTAAGTCAGTGGAGTTCTCCAAGTCTCCATTTTTCTCTTGCAGAGTGAAATAAAATGTGAAGAGTAACTGCCTGGTTGCTCTCAGACTCATTCTCTGCCTTCCTTTGCTCTCTTCTGTAATGCAGAAAGCTACATTTCTTTCCCAGACTTTCCAGCTCTTTGGCTTCCAGATGGATTTGACCCAAGAGAGGCAGTGGCAAGATTGCAGAGTAGCAGTGGAGAGTAGCCAGGGCATTTCTCTTCCTCTTTTGGCTTCCTGTGGCATCCTTGACAGCAACTCAGTTTCCTTCATGGCTCCAGCTGCTGCTGTGGGGCCCCAGCTTCTGGACTGTGTTACACCACTGCCTTCTGCTGTCCCTCCAGACCTAGGGCTGATAATGGCTTCCTACTGTTGATAATGCCGGGGTTCACCCTCAATAACCCTGATTGTATTTCTAACTTTTCCCTCACTGATGTAACTGATTTTTCTGTATTAACTTTCTTCTGTTTGTAGAACGAATAATGGTTTCTATTTTCCTGACTAACATGTGAAATAGAGGTACTCTTTAAACTGCAATGTAAGTATAGATATGTGAGGTTTTGCTGTTACTCTTTAGGACTGTTATATCTGAAGAAAATCCTGGAATGCAAAATTCCATGATGGGTGGAGCTTGGTGTAGCTTGTGCTGGTCAGTGGGCATACCTATAGGCTTGGTAGGCAATTTCTTCACTTTTGGGCTCTGTGCCTGTATATCTAGTTCAGAAGCCAACAATTGGTTCTGTGTCAGTGGCTCCTCTGGGGTCCATGCTGTATGCTGAGCAGAGACACAGATACATGAAACATATCCTTGTCCTTGGGGAGCTTATGTCTGTAGAAATTTAGCAAAAAATACCTAATATAGTACTAACACGATTTGGGATTTGTACCTAAAAAACAAAGTACAAATCAAGCCAACTATATTAAAAAGTTTCTTTGATGAGTTGACCAAGTACCAAGAAATGAAGAAATAATTGAGTATGCACTATAGAAGGTATCGTTCTAGATGATGCAGGACATACAAAGGAGGACTATGACATGGCTTTCCTCTCATGAAGAGGTTTACAATGTCCTGAAGGAGACAAAATAAAATTACATGAAACTAATGATCAAAGGAAGTGTATTACAATTGTTTAAGCATTGCAGAAACAATAAGTTTTAAGAACTTTAATATTTTTGACCAGTAAGTAAGTGTGAAGTTATCCTATTCCCAAAAATGTAACAACATGTTTAAATTTCTTTTTTTCTTTCTCTTTTTTTTTGAGATGATGTCTTGCCCTGTCACCCAGGCTGGAGTGCAGTGGCACGATCTTTGCTTACTGCAACCTCCGCCTCCCAGGTTCAAGCGATTCTCCTGCCTCAGCCTCTCGGAGTACCTGGGATAACAGGTGCCCGCCACTGTGACTGGCTAATTTGGTATTTTCAGCAGAGACAGGGTTTCATCATGTTGGCCATGCTGGTCTCGAGCTCCTGGCCTCAAGTGAGCTGCCCGCCTCAGCCTCCCAAAGTGCTGGGATTATAGGTGTAAACCACCACGCTCGGCCTAAATTTCTAACAAAAAAAGAGAGCAAACCTGTTAACCTAGAATTCTTTGCATGGCAAAAAAAATCTTTCAAAACTGGAGTCAAAAATGAGGTTTTTTTTTTTTTTTTTTTTTTTTCAGAATAGCAAAAAGTGAGGAAATATGTTGTCAGCAGACTTTCACTATAGGACATGTAAAAGAAATTCCTTTAGGTGGAAGAAAAATGATGCCAGATGAGACTTATATCTGCATAAAGGAGTGAAGAATACCTGAAATGGGAAATATGTTTGGAATATAAAGCACATTTTTCTTATATTTAAATGTCTTCAAAATGTTTGACTTTTTAAGGCAAAGATAACAATATTGAATTGAGAAGCTTGTAAAGTAGGCAGAAGTAAAATGTATGACAAAATAGTACAAATAATGCGAAGGAGGAAATAAAAGTATTCATCATAAAGTTCTTACATTATACATAAAATGGTACAATACTATTTGAAGGTAGAGCATCTAACTTCTAGATGCCCACTGAAAACCTTAGAGAAACTGTTGGAAAACAAAACAAAACCCATGAACCAAAAACAAAGTGTTTTAGCTAATAAAACAGTAGCGAAGATAAAATGAAATTAAGAACTGCCCAGTCTAAAAGGATACGGGAAGAGGGAAAAGGCAACACAAAACAGATGTAAGAAATAGAAGGGAAATAACAAGACGGTAGATTGAAAGTCAACTGTACTGGGTAAATGAAAGTGATATAAATACCTCAATTAGCATGCAGAGATTTTATGATTGGAGAGAATACTAAGACCCAATTATATGTTGTCTAGAAGAAACACACTCCAAATATAAAAACAGAGAAATGTCACAAATAAAAAGATAATAAAGAGCCAGACACAGTGTCTCACACCTGTGATCGCAGTACTCTGGGAAGCTGAGTGGGGAGGATTGCTTGAGCTGAGGAGTTCGAGACCAGCCTGGGCAAGATGACAAGACCTTATCTCTACCAAAAAAAAAAAAAAAAAAGCTGGTTGTGGTAGCACATTCCTGTAGTCCCAGCTACTCAGGAGGCTGAGGCAGGAGGATTGCTTGATCCTAGGTGATTGAGGTTTCAGTGAGGTAGGATTGCACCACTGCACTCCAGCCTAAGCAACAGAACAAGACCCTGTCTCAAAAAAAAAAAAAAAAGATAGAAAATATATACTATGCAAACTCTAATCATAAGAAAGTTAAGAGTTGTTAATACCAAAGTAGACATCAGAAAATAAATATTGCCAGACATAATGGGACATTTCATAATGAAAGAGGGATCAACACATTAAGAACACATAACAATCATAAAATGAATGCACTCAATAACAAAGCTTCAAAATATGTGAAGCAAAACCTGACAAAACTACAAGGAGAAATAGTTACTTCTTCATCATAGTTGAATATTTTACTCTCAGTAGTTAATAGAACAAGTAGGCAGAAAAATCAGTAAAGTCAGTAAATATATGGAAGACTTGAATGACACCATCAAGCAAATCCACATAATAATGGAATATACATTCTTTTCAAGTGTGTATGAGCACTAACCAACATATGCTAGGCTAAAACAAATCTCAATAAATACAAAAGAATTGAAATGACATAAAATATAGTCTCTCACAACAACATAATTAAACTGGAAATCATTAACAGAAAAATATCTGAAATATTCACAAATATTTGGAAATTAAATAAAACACTTCCCCAAATCAAAGAAAAAAAACACAAGAAAAATTAGAAATTATTTGGAATTAAGTGACAATGAAAAGAGAACATATCACCGTTTACAAGGTAGAGCTAAAGCAGTATTTAGAGGAAAATGTATACCATTAAATATTTATGTTGGAAAAGAAGGTTCAAAATAAATGGCTTAAGTTTTTACCTTAAGAAGTAAAAAAAGAGCAAATTAAACCTCAAATAAGTAGAAATTAGGAAATAATAAGAGTAAGAACATAAATAAAAAACAGAAAAAAGCAATAGAAAATATCAATTAAGCAAAAAAACTGGTTCTATAAAAAGATCAATAAAATGGATAAACTTATAACTAGACTGATCAGGAAAAAGAGGAAATACAAATCACTAATATGAAGAATGAAAAGAGACATATCATTATAAATTTTGATACATTAAGGATAATAAGGAAATAATAGAAATAAATAGATGTCAATAAATTTGACAATTTAGATGAGATGGACAAAGTCCTTGAAAAACACAATTGGCCAAAACTGACTCAGGATGAAGTAGATTATCTGAATAGCTCTATATCTACTAGTTAAATTGAAATTCTAATAAAAAACCTTGTAAAGAAAATCCCAGTCCTAGATAGTTTCACTAAAGAATTCATCAAACATTTTAGAAAGAAATGACATTATTCCAATACAAAGTCTTTTACAAAATAGAAGAGATGGGAACACTTTCCAACTTATTTTGTGTGGCCAGTATTACCTTAATACTAAAATCAGAAAAATTCATTATGAGACAAACTATAGACCAATAATAACCTTTATGAACATACACAAATATTCCTTAACAAAATCTTAGTAAATTGAATTGAGCAGTATATAACTGATTGATTTAGTATATAACTCATGACTGTGTAGGATTTATCCTAAGTAATGCACAAAAGGTTTAACATTTGAAAATCAGATTCCTAAACCTGACAAAGAGCACCTGTGAAATACTTCCAAGTGGTATTATATTTAATAGTAAGAGATTGAGGACTTTGTCCCTAAGATCAGGAACAAGCAAGAATGTCTGTATCCCTTATTTCTGTTTATTGTTGTACTGGAGGTCCTGGTCAGTGCAATAAGGAAAGAAGAAAAATGAAAACACATATAGATTGGAAAGGAAGAAATAAAGCTCTCTTTATTTACAGAGGACGTGGTCATGTCTATAGCAGATCCTTAGGAATTTACAAGAAAGATTCTAGAACTAAAAGTGAGTTTAGCAAAGTTACATGATACAAAGTCACAGTACAAAAGTCAATTTTATTTATCTATAGTAGTAACAAATGGAGATTAAACATTTGAAAATATCATTTGGAATGGCATCAAAAAACATGAAATACCTATTAATCAGTTAAGAAAATATGTGTTAAGACCTATATGCTAAAAAACTATAAAATATTGATGAAAGAAATTAAAGGAGACCCGAAGAAATGGGCAGATCCATCTTGTTCAGTATCAGAAGACTTAATATTGTTAAGATTGTCAATTTTTCCTATATTAAACTACATATTCAATTCAATCCCAATCAAAATCCCAACTGCCTGATTTCAAGACTGACCATAAAGATATACTAACGACAATGGTGTAGTATTGGCATAAGGACAGACGTGGACATTTTCAGAATATAGAACAAAATAGAGATTCTAAAAATAGATCACCACATGTGTGGTCAATTGGTTTTTTTTTTTATAGAGATGTCAAGAAACTTTAACTGAAGAAAGGGAATATTTTTAAAAAATTATGATGAAGTAATTGTAGTTTATCTGGAAAAATGAATATTGACCATTGCCTCACATCACACATGAAAAGTAATTCTGTATGGACTATGGAAGCTGAAAAATGCTAAATCATAAAACTTGTAAAAGAAAACAGGAGAAAATGTTTTTGACTTTTAATTAAGCAGCGATTTCTTATATGGGGAGAAAAAAGTGTAAATAATTTAAAAATGATACATTTGCATCTCATAAAAATTAAAACTTCTGCTTTTTTACTAATACCATTAAATAAATAAAAAGATAAATGAGATATGGCAGAAAACAGTCAAAATACTATGATAAAGTATGTATATATAGAATATAAAAAAACTCTTACAATTCAATAGTAAGAGCACGAAAGGTAAAGAAAAATTAGCAAAACATTTGAACAGACACTTACCAGAGAAGATACATGAATAACTAACATGAATATGAAAAGATACTCTACATCATTAGTCATCAGGGAAATACAAACCCACAATAGGATACCAGCACAAGTCCATAAAAATGACCAAAATTAAAAAGACTGACAATACCAAGTCCTGGTGAGGGCATAGAGCAAGTAGTATAAGAATTTTTGAAAAAAAGAGTGGTGGTTTCTTATAAAAATAAACATATTCTTATGTTGTGACCCCTAAATTTCCACTTATGGATATTTATCGAAGAGATATCCACACAAACACTTGAAATCTTCGCAGTGGTTTCACTTAGGATAGCCTAAAACTGGTAACAACTCAAATGTCCATCAACTGGCCAATGGACAAACAAATCATAACATAAGTAAACAAATCACTGTATAACTAAATGAATGCATTTTACATGCATAAACTGTATCTCAATCAAGTTGGTAAAAACATGGAGATAATATCTACCTTAACTCTGTTGAAAAGGTGGAATGAAAAAAGTCGGAACCATTAGCATGCTTTGAAACAAAATGTGTGTAATCCGTGCACACTTACCAGACCCCAGAGATGATGTGGGGCTTAAGAGAAATTAGGTAAAACCTAAAGAATAAAATCAGAGGCAGAAAAAGAAGACTTTGAAATTGAATCTAGATTTCCCTAGAAGTTTTGAATTTTAAAAAAAAACCCAAAAAACCCAACCTATAAATATGTAACTTGTGGCAAGTGGCCATTTTCATAAGCCCTGTTGCACAGCGGTAGGGGCATCAGAGTCTGAGTGAAATGGAGCTGTCTGACCCACACGAGGTTGTCTGCGATGTCCAGTGACAAAGAAATGCCTTGTCCCTTGAACATGTGATAATGAAACACATATATGTTAACAAATAAAGTGTTAGAACACAAAGTACATTTTAATGACTTTTCTCAGTCTCTTAGCTGGCTGCATTCTTACATTTCCACATTGAGTTTACGATTCTTGGGGAGAGTGGAAAAGGGAGCAATCTCATGATAGCTTGAGCTTAGAACCAATTTGTACTTGTAGAACTCTCTGGTGAGCATTCCAGCTCTAACCCATGTCCAGCTGTACACCCTCTAGCCACTGATCAAGACAGAATGTATTATAGTTGTTATTAAATATTTTTTTATTAATAACAAAGTATTTGAAATGAAATATATGAAATAAAATATTTTCATTTTTACCAGAGATTTTAGAAAATGGTTTGAAATGATGAGTATATTGTCATATTGCTGGTGTGTGTTGGGCTGGTTGCCAAATGGGAATATGATTTTGAGTAAAAGGTCCAGGTCATTCTTCCATTTTCTACGGTTTTCTTTATAACTAAAAATTGCTTTAGTGATGAATACTAGTGAATTTTACCCAACAACTGAGTATATAGCATACTGTGGTGTGTTAGTTAGGGTATGAGTTGGGTTGTTGTTGCAAAGGCATAACTTGATGGATTAGACAAGGTATAAATTAATTTCTCTCTACTTAATTGTTTGAAAGCAGAGAGTTAGTAAGGGCTGGTAGAGTGTCTCTACAATCACCTATATGTGGCTTCCATTTCTGTGTCTAAAGTGGCTGCTCCTGGTCTAGCTATCACTTCTGCATCCCAGTCAATGTGAAGGAGAAAAGAGGAATGCCAGTGCATACCCCTTCCTTTTGAAGACATGGCCTAGAGGTTGCACGTAATACTTCTATTCATTTCATGTTGGCAAGAATTTAGCTGCAGGGGCACACTTTGTTGCAAAAGGAGTCTGGAAAAATGAGTCCTTTATTCAGGTGGCAATGTGCCCAGGTATAATTGAGGGCTTTATTATGAAAAGAAGACAATGGATATTGGAGGACATCTAGCCATGTCTCACAATTGTGGAGGCTGTAGTAACATGAAAGGAGGAGAGGAGGACTTAGACAGGAGACCTTTATTGATTCTACAGCCAGAAAGACTTGAGGACAGCAGGGTTTTAGGATTTGGTTTAAATGTGGTGTGCCCTCTCTATTGCTATGGTAGAGGCCGCAGCCATGGAAACCAGGTGTGACATTGCCTTTGTTGCTTGGGTGTGACTAAGAAGATGGCCATAGAAATGGTAAGAAAGGATTAAACCTGAGGAATAACTCGAGTAGGTGATGAATAAGACCTGGAGACAGATCAAAGTGCAGAGGAGAAGGGAGTTTCAGGGAAGACTTCAAGGTCTGTAGTGTGTGAAAGCCAAAGACTGTAGGTTACGCTGACCCAAACAGGAAACCTGGGAGAGAAAACCAATTGTTGGGAAAGACAATGACCTTGATAGGCATAGTTTTCAGTGGCTCTTGATCATAATTCAGGTCTGGGACAAAAAAAGAGGTTGGTGCTTGGTCCATCCTTGAATCTCTGGGCCAATTCTAAGCTCTCTTAATTTCTCTTTGATTTTTTTTTCCAAGTAAACACACTTACAAACAGCCTGGAACCGGGGAGTTTTGAGATGTGAAGTAGAATGAGATTTAAATAATATGCCCCGTGACTGGGCATATAACCTTCATCACTCTTCATTTCGTTATTTTTAGAAAATAGGCAAAATAAATTAGCCTACTAAATATTGGCAGAAAATGCATAGTACCTATGTTGATACCCAGGTTTTGCTCAAATCTTATCAAGTTCTGAAACCAGACGTTTGTAATGATCAGAGTGTTCCTCTTAGATATTTATTTAGAGACGGGGTATCACTGTGGTGCCCAGGCTAGAGTGCAGTGGCACATTCCTAGCTCACTGCAGCCTTGAGCTCCTGGGCTTAAGTGATCCTTCTGCCTCAGCCTCCTGAATAGCTGAGACTGCAGGTACATGGCACCATGCACAGCTATCTCTTAGATATTTCTTTGTTATTTTACTAGAAACTTCCTTGGACTTATCTTTGAGGTCAGTTAAAGCAATCTACATATCAAAATGATTTTTTTTTCTAGTAATGTCCAGGTAACAATCCCCAAAGAGACTTGTGTTGCAAAAATTATAGATAACTCTTCTACATTCTTTCTAAATGCTGAAAGATGTATAAAAATTGCATCTGGTTAAACAACTAGATATTTTTTAAACTACTGGATGAACTCAGTCAAATAGTTTGTAATTGGTTAGTAAAGAAATAATGAGTAGTTTAACAAAATAATGGGTAGTTTGCCTAAATATAATCTGGATTTACATATTTCATCTCTAAATTTGCTTATTTGTGCTTAAGACTAGAAATTAAGTTTTCAGAGACATGGCTGCCCAGGGAAATTCTGTGTGGGTATTTGTGGTGGGAAGGGGATAAGTGACAATGCGTAGGGAGATTTCTTCCCTTCTCTCTGCTACTCAAGAAATGTTGCAACAATTTGGTCTTTGTGGAGGTTCACCACTTTGGATTTGCTTGACATTTCTGTCCAGTTTCTAAACAACACATTTTAAAATATAAGTGAACAAGTTCTTGTCACCCTGAAGAGGAAGGTGCATTGTTGTCTATGATGAAGGGCTTTCCTTTGCTGTAAAAGACAGTATTTGTTTCCTTCCTTTTAATCAACATTTATTTGAATGGTCAGTAGAGAAGATTCTTAACAAAGAACTTTGGTAATCAGTTGATTCTATTTGAGTCAAGAGATCAATTTTTTTTTTTTTTTTGGTCTGAAAATGCTGGCTAAGAGGATTACACCTTACAAGTAGGAACCAGTGGTTCTTCTGGTTAAAAAAAAATTATTTACAATGTGGGCCAAGATAAAAATGCTGCTATATAAAAGCATACCTCTCTTTCTAAATTCAGTGGTTGTTCCCTGCTTAATTTCTTTTTCCCTTTCAAAATCGTCACAGGTATCAGACAGTATTTTGAGCTAATGGCCTGGAAAAATTCATTATAAAATCATTTTGAATTAGTCAGGGAAAATGCAGAGCCTAACAACTATTGCCTTCTGAATTCCTACAGTTTTGTCCACTGTGGACATTTCTAAAATTTGGAGTATAAATGAAAAGGCTTTGAACTTGCTTCTGCTTGCCACAGTGGAGATCTGAGCCATTGATTTTGGATCAGTTGGCTTCTCATCTCTGAGGGAGGGAAAAGCAATAATAATTGAACACATTTCTTTTCAATAGTAGTAGTTTGGCTATAAGGATATTTGAGGTGGTAGTTTAAAAATTTTTAATGGTAACATGGGTGCACTAAAGTATCATAGTGGGAATGCAGGCAGGCACAGAATTTAGTTCTTAGAAGAATGTATTTTTTGGCTCTCATTCTATATCAGGAAATGACTACAGTATATTGCTCTGCAGGTCTTATACATTTCAGAAGAGTGGTACCATATTTAGCTTAAAACATTAGCTTTCTTTAGAGTGAGTGTATATACATGTGTGTGTACCTGTGAGCAGACAGTAATGTTAAAAATAATCCCTGATCTGAGTGCATGTTGGCCATTCAATTTCTGAACATTGGGCAGACTTTACAAATAACGTTGGGGAGCATTCTGATCTGTTTTACCAAATGAGGAGGAAGTAGCTTACAAATGGCCATCTACAAGTCACCAGCTTATCTATGACATTGGGTTGGGCCTGGCAAGAACTAACAAAGGGAAGCCCAACTATTTCATCAGCTGTATAAGAATGTGGGCACATTTTATTCCAGGCTCCTCACAACGAAGATCTGTAGTTGACAGTACAAGATTGGTGCACATGGACTAACATGTTGGGGAGGTTGAGAAAACGATGTTCATAGACAACCTACCTGGATTAGGTATTAGGCACTTATTCTTAGATATATAAATAAATGCAACTGGACTACGTTTATGAAAACATGTGCCTATTCAGAAGCACCTCGCTCTAAGTGTCACTCTATCGATATATACACTTGCTGAAAGGTTCATGTTTGCATTCATGGAGAATCATGTGGAGTAAATGATGTGCTAGAGCTGTCCCCTTTTGGCTCATGGGAGCCCATTGTTAGATTGTGAGAAATTTTACAAGGTGGTTGTTAAACACAGGCATTATCAAAAATTAAATTATATAAACTTATAATTAAATTATATTAAAAACAAAGGTAATGAATACCTCAAGCTCATTGCTTCCTAATTAACTTACCACATTTTACTACAAGATGATTTTGAGTTTAATTGCAATGACCATGTTTCTATGGTGAAGGCACTATATCATATTGTCTATTGCACATCTCTTCCCAACTCTATGTTCGGTGACATCTACTTGGTAACTTGAAATCAGGTAGATAGAGACTCAGGATACTTCTTTTTTTTGTTTTTGAGGCTTTTGATATATTAAAAAAAATCTCAAGAATGCCAAAATTGGTGAAAAATTATGGTATATTTTAAATATACATGGTACAATGTATTGTGATTCTGCTATTCACAAGATAATTTTAAATTTTAGAAAAAAATGTTAATTCATAGTATATGAAAAGATGTGTCCTAGACTTTAACCAGAGACAAAGGTTAAGCTGTTTACTTTTAATGGTCTTGGTTTCTGTCTGTGAGGTGTCATCTCATTTAGAGATGAAAACAAAGGTCTAAAATGGAGGCCCTTTGTGAATTCAAGCCTGGGGCCCTTGGTATTTCCAGGCACTGCCGTAAGTGGCCTTGCCTCATAATGTCTGATTTTTCATCTGTAAAGTGACTATAATGATAATAATATTCACTGTATAGTTGCAATGAGTACTCAGGAAGATCACATAAGGACATTATGACAGGTCAGGTCATTTATAAATGGCAGCTATTTGAAATTATCATCATCATCATCATTGCTTTATTGAGTACTTATTGTGTGTTGAGCCCTGTTCTAAGAACTTTACAAACATTAGCTCATTTAAACCTTAAACAGCTCCCTAAGCTAGGAAGAGTATAAGCTCCATTTACAGATGAGGACACACAAGTAGCAGTTTAGTCACTTGCCCAAAGTCATACAGCTAGCCTGTGGTGAGTTGAAATTGGAACCCAGGTCTGACTCCACAGTCCATGCTCTATATGTCAATACTTTCTACTTATTGTTTTAGTATCCCTTGCAGGGCATACAGTAGATGTTTAATAAAAACCTTTTTGGTAACACTGTTTATGGTGCTTTTTTTCTAAGATGTTCAGCCTCACTTCTTAGCTCCAGGTCACCAGAAAATTCCATTTCTGTTGTGAGAGGGTTCAAAGAGAATAACTGCTTACGCAGATGTAAAGCCAGCACTTGATAGGAGAATCTTGAGTATTTTGCAATATGTTTACTAAATGAAATGTAAGATAATTAACATACACATTTATGATTTTCTTTCTGAGGACATTTTATTTTCTGGTCTTCATTTGCTATGCTATTAAGAGAAGTTTTGTTTCAGTGGTTTGTTATCTGCTTTTATGAACTTCTCCCAACGAGACTCTGTAATCCAGCACATGGACACTGTTTCCCCTAATAGGATTTACCTTTATGAATATCTGAAAATCCTTCCAGAAGATTAAATTGTTTAGCTCAATATTTAATCTGTTACTTCCTTTCTAAAGACACCCCATGGACGTTGCCATGCATTTGGCTGATATGAGAGGTATTGATCAGTCATAAACAAACACAAAAAAATTGAGAATGACCAGTGCAACATCTCCTAGCTCCACCTTATAATTCAATTTTGATTTGAGCTGCTTTTGATTAATCTTCTTATTTGTGAGTGTGTGAATTCAAGAGGCTTGCTAAGTTTCTAAAGTTGCTGGGCATTGGTCTCTGGCGGATGGCTCAGCTAAAGAACAGTATGATTGCGTTTTTATGGTTTTCAGATATTTAATAGCTTCTTCCTGTCATTTTCTGAATGACTGAATACAGTTCAGCCCTCTGGGAGCAGTGCAGCATCCGAGAGCGGGAAGATGACTGAGGTCTGTGTACTTGACTGATTGCCTTAGTCTTAATTGTTCTCTTAATTAGCTGCAGTAGCAACGGCATCTGGGGAGAGATCACGGTATTGGTAAACAGCTCCACCTTGGAGCTCAGGGTAATGCCTTTTGGAATCCTGACAGTGAGCAGCTCATGCGCTCTCTCCTCAGAGATGGGGACCTGCCAAATCACCAGCCCCCAAGGCCGATGAGCCCCCTCTTGCGATCTGTCACTCTGGCCCCTGAGAAGCAGGTCTCCAACTGTTTGTCCTTAAACAAATACTGTTTTAATATGCAAAAAGTAGGCTTTATTGGGCTGGATGGATGAACATAAAACAAAAGGAAGGGGATAGGATTCACCAAGCAGGGCGTCCAGCTAGAAGGCAGGCTTGGCAGGAGGAGGCCCAGGAGCAGGGCTGCAGCCTGGGAGGGGTGGCTCCTCCCAAGCCATTCTTGTGTTTCCCATGAAGACATCACGAATGGGCTCAGCTTAGCTTGTCTCTGAGGTGTGGCTTGGCCTCTGAAACCTGGCTTGCCTATTCTTACTACCTATTTGGGATTTCTCCTCCTTTGTATTTCTCCACCGAGGTGTGGCACGGAGACATGAAACTTCATCCCTAACTGCCAGAAAAGGAAAAAGGAGAAAGTTCACCTAGTCTGGGGGATTTGGAACCCAAAGAGTGGAAAAACTCAACTTTTTTTTGTGTATATGTAAGTGACAGCGCGTTATTGTCAGGCTGACCCAACCAGCATATTTTAGAGCTTGTAGAACCCGTTCAGGCTCACATTCATGTACAGAATAGAAAGGAAAACAGGTGCTTAGGTGGCAAATTACAAGGTCAGTACTTAATAAATGTTTCAAAAAGCTATGCAAAGCAGTAACAAATTGGCATGGAGAAGCAAAATGATCTCAAAAATGACATGAATCAGTTGTCAATATTTGCAAGAAAATAAGGAGATCTATTGGAGTAGGACTCAAGGACATGGGAGGAACCTGTGAGGTCTCAGGCAAATCATTTACCTTTTCTATGTAGAATTCCCTTTTGATATAAACAGATAGGCCCTACGTGCTCCACACACTTACCACACAGATCAAATATGATCAGAATGAGCTTGCTTTGAAAGGAAAAGGCATTATTGAAAACAGGCTTTAGATAATTGTGGTTATATTTTATAGTGGTTATATTTATATGTGGTTATAATTGTAACACTTTCATGATCATAGGTGTATTTTCATTGCCTTGAAAATAAAGATGCAGCTCAGACATGGTGGCATTTCACATACATGTGTACATAGTTGTATGGTTGGCCATCTCCTTTTCCATCTCTCGTCCAGGAAATAACCTTCTTCGTAATTTAACCAGCCTGTTTTTCCCTACAGGGCAAAACCTAAGAAAAGAACAACTGCAGTGTTCTGAGAGTTGCCTCTGAACCCGAGCTAGTAGAATGTTCACAGAAAAGCAATGTCTGGGAATTTGAATGAGTTAAACTATGAGATCATGTTTTGAAGGCATGTGTCATACTATTTTCAGGACAGTGCTGAAAACCAAAGTGCCAGCTACTTGTGGCTATTAAAATGGCAAGGCTGCCTCTTGTCAAAAATGTATTCAGTAAGTTAACCCTGATATTATGCTAATATTGGAACAACTGCATTCTAGTTATCAAAAATACTCCCTCCCCAGAATCTCAGCTATATGATATGTTTTACCTTTGCCTTGCTATGGTGAGCTGCATTTCGTGACAGCAGAGTGCTAATTATGTTAGCTACCTTTTATACATATATATGATATCTATATTATATATCATATATTTATACATAAGATATCTTATATGTATGCATATATAATATATAACACATTATATAATATATAATGTGTGTGTGTGTGTATGTGTGTCACAGACAGCAAAATCTTTCTTTTGCTGGGCACGGTGGCTCATGCCTGTAATCCCAGCACTTTGGGGGGCCGAGGCGGGCGGATCACCTGAGGTCAGGAGTTCGAGACCAGCCTGACCAACATGGAGAAACCCAGTCTCTACGAGAAATACAAAATTAGCTGGGCGTGGTGACACATGCCTGTAATCCCAGCTACTTGGGAGGCTGAGGCAGGAGAATCGCTTAAACCCGGGAGGCGGAGGTTGCGGTGAGCCAAGATCAAGCCATTGCACTCCAGCCTGGGCAACAACAGCAAAACTCTATCTCAAAAAAAAAAAAAAAATCTTTCTTTTATGCTTTCCTTGGACCAAGGGGAAAGTCACATATTTTGGCAATAGGAACATTTGATTAATAGGCACTTGATCATTATTGATATGAATAAAACACCAATACTAATGAAGTCCATAAGAAGCACCTGTACAATTGTCATTAAGGTTTTTCCTAACAGAGGCATTGTGCAATACCTTCTCATCAAAAATTGCTATTATAGCTCTGTGTTTAGCATGTGCCTGAATATCAGTCCTAGGGTGCATTTATTTCCTACCATCAACACAGTGTCCTGTCTCCAATGTGCTACAGAGGGGTGTAGTTTGGCTGTCTTGGTTTCCATTCCCAATACTTCTTCCCATTGTTCTTCTCTACTCTAGAGGCTACAGAGGTAAATTTTCATCTTTTTTTGCCAATAATGAATGGCCATCCATTTGCCACAGTTCTAGCAGGGGAAGGAAAGAACCCCGGGCCCAAGAAAGCAGCAAGGGAGGGCAAACAAAACAGTAGCAGGAACCACCTAACTGCACTCCTTGTTATATGAAATAATAAATTGACATTTGTGGAAGTCAGCTTAGTTGGTTTTTTGTTATCTATAGCTGCAGCATTTCTAATGGAGGAAAGAGGCTCTATGAATCTGAAGAATCTATGAAGCACTAAATGTTAAATAAGTGGCCTCAATAGAAATCCTGATTTAATACAAACTCCTTTCTCATCTAGAGAAGCCTTGTTATTGATGATGAAGGGCTTGGCAAACTGTGGCCCCTAGGCCAATCCAGCCTTCTGCCTGTTTTTGTAAATAAAGTTTTATTGGCACGCAGCCATGCTCATTTGTTGACATGTAGCTACTTGTGCCCTACAATAGCAGAGTTGAGTAGTTGGGACAGAAGTTGTGAGACACCCTATGACCTATCTAAATGACCTGTCTAAATGACCTGTCCAAAGACATTTGAACTTTGTGCTTAGTGAGAGCAGTTCCTTCTGGCCTTTAATAAATAGCAAAGCTCTTCAGTAAAACCTTTTAAGGCATACCTTTGTTGCAGCGAGGAAGCTCTGGCAGGATGTGCATAAAAATTAGACTTTTGGTTTTCACCAGAGACAAGGATGCAACCTGTCTGGAGGGCTTGTGGGTGTGGGTGTGGGTATGGGAATGTACAGCGTCAGAGCCAGGAGCTGGCGGGCCTGTCCTCAGCCAGCCTTCTCTCCAATATCAGATTCCTACAAAGTGGATTCTAATCGGATGCTTGTGTCTCATTCTCCTTTAAGCAGATACCAGCTATACTCACTTGGAAAAATATATCCCAGTGTTAGAAAAATCTGTTCCAAAAACATCCAGTCTTTCACAGCCCTACAGGGCTGCTTCTGTTTGTGTGTTATCAGAGTACTTGGTTGCCTACCCTTGAGGGCATTTTTTTTTTTTTTTGGCGTTTAATGAAGAAAGGGAGAAAATCTCTCAAAACAACTGACAACTCCAAAAATTACGTATTCATGAAAACTGATGAAAATAAAGTCAGCATAGTTCTTACCAGTCTTCGCATTCTATCACCTTTCTCCACTTCAGGCCTTAGTTCATCATCTATCGTTAGTGAAATACTCATTCTCATTTTATTTGTATTTCAGTGCAGGCAGTAACCAATGCATTACTCTGTCTCCACTTCCCCAAATATGCATTTATGTTTTTGTTTTGGTAAGAGAAACAAAAAGGGCCAAAGTTGTCATAGGTTTTGATATAAGTCTACACCTTATTTTGCTTTTTTCTATCTCTTATCTTATAGACGGGGAGGTAGAAATCCAGTAAAAGTAAAAGAGCAGACTAGGAGAGAAGACAGCAATAGCAATACAAAGATGAATTTGATCCAGGTAGTGTTGGGAGTTAATCAATTTAGAGTTTCAGTCTATTCATGGTTTTGGTTTTTGCTTTAGAGAAAAATAAAAATCCTAAGCTCCCACAGAACATCTGGAAAATGAAACTTCTGCCTGTCATAATAAAACTAGCTGGAGATGTAAGCAAGCCTCCACACTCTGGAAAATACTTAGCCAAGTGAGACCTTGAGTCATTCCCGGCCTCTGAAATGAAAAGGATCAGATTATGTGAATGTTACCCTGAAGCTTGGAATATAAATTTGGTGGAACATCAGTCTCCTAAATTCAGGAATCTGGATTCAAGTTCCATGTGCGATTCTATGACATCCATTGACATGTTAATATACTGATCCTGAAAACCGATGCCCTGCGAGATGAACTAGATACTGAATTTGCAACATGCCTCCTATAGAGGAAGAGATTATTTTTATGATGTGCCTAAGACATTACCAGAAACTCAAGTCTGTGATGGAGGCAGTGAGATTGGAGGGCCCTGTGAAAGGGCACAAAGAGAAGGAGCTATGGAATCTACTGGGCAGGTATGGATACTGCAAGTGAGCTGAGTTCTCTGCCTGAAAAGAGGTGCTTTTCCAATCAGAAGTGGAGATATTCTGTCTTGGTGGAGCATTTATACTGCATCATACCCCTGACCCCAACATATGCCTGCCTCTCCAAGGGCTAGAGGCAGCGGCCCAAGCAATCATCGCTTACAAATGAGAAAAGAGAGACTCAGAGAGGGCAAGAGAGCAGTGAGGGACACCAGAACGAGGACTTGAACCTTAGTCTTCTGAGGGCAATCCTTCCTCTCTTTCTGCTATGTAAACTGCCTCTGATGAGGGAGAAATGAACCACTGGTGTAACCTCCCGGACCTTAACCTACAAAGAAACCAGATAGGCTTACAGGCAAACACCAGTTGAAGTTCACAAATAGTTTATTAGGTTAACCTTGACCCTCCAGTTTACAAGTTTGTGAAGCTTGGAACAGGAAGGGTAGGTGAGAGCTCAGGATGTTTAGATCAAAGCATTGCAATTCCTTGGCTCTGCCACAGAATGTCACCTTTACATCATGTACTTCTCGGCATGTCAGCATTTCCTAGGAGCAGAAAAAGAAGAGTTTTCTTAAAGGAGCTAGTTTCAAAACAGAATTATCTCAACTGGTGCTTGAATAAAGCACTTCTCAAGCTATAGAAATCGTTGGCATTGAAAAAATCCCCTTTCTTCTCTTCTGCCATTTTCCCCCTGGTTTATTATTTGCAGTGTTTAAAGGATTTGTATGCCAACTTTTCTCTATTCCTTCTTTAGTACAAGGTTTTATAAATTACACCTTTCTCCTTTAAAAAGATCTGAACCTTTGTATTTAAATTGTATTTAACCTACAGCCTAAACGATTCAAGTTTAGAGACTCTTAAGTACTTAATTCTAAGGATCCTATTTCATAGAAGGCTCTTTCAGAAAAGAAAGTATAAACATCAGCTATGTGAAGGGTTTAGGTGAAATGAATTTCCACAGACTGAAAATGGAAGACTTACATTGTGGGGAAGAGATGGTTTGTGAGGAGAAGCCAGCTGGAACTGGAGAGTAAGAGAGCATGAAAAGGATAGGACAGGAGGGCCCCTGATGGGAAGGATAGGGCAAATATACCGGTTCACCGCAGGGACAGAGGGAACCGTCAATCACCCAGCCATTCAAACCCCAAGGGTTTTTGAGGTTTGACATAAACAAACACTCCTTTAGTCACCATCTTTCTGGCAACGTGATTGTGCTGCCTTTTGAAGGAGGACTCAAAGAGTCATCAAGTCATGAGGTTTTATTGACCTCAGAGGCACTGGGAGGGGCTGCTGGAGGCATCTTGGGCCTTTGGCTGCCTGGATAAGGTGGCCTAGTCTTTGCTCCTTTTCTTCTATTTTTATTTCACTCTGCGGTGTTGGTTAGGAGGACACAGAACCTAGAGGCAATGTTTGGAAGTGCAGAGTATGGTGCAGGAGTCATTTCCTGACAAACACTCAAGTTTGTCATTTCTCCATTCTTCCTATTTGAAGCACACCTCACCCAACTGCTGCTCAGATTAAGAAGATCCCGCAGCATCCCCATGGCCTTTCATTGCTCCTGGAATTCTTGCTCCTTTTGGGTGTGCTTTGTTCGTTTCATAATTGGACTCTTAATTCAGCAATAGCTCTGGCCAATAGCTATTAATTATCACTTTGCTTGGTCTTCCCATGGCAATTATTAATTAAACTTCCTAGAGAGTCATAAAGACTCTCTAGGAAATTAAAGACTGTAATAATATTTTAGGAAGCAGTGTCCCATGATGTTGGAGGTCTACATTCTGTTCCAAAGGCAGAGCAGAGTTTGTTTGTTTAATTCACAAACATTTACTGAGTCCCCTCTAGGTAGAAGGCCCCATTCCAGGTTCCAGGCATACACTGCAGATGGCTCCTACTCTAGGGAGGAACTGAAGGTCATGGTGTGGAGTGTTTTTTGATCCAACTCTTAATTCCTATTGATTCTCCTTTCTCAACTTATGCCATTCCATTGAGAATCAGGTCCAACTTTCCCTTCTACTTTTATTACCCACTGTTCCCTCCCACAACCTTAAGGAGCACTCAGGTTAATTGCTCCTTTTCTGAGTTCCTATGGTAACTTTGTATAAACCTCTATTATAGAACTAATATTTTTATCATCATTAAAAAAACCTCAGTTGCTTCTCCCACTCTCAGTAAATTTTGCCAGGGTGAAAATTGCGTCCTCTTCAGCTGTGTACTGGATATCACCTAGCCTAGGGCTTAGCTGTTGGTGTTTAGTAAATATTGAAGTTTTGCAATTTCAACTTAAGATCAGCCTCAGAGTGCGGGCTCAGTTCTAAGAAAAACTTTAGAGTGGGAGCGGGGAGAACAAAGAGCAAAGTGGGCAAGGCCACGGAGCTGGCCTTCCATGGAGGTCAAGGTTCTGCTCAATCCAGCCCCTTAAGTAGCGCTGGCCCACCCCACTGCACGCTACAAGGAGCACAACCATTTCTGCTCAATCCACATGGTGTTTCCAGCTTCAACTTAGACTCTGCCCCTTTCTGTGCTCCTTGATCTCATCTTCTCTAGATACTTCTAATCCCTTAGCTTCAAGCTCCAGCTTCAAGGCTTTCTTTCTCTCTAAATTGCTTGGGCATGATTTTCTGGCTCTGACCCATAGCACTCCCCCTTGGACCTGATGTGGCACTTTACCCTCTGCTCTGGCATCTCAGGGCCAAGGTCTTGCCTGTCACAAAGCCCCTACTGACTCATACCCCAGAGTAGCTGGCTGACCCTGTGATAGGATTTTAGGGAAAAGCCACAATGAGCCAATCAGTACTCCATGTCCAAATTTCCTCCCTTAACATATAGCTTTCACAATAGCTCCCAGAAATATTTTCTGCTTTTATTCAAAATGCAAAGGCCCATGGATGGAGTCATTTAAGTCTCTAGCATGTATAGTATGTGCAAAAGAATTGGAAAGAAATTTTTTTGGGAGGAAGATAGATCTTGTGGCTGGTGGGATTCAGTTTTGGAGAAAGGCTCTACTGCAGTGCAGATAAAAGCTGGAAAGACGAGTGCCACCCATACTGCAGAAGGGGTAGACTCTGGGGGGTATCTGTTGTTTTTGCCACCCAATATCCATTCACCTTTCTTCTGGTAAAGGTAATCTGATTCTTCTCTTTGGAACCACTGTTCCAACAACTTCAGCCTATAAAGTTTGAGTGGTGTTGAGTCAACCACTGACTTTGGAAGGGCACATATGAGTCAGGTTGGCCAGTAATACATCCTATCCCTGGCCACTGAGATGGTTCAGGGAGCGTCAAGCCTAAGACTTTCATTCAAACTTACAAGGAAAATAACTGTCCCTTTTCTCCTGTGCTTGCAGTTGTGAGAGTTTCAGCCTGGAGAGGACCACCCTGCTGGAAGGGTGTCCTGGGAATGAAGTCCACGTAGGTGAGAACACACACCAGGGATATGTAGCTGGATGGACTCAGCAGCCCTTGGGGAATAAAGCCAGGTGTGCTTTCTATATTTCTACTAAGATCATTTTTTCTATTTTTTTTTCTACTCCAGTTTCAGTTGCTATTTTTTCTGTCATTTTGCAACCAAAGCTGCCCTGACTAACATAGCACTAGGGGAAGCATCTCTGGGTTTGATCGAGGTCAGAAGGCGTGAGCTTAAACCACACCTGTGTCACTCACCAGCCGTGTACTTAGCTTCCCAGAGTCTTGGTTTCCTTATCTGTAGAACTCAGTGAATAGTGTCTATACTGCAGTGTTTTAGTCAACATTCTTGGTAGTAAGCAGCTGAAATGACTCTGGTTAACTTAAGCAGAAAAGTGCTTCATTGGAGGCGTATCAGGTAATTCACAGAACTGAGGAGAAGGCTGGAACCAGGCTTGCAAAATGGGCAGAGACCAAGAGGAGCTGAGCAGCCAGAACCTCAGCTAAAATGCAGCTAGGACCTGCATTTTACCTCTCCATGCACCCCCAAAGATACACATGGCTCATAGGTCATTCCTCTTGGTGTTACTTGCTCCTTATTCAAAGCTTGCCTGGGGCTGCATATCCTGTTGGTCAGAAGGTAGAGAGTTCCTTTTTTGTTGTTGTTGAAGCAGAGTCTCACTCTGTTGCCCAGGTTGGAATACCTGGTGCAATCATGGCTCACTGTAGCCTGTGCTTCCTGGGCATAAGCAATCCTCCCACCTCAGCCTCCCAAGTAGCTGGAATTAGAGGTGCATACCACCATGCCTGGATAATTTTTGTAGAGATGGGGTTTCACTGTGTTGCCCAGGCTGGTCTTAAACCCCTGGACTCAAGCGACCTGCCAGCCTTGGCCTCCTAAAGTGTTGGGATTACAGGACAGGAGAGAGCCACTGTGCCCAGCCAAGTTTCTTTACAAGGCTTGGGTATTGAGCAACCTGGCATAATGACAAAAGTTCATGACAAATAGCTGCTACGAGAATTATAGGAAGTCACGGCTGTAAAAGCCTGCCGTACTGTTTTATCAAGGCTAGTTCCTCTTTCCTTTCCTCACATTTCTGATCAGGGCTGACCCTACTGATCTTTGTCTTCAGAGAACCAACTCTGCCAAAGCCCCAGATCTAACAGGCCACATGAGGCTGGACAGAATTTTTCCTCCTCTGTACACCAAGACATTTAATGACTTTTCTTCTTGTTGGATATGTCTTCATTCTGTTAAGTTTTCCCAACTTTCCTTTGCTGTTTGTAGTGACAACTACTCCTTTAGTCTGTTAGATTCTTGAGGGCATAGTTAGCATCTATTGCATCAATTTCCTAAAACTGCTTAGGTTATATTCTAACACATGCTGGCTGCTTTTTGGATCAATGTTTATTTACTGATTGGTCCAAAATTAGGACTGGCTGTTTGACCATTTCAGGAAGACCGTGGATGGGTTGTATTTCTTATGCCAATACCTGTGCCTGGCATATATAAGTATCCAATATGTATTTGTTGAATGAATGGGTGGATGGTATATAGTAGGTGGCCTCTAGTACCATGCTACAAAAATATTGAATATAGCTGCAGCAACATTGCTCCAAGACTGCTGCTCGTTCCTGTAAGTGTGTCCTTGTGCTATGACACTTGATAACTATCTCACTCATTGCCACCAGATCAATGTAAATGATATTAGTGACGGCTTACTGAGCACTGCCTAATCTCATGTAAAAGGCAGAGGTGTGCACTGGGGAATTGAATGCCTCATTATATGGTGGACAGAAGGGCTGGGAAGCCATTCCAACAATAGGCATCTAGGAAGACCTATTATGTACTGGGTGCTGATACACAAAGTTGACAGAAATGTAGCCTGTGCCTTTGAGGAACTCAGAGGCTAGTGGGCTCACGAAGTCTGGCTTCTTAGATGCTCAGAAATGAGTCCTTAGCAAAGACTGTATCCTTGGGAAGCATAAATAAAAGGTGGAAAGATTGCCGTATGTTGGTGTAGGTTTTAAGTTCCAGGGAATTCTCTTGGAGAAAAGATTTCTAAACATTTCTTTTCTATAATTCAGGCTTACTCAATATAGTCGTCCTTGTTTCCTGACATCTCCGATATCTCTCAAGATAGCTTATTATCAAAGTTCCAGGACTTAATCTTTTTTTTTATTTTTTATTTTTTATTTTATTATTATTATACTTTAAGCTTTAGGGTACATGTGCACAATGTGCAGGTTAGTTACACATGTATACATGTGCCATGCTGGTGTGCTGCACCCATTAACTCATCATTTAGCATTAGGTATATCTCCTAAAGCTATCCCTCCCCCCTCCCCCCACCCCACAACAGTCCCCAGAGTGTGATGTTCCCCTTCCTGTGTCTATGTGTTCTCATTGTTCAATTCCCACCTATGAGTGAGAATATGTGGTGTTTGGTTTTTTGTTCTTGCTATAGTTTACTGACAATGATGATTTCCAATTTCATCCATGTCCCTACAAAGGACATGAACTCATCATTTTTTATGGCTGCATAGTATTCCATGGTGTATATGTGCCACATTTTCTTAATCCAGTCTATCATTGATGGACATTTGGGTTGGTTCCAAGTCTTTGCTATTGTGAATAGTGCCGCAATAAACATACATGTGCATGTGTCTTTATAGCAGCATGATTTATAGTCCTTTGGGTATATACCCAGTAATGGGATGGCTGGGTCAAATGGTATTTCCAGTTCCAGATCCCTGAGGAATCACCACACCGACTTCCACAAGGGTTGAACTAGTTTACAGTCCCAACAACAGTGTAAAAGTGTTCCTATTTCTCCATATCCTCTCCAGCACCTGTTGTTTCCTGACTTTTTAATGATTGCCATTCTAACTGGTGTGAGATGGTATCTCATTGTGGTTTTGATTTGCATTTCTCTGATGGCCAGTGATGGTGAGCATTTTTTCTGTGTTTTTTGGCTGCATAAATGTCTTCTTTTGAGAAGTGTCTGTTCATGTCCTTTGCCCACTTTTTGATGGGGTTGTTTGTTTTTTTCTTGTAAATTTGTTTGAGTTCATTGTAGATTCTGGATATTAGCCCTTTGTCAGATGAGTAGATTGCAAAAATTTTCTCCCATTTTGTAGGTTGCCTGTTCACTCTGATGGTAGTTTCTTTTGCTGTGCAGAAGCTCTTTAGTTTAATTAGATCCCATTTGTCAATTTTGTCTTTTGTTGCCATTGCTTTTGGTGTTTTAGACATGAAGTCCTTGCCCATGCCTATGTCCTGAATGGTGATGCCTAGGTTTTCTTCTAGGGTTTTTATGGTTTTAGGTCTAACATGTAAGTCTTTAATCCATCTTGAATTAATTTTTGTATAAGGTGTAAGGAAGGGATCCAGTTTCAGCTTTCTACATATGGCTATCCAGTTTTCCCAGCACCATGTATTAAACAGGGAATCCTTTCCCCATTGCTTGTTTTTCTCAGGTTTGTCCAAGATCAGATAGTTGTAGACATGTGGCATTATTTCTGAGGGCTCTGTTCTGTTCCATTGGTCTATATCTCTGTTTTGGTACCAGTACCATGCTGTTTTGGGTTACTGTAGTCTCGTAGTATAGTTTGAAGTCAGGTAGCATGATGCCTCCAGCTTTGTTCTTTTGGCTTAGGATTGGCAATGCACGCTCTTTTTTGGTTGCATATGAACTTTAAAGTAGTTTTTTCCAATTCTGTGAAGAAAGTCATTGGTAGCTTGATGGGGATGGCATTGAATCTATAAATTGCTTTGGGCAGTATGGCCATTTTCATGATATTGATTCTTCCTACCCATGAGCATGGAATGTTGTTCCATTTGTTCATATCCTCTTTTATTTCATTGAGCAGTGGTTTGTAGTTTTCCTTGAAGAGGTCCTTCACGTCCCTTGAAAGTTGGATTCCTAGGTATTTTATTCTCTTTGAAGCAATTGTGAATGAGAGTTCACTCATGATTTGGCTCTCTGTTTGTCTGTTATTGGTGTGTAAGAATGCTTGTGATTTTTGTACATTGATTTTGTATCCTGAGACTTTGCTGAAGTTGCTTATCAGCTTAAGGAGATTTTGGGCTGAGACAATGGGGTTTTCTAGATATACAATCATGTCATCTGCAAACAGGGACAAATTGACCTCCTCTTGTCCTAATTGAATACCCTTTATTTCCTTCTCCTGCCTAATTGCCCTGGCCAGAACTTCCAACACGATGTCGAATAGGAGTGGTGAGAGAGGGCATCCCTGTCTTGTGCCAATTTTCAAAGGGAATGCTTCCAGTTTTTGCCCATTCAGTATGATATTGGCTGTGGGTTTGTCATAGATAGCTCTTATTATTTTGAGATACGTCCCATCAATACCTCATTTATTCAGAGTTTTTAGCATGAAGGGTTGTTGAATTTTGTCAAAGGCCTTTTCTGTATCTATTGAGATAATCATGTGGTTTTTGTCTTTGGTTCTGTTTATATGCTGGCTTACATTTATTGATTTGTGTATATTGAACCAGCGTTGCATCCCAGGGATGAAGCCCACTTGATCATGGTGGATAAGCTTTTTGATGTGCTGCTGGATTCGGTTTGCCAGTATTTTATTGAGGATTTTTGCATCAATGTTCATCAAGGATATTGGTCTAAAATTCTCTTTTTTGGTTGTGTCTCTGGCAGGCTTTGGTATCAGGATGATGCTGGCCTCATAAAATGAGTTAGGGAGGATTCCCTCTTTTTCTATTGATTGGAATAGTTTCAGAAGGAATGGTACCACTTCCTCCTTGTACCTCGGGTAGAATTCGGCTGTGAATCCATCTGATCCTGGACTCTTTTTGGTTGGTAAGCTATTGATTATTGCCACAATTTCAGAGCCTGTTATTGGTCTATTTAGAGAGTCAACTTCTTCCTGGTTTAGTCTTGGGAGGGTGTAAGTGTCGAGGAATTTATCCATTTCTTCTAGATTTTCTAGTTTATTTGCGTAGCGGTGTTTGTAGTATTGTCTGATGGTAGTTTGTATTTCTGTGGGATCGGTGGTGATATCCCCTTTATCATTTTTTATTGTGTCTATTTGATTCTTCTCTCTTTTCTTCTTTATTAGTCTTGCTAGCGGTCTATCAATTTTGTTGATCCTTTCAAAAAACCAGCTCCTGGATTCATTAATTTTTTGAAGGGTTTTTTGTGTCTCTATTTCCTTCAGTTCTGCTCTGATTTTAGTTATTTCTTGCCTTCTGCTAGCTTTTGAATGTGTTTGCTCTTGCTTTTCTAGTTCTTCTAATTGTGATGTTAGGGTGTCAATTTTGGATCTTTCCTGCTTTCTCTTGTGGGCATTTAGTGCTATAAATTTCCCTCTACACATTGCTTTGAATATGTCCCAGAGATTCTGGTGTGTTGTGTCTTTGTTCTCATTGGTTTCAAAGAACATCTTTATTTCTGCCTTCTTTTCGTTATGTACCCAGTAGTCATTCAGGAGCAGGTTGTTCAGTTTCCACGTAGTTGAGTGGTTTTGAGTGTGTTTCTTAATCCTGAGTTCTAGTTTGATTGCCTGTGGTCTGAGAGACAGTTTGTTATAATTTCTGTTCTTTTACATTTGCTGAGGAGAGCTTTACTTCCAAGTATGTGGTCAATTTTGGAATAGGGGTGGTGTGGTGCTGAAAAGAATGTATATTCTGTTGATTTGGGGTGGAGAGTTCTGTAGATGTCTATTATGTCTGCTTGGTGCAGAGCTGAGTTCAATTCCTGGGTATCCTTGTTAACTTTCTGTCTCGTTGATCTGTCTAATGTTGACAGTGGGGTGTTAAAGTCTCCCATTATTAATGTGTGGGAGTCTAAGTCTCTTTGTCGGTCACTCAGGACTTGTTTTATGAATCTGGGTGCTCCTGTATTGGGTGCATATGTATTTAGGATAGTTAGTTCTTCTTGTTGAATTGATCCCTTTACCATTATGTAATGGCCTTCTTTGTCTCTTTTGATCTTTGTTGGTTTAAAGTCTGTTTTATCAGAGACTAGGATTGCAACCCCTGCCTTTTTTTGTTTTCCATTTGCTTGGTAGATCTTCCTCCATCCTTTTACTTTGAGCCTTTGTGTGTCTCTGCATGTGAGATGGGTTTCCTGAATACAGCACACTGATGGGTCTTGACTCTTTATCCAATTTGCCCATCTGTGCCTTTTAATTGGAGCATTTAGTCCATTTACATTTAAAGTTAATATTGTTATGTGTGAATTTGATCCTGTCATTATGATGTTAGGTGGTTATTTTGCTCATTAGTTAATGCAGTTTCTTCCTAGCCTCGATGGTCTTTACAATTTGGCATGATTTTGCAGCGGCTGGTACTGGTTGTTCCTTTCCATGTTTAGTGCTTCCTTCAGGAGCTCTTTTAGGGCAGGCCTGGTGGTGACAAAATCTCTCAGCATTTGCTTGTCTATAAAGTATTTTATTTCTCCTTCACTTATGAAGCTTAGTTTGGCTGGATATGAAATTCTGGGTTGAGAATTCTTTTCTTTAAGAATGTTGAGTATTGGCCCCCACTTTCTTCTGGCTTGTAGAGTTTCTGCCAAGAGATCCACTGTTAGTCTGATGGGCTTCCTTTTGTGGGTAACCTGACCTTTCCATCTGGCTGACCTTAGCATTTTTTCCTTCATTTCAACTTCGGTGAATCTAGCAATTATGTGTCTTGGTGTTGCTCTTCTCAAGGAGTATCTTTGTGGCGTTCTCTGTATTTCCTGAATCTGAATGTTGGCCTGCCTTGCTAGATTGGGGAAGTTCTCCTGGATAATATCCTGCAGAGTGTTTTCCAACTTGGTTCCATTCTCCCCGTCACTTTCAGGTACACCAATCAGACGTAGATTTGGTCTTTTTACATAGTCCGTATTTCTTGGAGGGTTTGTTCATTTCTTTTTATTCTTTTTTTTGTAAACTTCACTGCTCGCTTCATTTCATTCATTTCGTCTTCCATCACTGATTCCCTTTCTTGCAGTTGATCGCATCGGCTCCTGAGGCTTCTACATTCTTCACGTAGTTCTCGAGCCTTGGCTTTCAGCTCCATCAGCTCCTTTAAGCACTTCTCTGTATTGGTTATTCTAGTTATACATTCGTCTAAATTTTTTTCAAAGTTTTCAACTTCTTTGGCTTTGGTTTGAATTTCCTCCTGTAGCTTGGAGTAGTTTGATCGTCTGAAGCCTTCTCCTGTCAACTGGTCAAAGTCGTTCTCCGTCCAGCTTTGTTCCATTGCTGGTGAGGAGCTGCGTTGCTTTGGAGGGGGAGAGGCACTCTGCTTTTTAGAGTTTCCAGTTTTTCTGCTCTGTTTTTTCCCCATCTTTGTGGTTTTATCTACTTTTGGTCTTTGATGATGGTGATGTACAGATGGGTTTTTGGTGTGGATGTCCTTTCTGTTTGTTAGTTTTCCTTCTAACAGACAGGATCCCCAGCTGCAGGTCTGTTGGAGTTTGCTAGAGGTCCACTCCAGACCCTGTTTGCCTGGGTACCAGCAGCGGTAACTGCAGAACAGTGGATTTTCGTGAACCGCGAATGCTGCTGTCTGATCGTTCCTCTGGAAGTTTTGTCTCAGAGGAGTACCTGGCTGTGTGAGGTGTCAGTCTGTCCATACTGGGGGGTGCCTCCCAGTTAGGCTGCTCAGGGGTCAGGGGTCAGGGACCCACTTGAGGAGTCAGTCTGCCCATTCTCAGATCTCCAGCTGCGTGCTGGGAGAACCACTGCTCTCTTCAAAGCTGTCAGACAGGGTCATTTAAGTCTGCAGAGGTTACTGCTGTCTTTTTGTTTGTCTGTGGCCTGCCCCCAGAGGTGGAGCCTACAGAGGCAGGCAGGCCTCTTTGAGCTGTGGTGGGCTCCACCCAGTTCGAGCTTCCTGGCTGCTGTGTTTACCTAAGCAAGACTGGGCAATGGCGGGCGCCCCTCCCCCAGCCTGGCTGCCGCCTTGCAGTTTGATCTCAGACTGCTGTGCTAGCAATCAGCGAGACTCCTTGGGCGTAGGACCCTCCGAGCCATGTGTGGGATATAATCTCCTGGTGCGCCGTTTTTTAAGCCCATGGGAAAAGTGCAGTATTGGGGTGAGAGTGACCCGATTTTCCAGGTGCTGTCTGTCACCCCTTTCTTTGACTAGGAAAGGGAACTCCCTGACCCCTTGCACTTCCCGAGTGAGGCAATGCCTTGCCCTGCTTCGGCTCGTGCATGGTGCGCTGCACCCACTGTCCTGTGCCCACTGTCTGGCACTACCTAGTGAGATGAACCTGGTACCTCAGATGGAAATGCAGAAATCACCCATCTTCTGTGTCGCTCACGCTGGGAGCTGTAGACTGGAGCTGTTCCTATTCGGCCATCTTGGCTCCAGCCCCAGGACTTAATTTTGCCCAAGTCTTTTTGCTACTACAAAATGATAATTCTTTGTATGCATATGTGTGTATCTGTATATGTGTATGTGCATGCACGTGCATCCATGCATGTGTGTATGTGTATATGCATGTGTGCATACATACATACACATGCATGCATGTGTATATGCATGTGTGTGTGTGCTTGCCCATGTTCATGTGTGGAAATGATGAGTACAATGACAGAAGGGTAGAAACCAGAGCTAGATGGAAGACAGAGTAGGAATGATGTGTAACTTAGCTCTTTCTTTCTTTACTCATCATCAGTGACCCTGTTAATGTTTTGTCTGTTTAATGAATTGGTATTAGTTAATTACTTGGGCCATTAAAAGTTCAAGAACCTCCAGTTCTTTTTATTCCCTGAGTTCCTAGAGCCTGGAGGTGGCACAGCCAGGCAGACAGGGGTGAAAGGAGATTTGTTCCCAACTGGCTTCCCCTCTGCAGTCTCTGGCCTGCCTTTAATGATAAACATTTAGAGCCTCCTTTGAGGGCTGCCCATTCATTAAAGGAGTTAACGCAGTTTCCTCTATGGTGACTTTGGGAGGAAATTAATTCTCCCCCAGTGCCTAGTTCAGTGCCCCAGGCTTAGAAGATGCTCAATAACACATTGCTCATCACTGCTGCTCATCTGCCCTGTGCAAGAACTTTGGAAGCTGGCCTTCTGCTCGGTGAATTTGCCATTCTCAGTGTTTCTCCCAAATGCTCTCAGTTGTTCCACAATCCCACAACGGTCATATGGTCCGTGCACCAGGCATGTAATTTGCTAATCTCATGATTAGACATGCACACAAACCTCAGTGCTATTCTAATGAACTCTGCAGTTGGCCTTTGGATTGTTTCTCCCTAAACAAATCTCTAGGCACATGTGAATGGAATTAGTCTTCTGATCACTCTGACCTCCTGCACACTGTTGTTGAATACTTTTAGTCTGTAGTACTTCCTGGGTTGTGGGCAGCCCAGGTTTCTGTGATCAGAGGCACATACCTTGGTTCTGGGTGCTGTCTTTGGGTCGACAATCCCCAGGCGAGAGGGGCCTCACACTTAGTCTTGATGTGCTTTGGATGTAGAAGTTTTGGGAAGATTTCTGGGTTATTTCTTTCTCTGATTTTATTCTTTTGTTGTCTTGGCAACTAGAATAATAGTCTTAAGTGTCTGTGTTTGTATATTCTTTGGAGAATATTTTATCACAAATCTTTTCCAAGAATGCCTATCTCATGATGCATTGATTATTCCTCAATGTCTTCCTTTTTTTTTTTTTTCTGTATATGCTTGTTTTCCACAGTTGGGAGAAAGAAATGTTTGTACGACGTAAACAGCCTCTAGGTTGAGGATTAGGAGTGCTCAGTTAGTACTTTACCTCTCTGGCCTTCAGTTTTCCAGATTAAATGGACCAAATGATTTCTTTAAGCCCTGAACTGCCACGACCCTAAGCCAGAATTAGGTAAGAATGTGCCATTACTTGCTGACATCCTTGCAAGAATCTTCTGCATTATGCATGGGAATTTTCCAATTCTTCACTCTTCATTGACTAGAATTTTTTTTTTTTTTGGTTGAAATATGTTACTTCATTTACCTCAGTCCTCGGTATTTTGCAGAAGGGGTAAATGCTGCCATGTAAACACATGATACTGGCAGAAGGCTGGTGCTGCTTCAAGCCAGTGTTTTACTGTGGTTGGAGTAAATGTCATGGAGGTTTCTTCCTCTTTTCTTTAACAGATCTCTTGTGCTTTTCCCCTTCCTTCTACAGTTGGTACCCCTTATCCCCTCTTTGTCATTTATCAACTTGAGGGCTTCAGGGAAAAACTTCAGACATCCACGAGGAAGTGAATCCTCAAAGAGGACTGCCCTGGAGGCTCTTGGGAGGGTGGAGCATCCAAATGGATTGGCTTGGAATCCCTGACACTCAACTACAGATGCTTCCTTCAATGTTGACTTTGGAGCCAATTGAGTCTGCTTGTGTGTGACAATTGGGGAGGGATCTTTGGTGCCTGTGGCAGGATGGCTTCTCCTTGGCCATACCAGGTACACATTTCAAAGCCAGAACTGGAAATATCAGCTTCACTCAGGATAAATTTTCCTTACATCTTTGGTCAGTAAAAGCAATATACATTGCAATAAAGGAAGGCAGCGTTTTTCCTTTATTGTAGCATTTAGGTAGAAAAGAGAAATATGAAATGATAATAGTGCATGATATGACTTTAAATGATAACTTCATGTTTATCTTTTAAAATGTAATAATATCACTGGTAATGACATACCACTTGTTAAAATGTGGAAACACTTCTCTACTGGGTGGTAAGGAGCTGCTGCCTCACATTTCCTGTGTGGTCATGCTACCACAGCCTCTCTGGTCATTACCTCTGGGCCCCCAGGATGTCCTGATCATCCTGGCATAACAGGTGGCCTCCTGCAAGGCTGCTACAGCTCCAAGACTGCTGTTTGTTCCTGTAGATGGGTGCTCTGACTGTGCCACTTGTTAACTACAGTGCGCCTTACCACTAGATCAATGCAAATGAAAATAATAGTGATGGGCTCCCACTCTGTGTGTAGGACCATTCTGTAAACTCTGGAGGGAAGTGGCCCTGTTTCCATTCTTAGGGCCAGACACACACGAGCACTTGATAAACATTTTCTCAGCAGTCAATGATCTCATGCGATTCCATCAGTGACATTATAAGGCAGGTGTTTTAAATCCAGTTTTGTAATTGCTAAGAAGATGTCCTAAAGAATTCAAATAACATGACCTGAGTCCAGCTGAGAGGGGAAGGAGTGGATAGTTCAACCCAGGAGTGTCATGGCAGGTTAAAAGACTTCACTCTTCTAGGGTGCTTGAGATGTTCTGAAACCTCACAGGTACCTGCTAACTTGAATGGTCTGTGATTCCCGATTTTGAAGGTAACTTGGTTTTAGGTTCCCCGAGAAAGATGGGTGGGAGGAAGGGTACTGTGTATGTGAAATGGAGCAGGAGGGATGGGCTGTGGATCCAGGAAAAGGGGCTCTAAGATCATCCTGAGAGATTACAACACACCTGCCCCCAACTATTGGACCCTATAAACCAAAAAGTCCTTCCCTATAGGAAGAGGAGAAAAAAAAGACAAAATTATGTGAGAGGAAACTATACATCAACCATCATACCACCATACCTGCTCCCCCATTAGCCCTCTGAATATAGAGAACGGAGCGTCAATTTTCCAGAGGTACTAATGGTTTCTAATTAAGGCAGAGACATAGAACTAAGTGTTTAGAGGCCTTTTGCTGTGTTAAATAAGGCCAGAGCAATTGGAGGAAGCTGCTCAGAATAGGGAGACTGGGTGTTTGAAAGCCAAGCCTCTCAAGCTTCTGAGTTTGTGTAGAGCCCCTTGGTAGCTTACCCTGGCTTCCTTGTATCATCAGAATTGCATAGAGACAGAGAACACAAGCCTTGGGCTATGTTTTAGTAATTACAGTTAATAAAATTCATTAAGAGATTATAAATTAATGTCTAACAGTCTCATTTTAACACTTGTGTGTTGATAGGCATAGATATTAGAAAAACTGTTAACCCATAATAATAGCCATCACTTATTTAACTCCTATACTGTCCTGGGCTTTAGATATTTTGGTCTCGTTAATCTTCACAACACCTTTATGAGATAGTTATTTTGACTGTGGTAGTTTGAATCTCAGTTCTTCACTCCCTCTATGGATTTACAAAGGCTTCATGGGGGCAGAGTGCACTTTCTCCCAACTTGGCTTGAGATTTGGTTATGTTACTGCTTTGTCCAATTGGATCTTCAGAGATGTGACTTGCCTTTAGATATGTTTGCACAGCCTGGCTTGCCCCTCTGTGCTCCTGTGGCTTGCCATGAGAAGAGCATCCCTGTGTTGCTGCTGGTCCAAGAAGATCAACCCACAGCCTGGAGCTCAGCCCTGCTGACTCCAGTCAATCCCAGTGGACCTTCAACTACTGGCAAATCTGTGAGCGAGAGAATAACTGCTTTTTAAGGGACTGAGATTTTTGAGATTATTTGTTGTGCAGCAAAAAAGGACAAACACATAATCCTAATCTCCAAGTGCAGACGCTGAGGTTCAAAGAGGTTACATAGTTTGGCCAGAATCACTGAAATATCACAGCACAGGCTGGATTCAAACCATGGGTCATCTCATTTCAAAGCTACATTATTGTTTGGGGAAAAGTGTCCTATATTGGAGCAAGCATAAGGTTAAATATGATGAGTATATTAAAAGTGCCTCTCCAAGCCTTACACCTAGTGGAGGGGAGGGACAGGGCATTAGAGAATGGTTGCCAGAGAATCACCTCTCCTTCCAGGATGGGGCCGTTTAATGTAGGAGTGAGAGCTTGCTGGAAATATTCCAGGATGTGGTGGCACATAGCAACCCTAAACACCACCCAGTGTTACCTGCTTCCCAGCGCCATTAATAATGATGCCCCTCCTGGGCCATAACAGGCTGAGCTTCAGCAAATCCCTTTCCTGAATGTTTAATATACCGGAGGCTTATTTAGATTCTACATGGGGAGCCTCATTTTTCTTTTATTAATTGTAATGAGAGTTATTTTTGTTGCCTTAAGTATAAAACATCCCTCTGGGGAGTTCTGGGCCCATTATAGACATGAAGAACCCAATCATCTTCTGTCCTTATAACAAGCCTAGGAGGGAGGCAAGACAGGAGCCACTTAATCGGAATTGTAATAGGAGAGGAAACCCGAAGGTTTTACAGTGGAAAACTCTAAGAGAAACAAATTAAGAAGCTAAAACTTGGCTGCTGTTGTCAAATCAGCCCCACAGGGAAGAGCCCAGGACACACAGAGGAGAAAAGAGGAAGAGGAAAAGGAACTAAGATGAGACAAAATAGTGGAGGGAAGGAGAGCCAGAAGGACAAAGGCAGGTTGTGAGATCTGGAGACAAGCTCTGCTGGGTGGGCAGTTATTTTCATGGCTTGCCAGCAAGCTGCCCCATTCAGTTGATGCCACATATGTATATCTTTAGAGTTGTAGACGCATCCCTGGGACTGACCCCAATTCAAAGGGATGATGAAAGCTGAAGAAACTTCCCTGTTGAGGAGCAGCCAGCCTTGCATTTGTATCCTCATACCAAGGGCAAATTTACTTTGGAAACTTCTTCCCCAGCTACTTTCCTAATCAAACACTTTTACCTAAAGCATTCTAAATTAACTGCTTTCAGCCTGAATGCAATAATTCTGTATTTCCTGATTTAATCTTGGCTTACATTCCCTCTATGGCTATCCTCTCCCAAGGACACACCAGGCAAAAATCTTCAAGAATAAAGATTGAATAAAGGGTTTTGCTGTCTATATGCTAGGTGAAGTTTCCTAAGACCTTCTTCCACACTCCTGCCGGCAGTTCTGGGGCCATTTTACAGCCTCTTTCCTCTTTAGTAGAAAGCATTCATGAACCATTGATTCATGAAATCAATCCAATAATGGGCTTGTTCACAGGTTTGGGACAAAGCAAGGGTAGTTGGGAAGAAATTTTTGGTAGACAAGAATGCTGAACTTGCTACCAAGGGTCCTAGCATGGCAATGTGGGAAATATCCCCCACGTGTGAAAACCCTTTCCATTATTAACCTGCACAGGATATTGAAGTGGAGCCTACATGATTGTATAGTGAATCTCAAATAGTGGCTTTTAATTTTTCCAGAAAGTATCAACCTGCTCAAACTACCTACCTCTTGCTGCAGCCTGTCTTACTTCCTGAAGCTTTGGTCATAAATCCACAGTGGCAGCTATCTTCTGAGTTTTCTTCAGATCTTCTCAGCATCCTCTGATTTGTATAGGTTGGGGCTGTGAAATAAAATGCCATAATTTAAACTGGCCTGAGAAGCAATTTGAAGAGTTGGTTCTTGGCTTAGAGGCTCTGGGTGTGGGTGGATGTCTCTGTAAGAGAGCTGACTGAGGGGTCATCCCTGGAGAGCAGGGATATCTACCTTGGTGACAGAGCTGTTGATGTTAAGAGACCTTCAGACATTAGGCTGGTCTAAGCAAGTTTGAAAATAAGTCTTTCGCTCTCTCACAGCCACTTTCTGTGCTCCTTTATGATTCCTTGATCCCGTTTTCCTCATGCCCTGAGCATTCAGGTTGCCTCCTGGTTACACTATGTGTCCATTTGACCTATTTCCCCTTAAAGGCCTCACATCGAGAATGGCTTGACTCCTCGCTCCTCCATTCTTCCATTGAAACCCTGTCAATTATTTTAATTAATTGTCTGCAAGGGAGGCTCCTAGCTCCCCCAGCCACACTTTGATTCCACCTCCAAAGAGGAAGAATTTAACTATGCATGGATGGTCAGGCTTGAAGGCATTCATTGGGTCTCATTTTCTAAGAGATAGAGTCTTATCTAGAATGGGGTAAATAAGCCCATTTTGTGGCAACCACTCCCTTAGTCTTTCCGGATACAATTCCTTCCAAGGACCTAGAGGAACAAGGCAGAGGCTGTGTGGAGACTTGGCTGTGCTTGACTATGCATAGAGAGTCCTGGCCTGGTAGAATCTGTCTGCCTATTTCTGTCTCTCCCCATGTATTGCCTACTCTTTCTTTATAAGCTTTGCCCTTTAGGAGGCCAGAGGTAAGAAGTACCCTTTTTCCATGATGAAAGAGGTAGTCCTCTTCCCACTTCCTTTAAAAAGCTAAGTGAAAGCTAAAGTAACGTTCAAGGGAAAGCAAGCACTTCAACCTTCCCAGTCTAGCAAAGGGGAGTTCTGACAGGCAGCAGAGCTAACTAGGGTTAGAGATCTACCTTATGGTTTGGGGCCAAAGCATCAGCTACTAGCAAAGGATGAATGTTCTCGCCATTGTCCTCTGTGTGTATAGATTTCTGGACCACTTGTGGGGTGGTGTGGCTAGCTAAAACCAGAATTCTGGGCTCCTGGGCCTCTCTGAAGAAAGGTCTTAATTTTTGAAGATCAGAGGGTTATGAGACCTGTTCACCTGTAGCTCCCCCTCCTGACCTTCCCATGCTTATCTGGAGTAGGTGTAAGAAATCCAGCAAACTTTTATAACTACCTTAGGCTAAGATGTGATTGATTGAAAGTCTACCTCTCCAAGTAGTACAGGTTGGATATCCCTAGTTCAAAAATCTGAAATCTGAAAATGTTTGAGCACTGACATGATGCCAATAGTATAAAATTACACATCTGACCTCATGTGATGAGTCACAGTCAAAACTTTGTTCCTTGCACAAAATTACTAAAAATAGTACATAAAAGTACCTTTAGGCTATGTGTATAAGGTATATGAAACCTAAATAAATTTCATGTTTAGATGTAGGTGCATCCCCAAGGTATCTCATTATGTATATACAAAAATTCCCAAATCCCCCAAAATCCGAAATTCAGTACACTTCTGGTCCCAAGCAGAAGGAATAAGGAATACTGGATAAGAAATACTCAACCAGTATTTACATTTTAGGTGTCAAGAATTAACTCTAATGTCTTTCTCACAAAGATATTGTGAACTCAGCTGACATGCTCCTGATCAACTGAATGATGAGCTTCCTGCTGTCTTGGATAGCATTTAAAAATAGGCACCCGTGCAAAACCAAACACACCCACACAGCAAAGCATTCAGGGAATTCATTTCTTTAGGTTTGCTCACACCTGGCATAGCATCATGGGCAAAATTATTTAAGCATTTTAAGGGCATTAGTAATTCCCCAACAGCAGCGCAGAGGGTGATATGGCTGAACACATGTCATATAATCAGATTTTTAAAATTTCAACTCATCAATTGATGATGATAATATACTTGGGCATTGCCCATGTTGTTAACCTCAGCAATCAAAATAAAGTAATTATACTAATTAGAAGCCTCTTAAAACCCAGCTCAGTGTCCTTGTGCATGAGAGGCAAGCTGTGCCACAGTCACTTCACAGAGCTCGGAGACCCCATAAAGTCTTAGGAGCTCCTCATGGGGCCAGTAGCCACATTGCCAGGGAAAAGGAGTATTAGAGGTGAGTCTAGAGGGAGATGGATAAACCTTTCACTCAGAAATGGCCTTAGATGCTGGAAAGAGTTGCAAGTGGCCGAATTGGCCTGATGGTCTGGAACCAGAGATTTAAGAAGCACTGAAGCCCAGTGAACTGTGACTGTCCCAAGTGTTCTGGTGGACAGTCAGTCATCTACTTGAGTGGGATTGCTGACAGAGTATTAAAGGAGACCCAATAGATGCACAGTTATTTGGATACCTCTCTATTGGGAATTGAAGTGACCATATGCAGACCTGCAAGGTAGCCACATTTTATTACCAAGTATCTTGAGCTGACAGCCAGGCTAAGTGAGTAAAATGTGGTGAATCTGAAGGTGATCATGGTAAAGAGAAGCCTAGTTATTGAGTCAGAAATGGATATACTATCATGTGAGAGCTCAAATCTGGAACAATGAATGGAAAAGTGGAGAAGGGTAGAGGGCATTGTACAGCTTGAAAAAACGAAGGAGGCTGGGTGCAGTGGCTCATGCCTGTAATCCCAGCACTTTGGGAGGCTGAGGCAGGCAGATCATGAGGTCAGGAGATTGAGACCATCCTGGCTAACATGGCAAAACCCCGTCTCTACTAAAAATACAAAAAATTAGCCAGCGGTGGTGGCAAGTGCCTGTAGTCCCAGCTACTCAGGAAGCTGAGGCAGGAGAATCGCTTGAACCTGTGAGGTGGAGGTTGCAGTGAGCCACGATCACGCCACTGCAGTCCAGCCTGGACGACAGAGCAAGACTCTGTCTTAAAAAAAAAAAAAAAAAAAAAAAAAGAAGGAAAGGTACAAAAATGTAACTAAACTGATTGTTTCTGAAAATCATGGCACCTAACACTTGTTTGCAAGAATTATACTCATTGTGGCCTTGAATATTTTTCATACTCTGACCTGCTTAAAGACATCATGCTTCCAAAATTTCCTACTCTATAGTAATCAAGCTATTATAATAATATGCATTACCTCCATAGACAAATGACATGGCAGGTATAAAATAATATGCATAAAACATTTACTATTAGGTTATTAGAGCAGTAGGAAAAGTGACTTACATTAACTTGCATTATAGGAGTAAATGGGTGAATAGGGTAAAAAACAGTAAAACAAAGGGATGGAAAATTGGGAAAGCCACCAAAAGCCTAGAAAGGCTTATGTGGTATAAAAATAACCACAGATCTTACAGACTAAACAGTAAAATTGCTCAGCTAATTCATATCTTACATTGAGTGACTTAAGTGAAGATAAGTTGATGGGAATAATTGACAAATGCACACAAAAATTAAGTCAGTACTCAAAACATTACAGAAATAGAAGGAAATTCAGGATTTGCAAAATTAAGATAAGTAATTCCAGGAAAACCAACTAAAATGTACTTGGCTTGACAATAACACCATTTAGCTCTCACCAAGAGTGTAACTCAAATATGATGTGTGATTGAATTGTTGGCAAATGTTTGTCAAGTTCCTAATATCTAATGGCTACAGCATTGTGGTTGTGAGAGAATCAACTGGGCAGATGAGCCATGGAATTGTCAACCTATTGTCATCTTAACAGGAGTTTACTGAAGCAATGTAAATAACACTTCACTAGAAAGCTGCAGGTTCTGACTTGCAAATAATATAGTCCAAGAGCTCCCAATAACACGTGACAGTAATGCAAGATGTTCCCTGCGAACACCATGTCAGTCAGACATAAAGGTTGATTCATGACATCTGGAAACAGCTGCCTTTTACTGAAAGACAAAGAAATTTCAAATTGCATTAAATACAGCCTGCTAATATGCTTACCTTCCATCCACAAATCATTGGCAGACATTTGGGGCTGAGATTTCCTCACATTGTCACAAAAATTAGGTCAGAGTAATAAATAGAAAAGATGTTAGAATTTGGACAAGGAGGTAACAAGCAGATCCCCAAATAGGTCAAAAACAGCAAAGCCAATCAAAACCATTTAGGACTGTGACTGTGGTTATCCAAAAGTGACAGGGTCTGGGAGTACATGTGGATGAACTGAACTATAACATTATTCTTGAAAGATTGTCTCCATTCAACAACATCAATATATATCACCCGGAAACCTACTATTAAATTAGTGTACTCCTGTCTCATCTAAATCTAGATCATTGCTAATTATACATGATGCTTTTTTCAGAGCTTAAATGTAGGAGTCAGGAATAACAGGATTCAAATATAGGCCCTTCAATGTGATGTTCCTAAAATACTTTTTTTTTTTCCCCACAAAGTCTACTGTTTGTCATCTTTAGCATGGGAGATGCCAATGGTACCAACATCTTTGGATTATTATAAGGTTTGAATCAGATTAAAATCAGGCAATGCATGTAAAAGGGCTTTTTTTTTGCAGCTAAAATTCAAAGTCTGGCTGAGTAGAGAAATTTGTAGTGTGGTAGATGATGTGAATCCCAAGGTTTGCTTTTAGCAGATCTCTCTACCATTTGATGAGTTGTCTAATAACAGGTTTTTTTTGCCATATAGAGAAGATTATTTGGAGGATTCTTATACCTACCATTCTTGAGGTATCTCCTTCCTAACGCAAGTGTGCTGGCAATTATCTGAAACCTAATCAACTGGCTTTTTGTTTTCCTAGCTGCCACCATGGCAGAGACTGCTAGATGCTCATCAAACCCATTTCCTCCTCCTACTGAGCATACAGTCAAATCCATTTCCCTTTTGTGGTCACGTAACTGTGTTCTAGCCAGAGAAATGTGAGAAGAAGTAGTATGCACTACTTCCAGGCCTGGCCTATAAAATCCTCCTACATGCATCTTCCCAGCTCCCTTCTCCTTTTGGCTTGTTAGAATGCATTGACTTTCATGATGGTTTGAAAGCACATGCTGAATATAATAGAACCTGAACACAGAAGGAGCCTGGGCCCTTGATTCACTCCTTTGAGGCCAGCCACCCAACCAGGAATGCTAAATTGAACTATTACATGACTTTAAGGTTCTAAGCCAATGAAATTTTGGGATTTGTCTGTTATATCAGTTAAGGTTGCCTGAAGTCACATGGCTACCTAATGAAGATGTTGGGTTTGAAGAGCCTGATAGATAACACCTCTCTCCTCCTTGCCTGAATTCAGAGCCAAATGAAAGATCAACATTGGAGCCAGTCATATAGAAATCAAATGGCTGGCTTTAACCATTAAAAATGCAACCAAATGGGCTTGCTGATGTGCTCTGCTCCCTCCTTTACAGTCTTGACTATGGGAATGGCATTTTAAAAGCAGATGCACTCATCTAGGATTGTGGCATTATTCTGGTCCTAAAAAGAGGAGAAGAAAAGAGATCAAATTCTTAGGGTTCCTAAGAATTAATTCTCTCCTAACTACGAAATGTAGACCAATAGCTTTCACCTTCAATTGATGTGAACCATTTGTGAGTAAGGCTCGTGAGACCAGGACTATTACTCTGATAGTTATCTCTCTACATGCTAATGCAGGATTGAAGTTCATGTCTACAAACCAGTCAGTCCATGTCTACATGCCACACATGGTCTAAGGGGCACAATATGCATTTCTTTTGGAAGTCACTTTGCCACCATGGCCTTTCCATGATTACTTTTAAACTATTAGAACCCTGCCCGCCCCCCGCCCCCTGCCCCAGTTTGGAATTCTTCATTTGAGAAAGTCATTCCCTTCAATAAGCAGGCTGTTGCTGGGGGAGGAGGATGTTTGTAGAGCAGTGAGGAAGGGCATATACCTCAGTTTGCCAGACCAGCTGGATTAATCTTCAGAAATTAGGACATGGCACATCCAGGTCTGGCCCTTCATAGCTTGTCATATCTGCACAACCTGGGTGCTGATGGATTTTGTCATTTTCCTGGGGAGAATTTTCAATCATACTTATGATTGATTTGGGTCATCATGCCCATTGCTTGTGTGCAAATTAGCTATTAATAAGGCCCCAAAGTCAGAATAGGTGATGAGATGTGTCACCCAGTCATGTGATAGAATGCAAATGTGATGTCACTCACACTTCTTAGAGGATCTGTCAGTTTTAAATCCTCCAGTTCTTTGTTTTGTTGCCAAATGGAATGAACCATTATTACAGCTTTCAGCTGGGGGAGGTACCTTCAAATTAAAGGCTATCGTCCTAAACTAGTGACTATTTCAGAGACACTTGCATGGTCTATTATAATTCTGCTGGTAGACTGAATCCATAAAGGAGAAAACTAAATAGCACTGACTTTGGCTTTAAGAGCAGACATCAGGACCAATTTAACTTTATAAGCCATTTGGTGTGCATGGGCAACTTTGAGTTCTCTGCCAGCTCAGAAGCACAGTGCTATAGCTATTAAATGGAATAAGAAACTTACAGGTGATGTACAGTTGAATTGGGGTATCAATAAATACAAGTCAATCCAAACAATAAGATCTAAATGATACTCCAGTCTGATGGCTAGATTGTGGTCAGGAAATTCAAATCTTTTGAGCTCAGAGGGAAAATGAGGAACTCATCAACATTTGAAATACCAGTGTTTCAGAAGAGCGAGGCACCCAAAAATAAAATAAAAATTGAATAAAACATTTATTTATTTTTATTATTAATAACAGGCAAAATTTCAAAGCTCATGATATGAAAGGCACCTTAAATTCTAAAAAAGTCTACATGCTAGTTATTATTCTATTACTTCACTTAAGTTTCATAACCATACAGAGAGGGAGAGAGAGAGGGGATATATTTGACATATGCAAGGAACAAAATGTGGGAATGTGTTTCTGTGTGCCAATTCTCACTGGGTATTACTGACACAGGATTTTTCTTGGTCACTTATCAGCTGGAGACCCCCAGCTGGTGACACCCTTGCCCAGGCCTTGCTCAGGCCTGGGTTTGCCACAGGAGATGCCCTGCCCACTAGGCCCAGTGGGCTGTACCTGACCTGCATTCCAGCATGGATCCCGCGGCTGCTGCGACTGCGTGCTTAGCCCCCAGCAAGAGGGGTTGTGTAAGTGAGGGAGTGTGGAGTCTGGCTGGCTGCTCCAAGTGCTGACATAGGGGCAGGCTCTGTGCAGTGCTTGTGGCCAGACCAAGCGTGTTGCAAGCCACTCTTATGGTAGACTCTGGTGTCCAGAAGAGGGGACTGTGGTGGTGCCCAGGCAGGAGTGCCCATGACCCTGAAGCCCCAGAGAGAGTGTTACAGCATGCTAATTAGCTCTTTTAGTCCCGTCATCCACAACCCAGTGGACGGTGGCGTGTTAACAGCTCTGCCCTGTGGCAGAGGGCCATGGTGTTACAGTCTTCTCTATACCCACATTTTGGTAGGTCCCAAGCTCTTGTCCTGTGTCCAAGAAGGAGGAGGATACACTGACAATTAAAGGGTGAGGAGGGCAGAGAATAATTTTATTGAGTGAAGAACAGTTCTCAGGGGAGAGGGGACATGAGGCTGGTCTCCTACTTGACGTCGGGTGACTTCTCTTTCAATGTGGCTGGGTCCAGGGCTTTTATGGGCTTAGAATGGGGAGTGTGTGCTGATTGGTTTGTGAGTATGGAAAAAAGGTTAAAACAAAACTCAAAGGTGGGCATGACAGTATAAAAACCAATTAGGGAAGGGTAGGTATATGTAAAATAGGTGAAGGGTGGGGACCAATCAGAGGAAACTGTGCCAAACCAGAAAAGAGGTTCTCAATCTGGTCCATGGATTTGACTTGTAGCTTAGTTTTCAGGCTTTGAACTATCTTAGGCTTGAAGGTCAGGTTTCACCAGGGAGTTGCTCCTGTCTGCCTTGGATTTGTCTACCTCCTGTCACTATCAGTACAGGAGAGGCCAAAAGGCCCAACACAGGCCTTGAGGTCCCCAAGCAATTCCAGAGATTCCTGGGGAAAGGGTATGATTCTCTGTGAATAAAAATGGCAAGGATCCTCTGTCCTACAGGCAGCAGAGTAAATGAAAGTCTGCAATTTGTTTTCTACACAGATTGCCAAATTGAATGCTTATTAAATTCAAGCATTTAGACATTGACCTGTATACATCACCACAAAACTATGTTCTGGACCTGGAAGTACAAAAGAAGCACTGACCATTTTTCCACAATTTTATAGCTGAGTCAGGTTTAGAGAAGGTGCTCAAATGTTTTCAATTAGCTAAATAAATATTGGTTAAGATGAGCTAAAAATGACAGGCCGTAATGCAATTATGGGAACTCAGAATAGGATGGTGTGGAAAACATTGGGTTGATATACTTGGATACAGGAGTACAGTAGCTAATGAGAACTATGCTTGAAATTGAGAAGTGCATCACTTTTTCTTATTGTTAAAGTGTATAGCTAAAGCTGTATAAGACAGAGTTTTAACTGGGATGGTAAGTGGATAACAGCGCACTAGACCATAAAACAATATTTACAATAGCATAAGGCATGGGGAAACAATATGTTGAAACCATGTTTACATGTTGGGATCAACAGAACACAAGGTCTTTGGTTTATTTATTTTTTAAATGATTAAAGCAGTAGATATTATTGCTATTCAATATGCAGAAGTGTCCCAAGAACATATACAAGAAGATAAGAAAAGAAAGATGGATCAAACTGAGACAAATTTGAAGATCACAGAAGTAAGGTAACTCATCGCTCTGGCCACCACGCTGACCTCCGTGAGCCTTCCGGCCTTGGACACAGATGAGAAAGTCATGCCATGTTGTCTCTTAACCACAGATAAGAGTCAGCCTCTGTTCTTTAAAGCCATGCTTCATGCGTTAATTTAAAGGGCTATAATTCCAGACATCTGAGACAATTGGGAGATAGGATGCTAAAAAACAGTTCAATGTAGTTCATGTCCACTTTGTTATAAAGTGATTCATGAGACCAGCTCAATCTGAAGTATAGAAATATGAAATAATAATAGAACCCAGAATTTATAGGATGCCTTCACTCCCAAGCATATGAAATATCTTCATGTGTACTCTATTTGATTTAGGTTAATATTCTCTCTATTAGCTAATGTATGGACATGGAATAATTCCCGTTTAAGAGAGAGAAGAACAAAGACACAGAGAGATGAGGTGATTTACCCAGCACCTGGGTATCAAAAGTAGAACTAGAATTTTCCATTCACTAGCCACTTCCCATAAATATGGATGGTCCAGATTCTAGTGGATTATCCGAGGGGTATCAAAAACACTGTAAATGGCCCAGTTTTTGTCTACTTCTTCATGATATTGCAATCCCTTTGCCAATGTGTGTCTTTTGACTAGAAACTTTCTTATCTCTAGTGAGAAAAACAGGACATTAAAGAGTTTCTGTGGAAGTCAAGGAAATCATTGGAGTTTTGTGGAAGGGAGGAGAATTAGGCTAATTGCTGCTCTGCCACTTTGGAAATGTTAAAAAATCAGTAGCAAAGGCTTATTTAAAGCTTAAAGGAAATAAAAGCAGGGCAGTAAGCCACCTGCTATGGCTGGGGGTACAAGGGCAGTAAATCCAGGAGGTGCTTTTCATGTACGGTGTATAATTTGGTCCCTGACAGAGCTCGGATGAGGAATAGTCCTATATAACTATTGATCCACAGAGCTATCAGGGACATCATTTAACTTGATGGCTTGTGTTGGTCCCTTAGGATGTGGAGTCAGCTTTAACCTGCAAGGGAAAAAAAATTAAAGGTAAATGAAAAGAATAGAAGGGAAAAACCACGCAGAGTTTTCCGTACTCTCCCTTTTAATAAGATACATTTCCAAGTGACCCTCATTTTCAGCTGCCGTGGTATGTGTTGGTGTATTTCATTCATTTACCTATAGAATTATATTCAGCAACGCCTATCACTCAATATCCTATTAGACATTTACAAATACATCATCGATACCTAGTCTTTGACAGTGATTGCAGCCTAGGAGACAAAGACAAATAGGCCACCCCTGGCCACAATCAGTAGCAATCCCAGGCCAATGTGAGACTCCAAAGGGGGAAAATGGGATGCTGCCACTCAGTGGGAGGAGTCAGTTGCCTGTCAAACGTAGAGATGTCTCCTTTCATTGAGACCTTGCCATTCCTGGAACTGCAGAAGCTGATGTGTTTCAGGCTGTTGATCCAAGCCTGCGAATTCTTAGGTCAGGGGTGTCCAATCTTTTGGCTTCCCTTAATCACATTGGAAGAAGAATTGTCTTGGGCCACACATAAATACACTAACACTAATGATAGCTAATGAGCTAAAAGAAAAAACTTACACAAAAAATCTCATAATATTTTAAGAAAATTTACAAATTTGTGTTGGGCTGCATTCAAAGCTATCCTGGATAGCCTTACTTCATCCTTTTGGCCTAATTGTCTGGTGCTGCTGCTCCAGTTTGGGCCCTTTCCTCCCTTCTTTGACCACAGTTCAGACTGTCCTTCCAGTTATATTGCTTTCAGCTGCCTTTGGTAAATGTTCCATTTGGTCCTGGCCACATTCCGGAAATATAAACCACCACATATGCTTTCAAGGAGGCAATGCCCCCTCTGACTTTACTTCCCACTAAGGGGATCGAACCACATATAATTTAAAGGCTAAAAGGACAAAACACTAATGCCAATTCTTTGCCAGTGTTTTGTTCATTTCTATCATTAACTCAAATACTTTATATGTAATCAACCCACAGTCATTACTCACTGTTGATGAGAAATAAGATGCCTGCGTATCATGTCTATTAACATGTACATCTCCCCAAGACTTAAGGTCCTGCAAGGTCAGGACAGTCTCTTGTAAAATTTTTTATTCCTTGAAGGTACACCTATAACAGATATTTTGGATTATTGAATCCAGAGAATTTGTTTGTTGAAATGAAAAGGTTTATGTCTTGTATCTTCTAAACAGTGAAATCTCTGCTCCTTTAGGTATCTTGACTCAATGCTTTTTCAATTCTTCATCCACTTCTCTGGCCTTCCTCAGCATTCTTCTTGCCCTGTCCTCAGCCTTCATAGTCTGGTGTGCTTCTGGGTCTGGTCTTGGCAGCCTTTTCAGCCCACGTAATTTATCTGATGACACCCATATTTATAGATTGAGCCCGTCCTTTTCTGCTTTTCTATCAAAATGTCTAATGGACCTCTCTACTTGATTGTCATTAAAGAATTTCCAATAAAAATGCCCAAACCTATATTCATCAACTTCTCCCTCCTAAATCTTGTTACCTGCCTATATCCCCACTCTCAAATCAAACCCATCTCTCCCTTCCCACCTTCACCTGATATGGGCTCCTACTGGGTTCCTTGGCTTCAATTTGTTCCTCTTTTCCTCTTATGCTTACTTATGCTTAGAGTGATCATCCCAAAACACCAACAGATTAATTCATTTGTTCAATTCATACTGTTGAGCACCTGCTGTGCAGAAGGCACAAAATAACACAGTGGTGAATTAAGCAGACTTGATCCCTATCTGCCCTTGGGGAGTTCATGCCTCTTTTCTCATTAAACCCTTTGACGGCTTCCTTAGCTATGGGGCCAAAGTCCAACTTTTTACCTGGCCACAAAAGACCTTTCAAAAAGTGAACTTTCTCAATTCATCTTTAGCCACTACCCATTTACCTTCTGCTCTCCAATTATATACAACTACTTGCAGTTTTTCAAACATGTTGTAATATTTCCCCCTCTGTTGACCTTTTAACTCCTCAAGATCCTGTTCATCATCTTCTTAGAGTTGATTTTTCTCTCTTTTTTTAATCATTACTGTACCTTGTAATATTTCTACTTTTAGCACTGCAAAGCAGAATTTGTTTATATTTCTACCTCTCCAACTAAATTGTGACCTACTATGTCTCTTTATCGTATACTTGGCATTTAGCATAATGTCTGGGATATAGTAGGGACATTTTATTTTAGAAAAAAAATTTACTTAAGCTAACTAACTCATGATTGTTCTTCAGAGAACTGCAAGCTTGATCCTAATGAATGAAAAAAAGTTCTAATTTTATCTCATAATAATAATAGACATTAAATATCATGTACTTAATTTATCAACTGGATAATATTCATTAAGTGTCAGCAATCTGATGCTTATGAGACCTGATTTAGAAGTGAATAATGGTTGCCTGTTTTCATCTGAGTCTTTTAACACTATGATTTTCAAGTGTTAAAGATGTCAAACAAGGGCAGTTAATTAGATAAGCTGTTGATTTGAGACTACATGTGTCAGGATTTTCTAAGTTGTTCATCGATGATGGATTTACATCATTTTATCAATAATTTAGGTTCCTACTCTGTATATCTTTCTGTCCAAGACAATAAAGAAGTAAAAAACAGTAGAAAGTATGGCTGCTGCTTGTAATGTATTTGGAGAAACATGATAAACCTAGGTCACAAGTAGATAGCATGATACATGAAATGAGAAATACTATACTTGAAAGCAAAAGACAAGTTCTAGTGGTTCATACTGTAGTAGTGGTCCAAGAGACATGGGGCTCGGCCGGGAAGGCTTCTTAAAAGTTTCTAGTTGGTTCCTGCTCATGGCGCTAGATAGACTAGACATGTTGACAGTGGCTTCTGTTTACCTCTGTATTTTCAGTATCAAGCATAGTGCTCAGTATATAATAGAAGCTCAATGAATGCTGAATGAATGAATGAATGAATTAACATATTAGTGGTAAGTCAAGGACTAAGCCTTGAATATGAACAAAGTGTAAGCATTTAATTTCAACTAGAGATGGCAAGCACATTTCTACTCCCTTGGCAACTAAGATCTAATGGTAGCATTTGTCTGTAGTACCGTATTTTGGGAGTGTCAGACTAATGTTGGGTTCAGCAGGTAAGAGTTCAATGGTCGGCCGGGCGCGGTGGCTCACGCCTGTAATCCCAGCACTTTGGGAGGCCGAGGCGGGTGGATCATGAGGTCAGGAGATCGAGACCATCCTGGCTAACAAGGTGAAACCCCGTCTCTACTAAAAATACAAAAAAAATTAGCCGGGCGCGGTGGCGGGCGCCTGTAGTCCCAGCTACTCGGGAGGCTGAGGCAGGAGAATGGCGTGAACCCGGGAAGCGGAGCTTGCAGTGAGCCGAGATTGCGCCACTGCAGTCCGCAGTCCCGCCTGGGCGACAGAGCGAGACTCCGTCTCAAAAAAAAAAAAAAAAAAAAAAAAAAAAGAGTTCAATGGTCAAATAGGAAGACATGGGAGGAGAGCATGGCAGCCCTTTTGCTGGGAATTTCCCACTTCAACTGTCTAGGCAATGGGATTTCTGATAACTTACAGGGCAATATGAAGAACATGACTTTGAGAAATATCACAGATAAATAGCTGTGATATAGATGTATAGAATGGGCTGTGTTGGAGAAAGACTGGAGCCTCTGTGTGACTATGTGATTATGAGTGTATGTGGTTGTGGGTACAAGCAGAAAGGTTATTTTCACCTTGATTCCTGTAACACATAATTTTCATATTTCTAAAGCCCGATTTTCTCTATTGCTGATAAGTTTCTAAAGAATGGGCACATTAGTTCTGAACACTTTTTGAATAAAAGTTTTGTTGTGTTGTTCGCTTCTCATAGAACCTTAGCAGGTGACTTTAGGATCAATCGATCAGGTGGACTGGCCTGAAGTGGATTCTCCCAAGAACCTTCTAAAGCTGGGAGTCCTCCAGAACTGGCAGAAAGTGAATGTTTGTCATCAGGTATAAACAACAGCCATGAGTGTGTTATTCAGAAGTTATCCATGCATTACTGAGGCCAGAAGTTGTGCTGTGGCAGAAGGAACCTACACTCTGACATATTAGGAAGTATGCACTTTACAGATTCTTACCGTATGCAGAAAGTCATAGCACATTTCATTTACAGGGTAGTCCTGCCAAAGTGTATGAGCTGTGTATAGGCATAGTCATAAAATGTTGCTCAAACAGAAGAGAAATTAAACACAAAGACTTACTTGTTTTTTTTCTCTTTCTCTCTATAGCTTTGACTTTGGAAACAATTTCTTTCCTTCCTAAATGGAATTGCTGCCAATTACACAGCACCATGGAAATTATCTAGTTAATATTAGAGAAAATTAGCAGCCCATGTGATTGAACATAGAGAAGAGAGAAAGGCTGCTGTTCCTAGGGACTTGGGTAACTCTCATCTCTAAGATTTAGAGAACTTTGCACATTTAATATTTAGACAAGAAAATCTACTGAGGAATGACAGCAGTTGCAGGTTGCAGGACTGGGTTATATTGCTGGTTGAAGGTAAAATATTGTGAAACTAAGAACAGTCATCTGAGCATGATAAGGGAGTATACTGGTGACTTGAGGATGTCTGACTACAGAATATGCATGTCTGATTTGAGAAGGTGGTGAGTTTATGCTTGGGCCATATTACTGCGTAGGAGCAGAAGGCTAGATAGCACTGAAGCTGCTCACTGTGGATGAATACAATCCTACACATCAGCGTAATTCTAAGGTGACTATAATTGCAGCAGAAGTTAGGAGATCCAAATTCTAACTCAGAGAGTGCCCTGCTACTAATCTGTTTAGGACAAGTCACTTAACCTCTTAATGCCTCTGTTTCCTTATCTGTGAGATGGACAAAACACCTGCCCTGCATGTTTTACCTGATTTTTGTAAGGATAAGATGAGCTTTGCCTATGAAGGCACAGTACATGTTGAGACAAAGCTGGCCAACAGAACTTCCAAGTATATGGGTGGAAAAGAATAAAATATCTCAGTAGTAAAAATGGAAGACCTCAGGAAATGGAAGCAGCTGGGGAATGCAGTGTGTGAGTATAAGGCATGCAGAATCTGGCACAAACAGGAAATTAACAGGAGGATGCATATGTTTGCATCAACAATATCTCTGTAAGTCGACCCCCCATACACACATACCATACTCTCACTGATCAGCAAAGGGAAGCAGGAGGTACCCAATGTAATCAGTGGCCAGTCTTGCCCAACTTGCTTCCATTTCAGCCCAGTTCATTTGGCTGTTGGCTCGGCTTCTGTGCTCTGGTCTTGGTATTTTAATGTGGCTCTCAGCTGGGCTCTGCATGTCCCTTCCAGGCATCCAGCTTGGGCTCATGGGGACTGGGATGGGTTCAACTTGTCCTCCTAATCAGAGAATTAAAAAGCACTACTGCAGGAATGTAGCTGTATCCCTAAGATTTTGTCATCTGTCTTTTGCTGTGGCAAAGAGGGAGTCCTAGTGGTCATTCATACTGGGTCTTTGAAGATAAAATGTTCTAAAATTGTGGCATGGTGCAAAATGGGAAGGACATAGGGAGCATGGGCAGAGGAAGGAAGCAAAAACATGGAGGCATCCCTTGTTTTTCCGAGTTTTCAGGAAAAGAAAAGCAACATGCAGCTCCTGAGCAGGGAAGAAGCAACAGGAATAAACCTTTGGGGCACATACTGGACCTGAATCTTTGGTCTCTCTCTTGAGGCAAAAAGTAGCTACTCAGGGAAAAACAATGCAGTGTGGGAACTGTAATTATGAATTCAGTGAATGGATGCTATTTATAGTATACCATATTCTGCAGGCAGGGAGTTCAATATGAAGTTCAGAGCCACAGACAAATTGAATTTGGTGTGGAGGTTCTGTCAGGAGAAAAGGACTGCTGGAAGAATGTGGTGGGCTTTAACAGAGCAGGTTAGGGTCAGAGGCTCTGTTCATTCTATTCATAAATGAAAGAGTAAGTACAGAAAACACTATGACTTTGTTTAGGAGGATTTACTTGTGGTACCAGTTCCAGTAAAGCAGCTTGCTTTGAGGTTTGAACTTGGCAATATGAATGGGAAGTTGGGCTGTAGCAATTTGAAGGGTGGCTTCTCTACCTGCTAGGAAGTTTTAGGTTTTTTTTTTAAATTTAAGGTGGAAAAGTGGGTCATAACTGGAATGAAGGTAATCCAAAAGGTAAAAGGTAAAACTGGAAGCTAAGAAATCATTTATGCTTAGTAATGTGCCAGTAAGCCAAGTGGTTTGGTTATGGAAAGCAAGGATACCAGATTACTGAATCTATATAAACATTTGGGAAATAAAGTCTATAAAAAACAATCAAACCTTGTTCAAGAGAAATTTTTAATTACATTGTAAAAAATGAAATTAAGCACCCTTAAATCTTAGTTCAGATAAAAAATTAAAACTCTAGACTATTTAGAGATATATGAAATGAGAACACCACACACAAAAACTGATGGAATGTGGCTACAGTTATAACAAAATAAAAATTTATAATCATAAATGTGTTGATTAGGAGAAGAAAGACTAAAATAATCAAGCTAAGCATTTAGTTCAAGAAATAAAAATGGGCCGGGCATGGTGGCTCATGCCTGTAATCTCAGTACTTTGGGAGGCCGAGGAGGGCAGATCACTTGAGGCTAGGAGTTTGAGACCAGCCTGGTCAACATGGTGAAACCCCGTCTCTACTAAACACACACAAAGTATTAGCTGGGCATGGTGGCACATGCCTGTAATCCTAGCTACCTGGGAGGCTGAGGCATGAGAATCACTTGAACTCAGAAGGCTGAGGTTGTAGTGAGCCGAGATTACGCCACTGCACTCCAGCCTGGGCGGCAGAGCAAGACTCTATCTCAAAAACAACAACAACAACAACAAAACAGTGTAATATTAAAAAGCATAAAAAAGAAAAATAAATCAATAAATATAAAAGGATAATTTAATGAAAAAGAAACAAGAGACTTAGAAGAAGTAGGTAAGTGGAATGAATGACAGGCCTTGCTTCTGCCGTTGGTCTCCAGATTACAACTGATATTCCCTGTCTTTCTCATCTTTCATCCACTCTACCTTCCTCTTAGCCTGGTCTAGCAACTCTTGTAGTACAGGTAGCTCACCTGGTAGGATGACTGAGACCCACACGCTTGGGTGATCAGAGCCCCAGGCTGTCATGTGCTTCTCAGGCAAGAACTGTGTGCTTGTTCATTTACTGTCAAAATTGTACAAGGTTGTACCAAGAGATAGTCCAGTGCATCACCTGGTTTCTAAACATTCTTCTCTGGCCCAGTGCATACCAGCAGGCCTACTTACTCATGACGATTGGCTCAGCTACCCTAGTGACTCCATGCATTGCCTACTGGTGCCTTGGCACAAGGATCCTGAAGTAAACAGATGGAAGTCATAGTTTATAGTTTAATGGGATCTTGCTGTGTCACCTGATGGAAGCTTTCCTCCTCTGGGGTCTACTGCCTCTAAAGCTACAGAGCATAGGGTTCTAGGGAAAGAAATCACAAATTTCCATAAGTGAGTCACTGCGATGATGATAAATGATGTGACTCCTATTTCTGGTCATTTAAAAAAAACCCACATATTTTATCTGTGGAGATTCAGCACTGTGCAATGTTCATCAATTTAGAGCACCTATTACAATCTGGAGAGGCTGCCTTCCTCAGAGTATCATCTCCACACTGGCCCCTCCATTGCACATTCAAAAGGCCACTCTGCTGCTCTGTCAGGCCAACAACTTCTGGCGATGCAGTATGTAACAGGCCTGGTGAATCTAATGACCATGAAGCCACTGTGGTACTTCCTTTGCTGTAAAGTGGGTACCTTGGTCCAATGTTATACTTGTGGAATCCGGGTCAGTGGATCAAATATTCTATTCTTGGGTAGTGGTGCTGGCTGAGGTCTGCAGACAGGAAAGGGAAACCTATATCCAGAGTGTGTTTCAATTCCAATCAAGATGAATCACTGGCTTTTCTAGGATGGAAGGGGTGCAGTGTAATCATTGGTTGGTCTTCTTGAGGAATGGCGCTGTTTCAGAAGCTCAGCATTTATCTCTATTGCTGGTAGGCTTGACATTTAATGGTTGCAGAAGCTAGGTAAGTCTTCGTGACTAGGAGTGTATGCTGTCAGGCCCATGCACAGCCCTGTCCCTGTCTCTGTTCCTGCACCATTGCACCAGCACTGAGGTGGCTGATGCAGGGCCTGGATAACATCAACTGGACAAGTCGTACTGCCTGCCTGGCTGTTCAGTTCCTCTTTTATGGTAGACACTCTCTGGTGGGTTATTTAACATGAGATGTAAAGATCTTCACATTTTACACTTACTTACATAGACTCATCTTCATGCCTCCTCTCTATCTCTCCTTGTGCACACTCTTCTGATCTCTCTTCTTCAGATTCCTGACACACCAGACAAGCCACTCACCATTGCCTTTGGGTCCATATATGTTCTCACTTTAGGCCACTTTTTATTCCATGCAAAGTGCATTATCAAGTGTATCTTCTGAAGCTCTGCCTCTTGGGAGGATTTTTCATACCATTGCCTTTCTAGGCCACCTCTGAGTGGGGCTTTTATGTAGCAGTGGTCCCTTTCATCCTGCATCTACACATTGAGAAGACACATCTATGATCCAAACCCAGCCTTTTGTCTTTTTTATCCTCTGGTCACATGAGGGAATCATGAAGACCCTCCCCACACCACAGATGTGAGCTGAGGGCAAGGCGTTGGCATAAGAGTACTGAATGAAATGGGGTCTGGGGCACCTGCTTGTGCTGCTTGCTTGTGCCTCTGGCCCTGGTTGTTTGATGAGTTGCTGCTGGGCCTGCGTGACCTTATTACTTGATAGGTTTGACAACACCTAATTCATGGTAAGCAGTTACAGTCAAGTGGTCATTAGATGTCCCATGGTCAGATGCTGTATCTATATCAGGAGCCAGCACCCATACAGGAACTGTTTTTCAAAAGATGCCACTTCTCCACTACTGGTGGCATGACTTTGCTTCAGTACCCTTGGGGTCTGCATTGTGGTTCTCCTCAAGTCCAGAGGGCATCTTCTCTCATAGCAGTACCTCTATAACGCAGAGTCTCCCAGGTAATATGGGCCAAGTGGCAGGCTTACTTTCAGCACAGCTTGGTCCTATTTGTAGAGCCCTTTTGTGCTGTAGTCCCCACCTAAACCTGGTAGCTATCATGGCACCCAGTAGGAGGTTAGGGTAGTATCTCCAAATATGGAATATGCTGCTTCCAGAAACTGGCCTGTCAGCATTGTGCTTCCTTCTTATTGATTGGAGGTGTGAGATGCAATAATGTGTCCTTTACTTTGAAAGGGGTGTCCCAACATCCTTGGACATCTAAAACCTTTACTGATATGGCATGTCCCTGAATCTTTATAGGGTTTATTTCTGCCCCCTCCCTCCTCTGGAGATATATATGATCAAGGCTTCCACATACTTGTTACTTGTTATTCCTCTTGTCCAATAAATGTGGTGTCATCAATATCTACAATGTCCAGTAGATTCCAATCCCTTTAAATTGTAGATGCAGGACCACTGCTACAAGTGCCATGAGAGTTAGCATAGCCCAGGAGCAATCATGTAAATGCATTCTGTTGCCTGTTCCATAATGAAAGAGAACTGTTTCTGATCCTTGTTCCTGATAAGGATGTAAAACGCCGCATTCACCAGCTCAATGGCCATGTACTTGAGGCTGTGTTGGTCTACTCTCTAGAAAAGGTACTACACCTGACACAGAAGCTGCAATTGGAGCTAAGTTTGATGTTATCCACTATTATCCTCTAGGATCTGTTTTTATTTTTAAGGAAATAGGAGTGGTGAGTTAAATAGGAATATAATGGGGCCACCACCCTTGTAACCTAGTTCTCAATAAAGCATTTGGAGGTGGGACCAATCTCTTCCATTTTCCCCAGAACATGAGAGTGTATTTTATTTACAATTTTTGACTTGGAAGGCACAGTTTTAGAGACTTTCACCTTGGCCTTCCCGACTTCAATAGCTCTTACTTCAAAAGCTAAGAAGCTCATGGAAGGATTTTGCCAAACAACAAGTATGTATACTCCAATTACATATTTTGGATTCAAGGAAATTCCACTGGGTAGCTCTGTGAACCCAGTGAACCTGTTGTGAGCAAGGTTGGGCCCAGGACTCCATTGATTACTTGTCCCTTATAAGCTCCCACTATAACAGGTAGCCATGAGGACACTTGTGTACCCAGATAGCAGTTCAGCTCCTGTGTTCAACAGTTCTTGAAAAGTTGATTTATTCTACTTTTTCCAGTGTATGATTGCCAGAATAGTGGTCATAGATCTCTTTGGAGAAGAATTAGTGAAATTATTACCATGCAAACTTGCCTTGGTATTGCAGGGTCTTTTCTTCTAGGTATCCAGCTTTTCCTTCAGTCAATGGTTCTGAATTTAAAAACTAGCTCAGGTTCAGAAACTAGACAAAGGATCATGCCTTCTTATTACAGTGTCTGTCCTTAGCCTCCTTATCATCTATCCATGATTTCTTTGGTTTAGACTGAGCAATGGGCTTATTGGCTGTCCACCTATTTTGCCCCTACCGTGCCTTATTGTGTTAACCATCTACCTAGCTCTTCATGAATCAGATACTCCTGGCTGCCACTTGGGCTTTGCAATGTATCACAGTCACTGTGCCTGCAATGGACTGAATATTTGTGTCCCCTCATAATTCATATGTTGAACCCCAATCCCTAATATGATGTATTAGGAGGTGTGGCATTTAGGAGGTTATTAGAAAATGAGGGTGGGGACCTCATGAATGGGATTAGTGCCCTTATCAAAGAGACCCTGGAGAGATCTCTCACCTCTTTCCAACCTGTGAGGATACAGAGAGAAGACAGCTAGCTATGAACCAGAAGGCAGGCCCTTACAAGACATGGAAGGTGCTGACAGCAGCACCTTGATCTTAGACTGTCTAGCCTCCATAACTGTGAGAAATAAATGTTTGTTGTTTAAGTCACCCACTCTATAGTATTTTTGTAATAGCAGTATGAACAAACTAAGACAGTGCCTTCCTTGCTTCTGACAAGTAAGGGCCACCACCAGGGTGATCATCATCTCCTTTCTTACCAGTGAGCCCAGTTCTGCAATAGCATCTCCTTCCCTAAGCTCTAGTTTACAGAGGACAGCCCCTCTCTCTGGCCCATTTCTTATTCCCTTATTGCTTTGCTAAGTGGGGTGTCCTCTGGGCCCTCCTGCAGAACATTGCCACCAGATGAGCTTTCTTGCTCTACATACCATATCCACTCTAGCGTGCCAACTTCCCAAGCTTCTAAGCTCCTCATCCTACCATCTGCTATGGCAGCTTTGGCATTTCTACTTAACTAAGTTTGGGCTCTTTCTTTCTCTCATCTTCAGAGCAATCCTAACCACATGTAAGCAACATTTCCTGGGCCAGGATATTAAATCCTATATTATGAGAGAGTGTTCCCATGTTGATAAACTCTCCCTCCCTCAACTTTATATTCCACACCCACTCTTGCTCCAAGATCCCCAGGACCCAGTTCCATACACACTCTTTCGGCTTCTCTCAGTATAAATTGGCTAGGTTTTCAGAGCATCATGGCAATAGAGTCCCTCTCCTTCCTTTGCCTGCCCAGCATATCATTGGCCAGACTGTGTTGTGACTTGATGCTAGGTCAAGTTACAAACCCCAGCAGGGGTTTGGGTGGGGATCGAACTTGAGGGAGGCTGTGTGTTGCTCTGCAGCACAGGAGTCTCTGAATCATCTTTAAGAAATTGGGGACTATAGACCCAAGGGGTTCAGGGGAATCTGGAGTGTAAAGATTTTCAAGTGCATTGACCCAAATGACCCAGCTCAAGTCTCAGGGTTCCACTCCTCAATTAGGGCCCTAACCCTGGCATAGGAGACTTACCAGGGAAGAGAATCCAACTTTCTCTGGAGCTTTGCTACTCTTATAATTAAGTCTCGGGCTTGATCCTTAACCTTCTCCTCCCCCAGGAGATCAAGGGATCAGAGCCTCTTTACATGCTGCCAAGGAGGTCCTCTGATTTTCACACTTAGCCTTCAATTAGTGATTAATTACCCTTAGCCTTTTCTTGTCTCTCTCCACTGCATCAGTGCCACTCAGCAAGCCATTGGATTCCATTGTCTTTATAATTAGTACTTCTTCAGAACCTCTCGAAAGCTTAAGCTACTGCATCTGCCAGTGCATTTTCTTCCAAGGGTGTTCTATCGCAGGATATCGCTGATAAAAAGCTTTAACAATTGCACTGCTACAGCATGCCTGTAGTTTTCAGCGAGTCACCTACCACTAGGAATGGGGTCCTCACTGCCAGCGGGTTAGTAGGTGATCCAGTTTCAAAACTGCATTTTAGTTCAGTTTTCTTCCTCCTCAGATCACTCCTGGCAACAATTGTTTTAGGTTTGCTTCCTAGGAAAATAGGCTCTGAAATGAAGGCTTCTGTGCAGGATATTTATTGATGAGTACTCTCAGGATCAATACCTCTAGGGGAGAAGAGGGAAATATTGAACTGTGATGCAACTGCCACAAGAACCTCATAACCACTCTCATGGGGAGACCTGGAGCTGGGATGGTTCTTCAGCATTTCCCTGCCATGAAGCAAGGGATTTGGATCTCGATACCCATAACCTACTAGTCACTGGATATGGGCTATCTCGGGGAAAAGTGAGCCCTTGAGCACAGCAGCTCTTTTCTGCTAAAGGGAGTCCCAGAGAGGAAGTCAATTTAAATCTGTCATCCATCAACACCCAGTAGTTGGCGAAATGCTTGCCTAAGCCCAGAGTGAGAGCCTGAGCAGCACATCACAGTGTCCATTGCAGTTCCTATATACTAGCAATAAGCCAGTAAAAATATGATGAATGACAATCCCATTAACAATAGCAACTGGAAACATAAAATGTGTTCAGAGTACCTTAAAGACTCACGTGAAAAAAACAAAAAAAACCTTTATTGAGAAACAATATCTTGACGAATGAAAATATTTACCTTCTTTCTGAATAAGAAGACAATAGGCTGGGCGCGGTGGCTCACGCCAGTAATCCCAGCACTTTGGGAGGCCAAGGTGGGCAGATCACCTGAGGTTAGGAGTTGGAGACTAGCCTGACCAACATGGAGAAACCATATCTCTACTAAAAATACAAAATTAGCTGGGCGTGGTGGTGCATGCCTGTAATCCCAGCTACTCGGGAAGCTGAGGCGGGAGAATTGCTTGAACCCGGGAGGCGGAAGTTGCGGTGAGCTGAGATCACGCCACTGCACTCCAGCCTGGGCAACAAGAGTGAAACTCCGTCTCAAAAAAAAAAAAAAAAAAAAAAAGAAGAAGAAGACAATAGACAATAGCAAAAGTACCAACTCTTTTCAAGTTAACAGAATAAAATAAGCTATAATAGAACTAAGTATAAATATTACTTTGTGTAAGATAAATATGGTACTTAAAATCACTACGGAAAGAAAGGATTATTTAATAAATGTTTTTGAAATAAATGATTAGCAATTTGGAGCAAAAATTAGATTTTCTACTTCATACTATTTACCAAATTACGTCCCATATGAATTCAATGTTTAAATAGGTGAAAATACTAGAAGAAAATATGAGTGATTTGTTAACAATCATCTTTTGGTGGAGAAGATGTTTAAGGCATGATACCACAGGCAGATAGTATATAAGAAAAAGATAATTAATTAAAATTGCTAAAGACTATTTTTTTATAAAAAGTGATAAAAATTTAAAAGCAAGTGAAAAACTAGGAATAAAATATTTATAAGGATAGTTCTACTACTATTCTTGAGGTATAGAGAACTCCTGTGATTTAAGAAAAAGACAAAAATGTATAAAGGACATAGATAATTCACAAAAGCAGGATAAAGTCAATAAATATATAGAAAATATTATTACCTACTATTAATCAAATATATGCAATTGAAAGCAGCAAATAATATCATTTATGACCTAGCAAATTGGATAAAATTTTTTAAAAAATTGTCATACCTACTGTCGTCCTGGAGGTGAGAAGTGCACATGCTCATCTCCAGAGAATAGAAACAGATACATTTATGGAGAATGTAAAGCCCACATGGAAGGTGATTTTATGATCTATATCCCCTAACTTCATTCAGATCCTTTGACCAAGGAGGTCACTTCTAGGAATGAATCCCAAAGAAGCAATTGCTGATACACATGAAGATTTTTGTACAATAATGTTCATTATACAATTATTGTTTCTAATACTAAATGTTAGAGCCAACCTGTCTCACAATAGGCATTTGTTGAATCAATAATAGCTTATCTATATTATGAAATACTAGATAGCCTTTAAAAATGATGTAGACCAATATTTAGTGACACAGAAAAATATGCATAGTAGAATGTAGGTGAACTTAGGAAGCAGCAAAATTGCATACAAAAGCAATCTCATTTTTTGCTAATGCATGGGAGGGGGGGAAAAAAACCCTAAAAGTGTATACTCTAAAATATAAATGGTGATTATTCCTTGTTGGCCAGGTTTTAGATGAATTCAATCTTCTTCTTTTTGATTTCTAGTATTTTATTTTTTCCCTTTTTTTGTAAAGAAATTAAGAATTACTACTCCATAGGCAGAGCAGCCAATTTCCTGTGTTTTCTACAATGTGTTATGAATCAGGCTGCAATGAGTACACTAAAAGTAAATGAAAATGTCCTGTGTTACCCCAGTTCTGATTCCATCCTGATGCTATTCTGATGATTTTAGAGAGATGGATCTAACTGAGAAAGAAAAAAAAAATGAAAGAAACCACAGAATCAGATTGGCTCCATAGGTCCAGCTGTAATGAACATGGATTTTTAAAGATATATACAAATTTAAAAGAATAAACTCAAACCAGGGATGTATAAAGGAAAATGACCAGCAGGTTTTTTTTTTTTTGGTTTTTTAAAAGAAAAGAAATAGAAAATATTTTAAAAAGCTAGAAAAGCCCAAAGTGAACCAAGTCCTTCAAAAATGCTTAGTATAGGGAAAAGGATTTAAAACTAAGCATGGAATAAAGAAGAAAAGAAACAGTTTTGGCTGGGTGCTTGGCAGCACTATGGTACTGTTGATGAATGAGTGTACAGAGCAAACTCCGTCAGTCCTATTTTACATTCATCTTTTCTGCCAAAAGGAATGAGGCTGGGGCTGTAGAAGGAAGAACAAACATCAGTAGGAAGGAACTGTGGCCCAGTGTGAATGAACAGATCCGGGGACCTCCCTGCTCTGGATGAATTCTAATTTCCTGGCTGGAGCAGATGCATTTCTATGTTCTTGCACATGAGAAGGCAAGAAGGCAGATCACTGCCAGTGCTCATGGACCAACTGTGGAGGGGATGAGAGACGGATCAGCACGTGGGAGCTGGGCCAGCACAGTTCCTTGCTTCAAAAAAGAAAGGAAGGTGAGGCCCTTAAATTTCAGCCCGGTGAGCAAGATTCTCAAACAAATTATTAAGGGGAAGATTCCAAGGAAACTCAGAACATGAAGCAGATAATCTTCATAAAATAAAGATGAACTGGCCAGGCATGGTGGCTTATGCCTATAATCCCAGCACTTTGGGAGGCCAAGGTGGACAGATCACGAGGTCAGGAGATCGAGACCATCCTGGCCAACATGGCGAAACCCCGTCTCTCCTAAAAATACGAAAATTAGCTGGGCATGGTGGTGCGTGCCTGTAATCCAAGCTACTCAGGAGGCTGAGGCAGGAGAATCGCTTGAACCCGGGAGGCAGAGATTGCAGTGAACTGAGATTGCGCCACTGCACTCCAGCCTGGCAACAGAGTGAGACTCTGTCAAAAAAAAAAAAAAGAAAAATGAACTACGTGGAGAAAAATAGTACAAGTCAGAGAGCAAGTGAAAGACTTCTATGTCAATGAGGTGCAGGTGATGAGGGATGGAGAAGGTTAAGGAGGAATAATGACGCCACCTACACACATCTGGGAGTATGTTGGGAGATGTGGTAATAAGAGAAGGGGATGTCACAGGAGTCCTTTATGTCATCGTTTTTAGGAAACTCAGGGAAAGGGGCAAGGCTGTGGACTAATTCTGGCATTTCAATCAAGGAGGCAGCCATTAGTGATTCGATGCAGGCCTCCAAGCTTTAGAAATGAGTTGATATCTGGAAGTGCTCCCACAACTGAAGGCTTCACTGCTGTCCTGTATTCTGTGTTAGGTTTGGTGATTGCCTGATCTGTTTCTTGGGAGTTATTTTTCATGGCTAAGAGGAGAAAGATGATAAAAAAAAAAAACAATACGCAAAGAAGATGCCGCAACTTTTAAAGGAAGAAAAGGTGAAAGCCATTATGAACCCCCAAGTTTCATTTTCATCCCTCCCTTTCTCCTTTTCTTCTTCCCTTCCCTCAATCTCAAATATTTATTAGACTACTGCTATACACAAAATATTATGCTAAATGCCAGGAATAGTTACTCATTTAATAAATATTTAAAGTGATTACTAGGCACTAAGGATTTAGCAGTGACAAATACAGGCAAAGTTCCTGTTCTGATGGTGCTTGAAGTATCATGTGCTGGGTGGGTTCTGGAGGGGATGCAGAGAAAATAATAGGCAAATGAGTATATAATCTGTGAACCTGTGACATGTGCTATGAAGAAAAAAGAATCAGAGCAGGAAGATGGAGAGCGATGGTGAGTAAGGTGTGCTGGTTCAGGGAGGGCCTCTCTGGAAAGATGACATTTGAGCAAAGGACTACATGAAGTAAGGCCTGAGCTGTGCTAAGATCTGGGGCAATGGTTTCTAAACTTGATACCCAAATGATGAATAGGAGTTTTCCAGTTATACAAATAACACAGAAGAACAACAATCTTGCAGATAGAGGAAATACCTTGTGCCAAGTCCCCAAGGCAGGAAAGAGCGTGGCTTATCTCATCTAAGGGACTGAAGGAAGGCTGGTTTGAAATGAAATGTGAGGACAGCCAAAAACGAGCTTGAAGATCAGGAAGGTCCAAACACCTGACAGCCTTGAAGTTCTGCTCAGGGTCTGGACTCCTCCTTAATGGCAGGGAGGACTCGTCGATAGTTTTAAGCAGGGTAGTAGCAGGATCACATTTTTTTTTATTATACTTTAAGTTTTAGGGTACATGTGCACAACGTGCAGGTTTGTTACATATGTAAACATGTGCCATATTGGCGTGCTGCACCCATTAACTCATCATTTAGCATTAGGTATATCTCCTAATGCTATCCCTCCCCCCTCCCCCCTCCCCTCACCGCACAACAAGCCCCGGTGTGTGATGTTCCCCTTCCTGTGTCCATGTGTTCTCATTGTTCAATTCCCACCTATGAGTGAGAACATGCGGTGTTTGGTTTTTTGTCCTTGTGATAGTTTGCTGAGAATGATGGTTTCCAGCTTCATCCATGTCCCTACAAAGGACATGAAGTCATCATTTTTTATGGCTGCATAGTATTCCATGGTGTATATGTGCCACATTTTCTTAATCCAGTCTATCATTGTTGGACATTTGGGTTGGTTCCAAGTCTTTACTATTGCGTAATAGTGCTGCAATAAACATACGTGTGCATGTTTCTTTATAGCAGCATGATTTATAATCCTTTGGGTATATACCCAGTAATGGGATGGCTGGGTCAAATGGTATTTCTAGTTCTAGATCCCTGAGGAATCGCCACACCGACTTCCACAATGGTTGAACTAGTTTACAGTCCAACCAACAGTGTAAAAGTGTTCCTATTTCTCTACATCCTCTCCAGCACCTGTTGTTTCCTGACTTTTTAATGATGGCCATTGTAACTGGTGTGAGATGGTATCTCATTGTGGTTTTGATTTGCATTTCTCTGATGGCCAGTGATGATGAGCATTTTTTCATGTGTTTTTTGGCTGCATAAATGTCTTACTTTGAGAAGTGTCTGTTCATGTCTTCGTCCACTTTTTGATGGGGTTGTTTGTTTTTTTCTTGTAAATTTGTTGGAGTTCATTGTAGATTCTGGATATTAGCCCTTTGTCAGATGAGTAGGTTGCAAAAATTTTCTCCCATTTTGTAGGTTGCCTGTTCACTCTGATGGTAGTTTCTTTTGCTGTGCAGAAGCTCTTTAGTTAAATTAGATCCCATTTGTCAATTTTGGCTTTTGTTGCCATTGCTTTTGGTGTTTTAGACATGAAGTCCTTGCCCATGCCATGTCCTGAATGGTATTGCCTAGGTTTTCTTCTAGGGTTTTTATGGTTTTAGGTCTAACATGTAAGTCTTTAATCCATCTTGAATTAATTTTTGTATAAGGTGTAAGGAAGGCATCCAGTTTCAGCTTTCTACATATGGCTAGCCAGTTTTCCCAGCACCATTTATTAAATAGGGAATCCTTTCCCCATTGCTTGTTTTTCTCAGGTTTGTCAAAGATCAGATAGTTGTAGATATGCAACATTATTTCTGAGGGCTGTGTTCTGTTCCATTGATCTATATCTCTGTTTTGGTACCAGTACCATGCTGTTTTGGTTACTGTAGCCTTGTAGTATAGTTTGAAGTCAGGTAGCGTGATGCCTCCAGCTTTGTTCTTTTGGCTTAGGATTGACTTGGCGATGCGGGCTCTTTTTTGGTTCCATATGAACTTGAAAGTCGTTTTTTCCAATTCTGTGAAGAAAGTCATTGGTAGCTTGATGGGGATGGCATTGAATCTATAAATTACCTTGGGCAGTATGGCCATTTTTACGATATTGATTCTTCCTACCCATGAGCATGGAATGTTCTTCCATTTGTTTGTATCCTCTTTTATTTCATTGAGCAGTGGTTTGTAGTTTTCCTTGAAGAGGTCCTTCACGTCCCTTATAAGTTGGATTCCTAGGTATTTTATTCTCTTTGAAGCAATTGTGAATGGGAGTTCACTCATGATTTGGCTCTCTGTTTGTCTGTTATTGGTGTGTAAGAATGCTTGTGATTTTTGCACATTGATTTTGTATCCTGAGACTTTGCTGAAGTTGCTTATCAGCTTAAGGAGATTTTGGGCTGAGATGATGGCGTTTTCTAGATATACAATCATGTCATCTGCAAACAGGGACAACTTGACTTCCTCTTTTCCTAATTGAATGCCCTTTATTTCCTTCTCCTGCCTGATTGCCCTAGCCAGAACTTCCAACACGATGTTGAATAGGAGTGGTGAGAGAGGGCATCCCTGTCTTGTGCCAGTTTTCAAAGGGAATCCTTCCAGTTTTTGTCCATTCAGTATGATATTGGCTGTGGGTTTGTCATAGATAGCTCTTATTATTTTGAGATACGTCCCAACAATACCTCATTTATTGAGAGTTTTTAGCATGAAGGGTTGTTAAATTTTGTCAAAGGCCTTTTCTGCATCTATTGAGATAATCATGTGGTTTTTGTCTTTGGTTCTGTTTATATGCTGGATTACGTTTATTGATTTGCGTATGTTGAACTAGCCTTGCATCCCAGGGATGAAGCCCACTTGATCATGGTGGATAAGCTTTTTGATGTGCTGCTGGATTCGGTTTGCCAGTATTTTATTGAGGATTTTTACATCAATGTTCATCAAGGATATTGGTCTAAAATGCTCTTTCTTGTTGTGTCTCTCCCCGGCTTTGGTATCAGGATGATGCTGGCCTCATAAAATGAGTTAGGGAGGATTCCCTCTTTTTCTATTGATTGGAATAGTTTCAGAAGGAATGGTACCAGCTCCTCCTTGTACCTCTGGTAGAATTTGGCTGTGAATCCATCTAGTCCCGGACTTTTTTTGGTTGGTAAGCTATTAATTATTGCCTCAATTTCAGATCCTGTTATTGGTGTATTCAGAGATTCAACTTCTTCCTGGTTTAGTCTTGGGAGAGTGTATGTGTCGAGGAATTTATCCATTTCTTCCAGATTTTCTAGTTTATTTGTGTAGAGGTGTTTGTAGTATTGTCTGATGGTAGTTTGTATTTCTGTGGGATCGGTGGTGATATCCCCTTTATCATTTTTTATTGCGTCTATTTGATTCTTCTCTCTTTTCTTCTTTATTAGTCTTGCTAGTGGTCTATCAATTTTGTTGATCTTTTCAAAAAACCAGCTCCTGGATTCATTAATTTTTTGAAGGGTTTTTTTTGTGTCTCTATTTCCTTCAGTTCTGCTCTGATCTTAGTTATTTCTTGCCTTCTGCTGGCTTTTGAATGAGTTTGCTCTTGCCTCTCTAGTTCTTTTAATTGTTATATGAGGGTGTCAATTTTAGATCTTTCCTGCTTTCTCTTGTGGGCATTTAGTGCTATAAATTTCCCTCTACACACTGCTTTGAATGTGTCCCAGAGATTCTGGTATGTTGTGTCTTTGTTCTTGTTGGTTTCAAAGAACATCTTTATTTCTGCCTTTATTTCGTTATGTACCCAGTAGTCATTCAGGAGCAGGTTGTTCAGTTTCCATGTAGTTGAGCGGTTTTGAGTGAGTTTCTTAACCTGAGTTCTAGTTTGATTGCACTGTGGTCTGAGAGACAGTTTGTTATAATTTCTGTTCTTTTATGTTTGCTGAGGAGTGCTTTACTTCCAAGTATGTGGTCAATTTTGGAATAGGTGTGGTGAGGTGCTGAAAAGAATGTATATTCTGTTGATTTGGGCTGGAGAGTTCTGTAGATGTCTATTAGGTCTGCTTGGTGCAGAGCTGAGTTCAATTCCTGGATATCCTTTTTAACTTTCTGTCTCATTGATCTGTCTAATGTTGACAGTGGGGTGTTAAAGTCTCCCATTATTAATGTGTGGGAGTCTAAGTCTCTTTGTCGGTCACTCAGGACTTGCTTTATGAATCTGGGTGCTCCTGTATTGGGTGCATATATATTTAGGATAGTTAGTTCTTCTTGTTGAATTGATCTCTTTACCACTATGTAATGGCTTTCTTTGTCTCTTTTGATCTTTGTTGGCTGAAAGTCTGTTTTATCAGAGACTAGGATTGCAACCCCTGCCTTTTTTTTGTTTTCCATTTGCTTGGTAGGTCCTCCTCCATCCTTTTATTTTGAGCCTATGTGTGTCTCTGCACATGAGATGGGTTTCCTGAATACAGCACACTGATGGTCTTGACTCTTTATCCAGTTTGCCTGTCTGTGCCTTTTAATTGGAGCATTTAGCCCATTTACATTTAAGGTTAGTATTGTTATGTGTGAATGTGGTCCTGTCATTATGATGTTGGCTGGTTATTTTGCTCATTAGTTGATGCAGTTTCTTCCTAGCCTTGACGGTCTTTACAATTTGGTGTGTTTTTGCAGTGGCTGGTACCGGTTGTTTCTTTCCATGTTTAGTGCTTCCTTCAGGAGATCTTTTAGGGCAGGCCTGGTGGTGACAAAATCTCTCAGCATTTGCTTGTCTGTAAAGTATTTTATTTCTCCTTCACTTCTGAAGCTTAGTTTGGCTGGATATGTAATTCTGGGTTAAAAATTCTTTTCTTTAAGAATGTTGCATATTGGTCCCCAGTCTCTTCTGGCTTGTAGAGTTTCTGCCAAGAGATCCACTGTTAGTCTGATGGGCTTCCCTTTGTGGGTAACCTGACCTTTCTCTCTGGCTGCCCTTAACATTTTTTCCTTCATTTCAACTTTGGTGAATCTGACAATTATGTGTCTTGGAGTTGCTCTTCTCGAGGAGTATCTTTGTGGCATTCTCTGTATTTCCTGAATTTGAATGTTGGTGTGCCTTGCTAGATTGGGGAAGTTCTCCTGGATAATTTCCTGCAGAGTGTTTTCCAACTTGGTTCCATTCTCTCCATCACTTTCAGGTACACCAATTAGACGTAGATTTGGTCTTTTCACATAGTCCCATATTTCTTGGAGGCTTTGTTCGTTTTTTTTTTATTCTTTTTTCTGTAAACTTCTCTTCACACTTCATTTCACTCATTTCATGTTCCATCGCTGATATCCTTTCTTCCAGTTGATTGCATCGGTTACTGAGGCTTGTGCATTCGTCACGTAGTTCTTGTGCCATGGTTTTCAGCTCCATCAGGTCCTTTAAGGACTTCTCTGCATTGGTTATTCTAGTTATCCATTCGTCTAATTTTTTTTCAAAGTTTTTAACTTCTTTGCCATTGTTTCAAACTTCCTCCTTTAACTCGGAGTAGTTTGATCTTCTGAAGCCTTCTTCTCTCAACTCGTGAAAGTCATTCTCTGTCCAGCTTTGTTCCGTTGTTGATGAGGAGCTGCGTTCCGTTGGAGGAGGAGAGGTGCTCTCATTTTTAGAGTTTCCGGTTTTTCTGCTCTGTTTTTTCCCCATCTTCGTGGTTTTATCTACCTTTGGTCTTTGATGATGGTGACATACAGATGGGTTTTTGTGTGGATGTCCTTTCTGTTTGTTAGTTTTCCTTCTAACAGTCAGGACCCTCAGCTGCAGGTCTGTTGGAGTTTACTGGAGGTCCACTCCAGATCCTGTTTGCCTGGGTATCAGCAGCAGTGGCTGCAGAACAGCGGATATTGGTGAACCGCAAATGCTGTTGTCTGATCGTTCCTCTGGAAGTTTTGTCTCAGAGGAGTATCCGAACTTGTGAGGTGTCAGTCCACCCCTACTGGGGGGTGCCTCCCAGTTAGGCTATTCGGGGGTCAGGGACCCACTTGAGGAGGCAGTCTGCCCGTTCTCAGATCTCAAGCTGTGTGCTGGGAGAACCACTACTCTCTTCAAAGCTGTCAGACAGGGACATTTAAGTCTGCAGAGGTTATTGCTGTCATTCGTTTGGCTGTGCCCTGCCCCCAGAGGTGGAGCCTACAGAGGCAGGCAGGCCTCCTTGAGCTGTGGTGGGCTCCACCGAGTTCGAGCTTCCCGGTGCTTTGTTTACCTACTCAAGCCTGAGCAATGGCAGGTGCCCCTCCCCCAGCCTCACTGCCACCTTGCAGTTTGATCTCAGACTGCTGTGCTAGCAATGAGCAAGGCTCCGTGGGCGTAGGACCCTCTGAGCCATGTGCGGGATATAATCTCCTGGTGTGATGTTTGTTAAGCCTGTTGGAAGAGCGTAGTATTATGGTGGGAGTGACCCGATTTTCCAGGTGCCGTCTGTGACCCCTTTCTTTGACTAGGAAAGGGAATTCCCTGACCCCTTGTGCTTCCCGAGTGAGGCAATGCCTCGCCCTGCTTTGGCTCACTCACGGTGCGCTGCACCCACTCTTCTGCACCCACTGTCCGGCACTCCCCAGTGAGATGAACCCGGTACCTCAGTTGGAAATGCAGAAATCACCTGTCTTCTGCATCACTCACGCTGGGAGCTGTAGACTGGAACTGTTCCTATTTGGCCATCTTGACTCCACCCGGATCACATTTTTATTTTAGAGAACTGTCTGCTGCAAGGAGTAAACTCAGTTACTGAGTTTAAGTGAGTTCAAAATACACACGGGCCACCAGGGGACAATGTCAAGTAATTTATGAGTATGAAAATCAGATGAGAGGTCTGACTGTGCCAGAAATCAATGTCTGTTCCAAAGTCCAAAGGGCTGGTGAGACCTGGGTTAGGATTTCTGTTTACTTGTCTCTAAATGAGAAAGTTAGATTGGATTTCTTAGGTTTCTTTCAGCTTTAAAATCTCATGGGCAAGGGTAGAAAATAAAGGCTGAGTTTGTAAGAAGAAAAATTTTGAAAGAATTCTCTGTACAAATGAGTAATTTTCATTTAGAAGCTGATAGATAAACTCGAGGCTAAACTGAGCATAACTGAGCGTAAACTCCTTGAGGCTGATCTAGAAAGCCAGGACTATCCTAACCTAAGTAGGTTCTTCCTTATCACCATCTCTTGGCTGCTAAGCAGTTGTGGCTGCCATGTGGCATTATTTATGAACAGACCATCAACTTATCTTTGTGGCAACAGAAATAGAAGCAGAGTAGCAAGGGGCAAGGAGGGCCTTGGAGATGATCTACACACAAGTCACAAGAGCAAATGCAAGCACCAAAGGATGCAGCCAAGAGAAGGTGGTTGTGAAGGGAAGACAAACAACATCTGTTTTGAAATATGTGAGCATTATTTGATTAGCGTTTTTGCAGTACAAAGGAGGGAGAAAAAAGAAAGGAAAAAGAGAAAAACGTTGAGACTCATTATCTTATGATTAAAGATCCTTGGAGGCAACAGACTTGCAAACACCTATGTGTATAATACAATGACAACAACAGTAAGAAAGGTTTTAAAGGAAGCAGAATTGATCAGGAGAGAAAAAGAACTGTTGAGTATAGCAAAGAGTGGGACAGTGGATGGAGAGAGAGATTATTTGAGGTTATGAGCAGCTGGTGTTAATGTTTCCAGAAATATTGTTGATTTGCTTGGTGATGCTAAGATGACTGTAAATATACATCACATTTATGGGCTTTATGCCTATGAGTATCAAATGTAATAACAAAGTTGGGAGTACTTGGAAGATTATAAAATTCTATACACACATAAGGAATGATTGCTACTTAAGCTTTTTCAGCTAGAAAAGAAAAATATTCTTTTTGATAAGGATACTTACTTGTTCTTCCCCACTTAAATCCACAAAGGAGTAGATCAGACAGGGAAAGGTGTGTTTTGCTTCTCACACAATTCCCAGAGAAAGAGACGTGTTCATATGCTACAAGTGGGGAAATTGGACAATTTATTCTAGATAATTTAGGACAATGATATTCCAGTTCTTCTGCATGTCTTAGCTAGGTCTATAGGGAACCACCAGATCTGTCAATTCTGTTAAAGTCTCAGTCTGAAGATTGTTTCATTCCTGTGAGTGCCTTTGATAAATCAGCAAGTGCCTTAATACTCTGTAGACATGAACAAATGTAATTTGAAGGGAAACAACATGGGAAGGTAGGGTTTGGAGAAGGTGTCATCCTCCTTTAGGGTTTCCCAGCTGACATTGATTCAGGTCAATCAATTGAGAGAGAGGAAAGAGAGACAAGGAGGGAGAGAGAGAAAGTGAGGGAGGGAGAGAGCACTTGCTATATTCTCTGGAGGGCAAGCACATATCATGTATATAATTTTTATTAGATAATTAATAAGACATTTCTCCTTCACTGAGTATAAACTCCTTGAGGCTGATCTAGAAAGCCTGCATGACTATCCTAACCTAAGTAGGTTCTCCCTTATCACCATCTCATGACTCCTAAGCAGTTGTGGCTGCCATGTGGTGTGATTTATGAAGACAGAAAATCCTATTCTCTCCTTCTAGGTTTTCCAACATAGGTGTCTCCTTGCTTTCACGTTGTTTTCTTCTATGTCTTTTCACCCATATATATTTTTAATAATAGTGATGCCAATGTATTACTTTAAGGACATTTTTTAAAAATCAACACTTTTAGAGAATACACCCCTCACTCCCCAATATGTTTTGGGAGGAAACATCCTTTCTCTCATCTCTTCTTTCTGTGGTTTTGTTTTCTGTTCTCTTTCTTCTTTTTCTTCCCCATGCATAGTTGAATGGTCAATATTGATCTCCACACCTCCTTTGGATCCCTGAGTCAAATGTCTGGGCTATAAGAATTTCTCTGGAGGGGCTGTACTCCCTCCCCAAGGTGGCTGAGTAACATTCTACATATGGCAGGCACATGGCTGCACATTCTCTCATGGTGTGGGATTGGGTGTTGATTGACACAGCACAAATAGAAACTTTATTTTATATTCCCAAAGCTCAACTCAGCTGTACTTCTCACCACGTGGCAAAGGATGGACCAAAGGCTGGGAGCAACTGGGAGTGTCTGGGTGAGTTTGGATATTTAATTTTGCTCTGATCCATTGAGAGACAGAGAGGGAAGAAATTGTGTGGCACAGAGCCTCTGGAGTGTAAGTGACACTCTGAAAGCATTCCCTTCTTCCTCTGCGGCTTCTCCCGGATCTCATAGAAATAGGGGGCCACATAGAAAATGCCTAAATTTAAAGTCTAACTGGTGCATTTAGGGAATTGAGGGAGAAGGGAACTCTTCTAAACTAGTAGAAAGACCCCCAACATAGAAGTAAGAAAAAAACCTTTAAAATACCTGAAGACATATTAAAATAAATAGGGCTGCCTTGCTTTTCCCTTCCTGACAAGATTTTTTATGTAACCACACAAGCACAATCACTGTGTCTGGAAGATTTGGGGACTCCACAAACACATGATGGATTCAAGACAGAGGCTTGGAGGGCTGTGCTGATGGGGGTTGAACCCCAGAGAAAGATTCTTGTGTAGTCCCATGGATTATAACCCCTCCCCATATACCATATTTCATTGTATCTAAGGATCCATCCAGTGTAATAGAGGCCATTATTTTATGTTTCACTAAGAAATACAAGTAGTCACCTATTAAATTATGTTATGCCATTGATTGTAAGATGCATTTTGATTTTACAGATGTTAATACATGAACAACTTAAGAATAGGTGAGGTACAGTAGTCAAAGATCTACAAATCCTAGCAGGCAGCAGAGAGGACCAGCCCTTCATCCAGTTCTCTTTATCAGCACACTAAGATGTATGCCCAGAACTTCCTTGGGCTTCTCTTTAGTGAGCTGAGTAGGCCTTCCTTTATATCTCACCCAGCTGGCGATTAGAGGTGGCTCTGGCCTTCTCCACGTCTCCTATGCGCTTTGGAAAGTTAAAATTGTCTTCAAAGTTCTGAGATGAGCATATTTGTGAAATGGATGGTATATGCTTTTCAGACATCTCCATCTTGCTGAATCCAATTTATTGTTGTGGCACTCCATTGACAATTCTCCCTAATACTGTGTGGCTTCATACCCCATGCTGCCTATCCAGGCTATACTGTGGAACCCAATCACTGTGTTTATGTTGAGAAGGTTCTCCAAACTCCTTTCTTTTTTTAATCTCTCCACATCAAAACTTATCTGTCCGGGTCCTATTCCCTTAAGTCCTTGCTAGGTAACTAGCTAGTTACTCAGGGAAGGAATAGTGATAAGCTAATAAAAACTAAGGGCAGGCTGGGCATGGTGGCTCACACCTGTAATCCCAGCACTTTGGGAGGCCGAGGCGGGTGGATCGCCTGAGGTCAGGGGTTCAAGACCAGCCTGACCAACATGGTGAAACCCTGTCTCTACTAAAAATACAAAAATTAGTCAAGCATGGTGGCCGTTGCCTGTAATCCCAGCTACTCGGGAGGCTGAGGCAGGAGAATTGCTTGAACCTGGGAGGCAGAGGTTGCAGTGAACCGAGATTGCACCATTGCACTTCAGCCTGGGCAACAAGAGCGAAACTGTCTAAAAAAACAACAACAAAAAAACCCCCAAAAAACCCTTAGGTTATTCCTCCAAAGAAACACATTTTAAAGGTAACTGGGATCTTTTTGAAGCTTTTCAATTCTAAAAGTAATGAGTGAGAGATCAAAATAATTAAGAAAACATTTTATCTGAAGAGTCATATTCTTCAAATCAGAGCATATACATAGTAACATGTTCTCAAGATTTTACACAGACTGATGGAAGGATCTAGAGGAGGTGTAACAAATGCCAAAGCTGCTCCCCACCCCTGAGCCCATGGAACACACTATATTTGATCACAACACATTTTCTTATTGAGCTTGGACCCAACCTCAGAATCCCCCCCTAACAGAACCCTTACCACAAGGAACTGGGGTTGACATATGAAATGAAGCCCATTTTCCAGCCCTGATATACGTTTTAATGGGCAGGGATATTTATCAGCTTACATACATTTTCTCAGTTTGAAGCACAGTCAGGTCCTTTCCATTTGGGACCTCTGGATCCATTCAGTTAAGGTGAAGGAAATAGTAAGAAAGTATATGGAGTCATGTTTTCAGAAATATCTCAGTTTAAATGCAGCAAGACATTTGTCGTAACTGTCAACTGGAGAAGGTATTTTTGGGGAATAGCATGTGCTTGTCTTAAGTGGAGCTTCCCCAGGCAACACAGACAGAGAGAACTTGGGAAGGCTCTGGCTCAGGAGATGAATAAAGGGCTAGAGAGTGTCTGTGTGTGGCAATGTTGAAGAATGGATTAGCCTGGAAGGGAAAACCCTGATGGATCACCTGAGACTAGTCATCAAGTGCTAGGAGTATTACTGTGGAAAGGGTGTTTGCCAGTTTTCTCTTCTGTCTTACTGAAGATGAGGAACCTTACATCAGAAGGAAATACAGGTTTGCTTAAAGAAAGAGCTCTCAGGTAAGATCACATACACAACCAAGTGTTTAAAATACACTAGATGCTCTTCTGTTGGGGATGACTATCTGTGATGGAGTTGAGGGGCCACAAATTTCCTGCTACCAAGCAGCTGACAACATGTAGGAGACACCCCCTTAAGAACAAATGCTCCCATAATGCCCGTGTGGAGACTGTAGGCACTGCTGTCCATGCTTTACATATATTGACGTATTGTACCCATTTCACAGATGAGGAATTGAGGCCTGGACAAGTTCTATGAGTAATCTGGAGTCACACCGCTGGCAGAGATTTGTGATTTACTTAGAGCTAGGATTCATACCAGACTGGATTCAGGCTCCAGAATCCATATCCTGAATCATAACCTTATGCTATCTCTCCAGTCACTATTCTACTTGGCAGAATGAATTAATCCCCCAAAAAAGTATAAAGGAGAGAGAACCTTCATGAATTACTTAATCCCACTCACTGGGACACCCTAGTGGCCACTGAGTAATTCTCTGTGATAGATTGAGTGATTCTCTTCTAAACTCTGAGAGCAGCACAGTAGCCTCATCTGATTTGCATTCTAGTAAAAAGCATAGTCATTCCTGATATGAAGACTGAGAGTGAATGAATGAATGATGGTTGTATGTATGTGTGTAGGTATGTTTATTCTTAGCATCAGTCTAGTTTTGGACAATAAAGTAGGAGAGGGAAAAGAGCTGCTTCAGTCAAGGAGGGACATGTTGTTATGCCCATGGTCTTAGGTAGTCTCAGTACAGCCATAGTCAGGATTCAAGACTTTATTCCTGCTAAGGAACTCAAAACTCATGTCTTGTTAAGACCTTACCCATCACTTAACTTTCTCCATAAAGACCTCCCAGACGCACTCCTTCCATACCAAACACTTCTTTCTTTGCTCTCAGCCTTTCTGAATGCACTTCATATAACTTCAACAAGAAATGGCGTCTAATTCTAAGAAATTCTAATAAAGTATCAATTCTGGGAGGTTGCACATGAGCTCTCCAGGAGAAGTGGCATGTCTTATTTCTTTCTGTCCTTGCTCAGAGTTCGGGTTTGGCCCAGAACAGGTGTTTGAGAAATATCATTTGCATTCAACTGAGTTGAATATTTCCTCCCAATATCTAGCAGGTGAAGCAAAGCAGGCCCAGGAAGGGGACTAAAGCACCACACCAGGGTTACTGCAATACCTGATGTTGATTTTCTTTGTTTAGAAAAGAGACCCCTAGATTTTGTGGTCAAGAGATTGATCACCTGTGTAGTAATAATTGCATTTATTAGCTCATTTTATAGCAGGAGAGATGAGGCCATCCAATTTTTTTATTGGCAGCTATGAAAATATAATTCGGCTCTTGTTTCTTAGCCCAGTACTTGTTCCTCTGTAATTCTATTAGAGATAAATCTGAGAAGTTCTGGTAAGTGAGAGAAGTTGCAAATAAACTTATTTGCATCTTACAAGTTAGAGTCTTCAGGAAATAGTATCCAGGGTAGTGGTTCTGATGATATGGTCTGTGGGCCACATGCCATGAGAAGCAGCTTGGGCTCTTATTTAAAGTGCATAACTTGAGGCTGAGGCAGGAGGATTGCCTGAGCTCAAGAGTTTGAGGCCAGCCTGGGCAACCTGGTGAAATCCCATCTCTACTAAAAATACAAAAAAAAAGTAGCCAGGCCTGGTGGCATATGCCTGTAGTCCCAACTACCTGGGAGGCTGAGGAACGAGAATCACTTGAACCCGGGAGGTGGAGGTTGCAGTGAGCCAAGATTTTGCCACTGCACTCCAGCCTGAGCAACAGAGCCAGACTCTGTCTCAAAAAAATAAAATAAAACAAAACAAAATAAAATAAAATAAAATAAAAAGCATAACTCCTGGGCTCCTCCTTGGAACTACTGAATCAAATACCATGCCCCAGCCCAGGAATCTCCATGTTCTGTACATACCCTAGGTCATACTCATATCCATGAATTTAATGGGCCAGCTGGTCAAATGTTTTCCTACAGTAGAAACAGTTTATCAGATAGACTTTTTGCATTAAAAAAAGTTCTTAGGAGATGATTTAGCTCCGCTCCCTTCAGCTACTTTCCTAAGGGGCCTTTCTTTTTGTATGTTCCTTTTCATCTTTCTGGATGTTTAAAATGTCATGAAAAAAGAATAAAAGAACAGTACACTTTTTAAAACACTAGTTTCCATGAACTTACAATCTGGTCTGAATCGTATATATGTACATAAAAATTGTTTTCATATACATATGAATCATTGTTAATTTGCTGGACTCTTACAATTGTGATGGACAAATTTGTGTGTGTTTGTGTTCATGTGTGTATGTTTGTGCACAAAGGGGTCCTCTCTGGCAGCTGGCTCCTCTAAAATGGGTCATCCTGCATAGAAGTAATTTGGGAAAGAATGAGGCTTGGAGTAAACTCTGTCTGACTGAGTTTCCTTTCTAATGATGTTTTAATGCCCTTACTTTCTCCTACAGCCCCTTTTTCTCCCCCAGGTTTTCCCAGACAGCTTTTTTTTTTTTTTTTTTTTTTTTGAGAAAAAGTCTCGCCCTGTCATCCATGCTGGAGTGCAATGGAGCGATCTTGGCTCACTGCAACCTCTGCCTCCTGGGTTCAAGCAATTCTCCTGACCCACCCTCCCAAGTAGCTGGGATTACAGGCATGCACCACCACAGCCAGCTAATTTTTTTTTTTTGATCTTTAGTAAAGAAGGGGTTTCACCATGTTGACCAGGCTGGTCTCGAATTCCTGACCTCGTGATCCACCCAGACAGCTTTTAATAGAATCCTGAGGTAGAATCCACTCAGAGTAGGGTTAACAGAGAGGCACCATAACCGAGTGGCCAGAGGACCGGGACCTGAAGTGCCTGAACCCTTGCATGGGTTTCTTGTTGATTTTCCTGCTCTGGCTCCCTGGGCCATGACACCTTCCTCTTCTTCATTTTCAGACTCTGCCTTGATTTCAGGTGCATGAGAAGCTACTCATGACATCTCTCCAGGTCTGTATTTTGCTATCTATAAAATTTGTACTCTGTCAAAGCATCATCAAAGATGCTCCAAGGTTATTATTATTATTATTTTTTAAGTATACTTAGTTCCCTTGGAGCAAGAGGTCAAATTTCTGCCAGGAAGGTGCTAATCAAGCCTGGCCTGTTGCACTATTGAAACTTAATTTTTTCTCTTAGAGAGAATTTTCAAATAGGATTCATATTGCAATCTTGAAAATTGAGGCCCTAGAATCTGAATATAATTTGATAAATCATCTGGTCTAGTGGGCACATGGAAGCCCAAAGAGATAAGAATTTCCCAAAGTCACACAGCAAGTCAGTGGCAGAGCTGGTGAATCCAGTCTCCAGACTCCTGGCCCAGTATTCATCCCAGAGTGGGACCAGAAAATGGCCTATCTCTTCTATGGCAGATCTTTGGAGCATGCCCATTAGAATGGCTGAGGAGTAGGAGAGGTCCCAAGCATCAGTGATTTAGGTTGAGAGGATGGCATCCCTCAGGCGGAAATGCACTTGAACTCTTTGCTTTTCTTTTCAGGACAGACAAGCATTTCTCACAGCAAAAATCGGTAATTTTACAAATCATATTCACCCAAGGTCTTTGCAAATTGTAATACTGCTAAAAAATTAAAACATAGAAGCAGTTTGTTTTTCACTCATTCACATTGCTGTATGGTACACCAATTGGAAAGAGACTGTGAGCCCTCCTAATATTATCTGTGCAGTGTTGGTACAGCTACCTACTCTCTGTGTGTAACATTGTTTTCTTCTTTAAAATGAGCCTGACAGGATCTGCCTTATGTAACTTCTAAGATAGTTGTATAAAAAATGAGGCTGGGCACAGTGGCTCATGCCTGTAATCCAAGCACTTAGGGAGGCCAAGGCAGATGGATCACTTGAGGCCAGGAGTTCAAGACCAACCTGACCAACATGGTGAAACCCCATCTCTGCTAAAAACACAAAAATTAGCCCAGTTACTGGGAGGCTGAGGGAGGAGAATTGCTTGAACCCAGGAGGCGGAGGTTGCAGTGAGCCAAGATCATTCCACTGCATTCCAGCCAGGGCAACTAAGTGAAACTCTGTCTCAAAAAAAAAAAAAAAAAAAGAAAGAAAGAAATGAGATAACGGTTATAATATTTTAAAAATTAGAATGCTATGTGAGATTGTATTAGTCTGTTTTCACACTGCTATAAAGAACTACCAAAGACTGGGTAATTTATAAAGAAAAGAGGTCTAATTGACTCACAGTTCTTCATGTCTGGGGAGGCCTCAGGAAACTTACAACCATAATGGAAGTCGAAGGGGAAGCAAGGCACGTCTTACATGGTGGCAAGAGAGAGTGAGAGTGAGGGGAAAAGTGCCACACTTTTAGACCATCAGCTCTCATGAGAACTGTATCATGGGAACAGCAAGGGGGAAAAGCATCTCCATGATCCGATCACTTTCCACCAGGCCCCTCCACTGACATGTAGGGACTACAATTCAACATGAGATTTGGGTGGGGACATGGAGCCAAACCATATCAGAGATTTCCTTTGATCTGATAAAACTGTTATGTATTTCAAGAGTACAGCAGCCATTGAAAGAAAAATGAAAAAAATTTTTAAAAGATAGGAATCAGAGAGTGAGACTATCATTCATCCTCACCGTACAGCTTTAACACAGGCTGGCTGGCCACTTGGAGGTTTGCATTTAGGTGAATGAGTCGGTAACCCTGACTGTACCCCATTTTCAGTTATTTGTTGTCCTCTGCTGGTCAGAATTCAAAGTATAACATTTCTCTGGGATATTTTGTTTCCCTCATTCTCTGCATCTTGAGTGGAAAGCTCCGGAAGGGTGCAGTGATTGCCCAATGACATCAAATTCTCCAAAGAGTCAGAGAGCCAAAGTCAGCCTGGTGAGAAAACAAATGAAGCAAATACTAAAATAACACTGAGGGCAGAGCCCCCCGCCAGAACCTGCCAAAAAGATATGAAGTTTGATTAGAATAATTATTTTAATTGAATTATCATTTTAAATCAATTAAAGGGAAGGATTTCAATGGAAGAATGCCAAATCCTACTCATGGGATCCATTCGCTGGGCTGTGTGTTGGGAGCCTAAATGGTCCACATGATGGCTGGGCACACTCATGCCCTCTTTAATAAACACTCTCAAAAGCTCTCACAATTGAGCTTCACACACAGGGCTGCAGACCTGGGCTTTGCTGAGCCCTGTAATGGGATAACTTCGGGTGATTATGTGGTTTAGTAAATATCCATAAATTAAGGATAGTGTTTGAAGACTGCCAATAACGACCTCAGTTTCCCAGTATCCCCCAGAGAAGTGAATTAATTATTTTAAGAGTTCGGGGCAAAGGCAAGCCAGGACAGAGAAGATTATCTCCTATTTCTTCTCTCCCATAATTGGTTACCTTTCTGGTCCCTCCCAGAGCACTGGAAGTGTTTCACACAATCTCTGGGTCTCGACAATAATGTACCTCGAAAAGGAGGCTGATTATGTTGACTGAAATCCATCCTGGCAAAAGGCTTTTGCTGCAGCTGGTTCCATTTACATTTTGTATTTTTGGAGCTTGTGCCTGTTCCAGGGAGGGATGGGATAATTGATTTAAATCAAATTATGAAACGTGATACTTTGAATTCCTAAAAACATGTTTCCTGGCACTGCCTGCAGCAGTGGAGCCCTCGCAGGTACGGTGGAATGGGATGGGCGCGGGAGTGCCTTTCTTGACCCATGTGTGTGTGTGTGTGTGTGTGTGTGTGTGTGTGTTTGACCTCACACTCCTCCTTTAGAGCCTGGGCCAGGGTTTCTTTAGAGCCTGAAGCCATTAACAGAGTATGGTGTCCCCTTGTAGGTGAGGTACAGCTATCACATTGCCGCCATTCCTCATGCCAAGTACAGTCATTGATTTTAATAGTGAGCTTCTCTAGTTTCATCTCTTTGATCACAGAGCTGAAATTAAAGACTGTACATTGTGTAAATGACAAAGGAAATAGATGGAGCTCAGCAAAAAGATGCTAATAACTTTAAGACTTCACTGCATCACACATTCATTTTGATTTGGAAAGACAATTTGCCTCCCAGATTTTAAAAGCTATTTTAGAACGGTTTCAAGATCAAGATCCTTAATGTTGCTTTGCTCCCATCTGTAGCCTAAATTATTTGTAATTAAGTTAAATAGCTTCATATAAATAGTAGACCTATGGAGTTGGGGAATGATTGTTTCACATACATCCCTGCGTTGTGAATTGCCAGTAGCAATGACATCTTTGAAAAGCAGCCCCCACTCTATCTGGTGCAGAACTTTGAGTGGCATTTAGGAAAGTGATTCTTACTTCAAATATTATCACTGACTCATTGTAGGTTCTGGGTCCAGCCAGCTAGTTGGATTTAAACTGCACCTCTGCAACTTACTAGATTTGTAACCTTGGGTAACTTATTTGTAAAATGGAGATCATAATAATACCAACCACATGAGGTCACACATAAAGCAATTAGAGCAGTTCCTAGGGCATAACAAGGCTATTATTTCTTTCTTCAATTATTATTAAAGAAATACTAAGACTCTTCCTAATGATACATATTTCTTAGAGTGTTTCCAGCCATTTATTTGAATGGCATGTTGAGCCTTGCTATTTCCATCCTCCTGGGTTAGCACCCCACAAAGTTTCACTTCTCTTCCCTTCAGTCAACAAAGCCTAGCCCAGGGTGCAGCTTGGGAGGGTGCAGCATGCAAAGGTCACAACCTTGCATGCTACTTTGAGCTCTTTGGTTCTTAGGAGTTTATCCCATTTGAGATGCAGGCCACTGAAAGGATGGATATTTTTGAAACCCTGACTTGAATGATCCATATATTTATTTATGGGTAAACTTATACCCATACCGAGGTTTACCCATGTATTTATTTGTGGGTAAATTTATGAACAAAGATGAAACTCTTAGACCAGGAGTAAATTTCAGAACACCAGTGCTTGCTGTGTTGCCAGACATCATGATCCGTCCAGAAAAGTGTGTTGCTTCTTCCACCTTCTCCCCAGCAACAATTCCAGGTGTGGTTCTGAGAAGGGCTTATCTTTCAGATGAGTCAGACTTGATGCTACTGTTGTGCTCCCAGGGGACCCTGGATGCCTTGGCCAGTCCTTATGTACAGCCCCTTAGCCTTGGGAATCTCAAGGCAATTCAGGAGAGGGCTCAAGAGAGAGGGTGAGAAAGAATATATACAACTCTGCCTTCCATGGTAGGAACTCAATGAAATGGGGAGAAAACCCAACTTAGTGCTCAACTCTTAAGATAGAAATGTCAAATAAAGCTAAGTGTTCAGAATCACTGTTGAGATTCATTTTGATTTAAGTGATACATGCATATAATTAAAATCAATGATACTAGATCACATATAAAGAGAGCAGCTCCTTGCTTCCATTCTCATGACTACCTAGTTCCATTACCCAGAGAAAAAAAATCTCTTTTAATACTCTAAACTGATTCTTTTGGTGTTTATCTCCATACTGCTAAAATAAGAAATCTTTACTGTTTTTTAATTTGTCAACTTTAGGCGTTATCTGTAAGCACTTTTTGATGACAGATAGTGAGTTGGTTCTCTTTGATCACATCCTTACTTCTTCCTCCTCCAACCTCTCACTATAGTCATATACAGATTTTTTATTAAATTAGTAGTCAGAGTTTTCATTACTACAATGATATAAACATTATCAGTGTAGAAGCAGTAGTGTACTATAATTTTTTAAATTTTACTTTAAGTTCTGAGATACATGTGCAGAATGTGCAGGTTTGTTACATAAGTATACATGTGCCATGGTGGTTTGCTGTACCTATCAACCCATCATCTAGGTTTTAAGCCCAGCATGCATTAGATATTTGTCCTAATGATTTTAACTGTTGTCCTATTTTCACACATGGATTTCTATGTACTTGTCAGGATAGGCTAGGTTTTCTTTAGTTAAAAACAACCTTACCATCTTAGTGGCTTAAAACAGCAGAGGTTTATGTCTTGTTCATGTTATATGTCTACTGTAGGTTGACAAAAGGGAATGGAGGAGGGATTCTGTTTATTGTGGTTTCTAAGGGTCCTAGGCTCTTAGAGCAACCATCACCTTGAACCCAGTCAGTTTCCATGCCAGAAAGAAAATGCTCTGGAAAGCAACAAACCAAAATTTTAATGCTGTGTCCCAGAAGTGATATACATCACTTTTACTCACAATTTGTTGGCCAGAACTGGTCAAGTGGCTCCACCCCTTGTAAGGTACCATTGAAGAGCAGTTCTATCATGTGTTTCAAAGGCAGGAGCTAAAAATATTTGGGAGAAGCATTTAAGATTATCATTGAATCTTTTGTTAATTTTTCCCCCCAATTGATCTGTCAGATCTATTATATATCTCTCAGTTTTCTGTTTTCCCCAAATGTGTGATTTTGTCATTTAATAAATTCCATTAAAAAACAAGAACAAAAATTGGTGGCCTCCTGCATAAGAACTGCACAGCTGCCACAAAGAAGACTTCCCTTTGCCATTCCTTTGGTTTGGATCCCCTGCTTTCTGCATCTCCTTAAATCTTTTTCCTTCTTGATTTTTCCTTTTTAATAATGAGGTACCATTCCAGCATGTTCCTACAAAGGGTACAGTCAGCTATAAGATCCAGGGAAGTCGTATCTGAGTTCTTCACAGCAGTCTTCCTTTCCATACCTCCATCTGATTTTTGATTTGGCTGGTGATATGGTTTGGATGTTTGTCCCCTCCGAATTTCATGTTGAAATGTGATTCCTAATGTTGCAGGTTGGGCATAGTTGGAAGTGATTGGATCATGGGGGCAGATCCTCATGAATGGTTTAGCACCACCACCTTGGTGAAGAGTTCTCACTCAGTTCATGTGAGATCTGGTTGTTTAAAAGTCTGGGCCCGTCCCACTTTGCTCCCACTCTTGCCATATGACATGCCTATTCCCTCTTCACCTTCTGTCATGATCATAAGCTTCCTGAGGCCTCACCAGAAGCAGATGCCAGCACTAAGCTTTCTGTACGTCCCACAGGACCATGAGCCAAATAAACCTCTTTTCTTTATAAATTACCCAGCCTTCAGTATTTCTTTATAGCAATGCAAAAATGGCCTAATACAGCTGGATAAAGAATTCTGTGTTAAAAATCACTTCTCATTGAGAATTTTAAAGAGATCATTTCATTGACATTCACAATTTTATTGCTGCTAAGAAGTCTTATGTCATTCTGATTATTATACCTTTGCACATGAACTGAAGTTTTTCAGTAGAATCTTTTTAGAATTTTCACTTTACTCTTAGTCTGAATTTTCACAATAATGTACCTTAGTATGAGTTTTTTAAAAAATGTTTTTTCTTCCTGGATATTCTGTGTTCACTTGGGATTGTGGTATGGTGGTAGGGGGTGGGGTAGCCAAAAGATTTATAACTTTAATTTAGAGAAGTTTCCTTGTATTATATATTTGATAGTTTCCATCTCCTCATTTTTTGGTTTTATTTTTAAGGAACTTCTAATAAATTAGACATTGGAATAATCAGATTGATGCTCTATTATCTCCTTGCTTCTCTCCTATTTCTCACTTCTCCATTGTCTGTTATTTTTTTAAGGAAGTTTCCATGAGCTTTTTTTCCAAATCTTCTACTGAGTTTTTAAAGGTTTATCTAGCATAAATTTAGTTTTCATGAACCCTTTCTTTTTCTCTGATTGTGCTTCCTCTGTGGCATCCAATTTTGTTTTATAGGTGTAATATTCTCTTATCTTTCTGAGACTATTTGTTATAGTTTGTGAAGCTTTCTTTTGTTTGTTTCTACATCATCTGTATTTCAACTGTGTCCCCCTTTCTCTGTTGGTTTGTTCTTATCTCTTTTATTCTGGAGGCCTTCCTCAAGTCTGGTCATTGAATTTCTGTTTCTATTTAAGAATGAGGTTTTTGTGAAAGCTTTGTGGGCCTGTCAAGTGATGGACTTCCCTGTATGGTCACTGGGCAGAGAGTGGCATCCTCATTGGTTAATGCCTCACATGTCACACATGGTAGTCTGGGGATATTTAGTGTCTCCAGCAAAGAGACCTGACGGCGGGGCATGTACTTTGCTGTAGGTGTTCTGGGGAAAGGACAAGTAAAGGAGGCTAGTTGGCAGTCCCACAAAGCTTTCTTAAGCCTCCAGTTTTTATCTTCCTGTGTTATCCTTTTCCTTTGCTATGCCTTGAGCCTCTCATTTTATTCCTTTTAGAAGGACTACAGCCTTCTGCCTGGGGACTATGTGGTGTGAGGGAAGCGATTGAGGGATACAACCACCTTATATGCAGATCTCTACTATCACCCACCAAATCCCTATTGAGACATGAGCCTGACCCCTGCCTTGTGCAATATCCATAACTTTTAGTTCCTGAGTCTCTTAGGGATTCTGTTGGGGATGATCACCCTCTTCCCACTGGTATCTCTTCCTGTAGGCACATTTGGTGCTAATTTTCCTAAGCAGCTAGATTGGTCATTACTCGTTTTTCTTGATTTCTTTTCTTTCTAAGAATGTCTTAAAAATTTTTTATCTGCTCATGCCTCATCTCCTGCTTCTTTAGTTCATGAGAACTTATACCCTTTTATTTCTTTCTCATCATTTTAGTGGACCTAAATAGAAGAAAAGATACATGTCTGTGGTTGGGCTGCCATATTTAACTGGAAGTCTCTTTAATGAAAGAAGTTATCTCATAGTTTTGATGACAGATTCCTCTCCTTCTCATGTGGTTAGTTCTCTCTCTAAGCAGTCTGAGCCCTGAACAAGAAGGGTCAGTTCTTTCTCAGGAAATTCTAGACTTGGGCAATGGAAAACTCCAGCATCCTGGCTTAGGAGCGCCATTGGCTAATGGTTTTAAATCATAGGCTTTTTTTGAGAAGGCTTGAGTAGGTGTTCCAGCTCCATTGCCTTCTACTGATATGAACTTTGGCAAGTTTCTTACTCTTCCTAAGTCTATTTTTCCAGTGATAAGATATGGATGATGAGAGTGCCCATCTCCTAGAGTTGATATAAGAATTAAATAAATTAATAATAACTTGTAAAGTGTGTATCATGGTACCTAATACATAAAACATGTGCAATGATAGTAGTCATTACTATCCTTAACTGAAATATTTAAATATTTCTGGTTATATTCTGCCTAAAAGAAACTTTTGAGTTCATTTCAGAACTCTCAAAAAATTGTAAGCTGAACCTATGACTTTGGATCCCTTCCAGCAGGCACTGCTCTTGAACTTGAATTTAGCATAATTTCTAGAACCTATAGTCTGCCCTATTTAGATAGTTGGCCTATTCTCATTGGAAAGTTTAAATAAAAGCTTAGCAATCTTTCAAGCTCAGAAGGGCCAAGCTATACCCTGGGAAATTGAAGTTAGTTAGGGTCAAAAGTATGTTGGCAAACACTTTTTTTGTAAAGAGCTGAATAATAAATATTTTAGGCTTCATGATCCATACAGTCTCTTTCTCAGCTACTTAGCTTTGCCATTTGAGTGGAAAAGTTGCCATAGTTAATACGTAAATGAGTGGGCCTGGCTGTGTTCCGGTAAAAGTTTATTTAGAAAAAAATGGTATCAGTTGGGCTTGGTCACTCTTTGTAGTTTGCCAACCCCTGGCTCAGGAAATGGGGAAAGAGAGGTCAAAAAAGAAGGGGGAAATGGAAGGAACATAAATATACCTATGGGGAAATAAGTTGTGCCTCTCAAATGCAATTTAGTGATTTAGAGGAGGTTTAAGGATGTTGACTGCCATGAAATCTCCCCCACTTCTCTATCTGGTAATTTTTATAAGAGATGACTCTTGGGAAAAGTAGGATGAAAGAAACATTTTTGAGTCGCAATCTGAGGATCTTAATGTTCTGCTTTTTGCATTGACATTTTTCTTTGATCCTCCTTCCCTTGGCTAGTTAGTGACTTCAAACTTTTTCCCCTAGTTCTTTGAGAGCCCCTTAATACTAAAGGGTAAGTTACCAGTAATGGTTTGGATTTTTTACTCCTCCTGGAAGAATGTTTACTTTGGAAAGAAAAAAAAATAAAAGAACCTGATAGTTCCTCCTAAGAAATATATTTTTGTAATGTATACAATGAACACACCTCATTTCTGAACCTCACCCCATCTGGGGTGTGGTTTAGAGATTGGGTGGGGATTGTGGTTTCTGTTGCAAATATACCTTGGTAATAAAAACAATGCTTCAGCAGTTTGAGTTGTTTTGAAATGGTCTTGTCAAAATGTCTTGTTTCATCAAAAACTCTAGCTTAACTTTATAACAGAGTGATTTGACTGGATAACCCCAGTGGGGTATACTCTAATAGCAAAAAGATCTACAGAAAAAAACCACTTAAACTATTTTGCAGTATTCAAATTTAGTAGTTTCACATCAAATTATTGCTCATAGTGCTGATATTGCTACCTTGCAGTTGTTGTGTGTTTGTATGGGATAATTCAAATGAGTATTTATTTTGGCTTGCTTAGAATTGAGGTTTTCAGAGAGGTTTAAGGAAATAAAGATGAAAGGTCAATGAGATAAAGGAAAAATCCTGTAGTCTTGAATTTAAACGGAAATAATTCATGTGATTTCATAATATTATTTCTTTTAAAAAAGATGTATTTTATATTCTATTCTCAAAAAAGACCTAAATATAATGACTACACCAGTACTAATGTGTACTCTGTCTCTGGTTTCTGTTTACTAAATATTAATGCCATTTCCCATCAAGAGACTACAGCTCCTTGGAGAAAGGGGTAATTCCATGTATGGAGAAAGAAATGTACAAAATGAGTTGAGAACATCTTTTAATAAAGCTCTTGGTCATATGGGGATTATTTCAAAAGGACTCAAGAGATAAATAATTTCCACTTAGAAAATACAGGACTATTTTGGCACAAATAAGAATTGAATATAATGAATTTGAGTATAACAAATATGTTTAAACCCATGGTTCATAATGATACTTTAAAACAAAATGAACAAACAAAAACAAACAAACAAACAAACAAGAAAAAACTCCCCACCCCCCAAAAAAACTCAAAATACCTTATTGGTCACCTTTGGGGAATACTAGGAAACAGCGTCATTTTAAAAACTGATAAGTAGAGGAAAATAATCATTCACCTTTCCTGATTTTCCTACATGTTCTGTGCTTTAGAAAACCAAATAGTTTTATGAAAAGTTTCTTATTATAAGATAAAGTAATATTGGCTTTATATTGATAATTATCGAAGTTGAATGGTGAGTACATGGTGGTTTATTATATAATCTCTCTACTATTATATTTGAGAATTTCCATTATCAAAAGCAATACAATTAAACAAAACAAAGCACTAGCTTAAATAACTTATGTTCTAAAGGTGAAATTCCAGCCATCTTGCAGCAAGAAGTAGAAGAGTTAAATATTTGAGTAACACAGCCTTCCTGACCATCTCAAAAGAATACCGTAAAGATAAACATCCACTTGGCAAGACCAGCACTTCTGCTTAAATTATGATGTTTAGGGTTAATTTTGGGTATTAATTATGTCTAGAAAACTAATGTTAAAATTCATTTTTAAAAAAAACTGATGGATGACATGTTAGCTTATTTTTATCTGTTTTTATATAAGGCACTGCATTGTAAAGCCCTTTCTTTTTCAACTAACTGAAAAGATTTCTGTCAAATCCCTTAGCTATTTTAAATCTCAGCTACCTTGTTGGCATCAAGTGGGAACTTTCATGCTTTACTTAATGATGACATCAGACCTGAGACAAACTAGTGATTCCCATAGGAAGTAGCCAGGGAATAGGCCTTAGGTAGGCAAGTGTCTCAACCCTTGGTCTCATAGAACTGAAAAATACCTAGGTCATTCTCTAAAGAATCTGCCTCTTTCTAGAGAGATAGAAATGGATGATCAGGGAATTTTAGTGATGTGGATACTGTTATGAGGTGAATTATGTCCCCCTTCCCTCATTTATATGCTGAAGTCCTAACCCCTATAGGGCTTTAAAGAGATAATGCAATATGACTGGTATCCTTATAAGAAGAAGAGATCACAACACAGATGCACACAGAGAAGCCCAGGTGAAGACACAGAGAGAGGGAAACCAGTTACAGGTCAAGGAGAGGGGTCTCAGAAGACACCAACCCTGTTGACAGCTTGATCTTGGACTTCTAGCCTCCAGAATTGTGACAAAATATATTTCTGTTGCTGAAGCTACCCAGTCTATGGTACTTTGTTATAGCAGCCCCAGCAAACTCATACAAGAGGCTTACATGAGTCAGCAGAAGAACTTTTCTTGAAGTCTTACCAACCTCAAGAGTTGTGATTCTCAACAAAAGGAAGGCTCTGATGGAATGAGAGTTAAGCCAAGTGATGGTAGGAGCTAGAAGGCAGTGAGAGTCAAACAGAAAGGGCAAAAGCCAAATGAGACAAAAGGAGCAGAGTAGTAAAAATGAAGCCCTGGTACTCATCAGACTTCTTGAGGAAGGTACTGTCACCTTTGACTGAGAGGTAATGTCAAAAATGCAAATGTCACCTTTGTATACCAAGGAGGCTTGAAGGTCTGAACTGTACATTTATATTGCACATGTGGGATGGGAATTGCTTGATATAACCTCAAGAAGTGAGGTTATGGTTACATTATGAGTAATAACAGCTAGCTAATAATCATATCTGAATTAATTGTAGGGTAAGCAACTACAGTCACCCCCCCAATATCCTTGGGTTCTGCATCTGTAGATTCAACCAACTGCAAATAGAAAATATTTGGAAAAACGAGGATGGTTGCATCCATATTGAACATGTACAGAATTCTTTTCTTGGTCATTATTCCCTAAACAATCCAGTATATTAATTATTTACATAGCATTTACATTGTATTATGTATTAGTCTGTTCTCAGGCTGCTAATAAAGACATACCCAGGACTGGGTAATTTACAAAGAAAAAGAGATTTAATGGACTCAGTTTCACATAGCTGGGGAGCCTTCACAATCATGGCAAAAGGTGAAGGAGGAGCAAAGGCACATCTTACATGGTGGCAGGCAAGAGAACATGTGTAGGGGAAATGCTCTTTTATAAAACCATCAGATCTCGAGAGACTTATTCACTATCATGAGAACAGCACAGGAAAAGCTCACCCCCGTGATTCAATTACCTCCCACTGGGTCCCTCTCGTGACATGTGGGGATTGTGGGAGCTACAGTTCAATATGAGATTTGGGTGGGGACACAGGCATATAATACTAGGCATCATAAATATTTTAGAGATGATTTAAAGTATATGGAAGGATGTGCATAGGTTATATGCAAATTCTATATAATTTTATATCGGGCACTTGAGCACCCATGGATTTTGGTATCCAAGAGGGTCCTGGGACCAATCCCCTAGGGATTCTGAGGGATGACTATTTCAGAGAGAAAACTACATGATTGTACTTTTAAAACAAAAATTCTTTAACATGAAAAATATGTGGAGGTATCAATTACTAATATTTAGAGTTTTAAAGGCAATGGGAGCAATCTATGAAGAAATGTGTTGTGACTAGGTAAATTCAGTATCAGTTTTTACTATCTGCACTTATGTTTCTTAACTTACTGTGTCTCTGGAATTAACCTTCGTTGTTGAAATCCTTCTCAAACTTTCAGGTCAAGCTCAAAGTGTCCCTCCCCCATGTAGCATTCCTGGAAGCTCCTTAACTACATAGCAGATACAAATATAACAAACCTGACAGTAAAGTACAGAGAAGAATCTTCTTGCCTTTATGTTTTCTCTTCTAGTTCATTATTCATGTGTTTTTCCTTCTTGGGGGTTGAAAGCTCTTTGAGGTCAAGAACTGTCCTTGATTTTTTGTTTAGCATAAAAATGCTTATTGAGCACCTACTATGTGCTAGTCATCATTCTAAGAGTCCTGGAGTATAATAGTGAACACGACAGGATAGAATTGACTTGGTTTTTGTAGCTCCATATTGCCTAGCAGAGTATATATTGTATGCCAAGCATCAATAAATATTTATTAAATTATATTTTGTCTCACCTTCAGAGGCTTCAGGAATTAAGAAGCAACCCTAGTTTGGTTCTGGTATGGTAAAATTAAAAAGCCCTCAAAAGGATTTAGACTGTTTTATCAGAATGTATCACTACCACCCTTGTATCCCTCTTTCTACAAGCTAGTGATAAAGTTTCTGTCCTTGAACAAATTTTAATCAGGCTCCTCTGAATCTTTTTTCCAATGGATCTTCACTTTTAGGCTTCTGTATTCATCCCTGTATTGTCCAATTTTAGCAAGAATCCTATTAAGTTTAGCCAGAATACCCCATCCTGGATTTCTGACCCCCTCCGTATCTGACCAGGTTCCTCACCCTCCACCGCCTCCCAGGTGATGTCTGGTCACCCTGCCTGCCTTCAGCAAGAGTCCTGTTAGGTTTGTTTAGCCAGAGTCCCCCGTCCCTTCATGTTTGCTCTTAGGAATTTTCCATCCATATCCCCCTGCCTCCCCCAACCCACTCCTTGGCTACAAATTCCCACTTTTCTTTGTTGTGTTGAGAATTGAGCCTAGTTCCGTACTGAGGTCCCTTTTCACTCATTGCAATAATTTTTCTGAATAAAATCTCATTTTAGCGCTTTAACTCCTTCTAGTTCTGTTTTTCCTTTGATGGTATTAGAAGGTATTTAGGGCCTGCTAAGCATGCTGGGTGCTTCCTTCTGTTCCTACCCATCCTATCCCAGGGTGTCCAGCTCATTGCTACCCCTTGCTCTTGCCCTTGGTCAGGTCAGAAAACCCCATCAAACATGGAGCAAAACCAAGTAACATCTTTTTTTCACACCCTGTGATCTCAAGTTTCTACTAATTTATTGCAACTAAGCTAGGAGATACGAACTTCTCCCTTTTACGCTGTTCATTTTTGTTCCTTATTTCTGTTTTTTTTTTTAAAAAAGATGGTTGTCATATCAGTTTGTTTTTCTTTACTGTCCTAAGGTTTTTGCATTTCACCCCTTGCCATAGATTTTAGTATAAAAAAGTCTGACTCTTTTCTTTTTAAAACAATTTTTATATTTTTATGCACATATCTATGAGGTACATGAGATTGACTTTTTTTCTTTGCAAACTTTCTGAAATGTTTCTGATTGTAATGTAATAGACAAGTAATTAAATATGGATTTAAAGAGTGATTTTCTTTTGTCTCATTTCATCATCAGGGGAAGAAAACAGTCATGGCCATCAGTCTGTGGGGCCCTGTGGTGTTAATATAAGGTTTTGACTAGAAACTTTTTATCCTCCATTCTCAAACCATTTTATCAGTCCTTGGAATTTTCTCTAATTTTACCAAGGGTTCCCAGGGGAATCCCCACCAGGTTTTAATGGCTTGGAGACAGACAGGATAATGCTACACTACTCCGTTTCCTAATATCCTCCTCACATGTTCACTCTTTGCATAGCCTCTGGGTCCAGGTAAAGTGCTGGCTCGGTGGCTGGTTTGAAACACGAGCCTCCCACACATCTGCTGAGGACACTGACTATGGCAGGGAAAGTGACTCTCCAAGTTTTATTTGGGTCGTAAAAATTCATGCTGCGCACCGCCTCTTTAGGAATCTGTGCCATTAAATGTGGCTAGGTCTAGAGTACATACACTCTGGAGGAAGCCAGAAAGGACATTAAAATGCTTAGTCTATGACACACTTCCTTATTTTTGTCATTTTGACATTTATGTGTTGTTTCATTAGGGATTTTTAAGAGAAGACCCTTTTTCAGCAAGAAGTTTTCCCCAGATCACCATTAAGAATCAACAGTTTATAATCAAACAGCTGTCTGGTTTGCATTTCAACTGAGCTGGACCACCTGCCGGCTGTTAACCTCTGGAAGGTTATTATGATACAATTGTTGTTGTTGTTTGTTTAAAAAGTTTCAGAGCTCAAGGAAAATATTAGTAATAAGTTACTTAACCTGCAGTGTTTACTGTTCCCACTCAACTTGCAGATGGTGTTCCAGTGGCCAGTGAGAGGGAGGACTCATCTGAGACCCACACTATTTTGTACTTGTTTTGGAGATGAACCGTAAAAATAGGCTTGGCAATGAGGAGCTCTGCCCACGTGGGAGGAGAGGTAGACAGCATTCAAAGGAAACACAACCATTTCTGAGGGCTGAGGTTGCAAGACAATATCTCAACATAACCCTTAGATTCAGCTTGGTAGCTTTCAGCTGAGGTCTGGTAGAGCAGCTCATTTTTTGAGCACGTGTGATTCAGCCATGGTATTTTGCAGCTTGCCTGCCATCTGCTTTCTTCCCTTATCTCTACATCCCCCTGACTAAGGGAAATGATGGCTGCAGGTTCTCTCAAATAGCCATAGGGGTACAATTTTCTAGGCCCTATAAAAATCCAGTCCCTGGACATCATTTGCGGATGCTGTGTTTACAGGGCAGCCTGTCTCTCTTCAGAACCTGGGGGCCAGAGAACACGATTGCCATTTGCAGAGGTGGGAAAGGCTCTATGAGTGTGTGTGTGTGTGTGTGTGTGTGTGTCGAGGATGGGGGGTGGTGGGGGAGGGTACCTGTAACAAGAGTAAGGACCACTGAGGACAGTGACTGGCTGGAATCGGTGTTCCATGAGGAATGAGATTTTTTTCTGTTTTATTTCATTCTTCATCCTCAATGCCCAGAACAGTGACCAGCATATGATGAGCACTCAATAAATATTTGATGAATGAAAGAAAGAAAGAATTAATGATCTTTTCTTTTTTCTATTCACCTCTTTGTTTATCCCCCCAAGTAATAATGAATAGTAGTCAGTTAAGTGTGGCTGGTTGACTGTCAGCACTGGTGTAAAACAAAAACAAAAAAACAAAAACAAAACTGCTAAAATTCTTTCTGGCTATACATTTTAGTATACTTAGGGTTGAAGATTTAGGCAAGAGAACATTCAGGGACTGATTTGGGATGATTTGTGAGGCAGAATAGAATGGGAGAAAGAATTCAGACTTGGGTTTGGAGCTGCAGTGTACCTGTTTCTTGCTCTGGGAACTTGGGTAAATTAATTAGGCTCTCTGATTCTTAGTTTCTTCATGTGTAAAATGGAATAATAATAGGTATTCTACAGGTTTTTATATTAGAGATTGTATAGGTAAAAGCTGCAGAGAATAGAGGGGTAGTAAATTATTATAATTATTAATAGTATATTATTACTGTACTATCAATACTATTATACTATGTAATATCATTATACTATTATAGTATAATAGTATCAACACTATTGTATATCATGTAATTGTATCAATACTATTATACTACATAATGTCATTACTTCTCTCCTTTTTCACACTCACTGCCCACCAAGGAATTAACTTCCTCTGGGCTACAGCATTTTGTAACAGAAACTGTCCAGGATTCTCTGGATTCTAGTTCTATCTCCACGGGTGGCTAACTGTATAACCCACAGCAAGTTGTTTAATTTTTGAACTTCACTTTTTGCATATGTAAAGTGAAGAAAATAATTATGCTGATTCTAACAGGTAGAGAGCATTCAACAAAGTAGAGCTATGCAAATGGTTACTTTGCAAAGTTTGTATAACCCTGGGATATTTAATGTGAAGCTACTTGGTCAACTGTTAAATATCATGCAAATGTGAGTTGTATGGTTCAGTTCATTTCAGCCAACACATTTTTATTGACTATCTACTATGTACCAGATGCTGTGCTAAGTGCAGTGTTAGGTACAGAGAAATAAGGCAGGACACCTATTTCTGAGGTGCTCTTAATCTGGTGGAGGAGATAATCACATAAACAGAGCACAGTTATCCCTGTGATAGTGAAGTTCACGTTTGTTCTCTTTGTTCACTGTTCCATGCTGGCACCTCAAAGAAAGCATCTTGTGGAGATGGAAGTGGGGACACCTGGTATGGGGTTTCACCCTCCTCTTGCATTTGTACGGAGTCAGCAGTAGGTTGTGCTGCCTTGTTTCTTGGATGGCAATAGAATCATTGTAGGATACTCATGTGAAGTCAACACCTTCACCATCTCATGTCTTTGCTTGGGAACCTGACAGTGAACCGTGATCTCTTCTTGAAAGTCTCCCAATAGTCTTTGCTTCCACCATGATGTCATGGGGAGATTACTCTGAAAGAACTCCAATATGGCCTATGATAAATGGATGAAGAGTGCTTTAGGGAGAGAGTCCATATCTTCTCCATTTATAAGTCCTTAGCACCAAATACATGTACGCCAAGGGCTAGAATTCACAACTATTTGTTGAATGAATAAGTGATAGAAACTGAATTGACTCATCCTCTCCAGAATTCCCACTCTCCAAAACCTTTCCACTTTGCCTTCTAGAATCCCCCTTTAGGGATAAGTTCTTTCTTTTATATTCTCAATCTCTTCCCTAAACTGGCATCCGCTTTCTAATCCAGCTAAAAAACCCAGGTTTCCCCTGAACACATGGCTTTCTGCAGCTAGTTTCCACCACCCTCACATGACAGGACTCTGGTCTGGGAGGTACTTTGGCGATGACACTTCCATTATCATTTTATATACAAAATTGCCTTTTCTTCTCTGACAATTATGCCATTCAATTAAACTGCCCTCTGCCTCTCCTTGTTGTAATATTTCACCTTCTGCATGATTCTTTCTGTTTCACTGAAGGCTTCTTTAGTCTTCTCTATCCCCAAGCCAAGATCTTCCATCATCCACAGTGAAAACATCATCTGCGTGATGACCCATTAATACCCTGGCCACTCAGTTCCTTTATCACTTCAGCTCCTAATTTTAGCCTCTTCTTGGTTTTGTCTATGTATCCCATGGTTTTCTCTGATCTTGGTGTCACCCACTGCTGTTTTGCTGATGAAACCACTGCCATGTTACAATCTAACCATGTCTTCCTCTCCATCTGGGGCTCTCAGAGTCCTTGTTATTCAGGTGGCTTAGCATTTTCCAGTCCTCCAGCTCTCTAGTTTCTCTTATCTTCACTTTCTTCCCTAATCATCCTAGTCTCATGGTCCATTTAAAACCACTCTGTTGCAAGCCTCTTCAACTCCTTGGGTTCAATATACTTTGATCACATAGGCTAAGTAAAACTCTCAATTGTGAATTCTCACTATCTGTCATCTCCATGCCAGACTGCTGAGTAAATGGGCTGCCAAAAATTAAAGGTCTACAATCTCAGTGTGCTTGGCAGTTCTTTGTATTTTCCTAATCAGCTGTGTATCTCTTTATCCTATTTTTCATGACATTTATGACAAAGATCCTCCACCTAGCCAACCATCTCCTTCCTCTTAGTAGATGGCATTGTATCTGACTTCCCAGAGAAAATAGAAGGTGCAAGATAGTATCTCTCTATCTTCCTGCCACCAAATCGACTTATCTGCCTGTATCCATGCCTATCTTGCCCCTACCAAGCCAGCCTCCTCTCTGCTGAGGGAAATCTTTCTAAAATTCAAATATGACCACTTTGCTCCCTGCCCAATACTCCAGATCTAAAATGGTTCTTAGTGATCTAGCTCCTGTTTGCCCTTCCAGCTTCATTTATGACTAACTCACTACCTATACCACAGCCTCTACTTTCTAACTGCACAGCTTTTGAAATTATTCATATGCTCTTACCTCCTGGCCATTGTATATGATATGCCTTCTGCCTAGTATTTTTTCCTCTCTTCCTCACCACCCGTGTGCAGCTAACTCCTACTCATCTTTGATGTTTCAAGTAAGATCTCACTTTCTCAAGAAACCTTTCTTGACTGCATCAAGCCACCAAGTATTATGTGCACTTCATCTGCTCCTCTTCTTCTGATTTCAGCACTTATTGTGTATTTTCATTGCCTGCTTGTCTTTCAAATTCAGTAAGATCCTTGAAGGCAAGGGCTGTTACTTACTTTCCTTTGTCTCCCTAGCATATAGAAGAGCACTTACTCCATGTGTGACACTCATTAAATATTTGCAGGACTAAGACTGAATGAATAAGATAATGTGTTAGCTATATCTGGAAAGATTGAAACTTGGAAGATAGCAGCATAAAGAACCATGGAAAGGACATACCTGGCGGAAGGAATTGACTGAGCAAGGTATCTTATGGGGCAATGTCTCAAGAGAGGGCAGAAATTTAATGAGATGGATGAATAGAAGCCTGGAGACTTTTTGAGATTTATAAGGTTTGAGTTTCTGGATGCCACTGAGCAGAATTAAACTAACATTTCAGTGGACCAACAACAGATGGTTGACTGGATTGATGAGTTGTCTAATTAATGGGTCAGTTCAGTGATATAGTACAATTGGCCAGGAACCTTAGATTATAAAACTCAGTGATGGTCCAACAAATGTCCCATCAATATTCTTAAAATAAGGAACAGTTAAGGAGTGGCAGAGTATTAAATCTCTCTCACCAAGTCTTTAATTCTGGAAAATTCTCAGTGATTGTCTCTTCATATTTAGCTTCTATGCCATTTCCTTCCTCCTTTTTGAAACTGGGATATTAGGGCAGAGATCTAAAAACATTTCTGTAAAGGGCTGGATAAATAGGCTGTGTCGCCCATTTAGTTCTTGTAGCAACTATTCAACCCTACCATTGTAGTTTAAAAGTAGTGATAGATCTACTCTCTCGGCTTTGAACTGCACCCCCCACCCCGCCCCCGCCCCCGTCTCTGTACAGGGGAGCTTCTTCTTTCTTTCTTCTCCCTTCTTTCTTGCCTATTAAACTCTCCCTCTCTGCTCCTTAAACCCACCCCAAAAAAAACAAAGTAGTGATAAACAATATGTAAACAGACCAACGTGGTTGTTTAAAGCAGACCAATGTGGTCATTTTATTTATGGTATTCATTATGAGACTAAAGTTTTATTTATGAATACCAAAATTGAATTTTCATATAATTTTCATGTGTCATAACATATTATTCTTTTGATTTTTTCCAACCATTAAAAACTGTAAAAACCACTTAGCTCACAGGCTGTACAAAAACAGGCAGAGGGCTGAGTTTGGCCTGTGAGCCATAGTTCACTAATCCCAGCATTAGAGCATCTCAATCTGTAACCTGTATTTCTTAGCTATTCTCTCCTATTGTTCCCTGGATTTCTCTGGGGTTTGTTCTGGATGAATTCCTCAATAATATCTTCCAGTTCCAGAATTCTACTCTTGATCTTGTCCAGTCTAGATTTTAACTTGCCTTACAAGTTTCTTTTATAATTTCTGTGACTTTATTTTTCATTTCCAAGATTTCTAATTGGTTCTTTTGCAGACTTACATGATCTTATATTATTTCTGCCTGTTCTTGTTTCACAGTTTGTTGTCTCTGATTTTTGTGTGCGTGTGCATTTTTGAGACAGAGTCTTGCTCTGTCACCCAGGCTGGAATGCAGTGGCATGATTATAGCTTACTGCAGCCTAAACCTCCCGGACTCAGGCGATCCTCCCACCTCAGCCTCTCAAGCAGCTGGGACTACAGGCATACACCACCATGCCCGGCTAAGTTTTGTATTTTTTGTAGAGATGTTGCCTAGGCTGGTCTCAAACTCCTGGGCTCAAGCAGTCTACCTGCCTTGGCCTCCCAGAGTGCTAGGATTATAGTCATGAGCCACCATGCCTAGCCTTTTTTCTCTTAAATAAAGGCTATTACTTCGTTTTTAATTGAGTACTTTAAATACGCTTATTTTAAAGTCTTTGTTATGCTGTTCTATAAAATCAATTTTATCTGGCATGAATTCATACTCCTATTGCTAATTTTTAGCTACTTTTCTTAGCACTAGATTATCTAATATATTTTGGAATTTTGTTATAGAGACTCATTTTGAGTGGGCTCCTCCCCCTCCCCTCCCCTCCCTACCACAGACACAGAGACACACACACACACACACACTCACACATACACACTTCTCTCCCTTAGTGATCACCTCTCCTTGTCTAGTGGGTTTGTGGCCTCCGCCTTACCCTCCTCCGTCTGCCCTAAATTTAGGATCAGATCTTGTAATAACAGCATTTTAGTCTTCTCCTTAAGATAATATTAAGAGTGTGGCAAAGCCAGGCACTAAGCCAGTGGATGGATGGCTTAGCTCCTTTCTTGTTTGTGAAGCTGATTATATCTCTGCCTAGCTCCATGGGCCCATATCCCTAATGCTAGGCACAATGTGGTGGTAGTGTCCCTCCCCGACTTTCAGTTTCATTTTGTCTACAGGGCAGCCTCACACTAGTCCCTAGCTTCAACCTCTCATTTAATATGGAGCTGGGTTCCTGGCTCTGATGCTTGCTTCCAGACCTGGAACCCTGTTGGCCAGTTGCTATAGCCAAGCCCACCACTTTGCATTTCTGGCCCAAGAATGTTTATCCTACTACTGAGCTCAGTTATGTCTTTGGATGATTTCTGAAGATTTGGAGAGAGGGATTGCATCAAAGTTTCTCACTCTGTATCATCTTGACCAGAAAAAAATTACTGGTTTAACTGCCAGAACGTAAGCAACTTGAGTGTAGAGCATCTGTCTATCCTCTTGGCCACTATATTGCTGGTATTAAGCATAGAATAGCTACTAAATTAATGTTTCTATAATAGATGACAAAGAAATAATATAGATAATTAATGAACAATCTAGATATGTATTAAAATCAAATCTTATTCTTTATGCAAGTTGCATTTTTTTAATGACAAGCATAATTAGGACCATACTTACTCATCCATTTATCCCATGTATTCAGTGCTTGCAGGAGATATTTGTGGAAGTAGGGCAAGCCCATGTATTCATAAGTTACTCTTCTGCTTCCTATTAGCATTAGTCTTTGCACCTGTGAGAAAAATAAATAGAACAATGTAAATTTAAAAAATGCCAATTATCACTTTCATTACAACATTATTATGCTACCAGTAAGGTAAAAATAAAGGGAGTTGACGCAATGACAGAGGCATTTCTTGATGTTCAATTACCTGCTCTTGCCATATTAGAGGCATGCATCAAGACCTTAAGTGAAGTTCTATCATTTCTGTGCTTTATAAAGTTGCTTCCTGTTTTAGTTCAAAAGCATTTATGTAACATGCATAACCAGGTCTTGAACCCCATGTCAAGACCTCTGTGAGTGTAGCAGTCCTAACTGTCTACTTGGGTAAATGGTCTCCAACTATCCCCATTGGCATACTAGCGTTGATGGATTCTAGAGACTAGAAGCCTGGTAGACTGGCAAGAGAAGACCGCATATTAAGTCTAAACCCTCTGTTCTCCCTTCTTTGTTTAATTTGGCAAGCTTACAGAAACAAATGGTTCTTCTGAATTCTACTCTTATTGGGTCCCAGAGAGTAAGGAGTTGCCACTTATGTTGAGAACTTCTCAACACATTGAGAGACAGCTGCATTTCTTGGGTAAGGGTTACAGTCTGTCTACTGTTTGTGTCTCTGTTAGGTGTGGGTGGAGCTTGTTAAGTCCATCACAGGGGAGATTTATCTAGCAGAGATGCAGCAAATATGTGTTAGGTATTATTATTAAGAGCTAGTTTGCTCCAATTCTAAGCCATGCTAAGTGCTGAAGAACAATTTATATTGCCAGCTACAATAGTAATATTGGGAGCTTACTGAGATGGCAGAGTAATCTTGTTAGCTATACTACTTTTCTATATTGAAAACATAAAGTACTCTGCATCAAATCATACAATCTACATTTTCCCTTTCTCTCTTTGATTATGAACTATTACTATGCTTTGCCATAAAATATGAAAGTTTTACATTTTGATAGTTTTTCAAACACTGATTTTACTTTCTGTGCAAATACTTCATATCTTTCCAGCATAATTATTTAGCAGCCTTTTCGGGTTAATTATTGTCATTAACAATATGAGTCCTATGAGGGAATATCAATTAAAATACGCACAGCTGAACTTTCAAATGAGTAAATAATTTAGTTTTGGAAAATGACTGGAAACAGCAGGGTAACAGTCAAAAGGGGAACAATTATTTTAATGCTTATTTGACAAATGAGTCATTTTTACAGCAAATTAGATTCTTATCATAGCACCCCTACTGGTTACCACAGGAAAGCTGTTAACATGAGTTTTTAAAATAAAAGCTGTTAAGTTATGCATGCAAAGTTAAGGAAATCATTTGTATGACGAAAAGGTGATTAGGATATGCATTGTTAGCTGATGGAATACTGCCACTGGGATCTAATTAGGGCCATAAATCAAGCAAAATGATGTGTGTATATAGGGCTTGAAACATCAGAGTGATGTGTGCCATTGACAGTGAGATGGATGACTTCCCCCACCTCTGACTTTCATGGCTGTCCTTGTCTTTGTGCTGGCCAGACCCTAAAGTCCTACTTGAAGTAGGATGGAGACTGAGCCATGGGAATTTCCCACTTGTAAAGGATGCCATGAAGGTCTCCAGGATGGACTGTCATTTCTTCCCATTAGGAAAAAGCTCAGGAAAACCAGAATGGTGGCCTTTAGGATAAATAGCTTTGAGATGAGTTCCAACTTGTGCTTTGTCAGCTTAACTTACTTTTTAAAATTTATTTTTGACTCAGTAATTTTTAGAAGGGAAGAAGAAAGGAAACAAGGATGAGAGAAAGAAGGATGAAGGAAGGAAGAAGGAAAGGAAGGAAGGAAAGAAGGAAGGAAAGAAGAAAGAAAGGAGAAAAGGAAGGAAGGAAAGAGGAAAGGAAAGAAGAAATGAAGGAAGGAAGGAGGGAAGGAAGGAAGAAAAAAGGCAGGCATTTACAGAACCCATGTATTATTTCCAAGATATAAATAGTACTTACTCTAGGCCTCATATCTTGAGTTCAACCCAGAGTTGAGGCAAAGCCTATCTGTAGAGTTTTTGGAGTTCTGAAAGTAGATGCACACATGCATCATTTTCTAGCTTTTGCTCATGTGTTTGAATTGCTTACCCCATCATGCCATGGACATCATTCTGTGTCAAAGATTGAAATCACTTTTCTCGACCTGTGTGGGAAGTTGAGTGGAGTAAATTGGACAGAGGCTGCCTACTAGTCATAAAAATCAGGCTCCAAGAAATGTTCTAGGGAATCAGACCCCCAGCCAAATTATCTAGGCCAATCCCAGACCTGTAGTGTCAGCATCACCACAGGACTTGTTAGGAATGCATTCTCAGGCCCACCCAGAACTACTGAGTCAGAATCTCTGGGGATGAGGCCCAGCCATCTGTGTTTTCACAGATTCTTTAGTTGATCCTGATGCATGCTCAAGTTTGAGAAGCACTGATCTAGGCTAGTCCCTGGAAGATCTAAACTGACACTAATTCTTTCAGATGATTATAAAAATTATTCCAAGAGCTCATCAGGACTTAAGTGCCCTTATGAGACATCAACCCTAATACACTTCACTTCCCTCTGCTGTTTACTGCTAACTATAGGTGTGACCATACATCTTTAGCTTAATGTTTCAGGGTCTAAACTTTTCATGGGGGAAACAAGGGAGGAAACTTTGCCTACAAGGAGGCAGAGTTTTGGACTGATTAACTTGCAACTCTGTTACAAGTTAAAAGTCCTTGATTTGTCATTTTGAGTATGGCTGGGAAGATTACAACACAGCAAGAATACATATCAAGAGACACTTTCATTACAGTTTTTTTGAACTCTCTAAAAATTGTCACTCTGACTTATTTCCCCCTTGTGAATTTTCTGTAGAGAGACCTTAACTTCAGGCTCTGATCTTTGCTTGGTAAACATCTACACTTCAAGTTTAAAGAGTTTACTTTCAAGGAGGACACACTTATATCAGCTTTTTGAGAGCTCTTAGCCTTGGAACTAAGTAGCTCTGTTCCTCCCTCCTCACATTGCCCCACCCAGTGGGATTTTGACTTCATCCCTTTCTCATCATTGAGAAATATGATGCTTGTGTCTGTCTTGAAATTCGGTCCAAATCACGTTCTTTTATTATGAGCTTTTTGCCTCCCACCTAATGCTAGACTTGAGTAGTTTCTGTTAACTATTTGGTGTTGACGGAATGAACTTCCCCACCCAATAATTTCACTAAACCAGTTCTGCAGAAGCTCCTGGCTCATTGAGATGGGGTTGAGAGATGGGGATGAGGGAATGGAGGGGTCAAGTGAGGTGTATAAAATTTTTAGCAGCTGCTAACCTGGGGGAGGCAGGGATGTAGGAGAGAAAAATTTATCAAGGCCCCAGCAGAAGAAGGTGGACATGGGGTAACATTTTGGAAATGCTTATTTCGGGGAGCAAAGTTTAGGAGTATCTAACTCATGTCTAATTTTGCCTTGAGGAAGGCCATGAAGATCATCTTTATTTGAGCTTCCAAGATGTGTCACTTCTCTCACATGACCTCTCTATAGCTACCACTATTTTCCCCAATGTCTTAAAAAGAAAAAAACAAACTATTTTTCAAAAGAATCAATGTGTTTCTAGTTAGCTAGCACAGCATCAGCTAGTCAAAGACTTTTATTTCACAGATGGGGAACTAGACAAAATGAAGGCCACATGGCTGGGCATAAACTAGGCTGTCTGACTCATGGCTCAGTGTATCACAGGGGCTTCCAGCACCTGGCAAGACCCCATGGTCACCATCTGTATTAGTCAGTGTTCTTCAGAGAAACAGAATCAATGGGATATAGAGAGATACATATTAGAAGAGATCTATTATAAGAATTGGCTCATGCAGTTATGGAGGCTAAGAAACCTCACAATCTGCTGTCTGCAAGCTGGAAAACCAGGAAAGTTGGTAGTGTCATTCAGTCTTAGCTGAATCCCAAAAACCTGAGAACCAGGAATGCCGATTTCTGAGGGCAGGAGGAGATGGGTATCCCAGCTCAAGCAGGGAAAGCAAATTCACCCTTCCTCCTGACTAGTCAGGTCCTGTTTAGTCACGTCCTCACTAGATTGGATGATGCCCACCTATATTGGTGAAAGGAATCTTCTTTACTCTGTCTGCTGATTAAAATGTTGATTTCTTCCAATCACCCTCACAGATATATTTAGAAATAATATTTTACCAGCTATCTAGGCATCCCTTAGCCCAGTCAAGTTGAAACACTGCACCTAACTATCACGCAATCATAGTAAGTATCATTTAGATGATTGAATCCCTAGAACAGCCCTAGAAGGTAGTTCTTACCACACAGAAGAGGGACTGAGGTTTAGCGATCTTATAGAACTCTCCCTTTGTCACACAGCTGGTGGATTATAGAGCCTGGACTTTGACACCCTCTAATGACCCTAAAGCCTGTTCATGGGACTGCGTCATTGTGTGTCCATGTGGATGATGGCTTCTAGATAAAATGAGCATCACAATTCGTTTTCTCAATTTTTCTGTTAATTTCTAGGCCTCATACTTTAGAATATATATGCTCGATCATGACTAGTAGAATGTGAAGGAACAGTTTTAAGGACAAGAGTTGTAGAAATTCATACAATTAAAGATTAGTCCAGTTAGAACTCCTTGTATGTACATAAATAAAGGTAATTTTAAAGACTCAGTTCTTCCTCATCCCCCAGGAGATTTTCCCCACAGAAAGGACCCTTAGAGGTTCCATGTTTCTACATTTGCAGAATTCTTCACTTACTCTGGCTTTCTTTGGAAGGGATCTGACATAGCCACATATATTTAGTATTTTACACAGGATCCTGCTTTGACAGGGAAGTCAGAATTCACAGATAATTCTGGTTTATGTTAAAACATGGACTACTGTTAGAATTGTGTTAATTTTCAGCACCCCAGGCAGACTGAACCACATCCACTCTAAAGACCTTGCAGACAGAGGTAGTGCTCTGGCAGCAGCTCAAGAAACCAATAAACACTGGGAGAGACATGATTTGGATTTGAGGAAGCCATTCAAGCCTAGGGCCTTAGAGTGGCCATGAGAAGGACTGTGTCCCTCAGTGTCGTTCTGCTTCTTGGTTCTTGCTGTCAATTTCTGCTCAACTCAGGCCACACCTCCCCCATGGAGACTTCCAAGATCATATGAACACTATGACCAAAGTATTGGAATTCTTTTTTCCTTTTGTTTCTCCCCTTCCTCCTCTCCTTTCTTCCCTCCTCTCTTCCTTCCTCTCCTCCTTTCCTTCCTTCCTGCCTCCTCCCTTCCTTCCCTCCTCCTTTCCTTCCTTCTCTCCTTCCCTTCCTTCCCTTCCTTCCCTTCCTTTCTACTTCCCTTCCCCTTCTCCTTCCTTCCTTCCTTCCTTTCTTCCCTCCCTCCCTTCCCCTTCCTTCCTTCCCTCCTTCCTTCCTTCCCTCCCTTCTCCTTCCCCTTCCCCTTCTCCTTCTCCTTCCTTGCTTCCTTCCTTCCCTCCCTCCCTCCACCCTTCCTTCCTTCCCTCCTCCTTTCCTTCCTTCTCTCCTCCCTTCCTTCCTCTCTTCCCTCTCCCTTCCTACTGTCTTTCCTTTCCTTTTGCCCAGTTTCTGGTTTTGTCTCTTCTCTTTCTCTTTTTCCCGCTTTCTTAATTTCATTGGGCTTTCAAGAATTTCTTGTTTTTAAAATTCCACACTGAAGAAATAGTTTGTCCCTGCATAAACAGCCCCAGCGATGAGAGTTCAGCCCACGAGAAGTGGAGCTGTTGGTATGGGTCCACTAATGAACAGTTTAATTATGAGAGAACCCATTACACTAAGAGTGTCTCAGTGGTCCGGACGAGTGAATGCTGGCTGATGTTTGGAGTGAAGCAGACATGTCCACTGGGTGAGCCCCATCTGTAGTGGATGGTCTGTGTGTGTGACTTTCTGGAGCTTTACATTGGATGGTCTCTTTTAGATCCTGGAAATTATATTTATAAAACTTCCTAAACATTACTTTCATAATCCCAAACATGGTACATCCGTGTTCCCAGTGCTTTTTAGAACGATGATACCTAGAGTCAGTGTATGTCCCCTTCAGCTCTTAAATCACTTCTTTTTGGCACTTTCCCTTTCCCTCTCTTAGCCCTTTCTGGTTTTCAGCATTTTCATGTCCTAGCCAACCAGAACCTTCCCTGGCATCATTAGCCCTATTGCCCTTGCCGGTGTCTCCCAGTTAATCAAAACTTATCTGTCTTACTTTTTTGTCCTCAAAGTCCTACTGAGTAACTAAAACCAATATGACAAATCAATCACTATGCACTGTGAATGCCTGGTTGCCATTAATTAGCAACACACTACATTTTAAGGAACTGCTACAACAGATTCCTTGGCAATTCAAGAGTAAAGGGATTTTTCAGCATGCAAAAACCTTTATACAATTTCAGGATTATAGAGTATACCATCTGGGCTGCCATATTATTTTACCTAATTGCTAGGATTGACCTCAGTGACATGCTATTGTTTGCTGGTTTTGTTTCCTGCTGGATGGCACCTGTTTCAATGTAAGAGTCAAAGCAATTTCAATTCAGCCTTGTTGGAAAGATTTTTAAAGAACATCAGAGCAGCCTTTGAGGTAGCTGAAAACCTCCATGGAGGTTGGATGTTCATACTGGCAGTGCCCCTGGATTGGCCCCAGGGTTTCCAGTGTATATGACATTAGGATGGGTGAGGGTGCCCTTGATTTTCTGCTCTAGGAAAAGCAAGAGGTCATCCATTATGCTAATGTGTATGGCACCTCTTATTGATTTTGAGTATCAGTGGTTACATTCTCACATGTGGATTCGTGAGACATTTTAGAATTTGTAGCTAACAGGCATACTATGAGTATAGGGGCTAGGAATAGAAGCAGAATGAATATTAATTATTGAATACTGCAGAGGCCATTTCTTACCCTTTGCAGTCAATCAATCAATTAATCAAACAATCCACACATCTTGATAGAACACTCATTTCACAAAACTCAAGGTGATGTAAAGCCATGTGCATACTAGAAACAAGTGTCAGATACTGTTCTTATCCTCAAGGACCTCATAGTATGATGAGTACAGGAATTCCCAAACAAGTATGGTGTGAGGTGGGATTAAAAAGGCAATGGACACTCATTAGAATCACCAGATGTCTTAGTTTGTGTTGCTGTAAAAGAATACCTGCAGCTGGGTAATTCATAAAGAAAAGAGGTTTATTTAGTTCATGGTTCTGCAGGCTATACAAGAAGCATGACACTGGCATCTGTTCAGCTTCTGGTGAGGGCTTCTGTGCTATGTGAAAATAAGGTGGAGAAAGTCAAAGGGGAACAGGTACTCAGAAAGAGAAACTAAAAGCCGTGGGGTGTTCTGGCTTTATAACAACCCACTCTTGTGGGAACTAATTTATTTTGCTGAGAACCAATCCAGTCTCACAAGAATGAGAACTTACTCACTATTGTGAGAAAGCCCCCCAAACCCATTCAAGAGGGATCCATGCCCATGACCCAAAGGCCCCCACTAGATCCCACCATCTCAACATCACCACTCTGGGGATCAAATTTTGACATGAGATTTGGTGAGGACAAACAAACCACATCCAAAACACAGCACCTGAAGAGCTTTTTTCAGACTATAGCTGCCTTGGATAAAATCAACAGAAGCAAAGACTCCCTGACATCTTTACTCTGAAAGCACTTCTCAAGTAATTCTGATGCACACCTCTATTTAAGGCCCATGGGTGAATGACATAAGGTGCACAGTCACGTGAAAGGTTAAATAGCAACATGGATCATAGGACAGACTGCCTGGTGCTCTGTGAAGGTCAGTGAAAGCCCATGGATCCAACTGTCTGAAGGCCTTGGAGACAAGAGGTTTGAGTTGGACTTTGAAGGACAGGTAGGGGTAGGCTTCAAACAGAATCAAGATAGAAGAAATACATTTCTTCCTCTTTATTATTCATTATTATTTCTCAAATTTGTTGAGTCACTAAAATTGACATTTTATATTTTCAAAAAGGCAAATCCCCAGCTCTATCCCAGAGCAATAGGATCAAGTTTTCTCAAAGCAGATTCTGGGAAATTATATTTTAAACAACTGCCCAGGTAATTCCGGTAGTTAAGCAATTTTGCCAAGTACTGCCCTTTATCTTGACTGCAGGAATCTTATTAAGATTTTCAGATTGTGTCTGAGAAGCAGGACGTAAAGCAATATGGTATGAAGACTTCACTCAAGAGTGGTAGGGATCATCATGGGAGGATTATGAGGGCTTACAATATGAGAAGTCTTCCATGACAATTCATAAATTTTGAATTTTGTAGATACAAGAGTGCCTTTAAACTTTGAGCAAGGGAACGTCAAGATAATTTATTATTATGCGGTAGAGTTTGAGTGACTAGTCTGATAGAGACTCCAACTGAAGGGACGGGAAGCAGGAGAAAGAGGCTTGGATACCTCATATCAGTGTGCGAAGATATCTGCTTTAGTGTGGAGTGAAGAGCCCACAAAAGAACTGCAGATGTCCTAAGACACAGGATGGAACTCATAGGCAGAGGGTCAACAATGGAATAAGCACAGTTGCTTTCCTTTCCCATCCTGTGTAGAGCCCTACAGGGAACTGAGCACAGTTGGACACTCTATGGGTCATGCTCCAGGAGAGGAACTCTGATCTCTTGTTTCTTTCCCTTTTTATAGGGATTTTGGGAGTAGAGAGACCCTAACCAAGAGTCTGAGAATGGTTGAAGGTGCCCTGCTAGGGGCATCTTGGAGTTAATATCAGCTGCTTAGAGGAGTGACACACCTGTGTGAATAGCACCTGGAGACTTAGTGGCACGACGAAACTGTTGGGAACATGGGGAGCCACTGGGCTAGCTAGCTCTTTCAGGCAGTCCAGAAAGAGCCGCCAGGGATACCTAATTTTTTGCTCCTTGAGTAGCCACCCAAGTTTGGGAAGGGATGGTGGCTTGGGAATGGAGAGTATACTTTTTCTCTAGTACTTGTCCTTAATCCAAATGTTGTGCAGTTCTGTAAAGGAATAATCAAGAGAGAAAAATTTCCAGGAAATCATTTGATGAAAGTCCCTCTTCCGTCATGGGTATTTCTACAGTTGAGACAATTTCTGAGTGTTTTTAATTACAGGAGTCCACACCTTCAACTAAGCTACTCTTCAAATTCCTTCTCAGGCAAACTCCTCACTTTGTAAATAAACTTGTAGTCACGTTTACATGAAAGTATTTAATATATTGGTGTCATTTCTGAAGATGGCGGCAAAAGAAAATAGACAGGATCTTCTTCTGTCAGTTAGGATTGTGTTCAGTTGCATGCAGCAGAAAGCTGGATTTCAGTGGCTTAAACAAATTAGAAGTTTGATTTTCTCACTCAACAAGAAGGTCAGAAGTGAGTGACTGCTGAAGTTGATTCAGAGGTTCTACAGTGTGAAGGATTATATCTCTGAGGTCCACTTGGTTGGCCTTTCTCTTACGGTCTGCGGCAGGTCCAGCCATACGGTGGTGTTCAAGGCAGGAGTGGGTAAAGGGAGAGGAGACACATTGGCACTATGATCAGAAGAGTAAAAGCAGGAAGGAGCCTCCACCTCCCACATTGAGGGTCCCAACCCTCAGTCCAGACCTGGGCACACAGTCACCCTGCCTTCAGTGAAGGTTGAGGAAATGAGTTCTTTCTCTTTCCAGGCTTCATGGAGGGAAGTGGTAAGGAAGAAGAAATGCGAAATGACTTCTGAGTTGCCAAATATTAGTGTCTGCCTTACCAATCAGGCTCAATAAACTAGAGCCGCAATTCTCAACCTTGGCTGCACATTTGAATCAGCCAAGGGAGCTTTAAAAATCCTAAAGCATTAACCACACCCCAGACAAATTTCATTCCAGTCTCTGGGGTTGGGATACATGCCATTTTTAAAAGCTCCTTAGTGAGTGCAGTGTGCAGTGAAGATTGAGAACCTCTGGTCTAGCTCTCCCGCAAGGGTATTTTTTAACATGTTCTCCAGATAATATTGATGCAGGTGATCCCCTTTTGAAAAAACACTGTTAAACTCTCATTCACTGACAAATTTATTTATTTATTTATTTATTTATTCAGACATATGTACTGAATGCCTTCCACATTTATGGCTACTGGAGAAGAGTAGGAATGGATTTATGCTTTATGCTCTTCAATTACCTCCAATATCTTCAGATTGTATAGGGCTTTAAAATGAAAATAAAACACTTTTTTATGCACTATCTCATTTAAACTGCAGAGCAAGACTATGAGGCATTATGATTTCAGTTTAAGAGCTGAAGAAACTTGATACTTAAGGAGGCGGAGTGAGCTGCTCCAAGTCACTTAGCTTTGACTTTATGTGTGAAAGACGTGTCACTGGGAAAGGGGTTTTCAGACCCCACATTCGATGCTCTATCCACTGGAAGACAAAACCCATGCATATACTACAGCTAAGTCATTGCACAAACTGAAATATATTTTGCAAATGTACCCAAAGTTAATGAGGTAGAAATATGAAAGATAGCAAATCTTGATTGACCAAGTATTAGCTAAAAACAATGTTCTCAGTGCCATATTATATGCATTCACTCATTGGAATTTCATAACAAGTCTAGTGGAGAAGTATTTTATTTTCACTTTGCTCACAAGGAAACTGGATGTTTAATTACTTGTCCAAGGTCACAGTATTAGTAAGAAGAGAAGATAGGATTTGAACCCATGCATCTGGTTTCAAACCTTCACTCTTAACTCAGAGCTGCCTTGTACAGTTGAGCAGGTTTTTCACTGCCTAAAGAGGTTCAGCTTAGAGGGCTAGTGGGAACTGAAATTCAGCCCAAGCTCAGTTCACCAAGTCTCTACTCTGGCGCAGGTATATTTGCTATTACAGGAACAGTGTTTCTGTAATTCCCATGTAGGCAACCTGTGGACTATGTGATTTTCAGGCTTCACCATTACCTATGTTGCCATTCTGTACATGACTTGATTTCATTCATTCCTCAAGTTGCTCATCCACTGACTCATTCACAAATATCTATGGGGAGCTTTCAGGGTTTATGCCCAGTTCTAGGAAATCTTCAGGAGATGGTGACCAACACAGGCTCCAGGCCTTTCCTGCTTATAAATGTGCATCATACTCATTAGATTTTATTAGCCAATGGTCATAAATCACTATCTACACATAGCAAGAAATCAGAGAGTTCAGAATTATGATGAAAAGCAACAATCTCCCACCCTGCACCTGCACCCTCAGCCCTACCATGGAGGTTCCTTTGACTGTGGATTTAGACTTGCTAATTCATAAAACATCCTGTACCTCAAAGATGCTCTCAGTCTGTCTACCCAAGTCCTGTTTGGCCAAGGGAAATCAATGGGGTTTAATCAGAATGCATAGCTCTAGTTTCCCCTGTGCAGGCGGGGCCTCAGAAACTTTAAAAGAGTAAAATACACTATTACTTTCTATCTGTCTTTTTCTTCACCCTATCCTTCCCTCTCTTCTTTTCTCTATCGTTGCCGTATACTTTGCACCTAGGATGGTGTTGAGCACATGGTAGGCATTTAATAAACATTTGTGAATGAGTAGAAGAAGGAGTAAATGCGTGGCTAATTTTTGTAGCACCCAATGTTAAGACCGCTTTTCATATAGCTAATCTCATTCAATCTTAATAACAAGCTATGAACTTAATCGTATCACTAATTTGAATCCATCATATGTATATACGCAAATTGTGTTTCAATCACATAAAATAACTTTTCCAGATGGTAAAATGGTAGACAAGATGCCTGAACTGATCCTCCACTGAAAACAACAAAATATGCAGAATAAAATTTTAAGAAATATTTCTATAATTTTTCCATGAGCTTGCAAGAAAGTAAGGAATACTCAGACCAAAAATTGGGTGAAAATAGGAGCCCAGAGAGGTAGTAAAGTCCAGTTACTGACATGAGGTCACTTTTCTGGGTAAAACTGAGTGTAGTTTTTGAGGCCTCGTGGGGCTTAATAAGATTTGGAAGACAAAGCTCACGACCAACTAGAAGTAGGAATCTAATAGAAGACCCTCTGGAAAGCTGGGGCTCCGTGAGACTATACTCTCAGTGCCAGGATACATTAAAAATAAAACAACCTCTCAGTTCACTCAGGGGACCTCAAAACAAACTGTCACAAACCTTGGCACTGAACTAATAAGGGAAAAAATTTCTTTGAAAATCGATAACCATAAGCCATTTCTCATGAAGCTTTACAGATCAAATTGATATCACCTCAGTGGCCTAAAAACTCTCAAGCTGATGAAATTAAAAAAAAAAATTTCCAGTAGTGGTAATGTTTCCATTCACTGAGAGAACAAATATAAATCATTATTTGAAAATTTCATCTTAATTCTAGGGCTCAAAATTTTTTCACAGGTAAAATTCTGAGAGTAATTAGCTGTTTACAGTCAAAAATCATTAAGTAAAGTTTACAAAGAAGACATTAGCAAGAGCCAGCAGAAACAACAGATAGCACAACAAGACCTTTAAAAAACCTTCAGATTTTGGAAAGATCCACCACAGAATACAGAATAATATCTTTTATAAGATGAAATAAAATATTACTAAAGAGTAAGCAGATTGGTAAAAAGAATTTCTAGAAGTAAGAAATATAGTAATATTCTAATGACCATTTTACACTGAATGTCATCACCGACACATTTTTTATACCATTTCCATTATAAGGTCTTAATTTGTGTGAAACATTCTGTTGATACAATATTTGGTTAAGGCAACTCCATTTTTTTAGCTAACATTTCCATTTAGCTATAAATTCATACAAGAACACGACACTCTCCAACCATGGTGAGAACTTATGCATGGTCTCAGTTAATGACTTGATGATAGTTCCTGGGAGGTAATTCAGGGTGTGAATGTTTATTCACTTACAAGATGGTGGTAGTAATACCATCTTCACAGTTTTGTTCTGAGTAGAGTGCGGTGATTAAGACTTTGCATACTGGAGTCAGACCGACTGGGCTCATATTCTGTCTCTATTACTTACTAGCTGTGTGACCTTCAGCAAGTTTTAAAATCTCTCTGTGCCTTGGTTCCCTCATTTGCAAAAAAGGGGATAATGATAGTACATGCCTCACAATGCTGTTGAAGGGCCAAGTGAGATAATGAATAAAAAGTGCTTTGATGTAGTGATCACACAATAGAAGCTAATGGCTTTTGAGATTATATAGACTATGTAGTGCCTGGTACATAGAGGCAGTCCAAAAATGATATTCTGTTATATATTATTATTCTTAATCAGACATTGTTGGAATTCATTTTGTTAAGGATGTGTCTATTAATTTTAAGCTGGAAGGTTTCTTCCAGTTCAATTAGTCTAATTGTCTAACTTCACAGGCAAAAATACTCCAGAGAGGTTGAGTTTGTATCAGAAACAGCCTTCTTGGCTTCTAGATCTGTGGAAATGGCAATGAAGGAGAGGGAACAAAATGTAAGGATTTTATTGGTGGGTGAATCAAACCTTTATTTCTCTGCAATAAAAAGACAAATTTGTGTCTCAGTTGGGTTTTTCTCTTATGGGGGCAGGACTGTCAATGGGACTGGCTGGAATTGTGGGAAAGAGGCAGGGGTTTTAGAGGTGCTGAATATGTGAGCTGCTGTCAACTGGGAGTATGACTTAAATGTGGCTGGATATTGAGCCCAGTTCAAAGAATTGCAGGCAAGACTGGGCTTTGAGAAAAGATTAAACAGAAAGAAGAAGTTGATGAGAGACTGGGGAAAGGGAGGTAGAGGAGGAAGGGCGAGGTGGTGGAGAAAGAGAATGTAGAAGAGGAATAAAAAGGTTTAGACATTTTATATTAGATGAGGATTACCTCTGTAATTTATTAATATTTAAGTCATCCCATTTTCATTTTCTTCTAGCGGCTGAGCATATAGTTGTTTTGAGTTTGAATGGATTGTAAAATATATCCCAAAGCAATATGGAAAACTCCTCTATCATGACACAATTTAAGTCTCTGCTCAAAAAAATGATATAATTTTTTTTTTGTAGAAGATATCTGCTATGGTTAAGGGATATAAATGCCTCCAGAAAACAGTTTTTGAGGTTTTTGTTTTAAAAAAATATCACTAAGACAGTTCACAAGGCTGAGAGATCTAACCGTATTTTGCTAAGGTAGATGAGAGCTTTATGTAACTAATTAAGTCCTCTATAGAAATTAGTTTTAGCAAGTTCTGCCAGATGCCCTTATTGGATATGGCTGAATGGGGATTAGGAAAGTTAGGACAAAAATGAATAAAGTGAAAACTTAGCTACTTGTAGTTGTAGAGAAACAAAAAAAGCAAGCTTGCATACTCTCTATTGCCACATGAAAAAAAAAAGAAGAGGCTTTGAGCACTGAATTCATTCCATTAGCCTGGATGAGGTGCATAGAATATCTGTTAGTGGTACAGAAAGAGAATATATGGGTGTTAGCAAGACCCACAGGGCTATTTCAATTCAAAGAAACTCAGAAGTTTTCAACAAATTGCTGAGAAGGGATTTTGGTGCCAAGCTTAGCAATTCAGACAAGGCAATTTAAAAAAAGCTAAGAATTTGTGGAGAAGGTACTTAGTTGTACTTTAGATGTTCATTTCTTTAAAAGTTGATATAAAATATAATCTTTGTGATGATTCATTTAAACATGGCTATTCGTGTCTCACATATGGAAGACAATTTTCTTTCTACTTAGAATTTTCATTCTGAAGGAATTTATCTTAGAGGACAAGGAAATGTATTATTAGGTAACTGCAAGTGTAGCTATTTTTGATGTGTCCATGGTAGAGAAAATGAGTTAGTAAAGAGGCCTAATAAGTCTCTAAAGAGAAAGGTGTTAGTAGAGATCTACTTTTGAATGACAGGCAAAGCCAAAGTGTTTATTATTTAGATCAGGTGACTGTAGCAGGACTGCCACTTGGTGGCAGCATGCTTAAAATGTGCCTACAAATTTTTGAGGGGGGTGATGAATAAAGTTCTTTTAAAAGTTGAAACTGTGAAATAAAGGTTATGAAGTGACAAAAACATTGTAGCAGTAGTGCTTGGATGGCTTAAACACAGCCAAGAAAATATAAAGTATCTCTTGTACTACTAAGAAGGAACACAAGGCTGGAAGAGATTTCTTGCTATATTCTGTGTAGATCTTTAAATTGTGTCTGTTTACTTTGGGGTTTTGCCTCAAATTTTTAATTTTGCATATCTATAGGTCTTACATTTGAGTTACTTAAAAAGTTGTCACTTTTCTTCCTTTTTTAGAAGGGTAGGGAGAAAATAAAACTTGAGTTATGATTAATCAACCTTTTGTGGACCAGGGGAAATTATTCTCTCTTTTGGCACTTTAATCACTGAATAGCAGAATTTAAGTGAAGAAAAAACATGAATATTTACTTTACTTTCCTCTAGAGAAGAAAAATATTTCAATGTTGCTTGTTTTTGTTTGTTCTTAACGTGGAAATCCATGAGTTGAACTAAATAAACTATTAGCTTGTTTTAGGCTTAGCTCAAAGCATATTTTGTTGTTTCATACATTTCTGGTTCAATAATATGAGAAAAATATATAAGGTTAATACTGACTGAATCAATTTATGGCACTGGGCCTAAATTTGGTGAAAAAATATTTCAGTTGGTGACTTTACTGAAAATGTTAATATTTGTGTTTGCTGTATTTTATCCTAGCTTGTATTGTTAGTTTGGTAGACTTAAGTCCATTTTACGAAATAACATGAATGTTGAAAATATAAATATAGAGCCATAAAAACACCTTTAATTTACTATGTCCTGAAAAACATGATTTTAGTTTTGCTGGTATTTATCAGAATGTACTTAGTGCCTCTCAGCCTTTTTGTCCACTGTACCACGTGATGCATCTCCAAGTTTACCGGGCTCATTTAGTTCCTCCTCACCCTTTAATGAAGGTGAGCCTGAGGTGCAGAGTATCAGTGCCTGGCTCACAGACAGCCACCTCCTTCCTGGGGCAACAGGGTCGGGTTGACAAATTCTGTTCACAAATCAAGCGTGGAATTATTATCTAGAGCAAGTAGTTGGATGATGATTTGTTATGTCTTGAGAACCTACCATACCACGTAAGTATCTCACAATAGAGTAAAAACCTGAAAACTCTCTCATCTTCTGAGATCAAGACATGGTGCCTTAGTGACAAATGCCCTCTAAAATAGCAGGGAAAAATGATTATTTAAAGCCAATGCTGGCTTTGGCTTCTTCTGTCTTTTGTGTGTGGGGGGGGTGGCTTAATTCCCCTAGCTGAGCCTGATGGGGAGGCAGGAAGAGAGAGGCCTGGAGCAGATTTTACAGTATGTGCAGAGATTTGGGGTCTGACAGGGTCTGGCATGGGGCAGGGGCTACAGACAGTGGAGTTATTCTGCAAAACAAAATGAAAGGATTCTGGGGGTCACTAGAGATGGGGGGAGACTGGAAGGAGAGAGGAGAGTAAAGCATCATGACAGGGTGGCCAAAAAACCTTCAAGCAATGGGGATCTCACGTTCAGCTGTGTAATTTGCAACTCTGAGCTGTAAACATCCATTATCGCTACAGATCTTCAGTAAATTCTGCAATAGATACAAATTCTCTGTGTGCATGCTTTTTGGTTTTGTTTTTTTGTTTAAGCTTTGCGGAAATCAAGAACAGTGCTGAATTCCCTACCAGGGTCGATGCAAAGGGTAGAGAAGGGTTCAGCCATAGACTCAGGGCTGGTGTGATAGTGAGGGTGATCAGCTCACAGGAGAAGGCCCTCAGGCCAGCAGTGCCCATATAAACCCCAGGGAATGTGCAATCCAATCTTGGGGGTGGGAGTGGGGAGACAGGAAATAGAAGCCCTAAGCTTCAGGTTTCTCTCTCTGTGTGTGTGTGTGTGTGTGTGTGTGTGTGTGTGTTTGTGTGCGTGTAGATGGATGGATAGATATGGACAGAAAATTTCCACCAGTATGTGACTGTCACGTGTTAATTAAGAACCCTCACTGTCCTTAGCCCCATGTTAAGTACCGGTAATGGCATAAAAAGTATAATATAATACTTGGGCCTTTCCCTGAAGAGACCATGAGCCAAGATGAGAAAATTGATTTATCACATGTGATATGGTAGCAATATCGCTTTATATTTTCTTGTACAGTAAAAACAGAAAGTGCTGAAACAAAAACAGCTTGAAAAAAAATGGACACAGTACTATCTTTGTGGCTTTCCTCGAAGTAGAATTTGAGTCAGCAAAATGATGGAAAACTTTGTTCAGGGTCATGAATGAGGCTTTGCATCTCTGTAGGACTTGCCTTTTTGCCCGCATTTCCTTAACAAACTCTAGCAAAGAATAATCAGAATTAGCAATCATTTCAGACTGAAGAATGATGACTTAGAGTATCATCTGATACCAACCCAATGATAACAGAGTATCATCTGATACCAACTCAAGTGTATTGGTCACCTTGTTTGGTCAGTCTATGTCCGTGATTCTTAACAGAGGTGGCACCACCCTCTAAGGGACCTTTGGAATTTTGCAGGAACACTTTCTGGTTGTCACAGTGATCAGCAGCCAGGAGCAGCCTGCAATGTGAAGACAGTCCTGTGGGACAGTCCTAGGCTACAGGGAACTGTCCTGCATCCTGCATGTCTTATAAACATCCTACTGGACGTCGATGTTTGTAAGTGAGACATTTGTTCATGATTATATTTGAGTTGCTAACCAATATATCTGTATCACTGCATTTGTTGCTGTCACATCCTCAGCAGTTTGCTCTATGGGGCAAGCATCTGACAACCTCACTGTGTTTTCCTGGGTGGTTGTGTCCCAGCATTTACATGTTGAAATACATATATTTTTAGTATAAAGTACCGATCTTTACTTCTCCTTTATATTATAGCTAGAACATTATATTTAAATTTTTGAATTAGGTATATAGGTAGGTTATGTTATCTTTAAATTTTAGCTTATGATGGGAAGGAAGATGTTTCAAAATATTTGTTAAGAAAGGGGTTGCTACTGATATCTGTGACCAAGTTCACAGTGCCCTGGAGGCCACCACTCTCAGGCGAGAGGTTGCCAACAGATGGCTCCCAAGGCCAATTCAGCCTGTAGACATGCTTGGTGTGGGCTCCAGAATATTTTGAAAGGAATTCAGATGTGCTGCCAACATTCAGAACTAGAGATTCTTCAGAAAATGTCTGCATTTCTGACTTCTTGGAAATTCTGACAACCCAGAAATACAGGGCCTATGAATGGTCTTGGTGGCCCCATCCCCTTTGGAGGGACAACATCTCTCCAATCCAGCATGGTCTTAACCTAGCCAACTTGACTCACTGAAGTGTCTGTCTCGTGCCCATGGATATTTACCTTTTTGACCTTTAGACACAGGGTGACTTGTTAGTAAAGGTGACCTTGCTGCCAGTCATCTCTCTTTGTTCTGCATGGTGTAAGTTGTGCTGAGAAGACTAGAACCCAACTTACTTCATCCACAAGGTAAATGCTCCACTACAAGCCTCTCTCCCCTACCTAATGTACCCAACTACTCCAAGTGGCTTCTGTCCATGGAGATTTGGCCTCACTTGTGGTTCAGGCTTGAGAGGTGTTGCTATTTGTGCCTAGTCTCCTGAGTCATCCTCTCCCCTAGAGCCCCCATAGTTAATACATTTTGTAACTACTTGTCCCCTTTGCTTTTCTTTGTTATACTAATTTGGTGTTTGGGTTTTGAAGTTAACATCAAAAGAAATAAAGCCTAATAGTTAAGAATTACTTTTTAAGCAAGAGGAAAAACACTGCTGAGAAAGGAGGGGGGAGCATGAGAGATACCCTAAAATCATTTGCCATAATTTTCTCCTGCACACGTTTCAGTGAGTGTATTTTCTGGCTGTACAGATGATGAAATAATTAAGGTCTAAAAAGTGGACTGTCTAGAAGGAATTACCAATGTTACCTGTCTGCAATAAAACTAGATGCATTTTGGAATCACATTCGTGGAGTGTAGAGTAATAAGAGGCTCTGAAAGCTTGTGAAGTAAATAATAAGGCAAATTATTTTTTGTTATTTTCTTTCCCAGCCCCCAAACTGGTCTTCGGCCTCTCGTGATGTTTTGTTTCCTTGGAGGCAGGGTTAGTTGGGGGACAGTCCCTCCACTGGTGGAATCCTGCACACAGCAACAGACAGGCTTGGGGAGAGCCTCTCTCTCTGGCCTAAGGAGAGGCCTGGTTGGTGTGGTTGCCAGCACCTCCTGGTTTGCCTATAATAGGTGGCTTAGTCACCTCTGGAGCACACACTCTACCCTACTTGAAAATATAGGAGAGGGGAAAAGCATGCTGTTAGAGAAGAAGTTAAAACTCCATTTCAGTAAATGCCATGGCAGCTCACCACATTCCATGGGATCTTCCTCACTGACCAGGTCTGTTGATCAAGAAATCATTTGTAGTGAGCACACTGTGTCTTCCTAGGGCCTGTACCACCTCAGGGACTTTCATAAAATAAGCACTTGGTAAAATCTGTGCAAGGAATGAATGGCAATTGAATTTTGGTTCACTCTAATCTACTCTCAGGATATTCATTTTTTCACACCTTCATTCACTCACTCATTTATTTATCCATTCAACAAATATATGCTAACCATATAGTCCATGCCAGGTGCTATTCTAGCTGTTGGGGATAGAGTGGTGGATAGGACAGGTTTGTGATCTCACAGATCTATAGTTTAGGGACAGAGACAGACAACAGACCAGGAAGCAAATACAGATAGGGAGAGGTGCACAGAGGAAAGTAAGACAAGGGGTGTGGGAACAAATGACTGGAGATGGTGCTAATTTGGATTGGGGGGTGGGGCTCAGGGAAGGCTGCAGAGGTGATATGAATGAAATTTGAGAAGATTTAAATAAAAAGAAAGGTCCAAGAATGCAAATTTCTGGGTAGAGTGGTCCAGGGAGGAACACCAGGGAGTGTCCTAAGGTAGAAGTGTGTTTGATGTGTTCAAGGAACCCAGAGAAAGCCAGAGAATCAGGGGGACTGGGATGAAATGAGATGAGAGAAAGACAGGGTGGACCACTGGGAAGGGTCTAACTTACTGCAACTGCAGTAGGAAGCAGTGGAGGCTCAAGGCAGGAAGCATGATGGTGAAATTTATCCTTGTTTAAAATCAATCCAGATTTTAAGTGGATAAACAAATTATCATGTATCCATAGAATGGAATATATGATAGAGAAAACAAATGGGCCATAAATCTGTATTCATAGCAATATGGATAAATCTTAAAAACATATCCTCCAGTGAAAGATGCAAGTCACAGAAGAACAAGGCCAGGCACAGTGGCTCATGCCTATAATCCCAGCATTTTGGGAGGCCGAGGCAGGCTTGAGGTCCGGAGTTTGAGACCAGCCTGGCCAATATGGTGAAACCCTGTCTCTACTAAAAATGCAAAAAAAAAAAAAAAAAAAAAAAAAATTAGCCAGGCATGGTGGCGTGTGCCTGTAATTCCAGCTAGTGAAGAGGCTGAGCCCGGAGAATCACTTGAACCCAGGAGGCAGAGGTGGCAGGGAGCCAAGATCACGCCACTGCACTCCAGCCTGAGCAACAGAGTAAGACTCTGTCTCCAAAAAAAAAAAAAAAAAAAAAAAAAATTAAAAAGAAAAGTCACAGAAGAAGATACACAGCATTATCTCATTTATGTAAAGTTCAAAAGCAGACTGAGGTAAACTATACATTTTGGAGGAGCAATTTGGGTTCACTAAAATATGACAATAAGTAGCCTCCTTCTTTAGTATTTCCATGTGATATAAATGGAGAGCGAAAGGACTGTGCTGATAAGAAAATACCTTAAAACTTAGGAGAGTGGACACCCCAGATGAGGGGAATGGAATGAGGTGGGAGGGGAGAAGATGATTGAGAGGTATTTGAATCTCATCTGTGATTTTTCAATTTTACCTTCATAATGCATGTATTAGTTTCCTCTGGCTGCAGTAACAAATTACTACAACTTGTTGGTTTGAAACAGTACGTATTTATTCTCTCTCAGTTCTGGAGGCCAGAGGTCTGAGATCAGTTTCATGGGGCAGAAGTCAAGGTGCTGATAGGGAAATCTGTTCCTTGCCTCCTCCAGCTTCCTGTGGCTGCCAGCATCCTTGACTGGGGTCTGTATTGCCCCAATCTCTACCTCTGTGGTCACACTGCTGCTTCCTCTTATGTGTGTGTAATATCCCCCTGTCTTTCTCTCACCAGGACACTTGTGATGCCATTTCAGGCCCTCCAGGTAATCCAGGGTCATCCCTCCAATACAGGATCCTTTCACATCTGCAAAGACCCTTTTTCCAAATGAGATCACATTTACAGGAGCAGGGCTTAAGACATGGATTATCTTTTGGGGGCTTATTTTCAGACGACCACAGTGCATTTATGTGCTTGTTGTATAATTAAAAAGAAAAGGTACTTTTTGAAGGGTGAGTAGAAAACAATGCCCCTGGCTGCTGGGCAAAGACTGTGTAGAAGGTGATTGGATTTGTCTAGGTGGGATGGGGCAGTAGCCTGGATTAAGGAGGTGGCAACAGAGATGACAAGAGTGAATGGAATCAAGATACAGTCTGGAGATAGTTTTTAGGAGTGGCTGGTGGGTCAAATGTAGAGAAAGAGGGGCATAGGAGGAGACAAGAATGACTTTTAAGTTTATGGCTTGGTAAAGAGAGGTGCTATATGCTGAGTTGAGAAACTCACAGGTAACTTCAGCTACGTCATACTTGCCAAATGCTAAATATATTTTCTGCCTTTTGAAAAATGATCAAAATTACTAAACCAAGAGTGTTTAGAATGTTAATAATTGAGTGGTTTCTCATTTGGAGCTATCAAGATCTGGGAAAGAGATTTAGTAGGATCACAAGGAAGACGAAATGTTTAGCCCATGGTTTGCAGAGCACCTAGCTCCTTCAGCAAATTGTGTGACACAACGAAGCATTAGAGACAATGACTGCCTGAATGACAGCAAATGGAAATGAGCCGAATTGGGTTCTGAGGTCTGGGTACGTGGGTGTAACTCCCCTGCACCTGACCACTGATATTTGCTGTCTCCATAGTGACTGGAGCTCTTATGTGATAGCTTCCACCTGTATACACAACTATAAGACAAAAGAATATTCTATATGCATCTTTTCACTTTTCCCCCAAATAGCAATAACACTCTTTATGGAAAACAAACGGTTTTATTTTACAAATACTGAACTGCTCTTTGGCCTACCAGAGACTTGGAGTCAGAAGACACTGGTTGCAGATCTGCCACTTGCCATGTGACCCTGGGCTTGTTACCCAATCTCTCCAGGTCTGTGTTTCCTCCTGGGATTGTGGTGAAGGTCAGAGTATGTGCTCAGTAAATGTCTGATATTACTACTATTACCAGCTTGGTTTCATAGGCTTTGGATGTCTCCTGGTAGTTTACTTTTATTTGGAAATGTTAAAATATAACATTTCCTTTATAATAAAAACAAGCCAAAAATGATTGTTATCCTTTTTTTCCCCTCTACCCTAGGTAGAGTCTGCCTTTAAAGATTGCTTATAAGTTAACAGTTGTAATATTCTTTCAAAGTCCTTCAAACAGAATTCAACATTTTCTGTTCTAATAGGTATTTTTTTTTACTCTGTTCAGATACACTCAACTATAGTTATCTGGAAAATTATTGCAAAACAACCCACCTGCTTTAGCCAGTGTTCTGTAGATCCCCGAGGCAAAAATGGGGATAATTACTCAGGAGGATTGTCAGGGAACAGTGATATCATCACTTAACTCTTTGCTAGGATTCCTAGTGCAGACTTTGCAAACAAATCAACAGAAAGCCTGTGAAATTCCATCTGGTTTGAGATCTCTTTGTTTCTAAAGCTAAATGATGTCCTGATAATCTCTTTGGCACCCATCCCCATTCCCATCCCTAAAATGTTTGTAAAGAAAGCAAATTCAGCAAACAAATTCCATGCAACCATTGCTGTCATATGAATTAGCAAACAAGATTTGGCCAATGTCTGCAAATGAAGAACATCCAAACTAAATTTGTAAACTTCATTTTTATATCATATTTCTAAAAGTTAAGTGGCTGAAATACATAACTAAGGGTTGTTTAAGGATAAAAGACATGGTCACAGGAAGGGCTTGAGCCAGAGCCATCTTGATTTGTTGTTCCTGTTTTTTATTGTTTGTTGATTTTCTCTCTTCTAGTGAGATGAGATTGTATTTTCCTTATGAATTTGCCGGCTTTAACAATTTGGTGTCTTTAGCTCCCACCCAGGTACTAACTGAGCTTCCAGGCTACTTCCCCTTTCAGTTACGAGCACTATCCTTCCCTTAGCCATGTGGGTTGGGGCTTCACAATGCAAGCAGGCTCCTCTAACAGGATTGCTTCTTTAAATGAACTCTAGATTTGGCCTTGGAGAGACTTAGCGCCGCCCCATTTCCTCCTGAGACTTATCCCAAGACAGCCCTGATGGAGCCTAAGAATTCAAAGTCCTTCAGGTCATAATTTCTTTTTCCTTCTGTCTAAGGAAACAGAAGCCATAGATTTAGCTCATGGGTTCTCTAAATGCAGTCCCTAGACCAGTAGCATCAGTATCACCTGGGAACTTACGAGAAAGGCAAATTGTTGCGTGCACCCTAGATCTCCTGAAATCGAAATTCTGGAGTTGGTGCCGGACGCTCTGTGAGTCTAATGTATAGTGAGGTTTGAGAGCCATATGTCTGGTTCAAGCTTGTCCAACCCACAGCCCATGGGCCACATGCAGGATGGCTTTGAATGCAACCCAACACAAATTTGTAAACTTTCTTAAAATGTGAGGGGTTTTTTTTAGTATTTTTTTTTTCTCATCAGCTGTTTTTAGTGTATTTTATGTGTGGCCCAAGACAATTGTTCTTCTTCCAGTGTGGCCAGGGAAGCCAAAACATTGGACAGCCCTGATCTAGTTCTTCCAAAAATTCAGAGAAATTCAATCAAAAGTTATGTGTTCTCTCACCTCCTCTCAGTTCTATTTTAGAGATGGTTAAATCAGACAAGTTGAGTCAAATGTCGACCAAAATACTTGATTCTGGCAGATACCTGATAAGGCTGTCAGAAATGCCCATCTTGGGGTCTGACCTCAAAACAAGACAAACATCTGGAACCTTTATTTTTGTATCTTCAGCTTGGGGATGTGGGTGGTAGAGGGGAAAGTAACTATCCTTTTTCCGATGGAAAATATTTAGCTTGAGTGATGTGAAGATTTCAGTAGATCTGTGACAAGATCAAAGACCATAAATTACTTAACAGTGGTTCTACTTTCGTGGGATTATTTGAAGTATCATAATTACAATTCAGCTTCCTGGCTTTCATTTTTGAGTCTGGAATTCTGTTGGGAGCTATCATAATCACTGAAGAGTATAATATTACAGACTGGGTATAAAAATATCTTTTTAATGACTAGCAAATTAGTGAAATGCCTCAACTTGGGTGGGGAACAAATAGAAGACGCTGTTTTTATGAAGGAAGGGGCAGAAAACTAAATTGTCACCACGTTGTTATTCTTGTTGAATTCTCCACTCCTTAAATTGTCAGTTGATTAGATAGAATTTGTAACACAGTACATCAGTATAAGTGATGAAGGGCTGTGTGGCAGGCAGAGGTGTCTTGGAACTTCTGCAGTTGTGGTTTGGTTTGAATTTTAGCAGGCACAGGCTGAAAATTAACATCAGGTGAGTCATTATATTGATCCCAGGTGTACAGTTCTACGGGCTCTTCTCACCTGACCAGGACAGTAGCAACAGGGCTTGTAGACCAAAAACATTTAAAAAATTAAAAATAAGCTTTCTAAAACACTAGGTTAGTGGGGCCCCATTACAATATTCCCCTGTAAATCAGACAATTACTTGCTGCACATATTTTCCAGTTTGTTATAACTTCTGTAACAGTTAACCTAAGGAGTTATAAATTCTGCTTGTGGATCAAAATCACAGTCTGCTTGTGTAGATTTATATTTCAAAATAGCATGTGTTCTGTTCACAGCAAAGGCAGAGCAGGTTCTGCCAAGTTTGTAACCTCACAGGTTTAGAGTTTTTGAAACCCCAAATTGAAATTCTTGTGGTATCAAGTCCATTTTCAAAAGCAGCTTAGAGTCTGAAGAGATGGCTCTTGACATCAATTAACTCTTTTTGAACCAAGGCCTTAGTGAATTAATTTTAAACCCAACCGCAGATGTAGCATAGTTCTTTTCTAGTACGCAAGCATTCAAAAGTGCAGGGTCAAACACACCTAATTAACTCATGCAGTGCATTTGAAGGTTTATTGAGTCTGCATTCACTTTATAAAACATCAAAAATAATATATACAAAACATGTCTCATGTTCAGTGAGTCAAGGACAAGCAAGTAAGAATTTATTGTAAAGCTCACACAATGCTGTCTGTATGAACTTTTAACCCACTGTGCCTATGCCTTGTGAATATTTATTCAAGGAAGAGACTCTGTGCTCACAACAAGGACATTCTGTTAATTTCCCCCTCCAAAATCTGATGTTGTTGTGCAAATGGGTAGTTTTCTTTCTTTAACAGTTTAGTGTGTTTAGCTCCCACCCAGATACTAACTGAACTTCCTGGCTACTTCTCCTCTCAGTTAAGAGCACTATCCTTCCTCTAGCCATGTGGGTTGGGGATTTACTGTGCGAGAAGGCTTCTCTAACAGGATTGCCTCTGAAAAGACTGTCCCACTCCTGCCCTGGACCTGCAGACAGCCCTTCTCTGACAATGAAGAAGACCGCACCTCCCTGCCCTTTCAATTCCTTGTTAAGCGAGCATTAACGCCTCTGTTAGCCACAGCTGGCACCAGGAATCCAGACACAGGTGGGTCTTGTTTACCTTGAGTCAGTCACGTGCTTCTCACACCCACATGGGATGATCCTTGGCTCCCAGGAGAGGAGGGGCTTGGTAGTTCACCCAGTTCACTCCGTTCTTTTAAACTGGCTCACAGAGATTATCCAGAGAGCCTTAGAAAGCCTGTGGTGACTCATTCCCAAGGAAGGACTTGCTTTCCCCCCTACCCATTATACAACAGTAGCTCTGTATATGTAAGTAGCTGTGTTGTGATATAAGGCACCCACATCATCTCAATTAATCCTTTTGTTTACATATTTCAACTGGCTAATGGACAACAGATTTAGAACTAGGGACTCTCATTCTGTTTCTCTTCCATGTTCTGCTGCCTCTCAATAGGGCCTTAATAATAACAATTACTGTTTTGAGTGTGCCTCCCAGTTCTGGAGCACTTTCTTGTATATGGAACCTGATGTGACCCTCAGAACAGCCCCATCAGGTAGGTGCACTAACTTTGTTTTATAGATTAGGAATTGGAGGTCTGAGAGGTTGAATTACTTGAATGAGATCACTCAGCTATAGGGTGAATTTAGGATTTGAACCCGGCTTATTCTTGTGGCAATTGCAAAAGCCATTTTTCCTTCTCATGCTTACACAGGTCTCTTGATGCCTATCCCAAAGCTCATCTGCATTATTGTTTATTCTTGTCCTTTCTTGTATGGATTCAAGATGTGCTCAGGATGGAAGCTTTGGGAGCTGAGTGTCCGTCACTTGTTCATTTACTACTTTTATTTCTTAAATGAATGAATTAAATCTATTTAATTATGTATATCAATTCATTAAATATATATTACATGTATAAAATGAGTTCATACATTGTGCTTAGAACAATGCCTGGTGCATAGTATATACTCAATAAATGTGAGTTATTTTCAGCCACTTATACATCATTTCTTGAGTTCTTGCTCTGTGCCCATCACTGAGCAGCCTCTACTGGGGAAACCAAAATAAATAATGCATGTCACCTTCTACTGTCCTAACATTGCACTTGTCCATCTTTGCTGACTAGATTGCAGCCTTTATGGGGTTAGGACATATCTGTATCATTTACCTTTATATCTCCAGTGTTTAGCACAGAGCCTGATGTGTCTTTGGTACAGAAAAAATATTTATTGAACAAATAGATGAATGCTTGGACACTGGAGATTTGGTAAGTTTCCAAAATCATCTCAATTTAGAAATTAAATCATACCATTCAGCTTGGGTTGTCATCATTATTTTCTTTGTTTTGTTGGGTGTCTGGATGACATCTATTCACATGTCTGGTGGACATCCTCTTCCTTCTGTGCTGCAGAGACAAACTCACCCTTGGCAATGCCAGGGAGGTGGCCTCCAGGCTCAAATCTCTTAAAGGCAATGACAGCCATGGGAAATCCACGGGTCCTTGTGTAATTGGGGCCTCAGGAGGTCTACTCCGGGATGGAGGAGTGCCTGGGAGTCATCTGTTTGGAGTTTTCAGCCTCTCCCTAAGAGGAGGACACTGTCCTTCCTTCCCCATTTCTGAGGCTTGAGCTCCATTTTTCAACTCTTCCAACATGTTGCTTTATAACTCTAGGCCAACAACCCAGACCTCCTGGACTTCCCCGTTTGCCCTCTTGGGAGGGGTGGCGGTACTCTCACTCCTTGTAGTTTGGTGGGAAAGTGTAGGGTGTGGAGGGAAGATATATTTCTGACTGCTTTTTCATACTGGGTACCTGACCGAAGGTCAGATTGCTGCTGCTGGTTGGTTGTTGTCAAGGCTAGGGTCTAGCTTGAGCTCATATACTGCAGTCTTTGCCAGCAGTGCTCCAACTTGCATATATAGTGCATTGCTGCATAATTGCCACATAGCACAGATTACAAAGGCCAAAATTCACCTAGGGATTTCTCCCAAAATGCAGCATGGTTTAAGTGAGCAAAGGAGGTGCCAGTCCCCGCTTATAGTCAGGATCTGTGGTACAGGGAGGATGACTTGTCCACCCTGGCTCAGACAAGGGAGGAAGCCCAGGAACACACTCTCTAATCTCATCATTTTAAAAGCTACTATTTTTGAGTACCTAATGCATGCCACGCCCCTTACACTTTTGTGTCATTTAAATTAATCATTTTTGCCAGTCTTGTGGAGTTAAATTAAAAACCCTTCCCCTCTCCCCCATGCATTTTTTAAAGCTCAAGTAATTAAACTTGGTGGAACTAAGTATTTTTCCTGCAGATAATAAAGAAGAGCTGGAATCTGAACCCAGTTTTAACCCCAAAGCATGAGTTCTTAACCACTTTAACATCCCACTTCATTTTCCATGCTGCTCCCCAGTGTACTTTGAAAGCTAATATAGCTTTCAAAGAGTTGAGGACAGACATCTTCATAGCTACCTTATTTTTCCACGACTTCCTTCCTAAAAAAAAAACAAAAAAAACAAACAAAAAAAAAACCCAGAAAACTGATGCTGGCTATGCAACCGATGTTGCACAGACTGCAAATGGCAGAGAGGAGTTGTCATCTTTTATGTTTTCTCTGGATTGGCTTCCAACAGGTCCCGTAGGAACTCTTATTGTGTACATGAGAAACAAAGCTAATACATTTCTCCCCTCCACTACCCCTCAGCCTCCGAAAAGTTAAGATATAAAAGTGAGAGCAGAAACAGTATCAAGCGTGTTTCTCTGGATGGTCCGTGCAAAAACAATGGAATTCCAAGTGGAGACTGAGTGAGTTCTGACAGGAAACTGGGTTTAATGTATAAGGTCTCCAGATTTCCTCATGCCACTCCAGCCAATCAGAAACTGATATCAACTCTCTTCTCATGGTTTAGCTGTTGTGCTGTCATAGTGACAACTTCACCTTCTGCATTTCAAACTCTGAGGAAAATTAGGAAAAACTCAATCTTGCTTTCTTCAAGAAAGAAAATTCTGGTTACGGTTGAGCAGATTGGAAAATGATCACACAACCAGAAGGTAATGTCAAATGTAAAACATCACCTTCTCTTTTTGCAGTTGGTTTAGCTTCCAGGTAGTGTGAATGTATGGAGTTGAATAAAATAAAAATTCAATTACTGGAGCAAGGAATTGAATTTTTATTAGGACAATACAAGACAGAAGAAATTCCAAAATGTCTAGAGCTGATGTGAGACTCCACTCCAAGGGTCAGATGGCACAGTGAGGAAGTGGGGACCATGTAGGTCTTCAGAACCAAGCCTGGGGACAAAGGGACAGAGCTTACTTTTGCTATTTGCTGCCTGCTGCATATTATGAAATTAATTAAATTCTCTGAGCTTCAGTTTCTTCATCTGCAGAATGGAGATGATACCTTCTTTGCAGGGTTTTGATGAGGATCAAATGGTGTAACATAACAATGCAAAACCCTTGAAATAAAGTATGTTTTCAAGCAATGTTAGATCCTTCCTGATATGGTTTGGATCTGTGTCCCTGCCCAAATCTCATGTCAAATTGTAATCCTCAATGTTGGAGGAGGGGCCTTGTGGGAGGTGATTGGATGATGGGGGTGGACTTCTTCATTGGTGCTGTTCTCATGTTAGTGAGTGAGTTCTTGTGAGATCTGTTTGTTTAAAAGTGTGTAGCACCTCCCTTCTCTCTCTCTTCCTCTCGCTTCAGCCATGTAAGATGTGCCTGCTTCCCCTTCATTTTCCGTCATGATCGTAAGTTTCCTGAGGCCTCCCCAGAAACTGATATCACCATGCTCCCTGTACACCCTGCAGAACCGTGAACCAATTCAAACTCTTTTCTTTATAAATTACACCATCTCAATTGTTTCTTCATAGCAACGTGAGAATGGCTTACTACACTTCCCCTCATTGCCTTTCCTCTCTTCTATAAAATAACCCATATCTCTCAGTTAGAGAATAACCCCTCAGAGTGTATTGGTTTGTGAGGGCTGCCATAACAAATATCACAAACTTAATGGCTTAAACACCAGATTTGACTCATGGTTCTGGGGGCTAGAAATCCAAGACCAAGGTGTCAGCAGGGTTGGCTCCTTCTTTAGCCATTTTATCATCACATTGATAACCTCACCTTTCTCGTAGTGAGAAAGAATCTATTCCAGGCCTCTTCCCAAAGTTCTGGTAGTTTGCTGACAATCTTTAGTATTCCTCAACTTATAGAAACATCAACTCGATCTCTATCTTCATCTTTTTTTTTTAAGGTATCAGATTGTTTTTATTTATTTATTATTTTACATTTTTTTTAATTTCAATAGGTTTTGGGAAACAGGTGGTGTTTGGTTACATGAATAAGTTCTTTAGTGGTGATTTCTGAGATTTTGGTGCAGCCATCACCTGAGCAGTATACACTGTATCCAGTGTATAGTCTTTTTTTTTTTTTTTTTTTTTGAGACGCAGACGGGGTTTCACCTTGTTAGCCAGGATGGTCTCGATCTCCTGACCTCATGATCCACCCGCCTCGGCCTCCCAAAGTGCTGGGATTACAGGCGTGAGCCACCGGGCCCGGCCCAGTGTATAGTCTTTTATCCCTCACAATCCCCTGCCCTTTCCCCCTAGTCCCCAAAGTCCATTGTATCATTCTTAGGCCTTTGCATCCTCATAGCTTAGCTCCCACGTAAGAGTGAGAAACAATGTTTGGTTTTTCCATTCCTGAGTTACTTCACTTAGAATAATAATTTCCAGTTCCAACCAGGTTGCTGTGAATGTCATTATTTTGTTCCTTTTTATGGCTGAGTAGTATTCCATGGTTTATATATACTACATTTTCTTTATCCACTCATTGATTGATAGGCATTTGGGCTGGTTCCATATTTTTGCAATTGCAAATTGTGCTGCTATAAACATGTGTGTGCAAGTATCTTTTTCGTATAATGACTTCTTTTCCTTCGGGTAGACACCCATGAGTGGGATTGCTGGATCAAATGGTAGATCTACTTTTAGTTCTTTAAGGAACCTCCACACTGTTTTCCATAGTGGCTGTACTAGTGTACACTCCCACCAACAGTGTAAAAGTGTACCCTTTTCACCACATCTGTGCCAATATCTATTATTTTTTGAATATGGCCATTCTTGTAGGAGTGAGATGGTATCGCATTATGGTTTTGATTTGCATTTCCCTGATAATTAGTGATTTTGAGCATTTTTCCATATGCTTGCTGGCCATTTTTGTATCTTCTTTTGAGAATTGTCTTTTCATGTCCTTAGACCACTTTCTGATGGGGTTGTTTTTTTCTTGCTGATTTGTTTGGGTTCCTTGTAGATTCTGGATATTAGTCTGTTGTTGGATTATAGATTGTTAATATTTTCCCCCACTCTGTGGGTTGTCTGTTAACTCTGCTGATTATTATTATTTTTGCTGTGTGGAAGCTTTTTAGTTTAAGTCCCATCTATTTATCTTTGTTTTTATTGCATTTGCTTTGGGGTTCTTGATCATGAAGTCTTTGCCTAAGCCAATGTCTGGAAGAGTTTTTCCGATGTTATCTTCTAGAATTTCTATGGTTTCAGATCTTAGATTTAAGTCTCTGATCCATCTTGAGCTTATTTTTATATAGGGTGAGAGATGAGGACCCAGTTTCATTCTTCTACACGTGGCTTGCCAATTATCCCAGCACCATTTGTTGAACAGGGTGTTCTTTCCCCACTGTATGTTTTGTTTGCTTTGTCGAAGATCAGTTGGCTGTAAGTATTTGGGTTTATTTCTGGGTTCTCTATTCTGTTCCATTGGTCTGTGTGCCTATTTTTATACCAGCACTATGCTGTTTTGGTAACTCAACTCTGGCCTTGTATTATAGTTTGAAGTCGGGTAATGTGATGCCTACAGATTTGTTCTTTTTGCTTTCTGCCTTCATCTTAATGCTGTGTTCCTCCTGTGTGTCTGTCTCCAAATTTTCACTTTTTATAAGGATGTCATTCATTATTAAATTAGGGCCCACCCTAATGACCACTTTTTAAATTAATCGCCTCTGCATAGATACTATCTCCAAATAAGTTCATTTTCTGAAGTATTGGGAGTTAGTACTTCCACATATGGATTTGGTGGGGGGAGTACAATTCAACCCATAACAGAGGGCAAGTGGGTATGACACTGATTGGGGAAGGAATGATATATAATGGATTGGAATTTGAATGTCCATCTGGGGATTTTGTCTGTTAGCTGCAGGCTGATTTAGCTACATAGTGACTTCCTTTGTATCATGACCCCTTTGGGAAAAATGGAGTTACTGCAACAACAGCAGGAAATAAGTTTCTAGTGAGCCACAGGGACAAGCCTTATCCCTGCAATCAGAGTATTAAGGCTGACTTTATATACACACTGTAAGATGGGGCAGCCAGAATAGATACTGCTTCTATGGCTCAAGGAAAGGGTTGGAGGTACGAAATTATACCTCCAGATAGAGGAGAAGTTGAAAACACTTGGTTTTGGCAGAAATTTTTGGTTGGCATCATAGAGTTATTTCCCATTCAGTAGTAAAATCAAGGCATTTTATAGTTGGTACTTTTTATTGCTCACCATTTGACAATAACATGTATGTTATGTTGTTTGATTCCTAAAACAAGTTGTAAAGTAGCTTTTCATATGCCCACTTTACAAATAATAAAACTGATGCACAGAGAGGTTAGGAGACTTGTAGGTTTTGGGCCTCTGACATCCAGCACTCCTTCTTCTTTCATCTGTGCCCTCATTGAGGGACTTTCCCCCTGAAAGTCCAGGAACAACACACTCAAGCACAGTAGCTCTGGGATGTAGCAGCCACCTCTGCCTTGACAAAAATTACAAGGCCTTTTGCATGTGGCAGTTTAGCCCACTGGAGACCATTCCAGTTGCAACTAAGCCAATCTTATCATCTGTGGTTTGTCTACACAGTAGCACAATTGGCAGAAACACAGGAGTATTGGTTACTGTGCTTACAGTGACTTTGGGAACCATGACTGATCAGTTTAGACCAAAATTCTAACCACAATCGTTCTGGAAACTTGCACTGCCATGGCGAATGTAGAAACAGTCACAGTCAGAAATTGTATCTATCACACAGACGTTTTGTTTACAATTGGAACCTGAATGGACTGGTGGTTTTGACTTTCCGCAGTTATCATTACACCTAAGGCGAGAGTTCCAGCCTGCTGCAGAGTGAAAACATCCCTTTGAGGGCCTTAAAGCCATGGCATGGTCTTGAAATAAGACTATCAGTGACAGGCGTAATAATAGGTCTCCTTTAGATTTCTAATTGAGGTGGTGGAGGAAGAAATCTCCCTTGTCCTAACACCTAGTGAACAAGGTTGCTGCTGCTGAGGACTTTTCCATTGTTCTTTTCTAGAACTTTCTAGATTTCTCCTTTGTTTGGAGACTTAAATGCATGAGGTTTCCTTGAGAAGTCCTTATCATCTTGAAAGGAGAATGCTACAAAGATTGTCAACTGAAGTTTGAGAAACTGAATCACTGAGCACTGCTGTGTTGAATATAGCCCACCTTGTCAGTGTCTCTACATAGAAGAAGAAAGGGTGTTAGACATAATGAAATAGACCTCAAGTCATTTTTCTTTTCTTAGATTTTAAGTTTCAAAAAGAACAATTGCCCCAAAGCTTGGATATAGCCACAGAACTTATTCCGAGTCACAGGGGCAATTTTTTATTGCTTACTTCCCAAACATGGCACTTTGGCATTTTGTGACATAGTTTTGGCTCTGGTGTATATTGTATCCTTTGAGATTTGACAAAGGTATGGGGTAGGAGTGGTCACATGGGGTGGCTCAGGTACACAGAATCCTGCCATTTCTCCTTTGCTTGACTTGATCTCAGAGTTAGGCTGACATTCCTAGCCACATGGGGTCCTTGCAGCAGCTGCAGAGCCCAGATGTCCAGCTGGAGAAATGTGGCCCATGTCCTGTTAATCTGACAGACATGTGAGTCTGGAACAGGGGAAGTTGGCAGCTGGGTTGTCACTCCTCATATTCCTTAGAGTTGGTCAGGAGTGGGTATGTTGGGAGTTTCCAATCTGTTTCTTTCACACCCAGAGAGATGCAATAGGGAAGAAGAGAAATGAATGTTCATACTCAGACATAATTTGAGGTAGTACTCTAGGTGTTTTTTATTGCGGTGATGGTTAAGTGTGAAAAGCAGATATGATGTAACTTCCTCAAAAGTAATTGGCTGTCCAAATGAGAAAGAACAGCATTTGAGTTAGTAAGAAAAACAAATCTAACAAATAAATATGATGTGAGCCAGAAAGGAAAATGTAAGCAGTAAATCTGCATATTTGGAACTGATCAATGATTTAAAATATTTCTTTATGAATGAAGTTAAAGACTTGAACTCTAGTTCATGCAAAAAGAGACTCAGTCCTAGAAACCAAAGTCCCCCAAAGGCTGAAAATGTTTTCAACACTTGAGGCCTAATGGCACCCTTTCACTCTACCACATTTCACTGCCTTTACAGATTTTTATGTGCAGTAAATAAGAGGGCATTTTTCATTTATACAAAATTTTTCCAGATGAATTTTGTAACATATTTTTTAGATCTTTATTGATTTGTGAGTCTGTCCATTTACCTATCAGTTACATTGAAATCTTTTGTCTTTAAACAAGTTTTATTAATGACATAACAAAGAGGAGAATATAAGACTTAAGGTTATGATTTAGAATTGCATTATCCAATATAGCAGCCACTAGAAATATGTGGTTATTTAAATTAAAACTAATTAAAATTAAATTAAATTAAAAATTCAGTTCAGGTGTATTGTACTGCTTGAATATTAAAACTTACCCATCACTGCAGGAAGTTCTATTGGACAGCTCTGCTCTAGAAAGCACCTTTCCTCTTTTGAATGTAGAATCTTTGAAAAAAGCTACCTTCCTTCAGTAGCCAGAATTTTTAAGAACAGTGCTTCCTGCTTTGTCCAGCAGATAACTAAAAAGCAAGTCTGTATTGTCAAATAACCTTTTCTTGTGGAAAACCTGATTCTCCATTGTGATTCAGTGTTTGAATGGTTTGGTGACAATTAGTGTGTGTCAATCTGTACTAATATTGAGAACTGGAGTCTGTGAATCTTTTAGGTGGTCCCTGCTACTCTAAATCAGAGGTCAGTGGACTTTCCTCTAAAGTGGGTAGATAGTAAATATTTTAAGTTTTGTAGGCTATACTAGCTCTGTTGCAACTCGTCAACTTTGCCACTGGAGTCCAAAAGCAGCCATTAACAACAGGTAAACGGATGTAGGTATGCCCCAATAAAACTTTATTTACAAAATAGGTGTAGTGATAGTTTACCCACCCCTGTCTTAGAATACATTTAATGACTCCCTCAAGTCTCAAATTTTGATTAAGGCAATTAATATATTGACTAAGATTAACTAATGCTTTCTCATTATGGTGTTGTGATTATAATGTGGACAGCCAGCTATTTTCAATTTGTCTCCTTTGGGATCTGCCCAGATAAATACATACTGTTAACTTCCTTACAATATTAGATAAACTATTTTATTATTACTTGTGCATATGTCTTAGAATGCCCACCTCAGAATAGCAATAATCATAGAAAAAAATGGGCCTTGGAGAATGTGCATGGGTATCAGGGTGAGGAAGGTTTAAAACATTTATTTTATTTTATTTATTATTATTATTGTTTTTGAGACTGAGTCTCACCCTGTCATCCAGGCTGGAGTGCAGGGGCATGATCTCAGCTCACTGCAGCCTCCATCTCCCAGGTTCAAGCAAATCTCCTGCCCCAGCCTCCCAAGCAGCTGGGATTACAGTCATATGCCACCACACCCAGCTAATTTTTGTATTTTTAGTAGAGATGGAGATGGGGTTTCGCTATGTTGGCCAGGCAGGTCTCGAACTCCTGACCTCAAGTGATCTACCTGCCTTTGCCTCCCAAAAATGCTGGTATTACAGGCATGAGCCACTGCACCCGGCCAGTTGTTTTTATTTTTGGTTTTGGTTTTGTTGTTACATCAAGACCTATGTTACATGATGATGGTACTTCAACTAGTAGGACTAATCCTAATTTAAGATGTTATTTACATAAATGGCTACTGTCCTGCAATAGCCTCTATAATTCTTTTTCATCATTCTCCCTGGGTATCAGCATTACATGGTTCTGGGAGTCATTCCAGAAGGCTTGTCCAGAACCTGCTCCTGCAGCCATTCCAGTGATTTTGAAATCACTTGATTCCTTGTATTATATTTCCTCCTTCTTAAAATACAGAGTATCTGTTTGCTACCCTGAGTCCTGACTAATGCTATGGCATATATTAATTTTTATAAATTCTGAAATGCATGTAAAGTTGTTAGCTTTTTTGGAAGGCTGTGTCTCTAAGTGAGTCCCCAGCTCCATTTTTTTGAACTTTAGATTTACCTTTTCCCCATCTCTTTTGAGTGTCTAGTATGGTGTGACATTGTGCTATAATAAATATATATTATGCTGGGAACTGTGGCTCATGCCTGTAATCCCAGCACTTTGGGAGGCTGAGGTGGATGGATCGCTTGAGCTCATGAGTTTGAGACCAGCTTGGGCAACATGGCAAAACGCCATTTCTACAAAAAATACAAAAGTTAGCTGGGTGTGGTAGTGCATGCCTGTAATCCCAGCTACTTGGGAGGCTGAGGTGGGAGCATAGCTTCAGCTGGGGAGGCAGAGGTTGCAGTGAGCTGAGATCACACCACTGTACTCCAGCCTGGATGATAGAGCCAGACCTTGTCTCAAAAAAGCAAATTAAAAACATATATATAAATGTATGTGTGTATGTGTGTGTGTGTGTGTGTGTGTGTGTGTGTGTGTATGTATGTATGTATGTCTATTTGGTCTTCTCTTTGGTTCCTAACACAAAAACTTTTTTTTTTTAATTATACTTTAAGTTCTGGGGTACATGTGCTGAACGTGCAGGTTTGTTACATAGGTATACATGTGCCTTGGTGGTTTGCTGCACCCATCAACCCACCATCTACATTAAGTATTTCTCCTAATGCTATTCCTCCCTTTGCCCCCCACCCCCTGACAGGCCCCAGCGTGTGATGTTCCCCTCCCTGTGCCCATATGTTCTCATTGTCCAACTCCCACTTATGAGTGAGAACACGCAGTGTTTGGTTTTCAATTCTTGTGTTACTTTGCTGAGAATGATGGTTTCCAGCTTCATCCATGTCCTTGCAAAGGACATGAACTCACCCTTTTGTATGGCTACATAGTATTCCATGGTGTATATGTGCCACATTTTCTTTATCCAGTGAATCATTGATGGGCATTTGGGTTGGTTCCAAGTCTTTGCTCTTGTAAATAGTGCCGCAATAAACATATGTCCTGACACAAAAACTTCTAAAGCCCTTGGAATTTCCTGAGTGATAGAAGTGAGAGGAGTGTCTTTGATTATCCATAATAGGCTCCTTTCAACCATACCTGAGTGTATGCTAATGAGATGAATCTTGGTGGGCCCCTAGATAGCTTCCGGATGGGGGCTGATTGCCAGAGGAACCAACCATGTGATTAGAGGGCTGGAATTTTGAACCCCATCCCCTGACCCCCCCAAGAGGAGAGAGGGGCTAGAGATTGAGTTAATCATCAATGACCAGTGACTTAATCAATCATGGCTAAGTGATAGACCCTACATAGATATTCTAAATAAAGGGGTTGGAAAGCTCCCAGGCTGGCATACACATCAAAGTATAGTAGTATCTTGGTATCCACTGGGGGAGTTGGTGCCAGGACCCTCTTCAGACACCAAAATGTAGAATTCTCAAGTCTTGTATATAAAATGGCACAGTATTTGCCTATAACCTATATACATCCTCTCATGTACTTTAAATCAGCTCTAGATTACTTATAATACCTAATACAGTATAAATGCTATATAAATAATTGTTATGCTGTATTTTAAAAATTTGCATTATTTTTTATTGTTGTATTATTATTTTTAATTGTTTTTTCCCAAATATTTTTATCTGAGTTTGGTTAAATCTGTGGATGCGGGAACCATGGAGGGCTGATTATATTAGGAGAGTGGCATGCCCAGGGAAGGCATGGAATCTCCATGAATCCCCCCATACCTTGTCTTGTGCATCTCTTCTATTGGCTATTTCTGAGTTGTATTCTTTATAATAGGCCAGTAAATGTAAGTAAACTATTTTTCTGAGTTTTATGAGCCAGTTTAGCAAAATCTGAGAGGAGGTCATGGGAACCCCTGATACATAACCAGTTGGTCCTAAGTATGAAAGGCCTGGGACTTGTAATTGATGTCTGAAATGGGAGCAGTCTTGTGGCACTAAGCCCTTAACTTGTGGGATCTAACAGTAACTCCAGGTAGATAGTGTCAAAATTGAGTACAGTTGAATTATAGAACACCCACCTGGTGTCAGGGAAGTAGCTGGTGTGGGGGAAAAATCCCTTATACATTTGGTGTCAGAGTGTTCTGTGGGTAGAAACAAATCATAATAGATAATAATTCTCACTCACTTCCTAGATGGGAAATTTTTCACTGAGGATTGAGAGCCAATCTACTTTCCAGAGAGTCAAGAATGATTACATCCTATGAATACTAGCTCTGGACTAGATAGGAATAATGAAACTGAGTACTAAGGTCATATGATATAAGATGGCCATTAAAACTGAAGAAGGCTGCAATCCACTTAAAGGAAGCACCTATCAATCTTCAGTAACATGTATCCAATACAGTCCCATGGCATAATTATGTGGTGAGCTTCAAAGCCTTTGCTCTGTTTGCAAAATGCATTAAAGAGAAAACCCATCACCTGACTTTTAGGTTTTCAAATTAGATTGTTTCTGTTCACTGGGACCTAGCCAGCGCATGTGTGTTTTTCTTCTGATCTGCTTAACATTTCCTGAAATGCCATCCTGACCCTCTTATTTGGATCCCTAAAAGAACAGAGGTGTTCGACATGCTCCTTGTGCAGCCTTGTCCAGAAAGGATTCCCAGCTTGAAGGTTGAGGTGATATTCACAGTGCATTGTGGATAGCTTTTTCTTTTTAATTGTGATTCAGTGGAATGCCAACCAGAAGTTTAAAAAAAAAGCACATTACAAGGCATAAAGCTTTATGATTAATTATGTTGAGTTCAGATATAATTTAAACATATTGACTTGTCTGAAATAAGTGCCAGACAGTGGGGCTGGGGAGACAGGAAGTGCCTGGTGAGACTGCTGAAACAGGCTGGAAGGGAAGTCAAGGGGGGTACGGACATCATCATTTAACTGTTCTCCACGGCCGGGCAGAAAATGGCCACAACTGCTGATGGTCAGTGGAATCAAAGAGATAAATTATGGCCAAGGCATTCCTTTGAAATGAACAGAATGTTAGTCGATACTTCAACTTTGCACAATCTTAAAAAACTGGTTCGGAGACAATCCATTACAAATGATTTTTTCCCTTCATACATATGACCTGTCTAGAGATTTCTCTGAGGAACCAGAGCTGCTTTGCTGATTCCCAGTCTCGTCATTCTGAACTGGTGGAATTTCAGACTCCCTGCTTTGCGGTGGCTCCCAAGCTGGAGGTAGAATGGCACCAGCAGTGGGGAAAGGCTGCAAATTCTTGCGCGTGAATGAGGTCCAGGCTATCCCGATGGTTTCTGTAGCCGGGCTGAGTAAAAGAATGAAACTGATTTCTATGCAGCAAACTGGGACCAGATGCGTTTCTCTGTGTAGAAAGTTTAAAAATCTGACCAGCTGCTTTCAGTTTTTAATAATGGATTATGTTGTTGAGGGGCCTGCACTTACTTTGATACTTATGCATAGGAAAGCAAAATGTGAGCGTTTGGGCTAACCTCACCGGTGGATTTTGAACACACCCAGGGCATACGTGATTCAGCGTCCCCTTGAAGCTGAGCCTAACTGTTTAATGTCGTCTGAGTGACAGCGACGTCGTCCAAAGAGTCCTGGCCACAGACTCCTATTCATCCCACAGCGTGTCCCCATGATCTTCATGGAGGTTCCTCAACTCAGCTGAATTCTGATTCATATCTCAGAAATTTCTGGAAAGCTTGGGATCCAGCCTGCTGCTCTTCATCCTCACACTCAGGGTCCTTGAAACCTGCAGCTGTGCAAAAATTTTACACATGCTGGGAGAGTAGCAGCAGTTGCCTCTTGGCTAGCTTTTCAGATAAACTCCCTGTCTCATCTCTGATACTGAAACTCAAGCTCCAGGCTGTGGGGGAGAAGGCATGCTTGTAGGTGAAATCACCTTTCCCAAATGAAGCAGCAAAAGAGAAGGAAGGAGGGGTCGTTCTGCTCCTTGAGATCTCTGATGAGGGGTAAGTGTACGTGTGGGCTTCTGCTGCCTCCTCTCATTCAAGACAAAGAGCCCAGAAAACCATGTAAAACTCAGAGAAGACTCTAGGAGGATACCATGAATGGATTAAATAATATCACGTAGGATTTAGCTACCTTATTTGATTTAATTTTGGGGAAGAGGCCTGTATTAGGGTTTTTCAGAAAAACAGAACCAATAGGATGTGTGTATGTGTATATAATATATATCTGTGTGTATATGTGTGTGTGTGTGTGTGTCTGTGTATTTCATGTATATATGCAATTTTGGAGGCTGGCAATTCTGTAATTTACAGGGTAGCCTGGCAGCCTGGAGACCCAGGGAAGAGATGAGGCTGAAGCTGGAGTCTGAAGGCAGCCTGCTAGTAGAATTCCCTCTTTCTCTTTAAGGCCCTCAGCTGATTGGATGAGGCCCATCCACATTATGGAGGGTAATCTGCTTTACTCAAAGTCTACTGATTTCAATGTTAATCTCATGGAAAAAATAACTTCCCAGCAACATCTAGACTTAATCTGGCTACTTTGGTCTAGCCAAGTTAACACGTAAAATTAACCATCACAAAACCTTAGCATAAGAATATTTATATTTGTGTTTTTCCTTGAGGCAAAAGAACTGGGATGCAAAGAAAGAAGTCTCCATATCAGAGGAGGCAGTAGAACTAAATGCATTTATCACACATCTATATATTTACACATACACACGTACATACACACACATGCACACATATACACACACACCCATGTGCCCCAAGCACATCGACCTAAAAGTGCAAATGAGCATCGGGGCAAAAAAGCAATCTGGAAATAAAGGAAATCAGAGGTACACAGCCCCTACGTCTCACACATTTCCTCTGTCTGGCTAAGAAATGGAAAAATTGGCCCTGGAAACTCTTCACAACCTTCTCTCTTTCCTGTTAGAATTTCCTAAGGTGAAAGTCTGATTTTTTAGAAAACTGTTGCAGCTCAAATATCAATATGTCCAGGGAAGAAAACTTTGTACAGTGATACTCCCATCTGTTCATGAGAGTCTTTGAGAATGATGGATCACCATAATGAGAATTTTCTTCAGTGAATCCCAACTTAATGTTAAAGTGCAACAGTGGTCCTCATTCCAATTCCATGATTTTCCAAGGCAGTAAAACTTGGTCTAAGAAATGATGAAGATTGTGTCCTTAAAGACACATATGTCTTTATAGAATTTGATATACTTTATATTAAAAATAATGAATAAAAAAGGCCAGGGGTGGTGGTTTATACCTGTAATCCCAGCACTTTGGGAGGCCAAGACAGCAGATAGCTTGAGCTTAGGAGTTCAAACCAGCCTGGGCAACATGGCATAAACCCTGTCTCTGTAAAAAATACAAAAATTAGCTGGGCATGGTGGCACATGCCTGTAGTCCCAGCTACTCGGGAAGCTGAGGTGGTAGGATTGCTTGAGCCTGGGAGGTGGAGGTTGCAGTGAGCTGAGATCATGCCACTACACTCCAGCCTGGGTGACAGAGTGAGACTCCCTCTCAAAATGAACAAACAGGAAAAAACAAAACACAACAAAACAACAATAATGAATGAAAAGCTTTTTCTTTTTTCCAAGCACCTAGAAGAAAGTACAGCAAACTTTGGTGATGTTGAAAGAAAGTGATCTGACAGGTGTTTTTTCTTCCTCTGACTCTTGGCCAGTGTTGGGACTAGTGTTCTGTATGGTCAGCCTCTGGATATGTCTTCTTTGTCCAGAAACAAGATACATATCCGGGGGACTATGTCCATGCCCTGGAGTGGAGATTTTTTTCCATCTTGTTACAACTAAGCCACCACTTTGGCCATTTCTGTAAGATTCCTTCAGAGTGTGGGATTAGATGGCTTGTAAGGCTCACTTCCAGCCCTAAAGCCACTGATTCTACTCTCAAATGGTTTGACTTCAGCCTCCCTGCATTTCTGATGGTTGCAGTAGCCTGAGGTCTTTACTACCAGAATCAGGCCACTGATGGAGACCCTAAAGTGGGAGGTGACCTCTAGTTTATTTCCTCTACATTAGAAAAAATAAAACTCGGTCAGGCACGGTGGCTCACGCCTGTAATCTCAGCACTTTGGGAGGCTCAGGTGGGTGGATCACCTGAGGTCAGGAGTTCGAGACTAGCCTGGCCTACATGACGAAACCCCATCGCTACTAAAAATACAAAGATTAGCCAGGTGTGGTGGTGGGTGCCTGTAATCCCTGCTACTCAAGAGGCTGAGGCAGGAGAATCATTTGAACCTGGGAGGCGGAGGTTGCAGTGAGCCGAGATCATGCTGTTGCACTCCAGCCTGGGTGACAGAGTGGGACTCCATCTCAAACAAAAATAAATAAATGAAAAGAAAAAAAATAAAACCCACAGGTTGCCACCAATCACTGGTTAGTTGTCCCTTGAGTAGGGTTGCCAGATTTAGCAAATAAAAATCCTTAGCACTAGTTAAATTTGAACTTTAGATTAAGAAGGAATGATTTCTTAGTGTAAGTATATCCTATGCAATACTTGGAACATACTTATGCTAAAAAAGTATTCCTTGGTTATCTGAAATTCAAATTTCACTGGAAATTCTGTATTTTATCTGGCAATCCTATTCTTGAGGAGTCCCATTTTGACTGCACCCCAGGGCAATGTGGATCAGAGATTTCATTTTATTCCCTGTGGGTTTGTCTCCCAAGTCATTCTCCCATGACAACATTTCAGCTTCCTCCTACTCCACAGAGATGCTTGCAGTCACTGCTGTTTCCCTATCTTGACTTGCACTTTCTTGCTTCCCAGTGATTGCCTAGGCTTCACTTCTACCCGAAAGGTTTACATTACCAATTTTTGTTCTTTCTTAGTTTTTCCTGAGTACTGTGAACATTTCAGAGCATCAGAGTTTCTGTGTTGTGAAAAGGGGCTGTACATGCAAATACATTCAGGTGCCATAAGGCAATATTAATGTTTGAAGCAGGCCTGGTGACACTAGACCAACAGCAGAGTACAGGCTCTTCCTAAAGACATTTCCAAATGCTCTGTCAATCACTGTGCTGGCTGAACAAGGCATGTCTGCAGCATATGTGCTGCCATCTTGCATCTTCTGGTTTAGGGCAAAGTGCTTCCCACTTTTCCTTTGGAACACTTGGGTCTTGCAAAATATTGAAATAAGTCTGAGAAACAATGAGTATCGCTCTTGAAAAGTGTCCATGCCACACTCACTAACTAGACCTGAGTAAGCTCCAAGAAGGCAGGAACCATGTCTGTTATGTTCACTGCTTTAACCTCAGAGCTTAGGCTACAGAAGGCTCTTAATCAGTATTTCTTGAGTGAATAAATGAGGAACGAAGCCTTAGTCATTTGCTATCTTCTCTGTCTTACTCATCATGAGAAACCAATATTTTAAATCTGAATTTTGGATGAAAACCAAGCTGCGCAAGATTGTTATCGATTCTTGTGGTTGAGAAATTAATGTAACATAAAACAAGACACCTAAACTTTAAACCTGAGCCTTGCTAGCTGAATCTGGCCCTAGGATGTATTTTATTTGGCTAACACAGTGTTTTGGAAACGTGAACTTTTATGCCTTGAGACAGACATAAGTTGATAGCTCACCAATGTCTTCACTACTCCCTATTGTCTCATTAGCTCTCTCCCCTTACATCACTTACCTTGCCTCTAGAGGCATTTGAGTTTCAGTGTCTGCTAGGGGATGATTCATCAACTTTAAGAACGCAGATTTTGATGTAAGACAGTTTTAGATGTGAATTCTCGATCTTGCACTTACTAACTAAGTAATAACTTTAGACAAGTTAGTAACCTCTTGGAGCCTCA